>NC_000021.9:38914030-39581595 GCF_000001405.40 Homo sapiens
ACAACATACCACACAACACACAATATACAACATACACAACAAACCACACACAACACACACCACAAACCACACACAACATACAACACACATCACAACTACACAATATACACCACATACAACACACAATATACACAACACACACCACATACCACACACAACATGCAACACATACCACACACAACACATACAAATGCATACCACATACCACACACATACAAACACATGCCACATACCACACAAACCACACAGCGCACACCACATACACAACACACAACACAAACCACACACTGCACACACCACACAAACACATTACACAAACCACACACTACACAAAACACATCACACACAGCACACACATCACACACAACACATGCACCACATATACACCCACATACACACCACACACACCACACTTCACACACATCCCACACACCCCTCTCTCTCTCTCCTTCCCTGTCTCTCTCTGTCTCTCTGTCTCTCCCTCCCTGTCTCTCTCTCCTCATGCGTTCTCACCCATGGAGAATGTAAGTGAGAGGAGCTATTTACGTCATCCATAAAGAAGAAGGGAGGAAGGACCACAGAAGCCCACTCTCTATCAGAAGGGCCAGAGCTCAGGGAGCGCCTTTGTCAGCAAGATGGGAACCAGCTTTTACGGAGCACTTTGTGTCTTCAAAGAACTTCACCAACATTGACTCATTAAGCCACCCACACCTCTGAGGCAGCTGGGGTGGCTTGGTTCTCCCTGTCAGAGAGGAGAGAGGTCAACGCTCACCTCAGGGCACAGGGCAAATTCAAGAGAGGGCAAGGGCCAGTGTGTCCCAGATGACCCGGCCGAGGAACCTGCTTCTGTGTCAGGGAAGGGGTCAAGTGAGGTCGGAAGTCAAGGACCAGCTCTCTAGGTGCTGAAGGGTTAAGGAAGGAGGAAGAGAGGGTGGCCGGTGGCTGGTGGCATCATGTTACCTTCTGCCTGTCATCCAGAGAGCCAAGCTGAACAGGCATCAGGGTGCCTGTGAGGAGGGGTGGGCCCAGCCTTCCTGGGGCAGCAGCCCCTCCACTCTCTTTTCCTGTGCTGACAGAGAAGGGAGAAGAGGTCTCAGAGAGGCTCTTGGACCGAGTTCCTTTGTTCCTCCCTTCTAGGAGTGGTGCATTTTTACAATATCAACAGTCCTCACTCCCAGGCAAGATCTCTGTAATGCATCACACAGATGAATCCTTCTGTATCTCAAAGTTCACACACAGTATGAACTTAACAGCCAACAGGGAGCTTGTTTTTATGCTAATGGAATGGCAAAGGGAAAGTTCTTCCCAAATGAAAGAGCTTTGATGTCCTGTATTTCTATATGTGTGTGTATGTGTGTACACATATATATATACACACAAATATATATATATATATATATATACACACACACACACACACACATATATTTCCTCCAAAAAAGAAATGGCTGGTCCGGAGCTGAATCTCTTTCCTCCTCAAACCCCTACTTGGAAGCAGGCATTCCTCCCATCGTGAAAGGGCTCACATACAGCACAACTTGGTTTCTGAAAGCTTGGCCTTTGGAGCTAGAAAGATTTGTTTCAGTCATTGTCTGGATGTGGAGAAGAACCTGACTCTTAGAGGCAGCTTTCTCTGACCCCATCGCTGCCTGGGATCCCAACATCTAGGAAGAGGTTTAAAAGAGAAACTGTCCAACCCCAAACCAAGGGCAACACAAACCAGCCTGGCTTCTTCACTCACAGCTTGAGCAAGCTGCTTGTCTCGGTGATTATTTGGACACATGCTACGAAGCACAGAGACATACGCTTACCTTTTGTTTTCAGGGATTAAAGAGAAGATTTTAAAAATCTGAAGCCAAAAAGACACAGAGCAACAGAAGCAGCTGTACAAAACACACCCTCAGAAGGGAACAACTTCAGAAGAGAGAACGAGCAGGACCCTCAACTTTGTCCTGAGCCCTTCATTGGAAAGCTTATCCATCTTCATTTTTCCTAAAACTGGGATTTGTAACTAAAACCATTTCCTAAATGCTACTATGGACATTGTAGTACCAGGCACAAACTAGGGTAGATGTGTCATTTTCAAGGACAGTTTAACTGGGTGCATTGTATTTAGGTCAAGTGACTTAAAATGCTAGGTTGGACAACTTAGGTGAACTCTTTATTGGCACAATGTAATGCATATTTTGCACAGCCAAGTCAATCTTGCATTCTTGTTAGAAGGTGTGAATTGGTATTTTCAATCAGTGGCAGCTGACTATAGTATCAAGAGCCCAGGAGTTCAAATCTGCTTCTGTCATCTACCCACCAAAGGACCTCAGGCTGATTAAACCCTTCTAGACTCATGTCCCCACCTCTAAACAAACAATAGTAATGGCACCTCCCTGGTAGGTTTGCTGTAAAGATTAAATGAGATGTTGCCGCAAAACAATGAGCCACAGTAGGCATTCTCTTTGCCCTTGGATTTGTTTTTCCACAATACAATTCTATGTACCTTAGAAAAATCAAATGATGATCTGGTTACTTATTGACCTAATTGAAGGGATGCCTATAAGGTTATTGAAATTTATGTGTTTTTGTTTGTTTGTTTTATTGGCCTTTTAGTTAGAAATAAGGATTGAGGAAAGAAAAAAGGGGGAAGAGAGGGATGGAAGGAGAGAGGGAAAAGGAAGAGAAAAAGGAAGGAAGGGAGGGAGGGAAGGGAGGGGAGAGAAAGGAAGGAAGAAGGAAGAAAGGAAGGAAGAAAAGGAAGGAGGGAAGGAAGGAAGAGAAGGAAGAAGAGAAGGAAGGAGGGAAGGAAGGAAGAGAAGGAAGAAGAGAAGGAAGGAGGGAAGGAGGGAAGGAAGGAAGAGAAGGAAGAAGAGAAGGAAGGAGGGAAGGAAGGAAGGAAGGGAGGGAGGGAGGGAAGGAACTGAGCCTATTTTAACCAAACACAGAGAACTTAGAATGGAGCTAACCTTATCTCTTCCACATCTGTATATGAAAATCTGAAAGAAAAAATGTCCTCCCGTGTTTTTTTGCTGCTTTATCAGAGGTGCTTGCAAGCCTCCGCCTGGGCAGGCTGTGGCCTGTTGCACCTGTTTGTGAAGACCTTCCTTTTCTTGAAACAATACACTGAATAAATACCCCTGGAGTTCGAAATCTGGCAAAGCAACTGAGAAGGGGTGGGGGTGGCGGTGCAAAAACTATGAGAAGAAAGGCATTACACACAGTAAGAGCTTGCTCAGTCAATATTTGTTGAATGAATGAATTCTAGCTTCCGATTATACCTTTGAGCTTTAATGTCTCTTGGCTGCAGAACTGATCCCCCGTTTCAGCTTTCTGTGTTCATGCTGCCATTGCATAGACTAGAACGGCCATTTCATGTCACCTGTTTTACAAGATGTAGAGCACATTCTCAGACCACCTGCATCACAGTCATCTGCTAAAAAGGCATATTCCAGGCCTTTCCAAATGCCAAAGACCAGGGATTCTGAAGATCCATAATCCAGTATGTGACTGGCCCCAAACTGGCTTCTTTAGGTGAGGGGAGAGAGGGGAAGCGTCTGGCTTCTACAGAGGGAGAAGGGAGAGTTGACCCGGAGCCCCAGCCAGCCTGCACCCCGGGGGTGGAGGAGAGTTGGGGGGCAGGGGCACTAACATTATTCTTTTTTTTTTTTGAGACGGAGTTTTGCTCTTGTTGCCCAGGCTGGAGTGCAATGGTGCGATCTCAGCTCACCGCAACCTCTGCCTCCCAGGTTCAAGCAATTCTCCTGCCTCAGCCTCCTGAGTAGCTGGGATTACAGGCACGTGCCACTACACCCAGCTAATTTTGTATTTTTAGTAGAGACAGGGTTTCTCCATGTTGGTCAGGCTGGTCTCGAACTCCTGACCTCAGGTCATCCACCCATCTCGGTCTCCCAAAGTACTGAGATTACAGGTGTGAGCCACTGCACCCAGCCTAACATCATTCTCTTTCAACCTGAGGGTCTAAGAGACACTGTTAAAGAAGCTTCAAATAAAGGCTTGTTATTTAAACTTATAAAACAGCCCCCTAAGAGACCAAAATAGCAATAGCCTAAGCACTATATTAGCAGGAGGGAGGAGGGAACAAATCTTCGTTTCTCATGGGAGAAATCTACCGATAATGCCAAAAATGGGTATTTTTGAAGCGGTACACGTACATTACTTAGCAACCTGGGGTGGATTGCCAGCAGAACTAAAAGCAGAAATAGTTACAAGATTTAATTTAAAATGGTGATTTCTGTGAAGCTAGCCTGGGGTGGGGTGGCCAGGGCAGGGAACTCTTGTTTTCCACAAGAAAATATTTCTATACGGGTTGATTTTTTTCCCAGCCATGTCTAAATCACAAAAGAAAGTTAGACTTTGTATTCGAAAAGCATTTGGGCTGGTTGAGTCAGTCTCTGGGGTTGGGGATGGTGGCCCATGAAGGTGACTCCAAAAGCTCCCAAATGAGTCTCTGAGCTGCTGCTGAACCTGGGACCAGGTAACTTTGTGAAGTGAATGAACCAATGAATAAATAATGAAAGAAGAATCAGAGAAGTCAACACTGGCTGTTTGATATGCACACGGATATGCCAGTCTTGCCCAGGGACCCAAATCCAACCTAAATTGAAAGGCAAAACTGAATATAGCTTCACCTCAAGGCGCCTCTTCCTCTCCTGCACCCCTTTTTTTTAACCTATTCTAATTTCACAATTAGGAAATAATACAAGTATTGAAAGTTACATCATACATAAACCATTTCCCCAAATGTCCTTGGCTGGTGCCATCACCCAGGAACTCCCAGGGTGGCTGGTGATCACAGAAGACTCCATTTAGACCACTCAGCAGGGTACGCCAAGGACAGTCCTCTCAACCTGCAGAACTTTCTGGTTTAAAACAAAAAACAAAACAAAAAACCACTGCTTTTAAGACTTAAATCAAGGTCTTCAACAGAAAAGCCAGAGACAAACAAAAACAAACAAACTGATTCTGTTTTCCACCAAGCTCAAAGAGCCTTTGCCAAAGTAAATCAAAGCACTCCAGCAGCCAGCTTATTAGGTTTAATCATCAACTGTGCTTATCAGATCCTTCATTTGTAAGTCCCTTGAAGAAAAAAAGTGCAAAATGATTCCTTTTGTGCTTTGGAGATTGATATCAAAGCAGGCCTTGAGGTCAACTACAGAGGTGCTTTAAGTGGAAATTATAAGCAGGAAACAAAATGCACTCATTCAATTTCTTCAAGTTGAGTGGAGACCTCCTGGATGCCACGTGTCAGCTTTACCTGCTAGAAACACACGCTCACCTCGCTGTCCAAGACCCTGGAAAGGGGAACCCCTTGAATTGATTGGATTTTGCTCCCCTTGGCCAATTCTTCACTATGGTTTAGAGATTTGTGGTCTTCCAGTGGCATTCTACTCAATCAAGGTGACCAGCCATCTGTTGAACTGTCTTTTCCAACCTGATATACCCAAGTGTTGTGGTTCCAATTTCAATATTCCCTCCTAGGGAGAGCAAATGAGAAGATCTATGGGTGAATAATACAAGAATATGGTAAATGGTTGACAATATTACCCACGAACCTGCATTAAGTCAGGTTGGTTCGCTGGCACCCTGAAGCCAGCCATAGCATAGTATTTGATTCAAAATCCAAACACACAGCAGCCAAAGAGGAAAGCAAAGGGCAAATTAAGCCACCACTGAAGGTGCCGGGACAGGCCAGAGGAAGATTCCATCCCACACCCAGCTCAACTTCTTCCCACCTTTCTTCTTTGTCTGTCTGCATCTGACATTTCAGTTCTCATAATCTTCTCTCCAAACAAATTCTGCCACGTTCTCCCGGGACACCCTCTTGCTTTCTCTCTCCCTCTTGATGCAACAGTAGTTCTCAAACCTTCCCATGGAAAATCCCACCAGTTTCTTCCTTCCTGGGACCCTCTCTCCTTTCCTTTCCCTATACCAAAAGATCAAGACCAAGCTGGGATTACAGAAAGCGGGAACCCTGAGAGTGGAGTAGGAAACAGAGACTGAGGTTATTGGTGCACAAAATATGTGGTCCCTGGAACACTATTAATATTGTATTGATGGCCTACAGTGTGTTGGCCACCATATTAAATTGCTGAATTTAACAGGGGTCTAAATTGGGCTTCTCTAAGTGCGTTCTGACGACACTGTTCCAGGGAGATGCTTCTTACTAAGAGCATTTGATGGTTAAATACATTTGGAAAATGTGTCATCTCCTATTCATCCCCTGGAGACTCCTAATACACATTACATTTTTGGTAATTCCTGCAATAGATATACTTATTTGTCATTGGTTAGCCCAGTATTTCCCTGTTTTTTTTTCTTTTTTTTTTTTTTGTTTGTTTGTTTGTTTTTTGAAACAGGGTCTTACTCTAGCAGCCAGGCTGGAGTGCAGTGGCGCAATCTCAGCTCACTGCAACCTCTGCTTCTTGGGTTCAAGTGAACCTCCTGCCTCAGCCTCCCAAGTAACTGGGACTACAGGCACACGCCACCACACCTGGCTAACTTTTGTATTATTTGTAGTAACAGGGTCTCACTATGTTGCCCAGGCTCCTAACTTATTTGATCACCAAACCCACTTGATCGTGGAAAAAGAAGCAGCTAATGTCAGCATCACTCTTGGCCCACGTAGATCTTCAAGATGGAAGTCACCAAAGTACAAATGTTCCATGTGTGTAGGCTCTGGAGCCCTGGGTGGGTGTTCACCTGATTTACTGGAGTGTTTGTGGTAGTGTAGCCATGGGCGTGATGATTCTTGACTAGGAGGTTTTGTTCCCCAGGAACAGGGGCTGCAAACAGATGAGCTAGGGAGACAATTCAGGCATGGATGGTTGAGTAAACACAGAACGTTTAAAAAGAAAAATCAGCAGAATTACGTTGGTGCTCCTGTGTGGGATTCCTTTCCAAACTATAGTCATGGCTTTTAAAAATCTCAAAGATCCTTTGGTTTTCTTTCTCACACTTCCATTCCCCAGAACCCCTACCCATTCCTTAGCATTGTTGTTTCTTAAATGCAATGATCTTCTCATGGTCCACAGACCTAGGAGAGGAATGGAGACCCCTCCAGCCCAGAGCCAGCCCCAGACGTCTGACACCAGGGCTGCTATTTTGAAGGGTGCTTCGAGATCTGCAGCTCCAGGCATTTTGTTATTTTGCTATTTGCTTTTGGAACTTCTTAAAACAAACCTCAAAGACGAGAAAACTCCTGTTTGAAATGAATTCCTTTTAGAATCCAAGAAATGACTCATAGAAGCTGTTTTGGCATTTATGTTCCCTGTTAAGATGATTAGGCTCATAAATTCTATTTTTGAAATGCAGTCTTTGTACCCCGAATATTTTTCCAGAACAGCAACAAAAAAAACCTGAGGTGGAGGAGTAGGGGAGGAATGATATCCCTATTTACATGTTTGCTATGATTTAAATACATGCTGTTGCCTACTTATTTTTGTATTTTATCATCTATTTTTCCCCACACTATTAAAGAGGTTGGGCAATTTTCTTCAGTGAACTTGCTTAAAATGCTCTTTTTCTAAAGAAGAAACTGACTTTTAAAAATATCACTAGCTCATATGAACAAACTCATGTCTTGTTCATGTATGAGCTAGTAAGATTAAAAGTTCTGTTTTCACTCAAATGTCCAATGACTGATGAATGAATAACAAAAATGTGGAATAGTATTCAGCCTTAAAAAGGAATAAAATTCTGATACTTGTTCCAAGTAGGAATATATCTTGAGGACTCTGGGAGCACACTTTCAGAAACACCAGTGGCCTGGGGCTTCTTCCCCCGCCTGGTTTTGATCTTACCAACACTGCTGCTCCCGAAACAGCCTAGTTACTCATTCTTCAAAACTAATGCTTGGCTGGACCCAAGCCCTACTTTAATCACAAAACTGGTACCGTTCCAACTGAGTTAGGTGGTTTTCTTAGGGCCATGCAACGGACTGTCTTGGCAGGGGGCAGGTGCAGCCTTCCTTCTTGGGAAAAAAGTCTCAACTGTAGAAATGTGATGGCCCCTGAGATTTGTTTTAAGTTATTGTAGTTGTTACCTAAGTTTTATGCACCAACGCCTTTGTTCTTGTGTAATAAACTGTCAACTGCAGCATGTTCAAAGTAGCTCAACCCTCTATTTGGTCATAAAATTAATCCTAATCTAAAAACCACTCTTTCATTTGTAATTGCGTGGCAAGCCCAAGTTTTTAAGGAGCGTTTTGTTGTTCGGTACTTTTGATAACACCTGTGAAGCAGTGCTGGTCATGAGAAAAGACTTCGTGTGTGCCTTTTCAAGAACAATGAACTGCACTAAACTCTTTTTTTTTAACTTGAAGTTCAGGGGTACATGTGCAGGTTTGTTATATAGGTAAACTTGTGCTGCGAATGTTTATTGAACAGATTGTTTCATCAACCACATATTAAGCCTAGTACCCATTAGTTATTTTTTCTGATCCTCTCCTTCCTCCCACCCTCTACCCTCAAGTAGGCCCCAGTGTGCGTTGCTCCTCTCTATGTGTCCAAGTGTTCTCATTATTTAACTCCCAGTTATAAGTGAGAACATGCAGTTATTTGGTTTTTTGTTCCTGTATTAGTTTGCTAAGGATAATGGCTTCATCTACGTGCCTGCAAATAATATGATCTCATTCTTTTTTATGGCTGCATAGTATTCCATGGTGTATGTGTATCACATTTTTTATCCAGTCAATTACCGATGGGCATTTAGGTTGATTCCATATCTTTGCTGTTGTGAATAGTGCTGCAATGAACATATGTGTGCATATGTCTTTATGACAGAACGATTTATATTTCTTTGGGTATATACCTGGTATTGGGATTGCTGGGTTGAATGGTAGTTCTGTTTTTAGCTCTTTGAGGAATCACCACGCTGCTTTCCACAGTGGCTGGCCCAATTTACACTCCCACCAACAGTGTAGAAGCATTCCTTTCTCTCCATAAACTCACCAGCATCTGTTATTTTTTGACTTTTTAGTAATAGCCATTCTGACTGATGTGAGATGGTATCTCATTGTGGTTTTGATGCGCATTTCTCTAATAATTAGTGATGTGTAGCTTTTTTTTCATATGCTTGTTGGCCATGTATATGTATTCTTTTGAAAAGGAATTGCCTAAACTCAAATCTCAAAAGAAGTATTCTACTGTTTGAGTTTCAAATGAAAAATTAAGCATCAAGAATAAAGATCTTCAAGAATGTCATTTTTGAGCGTCTCTGGCATGACTAAAGAGGTCATGAATGCCCATCTCATGTGTATCTTCATGCTTTCCCTAAGGCACAGGCCATGTTTCTGAATTACATGTCAAGAGATATACACAGTCGAGGGAGTGACCAGCCATTACATTCCAAAAATAATCCCTGTGAAGTAATTATAATCTGTTTACCTTGATTTGTCCAGAACAACTTGGTCATCAAGCATCTCTCTTTATGATGCACCCGCATGGATTTTGGTAAAGTAGAGATTGTGGAGGACTGAATGTATCAAATATAGACAAAAGTGTCAGATAAGCTTTACAAATAAGTTTGCCACATTTTTTCAGGTGTAGGCAATTCTCGCTGACTTCACCGGGGCTGATCTGGAGTGATGTTAACTTACCCCAGTGAGCTTTGTCCTCTCAGCTTCGGGCTTCTGGGCCACTCCCAGTTGATGTCCTGGGGCACAAGAGATGGGGGAGATGGATAAGAACACAGTTCCCATCAGTTTCCAGGATGCCTCATTAGGAAGCTCTCTTTTTGGCCAGACCTGGGGGAGACACCATATAACACAATGCACCCCAGAGGAAAGGCAGTGAAGTTTAGCAGGGCTGAGCCATCCCCACTTGAGATACGAGGCTGGGCACCATTTTACACCAGTGATGACACCTCTAATGGGGTGGAAAGGTCACTTAGGCATGGCTATCTTCAACTCCACTATTGACCTTCCCCACCTCCACTCCTTTTCTGCCCTCCCTCTATAGTCTGGGCAGAAAGAAGGAAGAGATTTCTTCCAGAGGTCGTAAGATAAGCCACAGAAGAACTTCTCTCCACAAAGCCCCCATTTGTGGTCATGGAAGGCAGGCGAAGGTTGGTGCCCTTGGATGAGTGTCTCTTGCTCTGGAATGGAGGGCGGGCGCTGGTGCTAGCATTTCCCTCACCTTTGGAAACTCCCTTGGCTGTAAAGAGCAAGATGAGGCCAGGCGCAGTGGCTCACACCTGTAATCCCAGCACTTGGGGAGGCCAAGGTGGGTGGATCACGAGGTCAGGAGATGGAGACCATCCTGGCTAACATGGTGAAACCCCACCTCTACTAAAAATACAAAAAAATTAGCCGGGCGTAGTGGCGGCGCCTGTAGTCCCAGCTACTCGGGAGGCTGAGGCGGGAGAATGGCGTGAACCCGGGAGGCGGAGCTTGCAGTGAGCCGAGACTGTGCCACTGCACTCCAGCCTGGGCGACAGAGCGAGACTCCGTCTCAAAAAAAAAAAAAAAGAGCAAGATGAGAGGACACAGGCAGGGGCGGCCCCAGTGAAGCTGCCAGCTGGAGCCTCCATATCCCCTCCCCAGCCTTCCTGCAGATCCACTGCTGATGGTGTCACCCAGCCCCTTGCCTGCAGCCGAGGCCCGCTCCCCTCTCAGATGGCGCTCCACCAATCCCAAGAAAGGGGCGATGAGTCCCAAGAATGTCTGCCTTTTAATGGGTGCCAGTCCGGGCCCAAAGGGTTGTGGGAGAAACAATGAGCTGAAAGGGGCCCCTCTGATCTTTGGACTCACATCCTTCAGGGGGACTACAGGCTGCATCATTCATTCCTTCATTGATTCAATAACTGTTCATTGAGTTTCTGCTCTGTGTTCTCAAGGTTGAGAATTGGCAGCAAACAAGACAAACAGACTCTGCTTTCATGGTTTTGAGTACCTTGAGACCTACAGCCCCAAGCCAAGAAATCCAGCTTTCCCATCACAGCACAGGGTGCTATAAAGAACATCAGGTGGGTCATGGGCTGCAGAGCAACTGAATCCCCCTGAACACTCCCCCCGTTCAGGGAATGCCAAGCTAAGGCCTCAGTGAGGAAAAGGAGCCAGGTAAGTGAAAATACAGGGGGAAAGCTTTGTGTGGGGAAAACGTGCAAAGGCCCTGGGGTAGGTGGTCTGGAGTATTCAAGGAGCAGCGGGTGTTTTGCAGCTGCAGGGGAAGGAAGGAGGGATGTGCAGAGATCTCAGTGCAGCCCTTCACACAGGGCATCATGGGGGAGGCATGAAGATGGTCCCAACTGTCTTCTGAGGACACTCTCTGGTCTCATCTGGAGCCCCGAGCGTGGGCTTCTAAACCACTCAAGGGACCAGTGGAAAAACTTGTCTGATTCAAAACCCAGTGAAGAAGCCAGGGGTGTTGGCATGTGCCTGTAGTGCCAGCTACTTAGGAGGCTAAGATGGGAAGATGGCTCAAGCCCAGGAGTTCAAGGCCAGCCTGGGCAAAGTAGAGTCCCTGTCTGTCACAAAAGAGTAAAATTAAATAAATAAAATCAACCATGCACTGCTGTCCTCCTTGCACACCACTGAAGAGGCTCCTGCCTTCTTTGGCGGTCCCTCCATTCATATCCAGCATCATAAGATGTCAGGCACACATCTCAGCCTGCTGTATTCCCAGCAGAGGAGGCAGAGCCAGGACACCAGCCCATTCTTCCTAACTAATCTGCCGTTTAATTAGACCAGTTCTTCTCAACAACGGGGTGCTGTTTCACCCAGGGGACACTGGCAACCTCTGGAGGCATTTTTGGTTGGCACAAATGGGGCAGGGGTGCTTCTGGCATCTGGCAGGTAGGAACAGGGGTGCTGCTAACATCCTGCAGCACTGGGGACAGCCCCCCACACCAGAAAACCATCCCATCCAAAATGCTAACCCATAGATCAGAAGGAAGATGAGCCTGGGGAGAAAACTAGAGAGGATTTTGCTCCAGAAAAAAATGACCCACAATAAAGCTGGCTCAGCTCCTTTCAAAATTAAATACCTTCCTTCTTTGTCACACACTGGAAAACGAGCGAGTTTCTATTTCAGGCTGTGGGGTGAGTTAGCGTCGGCTTGGCCGGCTGTCTGGCAGAGGCTCCGATTCATCAATGACAGCTAAGTGTGGTTTGCTGTGTGTCAGGAGAAGGTCCAGGATGGGCTGGGGCAGGGAGTGTGGGGGGCAGACCACCCTCATCTCTGGGGCTGCTGGAGCTTCCGGAGCCTGGAGCACACCCAGCCTGCTTCTCCTTGTGGGAAGTGATTAAATGTGAAGCTTAAAGCTGTAAGGACTTCCTGGCATCGCGGGTTTTTACTTCTGAACTTGTTCCCCCCTCTCTTTACTTGCCCTCTGAAGCTCCCAAATTCAGGGCCAGGCACAGTGGCTCATGCCTATAATCCCAGCACTTTGGGAGGCCAAGGCAGGTGGACTGCTTGAGGCCAGGAGTTGGAGACCAGCCTGGCAATATAGCAAGACCCCATCTCTATAAAATAAATTAATTAAGCTCTCAAATCGAAAGCAGAGGTGTGTGTAGAAATACCCTTAAATAGATATGACAGTGATGTCATTGTACAACATAGCTGTCAGGGTGGAAGTGTGTCTCCCAAAATTGATATGTTGAAGCCTTAACCCATGGTAGCTCAGAATGTGACTCTGTTTGGACATGGGGTCTTCAGAGGGGTAACTAAAGTAAAGTAACGCTATTTGGGTGAGTCCCTAATCCAGTCTGACTGGTGTCCTCATAAGAAGAGGAGACAGAAACATACACAGAGGGATGAGCTTGTGAGGACACAGGGAGAGGACGGCATCTATGAGTCGAGGAGAGAGACCTCAGGAGAAATCTACCAGTCAGGAGAAACCAACCCTGCCACACTTTGGTCTTGGACTCCAGCCTCCAGAACTGGGAGACAATAAATTTCTGCTGTTTAAGACAGCCAGTCTGTGGTTCTTTGTTATGGCAGCCTTGGCAAACTAATCCCACATGCTTAGAGCTACGAGGGGTTCAGATATTCTCCTGTGCAACCTGCCCCCCAGGGTCACCATCTCTTTTATGGACACACTCTGAGAAGCCATCAGTCACTGTTGGGGATGGAGACCTCACTACGTCTCAAAGAAATTGTTTAGCATGGTATATTAGCTTTATCTTGCTGCTGTAACAAATTATTTTAATCTTGGGTGTTTAAGGAAATAGCAATTTATCCTCTCATGGTTCTGGAAGCCAGAAGTCCAAAACCAGTTTCCCTGGGCTAGCACCCTCCAAGGGCTGTGGTGGAGAATCTGTTTCCTTGCCTTTCCCAGCATCTAGAGCTACATCCCTTGCATTTCTTGGCTCCTGGTCCCTTCCTTCCTCCATCTTCAAAGCCTGTAGTGTAGCATCTTGCTTCCTCGATCAGATGGCCCTCTTCTGTCTATGTAAAATCTCCTTCTGCCCATCTCTTATAAGAACACTAGAGAGTGCATTTAGGGCCCTCCTGGATGAGCCAGGACAAACTCCCATCCCAGATCCTTAATTTAATCACATTTGCAAAGTCTCTGCCCTATAAAGTGATGTATTCACGGGTTCCAGAGATTAGAATGTGGGTATCTTTGCAGGAAGGGGGGATTCTTCAGCCTCACACACATTGGCCTCCTCTCCAGGGCTGAAAGTCACCTCTCCAGAGCTTCCAACCCATCACTCCTTGTTGTGAACTCTGCAGCAAATAACCCATGTCTAACTCTTCCTACTTGAGATCTTCCTCCAGCTTTCTGAGAACAGCTCAGGTGCACCTTCAAGGGTGCCCATTTCCAGACTGGCTGCCCCATGATTTCCCTCCTTCCTCATGGGCTATGGCCTCCCAAGGCCTCTGCAGCCTGTTTCCTCTCCAACAGACTTGAGTTGGTTAATAGCTCTCGAAAAATGTGGCAACAAGAATGGGTGAGATGCTGCAAGGTGACTCCACAGCCCAGAGAACAGCAGGTGCCTGCCCTTTAGTGCCGTAGGCTATGGGCCATGGGCCACAGAGCTTGCTTCAGCTTCAGTATCTGCATTTCACCTGCAAGGCACTGAGGCCCCATCACTGAAAAACCACAAGAGCAGAAATCTTCCACCTTGTCTACCACAGAGTTCCAGTTCCTAAGACACCGGCCTACTCCTAACTGGGGCTCAAAAAATACCTGTTGATGAAACAAATGTAGCATTAATTCTACTTGCCAAGTCTATGAGTAGATATTTATCTTTAATCTTCCAGAATTTCAACTTTGCCATGAATATAACATTTTTTGTCTCGTATAAACAATGGTTTGCGGAAAAACAAAAGAGGCTTTTCGATAAACAGAGAGAGCCCAGCCAGTGAAGCTTCAACACTTTTAAGATTCTAAGTCACTAGTTCACGGTTAATTCAAGTAACTACTTTGCAGACTGGAAGGGTGAAAAGAAGTGACAAAGACCCCTCTTCCTCCCACTTCAGTTAGGGGGTAGGGGAGAAAGAGAGAGAGGGGAACATTTATGGGACGATGGAAAGTCCAAAAGGAACCAAAAATTTTCCCACGTCAAAAAAGGCAGAGTCCAAAGAATAAGAGAAAAGTCTGATGAGGCCTGAATATCATCAGCTATTATAGAGGAACGAGTTTGATTTAATTGTAGCAGCTACACTTGTACACATTTGAGGTGGAGAAAAAACTGGACCTCCTGACACAGTCATGTTTTCATGTGAACAGGAAAGATTCTACTGCAGCAGGCCATGGGCCAGCCCAGACAACTGTCTGCAGCCAACACCTGCTGTGTGTACTTAGCTCTTCACTGGCAGCCTCACCTTCCCTGCACCCCACATCCTTAATGGGGGTGATGCTCTTTCCAAAGGGCAGAAAACTGGTTCTTAAGGGGTCAACAAATCTTAGACATCATAATGGTTTGTGGCCCTTTAAATTTTCATTCTCTACAGCACATTCTTACTCTTTAGTATTGAATTTCCTTTGTTGTGAGGAAATTAAATTAAGTTTAAATCGATTAGTTTTTCTTTCTGGGAGGTGATAAGGATGGAAAGGTTGTACAACAGGGCCCCAACCCACCCTGGCACCAGCAGCCCTGTCCACTGAGGAGTCTGAAGCTCACTCACACTTGGGCCTAAGTGTTTGACTGGGATGTCTGATGGATGGAACCTTTCCCACCAGCTGCCAGCCATGCTGCACAGAGGTGTGAGCATGTAGGGAGGAACCAATGCAGTGGGCCAGGGGTACCATCTTCATTGCTCCTCGAAGATGGTGGCTCTTTTCTCTGTTGCTGTGACATATGGCTTCTGCTAGTCACAAGCCTGTGGCCACATAGCTCCCATGTCTGGCTTCCTCTTGCAGCATGCTGCTTTGCCCTTGCCAATTCTTGGTTAGTCTTTTCCTCATGCTTCCCAAGAGGGTGACAGGGTGGGTTGATCAGTCATTATCTAGTTTCCAATATCCTTTGTGTTAGTTTCCTTGGAGCTGCTGTAGTAAATTACCATAGACTTAGTGGCTTTAAAAACACAAAATTTGGGGGCCATAAAGAAGGAAAAAACGTCTACTCTCACCCTCCTAGGTTCCCCAGCTATAGTCTTGTAAATGAGACTAATTGCTAATGGTTTGAATGTCTCTCTTCCAAAACTCATGTTGAAACTTAATTGCCAATGTGATGTAATGTAATGTATCAGGAGGTGGGGCCTTGAAGAGGTGATTAATAGATTAATGTCATTATTGTGGGAGTGGGTTAGTTGTTGCAGAAGTGGGATCCTGATGAAAAGAATGAGTTCAGTCTAATTTCCTCTGCTTGTCTCACATGCTCACTTCTGCCTTCTGCCATGGGCCCACCTTGGCCAGATGCAAGTGCCAAGCACTTGGACTTCCCGGCCTCCAGAACTGTGAGCTAAATCAATCTCTCTTTTTTGAAATAAATTATCTTGTCTGTGGCATTCTGTTATAGCAGCAGAAGATGGACTAAGGCACTGATGAAGGACAGATTAACAAGAGGAAAGCAGACAGAAGTTTACTAATGTGTGCATCTTAACCATGCATGAGGAGCACTCAGGGATGAGTAACTCAGAGGGGTGGATAGAACTTGGGTTTACATAGAATTTTAACAAAAGAACAGTCAATTTTGTAGAGAAGTGACAAGACAAGAGAAAAGGGCTTTGAGTTTCAAGGGGGAGGACACATTGTGGGAAGACAAATATATGGAAAACCTAATGGTAGATAAGGGCTAGTTAATAAGGTTTGTTGATTCCCCTGGTGCCGTCACAGGCTGATAAGGGTCTAGAGCTGTCTCTGATGATTAACACTTGCCCTTCTTGGTAGAGAAAGGAGGGGGATACCTTTACAAATTTATGTTCCGCTTTTAGACAAACAGGGGGAAGGCAGGGAGCTTTTCTTCTTCTCAATTGCCTTCAGCTTAAAATAATCCTGTTACCAACATGGCTTATATTGGGGAGGCATATTATTCTGCTATGCTTCAGGGCCCACTCAGATAATTCAGTATAATTTCCCATCACAAGATACCTTATTTATCACATCAGCTGTGTAGAGTAACATATTCACAGGGATTCAGACACAGGCTTTTTTGGGGGAAGAGAGGGGGCATTGTTCAGGCTACCTCATGCCTTAAGACAGTGTTCTTCTGCCAGGACACTTTGCTGACTGACAGCCTGCCTGGAAGGCAGGCTTTATCAGTGGTGGATAGAGCAGTTAAATCACAGAATGCAACTCAACTTGGCAACCTGTGGATCAGGGGGCACCCCAAGAAACTGGGTTGTTGTAGATGCTCTGCTGGGCCATGCCTGCAAGGCCTGCCCTGATATTTTCCTAAGACTATTTATATTTTTGAAGATAGCTTTGGATTAAACAGTTAAAAGTCAAATGGCAAGGAGTAGGGGGTATTGGGGATAAAGCCTTTGCCTTGAGACAGCCGTCACCCACTCTATTAAAGGAAACAGACAAGCAATGTCCAAGCAGCCAGAAACTCAGAAAACTCCAGATGGAGCAATATCCCCCAGACTGACCCCACTCCTCCTTCTGAAGTTGTGCAAGATATTGCCTGGGGGAAGTGAGGTCACCCACTTCACCATCACTTTAGCCAAAGTGCAGCAGTGTGCAATATACAAAGTGTTTGTGGAGGTTTGAGTTTGTTCATTTTCTTTTTCCAAGAGCAGATTTTTCCCCCTAAAAGCATGCTCTTAAAGGAACGGCCCCCAGCTAGTCACAAGGAACTCGAATACTAACAAACACATCATTAAACATATATGACTTCCTTTCAGTACATTCCGTCCAGATGCAGGAGACAGTTACCACATTGATTTTCAGACCACCCTCATTATTGCTCCCACCCATCTCTCATTAAATTGCCTTCAAACAACAACAAAAAAAAGTCATTAAGATCTAACTTCTGCTTCTCCTTTTTCTTAATTCCATTCTGTGAAGTTAAATAGGCAATAGTTGGTTCAAACAACCTACGATATTTCCTCATTTTCTCTATTTTGTAGGTCCTGAGAAGCTGCCATTAGCTCTCAAGGCTTTGAGAGTCCAGCCAGTTTCTCCAGAGTGAAGTCCCCCTCCTCAGAGGAACAAATGCTTTCAGAGGAACAAATGCTTTCTGAGAAACTCGCCACTGGGCAGATCCTGCCACCCACCTGCCTGCCGCTGCAAAGCAGAGCCTGCCCAAAAAGCTGCCATCATTCCCGGCACTGCTACATAAATGCTGAGTGTGGTGGCTTGAATTGTGTCCCTTGAAAAGATACGTTACCGTCCCAATCCCTGGTACCTGGGAATGTGACTTTATTTGGAAAGAGGGTCTTTGTAAATATAAGAAGATGGGGTCACGCTGGAGTAGGGTGTGCTTTAAATCCAAAGGCTGTGTCCTCCTAAGAGGGAAATGTGGACACAGGCACAGAGGTAAGATGATGTAAAGACACGCAGGAAGGAGGCCATGGGATGGGAGGCATTTGCTGCAAGCCCCAGAACCCCAAGGATCCCTGGCAACCGCCAGAAACCAGGAAGAGGCAAGAAGGGTTCTTCCTCCGAGCCCCCAAGAAGGAACCAACTGATTACAGACTTCTGGCCTCCAAGACTGTGAGAGAATACATTTCTGTTTTCTTTTTGGTTTGTTTTTTTCTTTTCTTTTTGAGCAGGGTCTCACCCTGTCACCCAAGCTGAAATGCAGTGGTGTGATCACAGCTCACCACAGCCTGGACCTGCCAGGCTCAAGCAATCCTCCCATCTCTGTCTCCTGAGAAACTGGGATTACAGGCATGCACCGCCGCCACGCCCAACTAATTTTTGTATTTTCTGTTGAGATGGGGTTTCTCTATGTTGGCCAGGCTGGTCTCAAACTCCTGAGCTCAAGCGATCCACCTGCCTTGGCATCCGAAAGTGCTGGGATTACAGGCGTGAGCCACTGTGCTCAGCCCCATTTCTGTTGTTTGAAGCCACTGAGTTTGTGGCTGTTTGTTACAGCAGCTCCGGGAAACTCACACACAGTTCCACCCTAAAATGCCCCTTTAGGTCACTTTCACTCAAAGTCGCTGCCTATCTCTATTTTTATTTATTTTTTTATTTATTTTTATTATTATTTTTTTTTCTGAGACAGAGTCTCACTGTGTCACCCAGGCCAGAGTGCAGAGGCATGATCTCAGCTCACTGCAACCTCTGCCTCCTGGGTTCAAGCGATTCTCCTGCCTCAGCCTCTCAAGTAGCTGGAATTACAGGCACACGCCACCATGCCCAGCTAATTTTTTGGATTTTTTTAGTAGACATGGGTTTCACCATGTTGGCCAGGCTGGTCTCAAACTCCTGACCTCAAATGATACGCCCACCTCACCCTCCCAAAGTGCTGGGATTTGAGCCACCATGCCCGGCTTTATCTCTATTCTTAATACATCTCTTCTGCTGCTTCTGTCTGCTTCTGAGGTTTCAACCTAAGCCCGATTTGGGCTGCAAATCCAAGTAAGAACCATTAAGGCCCTCTGGGGATTTGGCTAGTTCCAAAAGGGGTCCAGGGAAATGAGGTGTGTCCTCCCCAACCTTCCCTCCCTCCAAGTTTTCTTAAAGTAGGGTGGCCCATGTCGAAGGATGCAAAATAAAAGCAAAATAATGCCATACCCATTGCCTACAAGGGGCAGGGCCCAGGGAGGAAGGAAAGAAGATGCTGTTAGGTCTCTAGTCACGCCTGACTCTCTGCTGTGAGTGTCCCATAGAATGTCTCATTCTCACCATCCTGAGGTCAGGGCCAAGGTCCCCATCCTATAGGTGCAGGGTGTCTGGGCTGGGATCCAAGCCAAGTATCCTTGTTCCGAAGATCACATGAAGATTCACCCCAAGACCTGGTGTTACAGCAGCCTTCTTCTATATCCACGGTCTGTGCAGGGCCACTCAGTTGAAGTTCAGTTCAACATAATTACAGTTGAAGTTCAGTTCAACATAATTACAGCGGCAGTTCTCAAACCTTCGGGGGCATCAGAATCACCTGAATGGCTTGGTGCAACACCCGTTGTTCCTCGCCCCATAGTTTCTGATTCCGTGGGTCTGGGTAGGGCCTGGGATTCTGCATTGCTAACACGTTTCCAGGCAATGGTGAGAGGTCAGTCCAGGCTCCACAGTTTGAGACCTATCCCTTCGTGTAAACATGGGATGGTATCAGGTATGAGCCAACTCCTGGTGTCTACGCCCTCAAATGATGGATGGAAAAGACCAGGAGATGGAGGGGCCCTCCTTCCTCAGCCCCCCTCCACCCACACACACACGGCTTTCATGACCTCCCCTTTGCTAGCTGCCTCTGCCAGGCGGTGGCCTGAGTGCTGCTGTCACCCACACCCTCCATCCTTCCTGTGCCCAGAGTCCATTTCTCCACTTCCCTCTGTTCACGGTTAATTCACGTGGAGGGAACGTCCCTGAGCTTGTGTTCACATGAGCAGACACACCCACAGGGGCCGCCACTTCTTTTGCCACCTTTCCGTGTTTACCTTGTCCTTCCCTTTTGGATTTGTTTTGCTACACATTGTGTTATGAGCTGGACTGTGTTCCCCTCAAAATTCATCTCTTGGCCTAGCACGGTGGCTCAAGCCTATAATCCCAGCACTTTGGGAGGCCGAGGCGGGTGAATCACCTGGGGTTAGAAGTTCAAGACCAGCCTGGCCATCATAGTGAACCCCATCTCTACTAAAAATACAAAAATTAGCCGAGTGGTAGTGGCACATGCCTATAATCCCAGCTATTCGGGAGGCTAGGGCAGGAGAATCACTTGAACCCGGGCGGCAGAGATTGCGGTGAACCGAGATCGCGACACTGCACTCCAGTCTGGGTGACAGAGTGAGACTCTGTCTCAAAAAAATAAAAACAAAAACTCCTGTCTTGAAGCCCTATCCCCTAGTAGCTCAGACTGTGACTGTATTCGGAGATGGGGCCTTTAAAGAGGTGATTAAAGTTAAATGTGATGTCCCAGGGCCAGAAGTCTCTTCAGAAATGATGGGCTTAAGGATTTTTTTTTTTTTTTGAGACAGAGTCTTGCACTCTCACCCAGGCCAGAGTGCAGTGGCGTGATCTCAGCTCACTGCAGCTCTGCCTCCTGGGTTCAAGCGATTCTCCCGCCTCAGCCTCCTGAGTAGCTGGGATTACAGGTGCCCACAATCATGCCCAGCTAACTTTTATATTTTTAGTAGAGATGGGTTTCACCATGTTGGCCAGGCTAGTCTTGAACTCCTGACCTCAGGTGAACCACCCCTCGGCCTTCCAAAGTACTGGGATTATAGGCGTGAGCCACCTCACCAGGCTGGGTTTAGGGATTTTTTCAGATGAAGAGATTGTCCTGGTATGTCCTAAATGCAATGACAAGAGGCCTTAAAGAAGAACACAGAGGAAGATATGCTACAGGAGCAGAAGGGCTGTTACCAAGGAGCAAGATGCTACGTGGTTGCTTTAAAGACGGAGGGAGGGGCCATGGGCCAGGGAATGCTGGCAGCCACCAGGGGCCAGAAAAGACAAGACCAGATTCTCCCCTAGACCCTCCAGAGTGGCACAGCCCTGCCAATGCCTTGACCTTAACCCAGCAACACTAACTTCGGATTTCCGCCCTCCAGCCCCATAACAGAATGAAGTTGTGTTGTTTGAAGGCATCAAGCTTGTGGTCATTTGCTATGACAGCCACAGCAAACTCCTACAGACAGAAGAGAAAAGACTCAAACCCAGGCCGTCTGTCTTCAGAACCTGTACTTATTAATAAAGATTTTACCATTTAAAACATTCTTAATGAGGCAAAGCTTCATTAAGTGAAATTCACAGTACGATCTGACAAATTTAAGCCCTGTGTAGCGCCACCTGAATCAAGATATAGAACAGATCATTTCCCCAAGAAAATTCCCCACTGCCCTTTTCTAGTGGGTCCAGTCCCTGTCCCGAGACAGCCACAGTCCTGATTCCCATCACCACCCATCAGTCCTACCTGTTCTTGAATATCATATAAATAAAACAGTACATTGCTCCTTTTCTCCTGTTCTCCTACCCGTGGTTTCAATATTCCACAGATTGCTATCATTTGCCTGTGGGCTAACTCTTGGGTTCCAGTTTTTGGCTACGATGCATCAACCTGCTGTAAACACTCTTGGGCAGGTCCTTCGGTGCACACGTTTTCATTTCTCTTGGGCAAACCCTTCCTAGGAGTGGAATTGCTGGGTCATGGGAGTGGTGTGTGTTTCATTTTACATGAAACTGCCATGCTGGTCTTCCTAAGTGCCTACCATTTGACGGGGCCCCCACAGTGAGGGGTCTCCCGTAGCTTCATGTCCTCCATAGCACTCACTGTTGGGCCCCTGCACCCTTAACCACTGTACACAATGAGGTCTAAGCTTTCACGGAGTTTGCTGCGAGGTTGAAGTGAGGCAACCTCCAAAAAGCAAAGCTCCAGGCACGCACCTGCTTCATGCACCGGAATATTCCTTTCTGTTCCTTTTACTAAATAAATGGAGTTCATTCCTCTGAAAAATAAGCAGCTTTGGACCATAGAGCCACCAAATGACATTTTTGTAAATCATATTTCTTTTGAAACCTTGCTGAAATATTTGAGCCACTACTTACGTTCTCTTACTACCCAATTATAATGCATGGTCTCCAGGACCCATTCTCCAAACTCTGCTTAGCACGCACGGACCTTTGTTTACATGAATCTCAACAGCTGTGTATGGCAACAGTGCTCCTTTCCACGGAACCAAAGGTGAGATGCAGGCCGCTCCTGAAAGACTGGAAAAAAACGGCTCCGAACACTTTCTCTCTCTCTCCTCCCTCTGTCTCTCTTTGTCTCTGTCTGTTTCTGTCCCTGTGTTTGTCTCCGTCTCTCTCTCTCCAATGTCAGGTTCACAGAAATAGATTACCACCCTCTTCCTACTGGAAGCACATGTAAGTATGTGCACATCCACAGGCATCTGCATACTCTCAGCCCAGCGAGGTCACCAACACCATGTGTCCTGAGCCTTAGCACCAATTCACACCCACTTACAGCTCCCTCTTCCTCTAGAGGCACCACTTGGGCTGAACCTGTGTTTGGCCTTTTTTTTTGAACACTGTAGTTTTATCCTGGGTAGGTATTCCTAAAAACACACTCTTTAGTTTTAGTTTTTTCATATTTTTATAAAAGGTTATCATGGTGCATGCCATTTTCTGGGATTCATGTTTTCAACTCTGTTAGGGCTCGCAGTGTCCAAGACCCCTCCAGTCCTTGGCCCACAGAGGAAACCGAGCCTCAGAGAAGGGCAAGCTCCTCCCCACAGCATAGCCATAACCCATCACATAGGTTGACAGCAACCAACATATTAGCATGGAATGATCATTTCTTAGAAGCTGTGGGAGGAACTTCCACCCCCCACATCGTTTCTCTGTCTCGTCTCAACCTCAGGTATCAAGGTTGTTTTGTTCCATATTTCACAGATGAGGAAGCAGGGACTCAAGGCCGGTGAATTTAACTCTGGTCATATGGCTGGCAGAGCAGGCCCTCAACTTGGGCTTGTCTGACCTGCTGCAGGAGCCCATGTCAGCCTGACTCTCCCACCTGGACACGAGTTCCCAAGGCACGTGTGGCATCAGAGGTCCTGCCAGTCAAAGCGTCGGATCTGTGCTTCCCCCCATCAGGCTGGTGCCACAGGAGGAAGGAAAGGGCAAACACCTCTTCCTGGGAGCAGGGGTCAGGTCAGCCTGAGGCGGCAGGAATTTTAGCAAATCCAAGTTTTCTCATGTCTGGACAGCACCTTGTAGCACCCACTCTGATGGTGCCAAGGCTCAGGCCGAAGCCAGTCCCATGAGTGTGGCCAGGGCTCTGCACCCATGGCAATCTCAGGCACGAAATATGCATAGCTGTGTGTGGTCAAGGTGGCCTGCCCTGGGATGTCAGGGCTCTGCACACATGCACACACACACAGACACACACACACACTCACTCACTTAACATGATGCATCTCTTTGAATCCTCACAACAACCTTTGCTATGAATTGGTGATTCCAAACCACCCCACTGTACAGATGAGTGCACTGAGGCTCTGTGGGCTAAAGTCTCCTATCTGAACAATCAGCTCATGACGGCAGAGCTGACATTCCTCTCCCATGAAGAAACCACAGGCTTCTCACACCAACCCCAAGACAGGAACATCAAGGACACACCTCAAGTCTACGCAGGTCCCAAGACTCTCTTCCAATCGCCATGCATTTCTGTCTATTTGTCAGGGAGCTGGTCTTTACTGTCTTCATCAAAGGTAAGGAGGTAAGGGTAAGAGGTTACTGTTGCATGTAAATACATCTGGAAGAGCCTTCCACCCACCTTATTGCAAAATAGAGACTGTGGGAGGGAACAGGCCTCTGCAGTCCCCCCCTGTTGCCTTTGCTCATGTGAGCAGAGGCTCCCCTCTCTCCACGTAGACACAGGTGTTCATCAGGGCTCAGGGATACTTCAAGGAGCACAGGCAGGCTCTTGTATCCTCTTCTGGGTGCTTGGTGCAGGGCACAGCCTGTGCAACTGTACATAGCAGCCCTGCGATGAAAGAGGAGACCAGCCTTGGGTGCTGTGGGCTGGAAGCAGCTTTTGCTCTGTCTGGTTTTGCCAAATCTGGTGCCAGGCTCAGAGCAGGGAGAGAGACACAGTCAGCCTACTTCCAGCACTGGCAGCACATCTGTCCAAAGAGAAACATGTCTTTTCCTAGCACAACCAGCAGCACCAGAAGCACCTCTCCTAATCTGTCAACCGTCTCTCTGTTTTTCTCCTCTCTCTCTCTGCCTCCTCCCTTCTTCCCCCTCCATCTATCTCTGTGACTTTGTCTCTCTCCATCCCTCTCCCCTCCTCTTTCTGTCTCTGTGACTTTGCCTCTCTCTCTCTATCACTCTCTCTGTGTCAGTGTCTCCCTCTGGGTCTCTGGGTCTCTGTCCCTCCCCAGTAGGTTCTATTTAGATTTGTTGTGACAAATTGATGTCATATTCACATAGATGGCATTTTAAAACCACAGAGGTCTTCAGAGCCAGAGCTTCATTCACACTGCAGGCCAGGGACACTGTTGCCATGGTAACATGACTCTCCACTTCCTGCCTTACCCGGGCTCCCGCATTCAGCATCACCTTCATCTCCCTCAGCAACACCACAGATGATTAAATAAAGCACTTTAATTAACTCGGATTTGGTGTGGGGTCTTCATCATCGCTGCTGGGAACAAGCGTTTGTAAACCCTCGGGGCTACATGTGCCCCTCTCCGAGGCAGTCTGTGAACCCACACTGGCCACTTCTCACAATTTGGGCTATAGGAAATTTATATCCAAGTAGCACTTGATGAGATTCTAAGGTAATAGCCACAAGCCACCTCCTTCACAAGGCGTGAGCTTCCTTCGTCTGCCGAGACACATTAACTTCATGTAAATTATAATGTCTTTGAGACGAAAATGTCTTAGTCTGTTCAGGCTGCTATCACAAAATACCATAGGTGACTTATGAACAACAGAAATGTATTTTCTGCAGTTCTAGAGGCTGGAAGTCTGAGATTAAGGCGCTGGCGGAGTCAGTTCTGGTGAGGGAGGCTTCCTCTCCGATGGCCTCTGCTCACCCTAACTTCACATGGGAAGGGGTGAGGGGTCTCTCTGGGGTCTCTTTCATGGGATCACTAATCCCGGTCATGAGGGTTCTCCCCTCACCACCTAGTCATCTCCGAAAGGCTCCACCTCCTAATATCATCACCCTGGGGGTGTGGATTTCAGCATATGAATTTTATGGGGACACAGATATTCAGATCATTGCAAAAATCAATGCATTATTAGGCATGGCCAGGGAGAATCGACTGTGGATCTTTTAGATAAAGGGGCTCTGGTGCTGGGGTGACAGACCTGCCTTCCTGGTTTTCACCCTAGAAGCAGGCAGGAAGGAGAAGGAATGAAGGGAAGGGGGAAGGAATGACGCAGGCAGGGGCCTCTAAACCTGGATCCAGGAACTTAAAGGGTAAAAATTACATTTTTATTTTCGCTAGCCTTTAACTGAAATGTATCATTTCCTTTCAATAGGTACCTAGGCAACAAGCACAGTGGCGTGTTAGCATCCTTGTGACTTTGACACCAGTAAAAATCACTGGATCATCTCATTCCATGTTATGCCTGTCCACCACTTATGCCCATCACTGCTTCAAAATTCCCAGGTTATTAGTACCACCTCCGAGGCTTGTTATAGATCTGGTTATGGTATATTAATAGCACATGTGTTGCTACCTCATTCATTGTTTTATAATGGTATCTTAATCTTAATGTAAGTGGTTTCCTTTATAACCTGTGTGTTTTATTTTGTGCATTCAAAAATCTGATTCTGAAAATTGGCCCACAGGTTTCACAGACTGCCAAAGAGGTCCGGGGGCATAAATGGCTCCAGAAAAAAAAAATCTAGTATTATTAATATGGTCCATTATTATTGGTGTTATTGCCATTCATAGGTGTTAGACATTGGCCCCTCAATAAAAAGGATATGTATCTATATCGATCAATCAATCAGATAGATATAAAATTCTGAAGATATTTATAGAAGATATACAGGTATCTATATCTACCTGTAGATATGGATAATTTGTTTGCCAAGAAAATTGAGGATTTCAACATTTATTTATCTCTATTTTTTTTTCCATTGAAGTCCTCAAAAGTGATGCCAATATGACATGTGGAAGTGAGAACTTGGGAAGCTGGCCTGGGATTTCTAGTGGGAAAAAGTATATTTTAAAAATTAAGGGCCGGGTGCGGTGGCTCATGCCTGTAATCCCAGCACTTTGGGAGGCTGGGGGACAGATCACCTGAGGTTGGGAGTTCGAGACCAGCCTGGCCAACATGGAGAAACCCTGTCTCTACTAAAAATACAAAATTAGCTGGGCACAGTGGTGCATGCCTGTAATCCCAGCTACTCATGAGGCTGAGGCAGGAAAATCGCTTGAACCCGGGAGGCGGAGGTTGCAGTGAGCCGAGATCACGCCATTGCACTCCAGCCTGGGCAATAAGAGTTAGATTCTGTCTCAAAAATAAAAACAAAAATAAAAAATAATAATAATAAGACCCAAGGCATGAGAGGATAATACAAGGCTCATTACAGACCACAGAAGCCATTATGCCTGTTACTTAAAATCTAGGCCTGTTTCAATTCATTCTACCAAAGTAGACACTGAAGCAGGAATACCACTCTTTAACATAAACGGACACACACAAAGGCCCAGAACCAGTGCCAAGAGTTTTGCACCCATTAATTCATTCCATCATTTGTTTATTTTATTTGACAAATGTGCAGATAGTACTTACCATGTGCCAGGCACTATTCTAAGTGCTTCAAAAGCATTATCCTATATAACCCTTTAATATGGTTTGGGTCTGTGTCCCCACCCAAAGCTCATCTCGAATTGTCATCCCCCTAATCCCCACGTGTTGAGGGTGGGACCTGGTGGGAGTTGATTGGATCATGGGGGTGGCTTTCCCCAGTGCTGTTCTCATGATAATGAGTGAGTTCTCACAAGATCTGATGGTTTTATAAGTGTTTGACCGTTCCTCCTATGCGCACATTCTCTCTCTTTCCTGCTGCCATGTAAGACATGCCTCTTTGCCTTCTGCCATGATTGTAGGTTTCCTGAGGCCTTCCCAGCCATGCAAAACTGTGAGTCAATTAAACCTTTTTCCTTTATAAATTACCCAGTCTCAGGTATTTCTTTATAGCAGTGTGAGAATGGACTAATACAACCTTATAACAATAACAAGAGGTAGGTACTATTATTGTTGCAGATTTTCAGATGAAGAGCTAAAGCACAGAGGGTATAGAAACTTGTGAGAAGTTCCTACAGCAAGTAATTGGTGGAGACAGCATTCAGCCCCTAAGCCCACCCACCGCGGGTATTTTGGGAGGCTTGTCACACTGGCCTTCCTGCTTCTGGCTCCGCCTAGTCTTCAACAGCTAAAGGTAGGATTCAAACCTAGGTGGTCTGAATGAGGGCACTGATATGGTTTAGCTCTGTGTCCCCACCCAAATCTCATCTTGTAGCTCCCATAATTCCCACATGGTGGGAGATAATTGAATGATGGGGGCAGTTTCCCCCCTACTGTTCTCATGGTGGTGAATAAGTCTCACAAGATCTGATGGTTCTATAAGGGGTTTCCACTTTTGCTTCTCTCTCTCTCTTTGCCTGCTGCCCTCCATGTAAGACATGACTTTCTCCTCCTTGCCTTTCACCATGATTGTAAGGCCTCCCCAGCCTCATGGAACTGTGAGTCCATTAAACCTCTTTCTTTTGTAAATTGCCTAGTCTTCGGTAAGTCTTTATCAGCAGCATGAAAACGGACTAATACAGGCGTGAACCCTATCACCACTAACTTGTCAGGGCATTGTCCAGGTGGGGAAACAGGCATCCAAGAGTACAAGGAGATCAGTAAGATCCTGCCCTGGGCTCCTCAGGAAACCCTCTGTGTGTCTTACCACCCATCCATTAATGCGAGGCAAAGAGGAAACTCACACTTTCCTAACTTTGCTTATTTTTCATCCTTCAAAGGACAGCTCTTGTGCAGATCCCAAATCAACATCAGATGAAAGTATGGGAGCAGCATCTAATCAGCCATCTTGACTCGGGTGGCTACTTAACAGCCACCTGCCCTGACCGGTCCTTCATTTGCAAGCAAGGCTGCTGCTCAGCATTCTCGCCCACTCAGTGGTTAGTTCTGAGAGCCACATATTGACCAGTAAGCCCATCTGCACAGCCCCTTGGAATTGGGTCTAAGCCATCACTTCATTCTGATGATGGAAAAGCAGGAATGTGGAGTCTGAGTGACTTAGCCCTGGCTCGGCAAGATCTGAATTCAACTCAATCCTCAATGCTTCCTTCTCCCAAGAAAAGCCTATGGTACTCCTTTCTAAAAAATCATTCCTGCTATGAACTGACATACAATAAAATGCATCCATTTTTATTTGCACAACCCAACGAGCTTCGACAAAAGTAAACATACATGACCATCACAACAATATAGAATTGTCCCGTTACCCCAAAAAGTTTTCTACATGCCTTTGCCATCATTCCCACTCCTGGCCCAAAGCAACATGGGAGATTTGACTTCCCTTTTCTAGAACTTTGTATAAATAGAATCAGATAAAACTTCGTAGACATGGAAGCTAGAGACAACGCTGTCTGTGCATTGACTGTGTGCTGTGCTCCAGGGAGGTTGGGAGAATATTTACATCAATGCCGTTTGAAGGCGCTTCTCCACCCTAACTAGGTGCACGTCTCATGAGCTACCTGTGAGAGTCTCATTGACACAGGAATGACAAGATAGTGTGCTCTTTGTCCTCCATGCACTGAGAACCCAGCACAGCCTTCCACACACAGCTTCCCCCACCTACATACACCTGTCCCTTAGCAGTCTGGTTGCTAGGAAACATCCACTCTATTTCATCTTTACACATAACATGCCGTATTTCCCTAAGCCCCCAGAGTGGGCTCTTGTCACTTCCGTTTCATTTCTCCCTACTCAGCCCACATCTCTCCCAGGGCTCCCCATAAAGCACATTCCCACTAGAGGAGCAAAAGCTGGAGGTTCCTCGTTTCCTTTTAGGTGAGCATGAATGAAACACGCGGGGGCTGCTGTGGGAGAGAAGAATCTCACAGAACATCTTGGTTTAGAGCATAGGCAGGCAGGCACTGAGCCCTGGGTCGCCCACTCTTGGATGAGAGAGCCTTGTCTTTCTGAGCCTGGCTTCCCCCATTAAAAAACCCAGGCTAAAAGTGGTCCCCATCTCCAAGAACTGTGAGGGGACCATCACTCCCATGCCTTGCATGGAGCATGGCTGCCCAGTCAGGATTTACTGCTGTCAACGCCCACCTCACTATGCCCACGTGTGGCATCAATGACGGTCAATGCAAAGGACCTGCCCTTGTCAAGCTCAACTCAGGGTTCCCTTTATAAAAGCATCATGCTGGCCTCATGTGGTGGCTCAGGCCTCTCATCCCAGTACTCTGGGAGGCCGAGGTGGGAGGATTACTAGAGCCCAAAAGTTTGAGACCAGCCTGGGCAACATAAAGACACCCTTTCTTTACAGAGAAAAAAAAAAAAAAAAGCCAGGTGTGCTGGTGCACACCTGCGGTCCCAGCCACTTGAAAGGCTGAGGTGGGAGGATCACTTGAACCTGGTAGATGGAGGCTGCAGTGAGCTGTGATTATGCGCTTGCACTCCAGCCTGTGAAATACAGCAAGACTCTGTCTCTAATAAAAATTAAAAATAAAAATAAATTAAATTAAAGCATAATGCTCAGGAAAATAACACCATATCTTTTGTTTCAGACTTTGGTAGGCAGAACAGTCCCCAAAGATGTCCACGTCCTAATCCCGGAACCCATGAATACATGAATACACTTTGTTACACAGCAAAAAAGACTCTGCCAAAGTGATGAAGGCAATTTCTTCATCTCCCTTTTGAAAGGGCGATCGTCTGGGATTCACCAGAGAGTCCCCAGGAGCTCGGGATGGCTCCCAGCTCTGACAGCAAGGAAGGAAACAGGGTCTCAGCCATATAGCCACAGGGAACCAGAGGCTGGCAATGGCCTGGAATGGTTTAGAAGTAGATTTCCCGGAGCCTCCTGATGAAAGCCCAGCTGGTCAACCCCAGGACGGTGGTCTGTGAGAGCCACAGGAGAGAAACCAGCTGAGCCGAGTGGGCCTTTGGGCCTACAGGCCTGTGTGACAGGACAGTGGTGGGAGGGAGCCATCCGCCTCTGCCCACTGCCCTCTGTGACTCCAGCGCACTCGGGGTCCCACTTCCACACCCTCTGCAAAGGCCCTCGCAGCCTGCCCGTGTCTCCGCCTCCTCCCCAAGGTCTCCCCTCCCGCCTGCTCCTCCAACAGATGGGCCCCTGGCTTTGCACTACTCCTCTTTTCCCTTCCTCAGGACTTTATTTTTATTTTATTTTATTTATTTTTATTCCGGTACCACCTCTCAGTGAGACCCACTGTCACCCCATCAGCGCCCTCTCCACCCTCCCCTGCTTTACTTCTCCTTATCATCCAGCATGCATCTATTCACCAATATATTATTTATCGCCTGGCTTTTCTACTAGGCAAATGATTCTCAACTGGCGGTGACATCGCTCCTCACTTCTCCCGGGGGACAGTGGGCAGTGCCCGGGGTCACTTTTGATTGTCACAATTGGAGGAGGCCCCTGACATCTGGTGAGTGGAGGCCAGGGATGCTGCTTAACATCCTTCAATGCACAGGAAGGCCCAGCCACAAAGCACGATCCAGCCCAAAACGCCGGCAGTGCCTCGGCAGAAATGTCACCTCCTACACCATCAACTCTGTGAGAGCGGGGATTTGTTTGTCACGACTGCGTCCTGGTGCCCAGACCAAAGCCTGCACATCACGGTGCTCCGTGGATGGGTTTGAAGGAGCGGACCTGGACCAGAGCGTGCTGTAGGCCACAGTCAGTGCCGGCCCACCCAGAACTGGCCACTCAGCGGTTACCCATCTCTATCGCTTTCTTTCCCAGAGTCGGAAACTTGGAACCACTTTCAACTTTTCCTCTTCTGCTTCCCCTCTAGGTTCCACAGGGGGGCCTCGCTGCTGGGCAGGGGCCTCCGGGCTCCTCCATCCTCCTCCGCCCAGCTCTGCCCTCCCAGCGAGGAATCTCCTGTGGAACATGGTGGGATCTCATTGTCCCTGCTGCAGGAAGTGGAGCAAAGAAACCGAGGTAGGGGGCCAGGTTCAGTGGCTCATGCCTGTAATCCCAGCACTTCGGGAAGCCGAGGTGGGCGGATCACCTGAGGTTAGAAATTCAAGACCAGCCTGGCCAACATGGTGAAACCCCATCTCTACTAAAAATACAAAAATTAGCCGGGGTGGTGGCACACGCCTGTAATCCCAGCTACCTGGGAGGCTGAGGCAGGAGAATCACTTGAACGTGGGAGGCGGAGGTTGCAGTGAACCAAAATCGCACCACTGCACTCCAGTCTGGGCGACAGAGTGAGACTCTGTCTCAAAAGAAAAAAAGAAAGAAAGAAACCGAGGCAGGGCCATTTCTCTCCCTTCCTGCAGTTCCCTCCCTTTCCTTCCCTGGCTTACCTGGTGTTCATCAACATTCCAGAATTCTGCACTGAAGGAATCCCATGCAAGTCTGTCTCACAGTGGGAGAGCAAGGCCCCTTTTTTATTCACGCGGGCTCTGGGATGACCAGGGTCAGCATAGCATGATTTACACACGCTGCTTGAACCAAATCAGTGAATGGAACAGCCCTGGAGTCATTGTAAACAAACCCAGATTCGCTGGACGCCCGCTGAGCTGAAAACCACAGGAAGAGGAGAGAAGACATACAAACCTCTTTCTCAAATGAGACTTTCTCCCAGAACCTAATGTTCGGGAAAAATCTTCCTAATTACTCGTTAATTGGCATATTATCAGCACTTTGTGCCAAGGATTAAGTGGGTAATTCCCATTATTTCTAGAGAGCAAGGTAATGCATCCACTCAGCCAGGCAGAGTGCGCGCAGCTCTGGAACTGTCACCACTGAGGCCTGCGGGCAGCCCCGTCCACGAGCCCAGTCCTCAGCCCTGCGGAAACGCTGGCTGCGCTGTTGAAGCCAACTCCTGAGACTTGTATTTTTCCGACAATGTGAAAAAACATTTCATCATTCAGCCTGATTTTCATTTCTCACTTCTTGGGTATACATTTTTTGAAAATGGATTTTCCTCTTAAAGAATAATTTATTGTGTAAGTCAGTCTAATTCTCCTGCTCCGGAACTTTGTGTTTTGAACCTCTTGGTCATTCAAGTAAGAGCACTGGGGTAATTTTAGCATTGCTAATTGGCTCGATAAAGAAATGTATTTTAAACAACTATGATTCAGCACTTAATCACAGCATTTGATGATATTGTCATTACAAAAACCTCTATTCTCCATTAAAAATAATTAAACCATCTTAAAGTTTGACCATCCTATGTTGGCCTAAACTTTCTATATTTCCATATTACTCAAATGTTTATGGACAAGAGAACTGTGGTACATAAAGAGAGAGAGAGAGGGAGAGATGGAGAAGGAGGGAGAAGAGAGCACGCACCCTGGAACTTGGGTTTAAGTCCCAGCTCTTCCATCTGCCGACTATGTCTGCAGAACAGTCCTCACCCTCTGAGACCATTTCTTCTTCTCTGTGGGGAGGATGTGCTGGGACCACAAGGTATCAGGACAGCCCTGTCCCCAGGGGTAGGGAAGAATGACCTCAGAAGGAAATGAGAAGGAAGGGGCTCTGGGATCAGGCAAGGGTCTAGCAGGGTGTACCAAGCACTCCTGTAGGGCAGGAGCCCCAGGGACATATGTGGAAGCCCATATATCTTGGGGAATATGTGGAAGCGCATATACAAGAAATGATCCCTCTCCTTCCTGGGTGTCTGCGCCATGGGACATGCTCTCGGAGGCAGCTTGCCAGAAGGGCCACCAGTCTCCAGTCACTATTCAGGCAGCCCTCTACTTTAGCCCCCAAAACTTTTAAAAGGTAAAAGTCTGAAAGTCCAAGAATGAATTTACCTATTTTACCAGTTAGGATCGGGTTGACTGCAAGTATCATAGATACCAAATCACAGTGGCTTAAACAACACGGGACTGGGTTTGGCTTCATTTTCCCTGCAAAGTGTGGCAGAAATGATCCAGCTCTTTTTCACCGAGCCTGCAGGACCTGGCCTCTTCATTCTTCCACTTGGCCCCCTCTAAGGTGAGGTCCTTGTCTCATGGTCCAAGATGGCACCCAGCCACCACATCTGCGTCTGCATCTACAGTGGGGTTTGTTGTTGTCACCTCATTGGCCAGAACCAGCCACATGTCTTCACGTAGTTTCACGGGAAGCAGGGAAACATAGTGATTTCTTCTAGGCAGTCATGTGCCCAGCCAAAAATTCCACGCTATGGAAGAAGATCTGGGGGAAATATAGCAAATTCTGCCTCTCATATTAGGGTGTAAGGAAGTGGTAGTTCTGTTTCCAGAAAACAAAAATGCCTGTAATGATGGTTTCATAAGTGCTGGCAACTCAGTAGGAAGGGGAGAGCAGCAGGAGAGCCTGGCCAACGGAGGTTGGTGCTGGTGTCACCTCCCTCCATCTCTCCTTTCTGGTAGCCAGTGCATCTCCCCACACCTCTGGAGAGGCCAAGACAGGCAGATGGGCAGCCATGTCCCCTCTACATGGACGCATTGGGTGCCTATAGCCAGGCTCGAGCAAAAGAGTCTGTCTTCTCCATTTTCCACAATGCAAGCCTTGTGGGGCTTCATCTCCAGTCCCTCCCCTCAACAAGCTCCCTCTGCAAGCCCTTTACCCTGAAGAGCGTCCACGGCATTTAGGGCTGCACAGGTCTTTGTTGAGGGAGCTGTCTTGGGCACTGTAGGAGGCTGAGCAGCACCACTGTCCTCTACCTACAAGATGCCAGGAGCACCCCTCAGTGTGACAACCAAAACTGTCTCCAGAAGGTGCCAAATGTCCCCTGGGGGGTAAAATTACACACACACCCTCCCTCAATGAGACTCACTGCCACAAACCCGGGACCAGCTATGTCTCCATCTCCAGGTGAAGCACCGATTTCCATAAGACACAAAGAAAGGAGGCAGGGCTGGAACCTCCTCTATCTGCAGTAGGGATGGTGTTTGTTGATGAAGGGGCACAGGATCTCAAAAGAAAAGGTGGGAAACTGGGGAGAGAGAGAGGCAGATAACAGAGGGAGTGCCACTAGAGACATGCTCATTTGGAGACCTCGGACTAGAGCCATGGCTGCCATGAGATGCAGGTGGCACAGGCGACACACCCCTTGCAGCACTTCCCACGTTTCATTATAATCTCGTTTCTTCAGTACCTTCTGCCTCTACAATTATGAGCTCCTCAAGGGCAGGTCTGGGTCTAGGTCACTGCTGCATCCCCCGTGCTAGGCAAGTACTTGACCCTTCACTGGTGCTTAATATTTGATGAATCAATGAATGAATCAATGGGTGGTTACTTATTTCCCCACTAAAGGGACTGTTTCATATCAAAAATATGTGGTTTAAACAACACCAGGCAGAAGGCACTCAACTATGTAACATTTCCATATGCCAGGCACTAATCCAAGGGCTTTGTATGAAGTAGCTTATTTCATTCTCAAAGCAACCCAAGGAGGTGGAGTACTATTGTTACCTCCACCTCCAGGAAGGAGAGTGAGACACAAAAGTTAAGTAACTTGCTCAAGGTCATATCGCTAGTAAGTGATAGAGCCAGGATAGAAGCCCATATCAATCATTTACTCCCAGGTTACGTGGATTTTTCGATATTTACTCTGCAATACTGCCTTTTTGTCAAACAATAATACAATGCTGACATGTGTTGCCTGTCCTGCCTCCTTTCCTTCCCAAACTGCTCTCCCTCCCTTCTACACAGGTCTCTCCAGTGGATGTCATGGCCATGTGATCCACTTCACCCACCCTAGAAGTGGGCAGTCACTCAGGCCTATGAAATTGTCCCACCCCAGTCCCACCCCCACACACTGTGATTGGCCCAGAGCTGGCCCAATCAGAGTTCTTTGGGGGAACTGAAATGGAGCTTAAGGTAAGAGGTCACACTTGGTCTGGAGGTCCTACTATGTAGTCACAGAAATTACTAGGGACCATCTTGAAGCCATATGAAGAAAATCTGTGAAACTGAAGATAAGCAGAGGCAGCTACAGCTGAGACAGTTGTCTCGATGATGTCATCTGAGACTCTGGATCCAGCTGGACCCAAAGCCCCTCCTTTCCTTCTGCCTTCCCTTTTTTCTTAAGCCAGTCTGAGCTCAGTTTTTGTCACCTGCATCTGAATAAGTCCTGACCCAAACAAATATCTAGATAGTATTAGTTGACTCTATGAAGGCCTAGTATCTATGGACCAAAATGGTCTTGATTTTATTTAATTTCTATTAATTGAGTGAGATGCTCTTTAATCCAGCATTTGCATCTCCTCAGCATGAACATGAAGAACAGAAACAAGGGCAGACCTTATTTCAAAATGGAATCTCAAGATATGTTTGGCTTCCGGGGGAAAAAAAATGCCTTATTGACTTTAGCATGAAGGATGGGCTTCGTGGCATCTTCACCCCCAAGCATCAGTGCTCCGTGCTTGTTCTGAACGACAGAACAGGGCCTCATCCATACCACTGATTCAACACAGAATGTATGGCTCATTTCCTTTGCTTCAGAGAAAGCATTTAAATGGTAAGATTGGTGAAACTCTCAATGACTTTTGCATTTTCAACACCTTTGTAAGATCTAACTCAAGGCTGATAGCATACATGCTCAAGAAGTAGTATTGATTGATTGAAAGAGCATAGGTGACAGGTGTCAGATACATGAGATGGTTCTTTGATTTTGAACCACGTATTATTAACCATGAGTATCCACTGAAAAGCTTCTGATTATAAGCAATTCTTAGTTTCACGTTTTAAGCTGGAGAATAATCGTTTTGTATTTATTATGAAAATTTGCTGTATATGAAACAACTCAAGTTACAGCAAAGAAAACTCAAAAAGTGCAAATGATCAAAAGCTTAGAGATGATGGAAGGGAAAACTTCTCATTGTAATCTAAATAATACCAGCAATTTTTAATCGGCTCATTTGTGTTCCAGAAATGCAGGATGATTCAGAAAGGTGAAGTGCTTAGGATCTCAGAAACATTTCTTTTTATCTTTGGCTTTCTTTTTAAAACACTTAATATGGTTTGCCTGTGTCCCCACCCAAATCTCATCTTGACTTGTATTTCCCATAATCCCCTCGTGGGAGGGACCCAGTAGGAGGTAATTGAATCATGGGGGTGCTTACCCCCATGCTGCTGTTCTCATAAGATCTGAAGGTTTTATAAGGGGCTTTTTCTCCCTTTTCTCGGCACTTCTCCTTGCTGCTGCCATGTGAAGAAGAACATGTTTGCTTCCCCTTCCACCATGATTGTAAGTTTCCTGAGTCCTCTCCAGCCCTGCAGAACTGTGAGTCAATTAAACCTCTTTCCTTTATACCCAGTCTTAGGTACGTCTTTATTACCGGTGTGAGAACAGACTAATATAACACTCAAACACAGTCTCAGAGATATCATCCCAGTGTTTTAGCCTTTCTGTTTGCATTAAAGAGTGGATATTTTATCATAACATGCATATTATTTCTGATTCATAGAACAGGAATGGAGCAACCAAAACAAAAGCTTTGGTTAATGAAAAACTTCATTGGCAGGAGAAAAAACTTCCTAAGTACAGCAAGTTTCCATACGTTTACCATAAAAGTAACCTAGACTCCACCTTGGAGCATGTAAATATACAGACTGTTCATTGTATATGTTGGCAATGGTTTAAAAAAAAAGAAGATTTGGACACATATCCTATTAAAATGTAATTGCCACTTTTATCATTTACTCAGATAACATATGAAAGGACTGGTACACATTCATCAAGGAAGTAGTCATTTTATTACAGTCAAGTGATGGGATGATGTATTGTGCAACGTGCCCTGCCTTCCTGGTTTATGGGACAGTTAGAGTACATTGCCCATGAGTGTTATCTACACACAGCTGTAAAGAGCTCTTTAAAGACCATCCAGAAACATCAACTAGTTAAATATCTCTATGTATAAGTTCATGTGTGTATATTTTTCAATTTCCTAATTATGTTTGTTTAAGAGCAAACCCAGTTGAGTATCTTTAGACCCAAAAGTTGGATTTCAACTCTGAATCTAAAGTGAAATGGGAACTTTCCCCAGGGTTGAAACTTACATCCAGGGCAACTCCTAGAGATCCTATGAAGCCCTAAGAACCACAGATGTTAGAGTGAGATTCACCCGATTTTTTGATGGAGTGATTGATTCCCCTGTGCTCAGGACTGGGCTGAAGGCAGCATCTATTCCTAAATTCTGCTAGATTCTACAAGATGTTTTGTTTTGGTTTTTCTTCTTTTTACCATGAGGAAGTGGAGTCAGGTGCTGACCTTCAGGCCTTTGAACTTGCCTTAGCTACCAGCATTTTTCAAACTTCAACACTGTGACCATCACCTGGGGAATCTCATGACAATGCAGACTCTGATTCAGCAGGCTGAGGGTGGGAGGAGGCAAAGGGGAATTCATCCCATCTGTCCACAGCCTTCCCATTGGAACCTAAGTCCCACATGCCTAGAAACTCCCTTGGCCAAAATTTCTCTGAAGATAAATAAAATGGCAAGAGCCAGGGGTGCTTGCCATTTTCATCTGCCAAATGAGGTTATAGAAGACTCTGTTTTAGAAGGGCCACAGCCCAGAGGTCTAGGTGATGCTGAAAAATGACACATGGCCGATTCCCAAAGAAATGATAGAATTTCCCATCTAGCAAAGATACCAGAAAGCTGAACTCACCTTTCATCATTTTTAAAAAAGGATAACGTCTTTGGGAAGCTTTTCTTCCCATGAAATCTTACTGCCTTCCCAGGGTATCACATATTTAAAGTACAGCTGTGCTCATCGAAGGAGAGAGAGGACAGGGGAAGGTAAAACCTTTCTCCTGCCCTGTAGGGGCCTCTCCCCAGAATTCCTCAGGACCCACAGAGGAAAGCTGAAATGCTTGGATTTAATACAATGCCCCATTTTTTTTAACTGAGCTGAACATAAAATTAAGCATTTTAAAAGGAAAGATTCGGTACATTCACAACATTGTGTGACCACCACCTCTATCTAGTTGCAAAACATTTTCATCAACCCCAATAAGCACCAAACCCATTAAGCAATCAATCTCCAGTCCCTCCTCCCTTTACCCCATAGCACCACCAATTTGCTTCCTGTGGGTACAGGTTTACCTATTCTAGTATTTCATATCAATGGAATCGGACAATATGTGCCTTTTTAGATCTGTCATCTTTCACTTAGCATAATGTTTTCAAGGTCCATCCACACTGTAGCACATATCAGGAGGTATTCCTTTTTATGGCTGAATAATAATCTATTGTAGGGAGACATTCGTCTCCCCATTGATGGACATTGGGGTTGTTTCCACCACCTTTTGGCTACTGCGAATTACTGTGTCTCTGAGCATTAGTGTGTAAGCACTTGAGTTTCTGTCTACAGTTCTTTTGGGTATATACCTCCATGCTCCAATGCTATAGATGAAGAACCAGGCCACAAAAGATCTAGTGACTTGGCTAGGCTTACTCAGCAAGCTCATGGCTATGCTGGACCCCAGGTCACCGAGTACCTGCTCCAGCTTCTACTGAACCCCAACATTCCATGAGAGCTTGGACTTGGCCCCACCTCTCCACTTATGGCAATGCCAGTTCCCTGGCTGGGAAAGCCCTCTCTGGTTTTCTTTCCCTTCCAAATCTTCCCACTCAGATCTCAGCACTCTATCCTCCTTCCCCACAAGGTGTTCCCTGACCACCCACAGCCCTTCCACTTCTTCCTCTAATTTCCAGTCTTATGATAATCTAATTATAAGTCCACATGGCACACAGTGTGTTTCACGGGTAATTTGGTGACTTGTGTTGACAGTAAGATATTTGAGGACAGGAGCTTAGCAAATCTTTATGACAGATTAAATACATGGGCAGAGGCTTGCAGAGCCAGATGGGTGACTTCATCTGGTCTGCTGGCATCCACTTTGGCTGACATGACTAGCAATGTTACAGTCACTATACAGTTGACATGACGACATTCAACAACACCAAAAGGTCTAAACAGTGCTTTAGATCCCCTGGCTGGTGATGTTCACAGCAGCGAAGTCACCAGGAATATGCAAAGACACAACAAGCCTTGTCAACACCACCTTGCCACAGCTGGAGCCACTAAATATGTGGACAGAGTCCTGGCCCAAGAGTATAGCCCAGGAGAGGAATGGACATCCCTCTCCCCACCTTTGAGTAGAAAATGACCAGTGAGCCTGGCACGATGGCTCATGCTTGTAATCCCAGAACTTTGGGAGGCCATGGTGGGCGGTTAACCTGAGGTCAGGAGTTTGAGACCAGCCTGGCCAACATGGTGAAACCCTGTCTCTACTAAAAAATACAAAAATTAGCCAGGCATGGTGGCAGGTGCCTGTAATCCCAGCTACTCAGGCGGCTGAGGCAGGAAAATTGCTTGAACCTGCAAGGCGGAGGTTGCAGTCAGCCAACATTGTGCCATTGCACTCCAGCTGGGGCAACAGAGCGAGACTCCATCTCAAAAAAAAAGAAAACAAGAAAATGACCAGTGAAGGCAACACAAAAGGGATCAATGACGTCATCAATTACAGGATCATGCTCGATTATCTAAAACTCAGTTTGCCCTGTTGTAGGACTTGATCTTTCATAGAGATTGTTATTACAGAAGTACTTTAAGGACTTTAGAAATATGCCAGTAAAACACACACTTTTTTTAAAATTCATTCCAGAGATTTCCATTCCCCAATGAGGTCCTCATCAGAGTCATCAAAGGAGCAGCACATCCAAGAAAGTCCAAAAGAGATAGACTTTTTTTTAATGATGCATTAGAAAACCTGACCCCAACCCCTGCCTTTCTTTGTCTACTTTATCACATTTGTAGGTTTAGAAAAGTTTGTCTTTCAGTCTCAAAACTTTTGGAAAAAATAATGTCCCACTGTCTTTCATATCAAAAAGAAACGACAAGTGTGTTGATCGTACAGAGCCAATCTCCTCTTCACATAATGAATAAAGAGAAGTTTCCATTCATTTGGCCACAAAACAGGTCATTTTCTTCAAAATGTACACACTAAAACAATAAATTAAACACTTATGCTTCCAAGGGAGAATAGAAAGATAAGAGCAGGAGACATATGTGTGTCTTGATGGTGGGTGCCGGTGTATCCTGGGAGCTTAACCCTCACTGCAGATTTAATATTCACAAAAGCCCATTGAGGTGGGTACTATCATCTCTGTCTAACGGTGAGAAGATCAAGAAACTAAGGCTTGGGGAGAATAAGTCATGAACACCAACTTCCCATGTTAGGAACGGTGGGTTCAGGGTAGAAATCTCAAAGTTCAGCTTTTCCCACCACACTTGAAAGGAATTAGTAGAAATTAATGGCTTTACAGACCTCACAGCCACCAGTTTTTTGCTGTGGGACCTCCCCTGTGTCTGTCCTCTCCACATGTCTTGTGTCAGGCCCTGGAGAAGCACAGGGTGCCGCTACCTCTTCACCTGCTGAGCAAACCCTGTCATTGAAGCAACCAGGTGCTCACACGTGTTGTGAACACAAGACTCCAATAAGGGGACACCTGTGTGTATCCAATTTTCTACCAGCAGCAGCTTATCCACTGGGCATGAAAGGGAGGAAAACTACTCAGCCAGTCATTAGGTAAATACTCACTGCTTATCTCAATGCAAAAAAACAAGCACCCTTCTGCAGGAGTAAAAGGAAGTGTGGAAAGGTGAAGAGAGCAAGGGGCAGGAAGCAGACAGTTCAGAATCAGGAGCCTTCTCTGCTTGTGTGGACAAGCTACTCACACTCTCTTAGCCTCGACTTTCCTATCTGTGAGTGGGACTGGCAATCAAACCACACTACTATAAAAAGGATACGTTTGCCCAAAATAGCCAACAGGTGGAAGCAAACAGGCGAATAGATAAACAAAATGTGGTCTCTACATACAATGCAATATTATTCAGCCTTAAAAAGGAAAGCGCTTCTGACACAGGCTACACCATGGATAGTCCTTGACGGCATATTGCCGAGTGAAATGAGCTAGTCACAAAAAGACAAATACTGTATGATTTCAACTTACATGAGGCACCTGGAGGAATGAAGTCCATAGAGACAGAAAGTAGAATGGTGTTTGCCAGGGGCTGTAGGGAATGGGGAGTTAGGGTTTCACGCATAGCAAATTTCACTTTTGCAAGACAGAAACAGGCCTGGAGATGGATAGTGGGGATCGTTGCACAGCAGTGTGAATGTACCTAGTATCATAGAACTCTCCGTAAAAATGGTTAAGTTGGAACATTTTACATTATGTGTACTTTACCACAATGGAAATTAATAATGCTAAAAAAATAACATGTTTGCCATGATTCTGTCACTGTTGCTGAGGAGAAAAGAAACGCCTTGTACTGTGGACCCAATCAACTCAAATTAGAATCTCTTGGGATGGTGCCCAAGCACAGGCATGTTCTAGAGGCTCTATCACACCCACGCCAGAGCTGAGCATCACCCAACGAGCCGAGTGCTCAGGTCACGTTAGTGACTCATGTCCCTCAGCCTGACACTTACTCATGTTGCTGCAAAACAGCAGGATACATTGGGAGCACCCAGGCATCTGTGTGCATTGAATTAACTTTTATTTAGCTCAACTCAAGAAACATTTCTTGCCTACCAACAGGGCTGGCATCACAGGCACCTGCAGGTAGTGCCACAGCGGGCGCCCTCAGAAGGCCCTGCTCGTGGTTTAATGCTCAGTGGCTGCCATTTTGAAATTCTTAACGATTTTTGAACAAGGAGTCCTGCATTTTCCTTTTGTACTGTGGGCCCTGCAAATTGTGTATTTGATTCTGCCTACAAAACCAGATCCTGTTCTAGGCCTGGAGAAGCCAGAGATAAAAGGCAAAGTGGCTATGGAGAGGCCATAGGCTGCAGAATGCCCAGGGCAAGCTGAGGCCAACCCCATCAGGACCTCCTGGTCCACCACTCACCCCACCCCCTTCGCCTGGAGAGCCAGACATGGATTTGCCTGCAGAGGAGGGAGGAGGAGAACCCCTGACTGTGGGTGGATATAAACAAGCTCATGACGAGTGATAAGTAACATATGCAACAGGAACAATGATGCAAAACATCGGTGCACGTTGGGCTTTAGGACAGGGCAAAACTATACACAAAGCAGGCATCTAAGAAGCTAAGTTCTGAGTTCTCAGCTCACCCCATGCTCACTCTTCTTGCCAGCATTCATGGAACATCCACCATCGTGCACCGGAGTCCCCACAGCTTCCAGTCTCAATAAGCCATGGCCGCAAATAAGCACCACCAACCACTTACTGAAAGCTTCCTTCGTGCCAGGCACTGTGCTGAGTGCTTTATATAAGCAGCCGCAAGTGCTTCCCATCATGGCTTCCTAGCTGGCTATTAATTGAACTGTTTTACAGATGAGGACCAGGAATGATCAGAGAAACCAAGGAACTTTCCCAAGATTACGTAGCCAGTTAGCAGGTGATCAGATGTGAACTTGGGTCTTTTGCTTTGAAATCTGTAACTTTGCCCTTCAATGTAAAATACCCTTAGGTTGAACCACATGCAGTTGGTGTTTGGCCGAATATTGTCAATTTCATCAGGCAGCGTGTGATGCAGCTGAAACTGAGACCATCCATAAGCCCTGTGGGAGGCCAGTGAACCCACAGATAAATCCAGATCACTCCCTGTTCTGTAAATCAGCGTGCCGGGCAAACAGCTCTCTTAAGCAGGGAAATGAAGGGAATAAAGAACAAACAAGTGGGAAGCTCTGTAAGAACAATATCCTGTGAGCAAGCTGAATGAAAGCACCTGCCTTCCTCCCTCAGCCCAAGCCAGCTTGCTTAATAAATTAGATTGCTTGTTTGTTAGAAGCACCTTTTTAAAAGGTGAGTGTAGACAGCTGCTCTCCAGATAATGACACTAAGCAGAGCTGTTGCTACCAAGCCACGCTAGAGATAAGGCTGCTTTCCCAGAAATACATTTCGGGGCAGGGCAAATTGAAAGTGTGTACTTCTCAGGTAATAGGTAATAAACATTCCGTTTTGGAGCTTTCTATATTGAGCTTCTGCACCTGGTCGCTGGAAGGCTATGGTGTCAGCACCAAGCCTGCAGATTGCTTTGTATATCAGCCACCCCTGTTTTTCCCCAGTAAAATACCACTCCCGGCTTGGCCGCCAGCTCCTTCCTCTTTCTTGGTGGAAATCTACTGCTTTCTTAAACTGGTGCATGGAAAATTACATGGTCAGCGCCACACTCGGGGCTAGAAAAGCACACATCCCACAGTGATTTCAAATGATCCAGCCTTTCATCATTAAAAAATAAATTCTGTGGGCGAGGAGAAAAGAATCGTGAGGCCCCTAAGCAGGTGACTCATTTCAGACAGAAATGCCAAAGCCATTTCTGAACAGATGGGTTGACAGGACACTTAGCAAATGCTGCTTTTAATTCTTTCTTGCACTCATTCATTCATTCAACAAATATTCCCCCAGGCTTATGGAGCATGGGGCACCACTGTAGGCACTGGGGAAGTAGCTGCCAAATACAAAATAAAACCCAAAAAATCCCTTCTTCCCTGGAGCTTCCACTCTACAGGTGGAGACAGAGAGGAAACAGATAAGGAAACTCTAAGAGTTATGGGGTAAAGACAGCTGGGGGGGCGGTGCGGGTGGAGGGGTTGCCTTGGTGGAAAGGTGATCTTAGAGCAAACAGGGAGAGAAGGTGCAGAGGGAGCTCTGTGGTTACCTGGGGGGAAAATGGTCCTTCTACGCAGAGGGAGTGGGAAGGGCCTAGGGGGAAGTAGGGCCAGCTTGATCCTGGGAGCCGTGTGGCTGTGGGCATGGAGTAAATGGGGACGAGCAGGTGAGAGGTGAGGCAGGTACACTGAGGCCAGGTGGCCACCAGGAGCACCTTGACTTTGCCTCTGAGTGGGATGGCACTCACTGCTCTGTGCAAAGGAAAGTCATGACTGGACTTGCTTTTTGCCAGACACACTTTGAGGCCAAGAGGGAGCAGGGAGAGGAATGTTGACATCATTGAGGTGTAGGATGATGGAGTAAGAGATGGACATGGTGGAGTGGGAGCAGAGGCCAGGGTCTAGCTAGGTGTCAATGGGGATGTTACTGACAGAAAGACTCTACGATTCCTCCAGGTGGGGCATACCCTCAACATCAGCCCATGGATGGATGTTCCCAGACCCCAGGAGTCTCACCATAAATTCTCCCTGGGACAGACTGTGGGTGGCAGTGGTCGCCATCTGTCCTTGGCTGACAGGTGCCCAGAGCTGTGGCAGTGTCATTCCCAGCAGCCCCAGGATTAGGCTGTTATCTCTGTTTACCAACAGGAAGAGACACTCGGTGGAGGATTCAAGCTGATACAGGAGCCGTGGATTGCCACCTGCCTCTTCTCCTATGCCTGTCATGAGTACACACACCAGTCCTGTCTGCTGGCCAAGCCCCCTTGCTCCCAGGTGGGAGAACAATGTGTAGAAGCACAAATTATAAACTGATTCTTGTGTTCTCTAAAGACAGTCTGTTTTTCAGATCATGATTAGGAATGAGTAAACGGTAAGTCTCAAAGTTTTCAGGGGCTTATTATACAGGGCCTATCAGAGTAAAAATAGAAATTACAACAGCCCAACATGGAAGAAAGTTTTCCTTCCTCACTCCCAAACTTCAAACAGAGTCCGAGGGTTAGGATGTGGGCGTAGCTTTTTGGGGGGCCACAATTCAACCCATTCCAGCTAACTTGATTGAGTATTGATGCCTTTTAAACAAGCAATGGAGTGATCATCGGAGATGAAGAAGCAATTTAAGCTCAACCCTCAAATGCAAACCCTTCCAAAGCAAACATCCTAGGAGGTGCTACTTGAGTTAACCTCGGAGATGATTAACCTGGGTTTTGCACCACTGCCCTGAGCCATTTTCCACAGAACAGAACAGAACAGAATTCTTTATTATGTTTCTCAAGATGCTACTTTTCTACACTGCAGTTATTTCAGGCATGACTCATGTTAAAATGAGTGTGATAAGATTTCTTGGTAAAACCCCTGGGAGGCTTTGAGTAGAGAGTTTTTAACAGTAGCTACCCCAAGCAAGGCAGCTGGAGTGGGTTGAATGGTTCCTCCCCAAAAGATCATCCCTGTCCTAACCCTTGGACTCTGACTGTGACCTTATTTGGAAAAAGAGAGTTTACAGATGTAACTAAGTTTGAGATCTCAAAATGAGGTCACCCTGGATTACACAATGGGCCCTAAAGTCAATTACAGGCATCCTTATAAGAGACAGCAGAGAAGACACAGACACAGAGGGGAAGGCCATGTGAAGGCAGAGAATGGAGTGACGCAGCCACAAACCAAGCAATGCCTGGAGCCACCAGAAGCTGGAAGAGGCAAGGAAGGGACTCTTCTTCAGAGGGAGCAGGGCCCTGCCCACACCTTAGCTTCAGACTTCTAGCCTCCAGAACTGGGAGAGAAGAAATGTCTGTTGTTTGAAGCCACCCAGCTGTGGCACTTTATTACGGCAGCACGGGAAATGCATACAGCCTCCAAAAGAGAACGAAGCCCTTCTGAGAGCTTGATTCCAGACATGCAAGACCCTGAGCCCACCGCGCCTGGGTTTCTGCCTACAGAACTGTGAGATAATCCATGGTTGTTTTACGCCACTCCAATTGCAATAAGACAGTGAGGATGTCATGTGAGTGACCAGCAAGGCATGTGGCCCAACCAGACAGCCAGGGAAGGCCTTTAACGAGTAACTTGAGGCTGAGAGTGAGGTGGTGAGTTGTGGAGAAAGTCCCAGCTCAGGGTTCACTGTGGACCAACAGCTCTTTACTGTGGGGTACTACCTTCCTGGAGAATTTCCTGGAGAGTATAAGGCCTGACGTGGGCCTTCAAATATCTCAACAAGAACAATAAATCCCTCCAGAAAACCATATTACTCCACTTTCTTTCCAAAGGAAATTCAAGTCTGTTGAAATGCTTGCTCTAAAACAGTTTCCAGTGATATTAAACAAATTCGTGGCTCTCAGAATACCTTGGGTGATGATCAATAAGAGTTGTATGTGCTTTACATGCTGATAATCACACCTAACCCACAGCATTTGTCTGATGCCTAAGTGGGCTCAGATTTGCCCAAGGCTCTGGTCCAAGGACCTCTGAGGGACACAGCCTCGTCACTCAGACAGGAGAGCCCAACTCAGTGACAAACAAAGGCCAAGGGATTCTGCACATGAAGACAAAACAGAGTCTTCCTTCTCAACTAGAGAATGGCTTATCTAAGAAAAAAATCAACTGGAGAGAAAAAAAAAGTGAGGATGTCAGCATTTAACAGGAATCTTGAAACTTTGACAGGAAGGGTGACCCTTTTCGGTCAATCTGAAATGTATGCAGACAGGTCACAGATATATTCCAAATACATTTTTTTAATTGCTAAATATGTTTAAAGAAGATTTTTAAAATAAAACTCAATGGACCAGTTTATACACTGCAAATTCATTACATTTTTCCAACCACGCAGAGCTAGGCTTAAACTCAACTATACTGAAGGTTAAACTCAACTATTACCAGTGTTATTCTATCCCAAAGAATGAGCCAGGTCTAAGCTGATGTTTCCTCCTGTTGTGACAATAAGAACTTTCCCCATTGTCTTCCACCTTTCCCCTTCTCGCTCCATTTCCACCTCTCCATCGCGCAGGGAAGGCAGATTAGAGTTCACTAGAAACACAATACCTGAAACATAAAGGCCTCACACCTACCCGCCTAGGAGTACAGCTCAGATGATCTTTCTAATAAGGAGTGGCAATGGAGCTTGCAGGCCGAAGAAACTATAACTTGGGTGTGATTGACAAGAGCTTAGGCTAACACATGCCTGCTTCTATAATTATATTGTTTGTCTAGAGAGAAAAAACAAAAAAACAATAAATCATCCAGCGGTGCATGACTGGCTTAGTTCTCTGTCTCTCTCTCACTGGGAAACTCACGATGAAGTTCTTCCAGGAAGAGGTTGCAACCCCACCTGCCCACCATTCTCCATGACACCTGTCACTGACCAAGATGCAAGAAACACATGGGCCCCTGCAAAATCTCTCGATTCATTTTACTGTTTCTTGGTGAACTGACTTGTATTATCTCCCTTTTCGCTACCCTTATTAGTTTCCTACAAACCACTACAAGTTAGCAGCTTAAAACCACACATGGCGGGGCGTGGTGGCTCACGCCTGTGATCCCAGCACTTTGGGAGGCCAAGGTAGGCGGATCACGAGGTCAGGAGTTGGAGGCCAGCCTGGCCAACATGGTGAAACCCCGTCTCTATTAAAAATACAAAAATTAGCCGGGCGTGGTGGCACGCTCCTGTGGTCCCAGTTACTCAGGAGGCTGAGGCAGAAGAATCGCTTGAACCCAGGAGGCGGAGGTTGCAGTGAGCCAAGATTGCACCACTGCACTCCAGCCTGGGTGACAGAGCAAGACTCCATCTCAAAAAAAAAAAAACAAAAAAAACATGTACTATCCTACAGCTCTGGAGGCTGAAAGCTCAAAAATCAGCCTCACTGGGCTAAAATTATGGTGTTGGCAGCGCTGGTTCCTTCCGGAGGCTTTAACGGTGAATTGTTCCTTTGCCTTTCCAGCTTCCAGAGGCTGCCCACGTTCCTTGGCTCATGGCCCCTTCGTCCATCTTTAAAGGCAGCAGCAAAACCCAAGTTTTCTCCACCTTCTCTCCCTCCTTCCATCATCACATCACCTTTTCTGACTTGGACGCACCCAAGTCCCCCTCATAAAGTCCCTGTGATTACACTGGGCCCACCCAGATCACCCAAGACCATCTTCCCCCCTCAAGATCCTTCACACAATCACGTCTGCAAAGTCCCTTCTGCTGTGTCAGGTGACACATTTGCAGCTTTTGGGAACATTACTTCCTCTCCCACTGCATTTTGGCGAGCACAAAGCTGAGACATCTCACAAGAGTGATCCCTGATCTGGGATTTGAGAAGTATGGTCACTAGAAATCAGACAGAAATCTGCCCACCTGCACTGTGGGTGTCATCCCACTATTTAAACACCAGCTAAAAAGCTCTAGGGTGTCTGCAGATGCCATCAGCCCAACTTCAATAATGACCATATCTATGTGGGCCTGTGTGCTTACCCACTGCAAATCTAAACAGCTGTCACCAAAACATCCCAGATCCATCCCCTCTCTCTGCCCTACTGCTCCCCCTGGTCCAAGACACCACAGTCTCTCCTGGGGACACCTACAGCAGCTGCCTGAACAACCTTCCCACTTCCTGCTGGGCATCCTGTAGCCCCTGGCCCATGCAGCAGCCTGTGGCCTCCCCAGAAGGTATACCCAGTCCCATCAGTTCCAGCTCAGAAGCCCCCACTGGCTTCCCAGAACATATGGAGTTAAATTCAAGGCTCAAGTGGCCTCACAGCCCTCATCCTATGGCCCTAGCTCCCTCTCCAACCCCATCTCACTCCTCACCTGCTTAGTTCATCCTCCCTATGCCCAGAGTTTTCTCTTCAGTTCTTCATATGATACTGGGTCTTCTTCAGGCCTCTGGCCCCAGCAGTTCCATCTGCTGAATCCACCTCCAGGCCTCACCTTTTTGGCCTGGGATGGAGTGTGTTGACTTTGATCACCAGCCATTCTATCCTCCTCCAAGGCAACTTATGACTGCCTTGAGGAAGCTGGATGTCATGTCCCCCCAGGTTTCACATACCGAAGTCCTAACCTCAAGTACCTTAGAATGAAACTGTATTTGGACATGGGGTCATTGCAGATGTAATTAGTTGAGATGAGGTCATCAGGGTGGGCTTTAATTCAACATGCTGGTGTGCTTATAAAAAGGGGAAACCTAGACATGGACACGCACACAGGGAGAACACCCTGTGAAGACAAAGGCAGGAATCGGAGCAATGTGTCTACAAGCCAAGAAGCACCAAAGATGGCCAGCAACCCAGCAGAAGCTGGGAAAAGGCCTGGAAGAGATTCTCCTTCACAGCCTCAGGAAAACCAACCCAGCTGACACTTTGGTCTTGTACTTCCAGCCTCCAGAACGATGAGACAAAAAATGTCTGTTTTGTTGTTGTTGTTGTTGTTGTTGTTGATGATGATGATGGAGTCTCACTCTGTCACCAGGCTGAAGTGTAGTGGCACGATCTCGACTCACTGCAACCTCTTGCCTCCCAGGTTCAAGTGATTCTCCTGCCTTAGCCTCCGAGTAGCTGGGACTACAGGCATATGCTACCACACGCAACTAATTTTTTTGTATTTTTAGTAGAGTGGGGGTTTCACCATATTGGCCAGGATGGTCTCAATCTCTTGACCTCGTGATCCACCCGCCTCGGCCTCCCAAAGTGCTGGGATTACAGGTGTGAGCCACTGCGCCAGGACAAATGTCTGTTGTTTAAGCCGCCCAGTCTGTTATGGCAGCTCTAGGGAGCTGATATGCTGGGAAAGCTACCATCATATTTTCTGATCCCTTGCAAGGACTCTAGAAGAGTAGGCCCCCCAACTCAACTCAATGCCCTTGCGTAGGGTTTGGACGGTGGAGGTGAGTGGAAGCAGGCGGCTGTGTTGCTGCTTCTTGGCTGGTGCTCTTGGGTGGCCCAGCTGTGGCAGCACTGGGGGTTCCTACAACAGTGTCAAGAGGCTTTGTTTTGTGAGTGTCATGAGGCAGTTCCCATGGCTACAGGCAGGCTGCTCCCAGACCCCTGGATCCAGCCTGTAACACATTCGTGTGTGTGTGTGTGTGTGTGTGTGTGTGTGTAAAGATGGGGTCTCACTATGTTGACCAGGCTGGTCTCAAACTCCTGGGCTCAAGTGATCCTCATATCCTCCCATCTCGGCCTCCCAAAGTGCTGGGATTACAGACATGAGACACTGTGCTGGCCTGTCACACTTTTTTTTTGAGACAGAGTCTCGCTCTGTCGCCAGGTTGGAGTGCAGCGGCATGATCTCGGCTCACTGCAACCTCTGCCTCCCGGGTTCAAGCGATTCTCCTACCTCAGCCTCCCGAGTAGCAGGGACTACAGGTGTGCACCACCACGCCCAGCTAATTTTTGTATTTTTAGTAGAGACAGGGTTTCACCATGTTGGCCAGGATGATCTCAATCTCTTGACCTCGTGATTTGCCCGCCTCAGCCTCCCAAAGTGCTGGGATTACAGGTGTGAGCCACTGCGCCCAGCCCTGTCACACATTCTTGAGCCAGTGGCTACTACCCCAGCTACTGGTTCCTGATTTTCCTGACAGCAGCAGTGAGCGCAGCTCCGGGCAGCCCACGGGGTGTGATTTGGGGAGCTGCTGTGGAGGCCCAGCCTTCTGAGGGATTCTGAAAGTACCTAATACCCTGCATTAAATCCTGTTCTGCTCAACTTAACCAGAAGGACAGCCTTTCCTGCAGGTGGACACTGGCAGCCTCACGTTTAGAAACAGATGCTGCTTTCCTCACGGACACCATCCACTCTTACACCACCCTCACTCTCACTGAGCTGTTTTCTATTGCACTCACAGGTATTTAAATGTGCTGCGTTTACTCGTTTGTTTGTGTACTTATTGCCTGAATTGTGACCTCCATGGAAACATCGACCTTGTCACTGGGCCTCTCTTCCGACATCCTCATGCCTAGAACAGCGCTTGGTGCAGTGGCCGCTTTGGGGTATTTATGGAAGAAGAGAGAGAGAAAAGGAATTTCTAAGTTTGGCTTCTCCTTGAAGAAGCTTCCAAAGGCGTTTCTAGAACACTTAAAATATGTGAAAATAAGGGCTACCTAGGTTATATGTTAAATGAATTATGCTAAAGAAGACTCAGCAGTTGCTAACTTTTCTCATCTGCTCTTAAATATCCCATTCTGCTGTTTCAAATTAGAAACTCAGAGTTCCAAAACAGTGAGATCGTTTACTTCTTTTTCTAAAAAAAAAAAAAAAAAAAAAAAAGGCATTGGAATAACGGAAGTACTTTAAGAATCTATGGGGCAAGAATAGAAGCTAGTCATCGTTGTCTGTATAAACCAAAAATAAAATTCTAATGCCCCTCAGCTATCTGAACGGATCCCCCCTCTCGGCCAAGGGCCTTCCAGAGTTAACCTGAAAATCTAGTTCAGGCCAGGACGGGAAGTGGGGGTCAGACATGCCTCATCACCCCAACATCAACACAGACCTTCAGTCTGACAAGAAACATGTACAATATCTTGTTTCTGAAGCCTGCTACCTCGAGGCTTCCTCTGCATGATGAAACCTTGGTCTCCACAACCTTTCATCGTAACTCAGACATTCCTTTCTATTGATAGTAACTCTTTCAACCAATTGCCAATTGGAAAATGTTTACACGTGCTTATGACCTGGAAGTCACCCTGCCCCCGCCACCAACTTCGAGTTGTCCCACCCTTTCAGACAGGACCAACGTACATCTCGCAAATATTGATTGATGTCTCATGTCTCCCTGCAATGTATGGAAGCAAGCTGTGCCCCACCATCTTGGGCACATGTCCTCAGGACCTCCTGAGGCTGTGTCACGGGCGCATTCTTAACCTTGGCAAAATAAAACTTTCTAAATAGATTGAGACATGTCCCCGATACTTTTGGGTTCACGTCTGTCACTGAGATGGTAACTGTGGTCATTTGAATACCCCCTCACATTATCCTCATCTCGTCACAGCAGCCCTATTCATCTGGCAAATTGAGGGGGATCACTTGGAATATTATGTTTTTATTAAAAATACGATTTTGGTTTTCTAAGAGATGCTCTGGGCTGCTCTAAACCAGGGACTGCAGGGCCCACCTGTTTCTGCAAATGAGGTTTCATTGGCACTCAGCCAGGTCCATTTATTTACACATTGCCTAGGCTCCTTTCTAGAGCTGAGTTGTTGCGTCAGGGACCACATGGCCTTCAGAGCCTAAAATATTTACTCTCTGGCCCCTTAAGAAAATGTTTGTCAGCTCCTACTCTAAACAAAACCCCTGGCCACATGGCCTCTGGCGCTGCGTTAAGGTCTTTGCTGTGCCCTTTGCGGACACGGACACGCTAGGGATGAACTGACTCAGAGCCGGCCAGTTTCAGGCTCCTTCCTGGAGCGATAGGAACCTGTAATTCTCAGCCCATGTGACCAGTACTGGCCAATGAAATGCAAGCGGAACTGACCTGCGCCTCCAGGCTGAGGCAGTGAAACGCTCCTGAGCCTTTCCCCAGTCTCACTCTTCTCCCCTATGGCAACCAGCAAACTTCCAGAGAGCGGAGGCAGGGGCCCTGCACGGGGTAGAGCGCAGACTCCGCCACTGCCTACCTATGATGGGCTTGCAGTGAGCAAGAAATCAGCTGTTGCATATTATGGCACTGAGATTTTTAGGGTTGTTTGTTACAGCACGATAAGCCTAGCTCATTCTGACTAGGATGGTGGTCTTTTTGCTGTCATAATTAATTTCCATTTCTCAGGGTTTAAAAGGGTGCACTGCCCCCCCCCCCCCCCCCCGCAGATCTCAGGTGGGCATTTTTGAACTTAACTAGATAACAAAACACAGCTAAGACAAGTCCTTTTCTCCAGCAAAGATGGCAATGCTCTAATAACTCTGAGCATATTAAAGATTCTCCAAGACTCTAGCCTCTGCTGCAAAAACACATACAAATACCTACTACTACTGCTGCTGTGATGATGATGATGACAGCAATAGTGAGAATATTTTAAATATGCCAGGCACGGTGGCAACTGCTTTCCAAATATTATCATATTTAATCTGATCATTGCCCTATGAGGTAGGAAGTATTCTGATTCCCATTTTATAAATAAGGAACCCGAGGCTTAGAGAGCATCAGTGACTTGTTCAAGGTCACCCACAGCTGTCAAGTGACAGAACTTCGATAAAAATCCAGACTCCTTTAATGGAGTATGGAGGGAGGTCAGAAAACATAGGAAGTAAGGGATTGTGATTGACAATGCGTCCTTGCAAAGGGACAGGTTAAGAGACACAAGGGCAGCTGTCTGAGGTGTGCCATTCACCAGCTTCAGGAGAGAAGTGGCAGGCTACCTCCAGCTATCCAGCCCTATCCAGCCAAGGAAGCTTGGGAGACATGTTAGTTCCCGCCTTCATTTCCATCAGCAACCTCAAAGCCACCCCTTGATATGATGAAAATAACATTGTTTGATAAAGAGTTGATATTCTCAATCTTATGAAAATGTGGATTAAAGCATCTTACTGATTTATTTAATCTGAAACAAAACAGCTGTTAAAGTGAACTAAATATGGTCTGAGAAGGACTCCGTACTTCTTTTTTTTTTTTTTTTTTTTTTTTTTTTTTGTAGATGGAGACTTGCCCTGTTGCCCAGACTGGAATCCAGTGGCACAATCTCGGCTCACTGCAGCCTCCACCTCCCAGGTTCCAGTGATTCCACTGCCTCAGCCTCCCGGGTAGCTGGGATTACAGGCACACACCACCACGCCCAGCTAATTTTTGTATTTGTAGTAGAGATAGGGTTTCACAAGTTGGCCAAGCTGGTCTCGAACTCCTGACCTCAGGTGATCCAGCCACCTTGGCCTCCCAAAGTGCTAGGATTACAGGCGTGAGCCACTGCGCCCAGCCAGGGCTCCATACTTCTATATTTGAGTCCTTGTGGATGAACTGCAACCTAGCTTAATAGGTAGACAAGATTGAAAACCTAACTTAGGAGTATGCGCCCGGAACAATAGCTGAGTCTTGGCCAAGCCCAGCGGCCGTACTTCAACCACTCATATGCTGCTGAGTCTTTAAGCTGTGTTCAAATAAGGCAAACACCATACTGCAACCAATCCAGCCATCCTGTACCTCACTTCCAATTTCTGTACATCATTTCCCTTTCTTTGTCTATAAATCTTCTTCCACCACGTGGCTGCATGGTAGTCTCTGCTGTGACTCTGGGGGCTGCCCGATTTGCGAATCGTTCATTGCTCAATTAAACTCCTTTAAATTTAATTCAGCTGAAAATTTTCTTTTATCAAAGCTAAGTAAGAATTTGCCAACACGTTGAGTAAACTTAATCATTTCTTCCAACCAGATTGCATCCCCGAGTCTCTCCTTTTGGGAAATTTCAGAACCTACACTGCCGCCCAGCTCTCTGCCTTCCTACAACTCAGCCCACCCATGACCGCACCTCATTCACGGCCCAGGTGTCAGGGACAGGGCAAGGGTAAGGGGGGTTCATCCCCCTGATAATAAGAAACCCAATGCTCTTCCTACCTTCTTGGTAGAAATCGCCTCTCTGGGACTTCATGACAGCCGCCTTTCCTATGGCATACATCATTTCTCGTGTTTTAGTGGCTTTGGTTTGCTTTTGAATGTGTGGTGGGAAGTTCCATGAAATTTATTAAATAACCAGGATATCCTGTTACCTTATCAAGGCCTCTATAGAAAACCATTGCCCTGGGAGAAGGGATGAAGGCACCTGAGACATCTCATATGAATCGTGATGGCAATGTCTCCCCTGCCCTGAGACAGCAAGACTGAGAATCAGGAGAGGTGGTTCTCATTATCCCTGAAAGCATTTTAGCTTGGATGTGGCCACTTTGAGGACTATAGCTGTAGGCACCCTAATTCGTGTTTTGTGATTATCAAAATATCTTCCGAATCCTGGACAGATCATGACATCCTTAAGCCCACTATCGTGAAGCCACATGGAGGTGGTGTCAGGTACAGAGCAGAGAACATTCGAGAGGCACTGGGTTGTCTGGGGGACCTCTGGGCTCCAGGAAGGTCCACATCTGCAGGGAGACAGTCCCACGGTTGATTCTGGAAATCCAAACTCTTACGAGAGTCAACCGCCAGCTTCACTTCGCTGTAATTACCCAGGCGAAGTGAGTGAACAATCTGAGCCTCCCCATAAAGCTAGCCCTCTAATTGTTGTGGTTTAACAGCCTCAGACCTCAGGCTGGGTGGAGAGGAGGGCAGGCCTCGCAGAAGCCAGACACCCGCAGGCAGCCAGGAGCGAACACAGTGCAAATACAACTGGCTCAGTCCTACAGCTCCTGTTTGGTTTACAGAGAATACCACCTCCAAGGCCATTCGCAAGCGCGACGTCACTCTAGTGAGAAAACAAGTAAAGCTGAGCTATTGACAAAAATATCCCCAACCATCTAACAAAATAGTAAGCCCAGCATTATTTTATTCCAGTAAAAACCCAATGACATAGGCCAGGGCCACAGTTACTATACCTTTGGTTGATGATTGTACTGAGGTTTAGGAAAGTCCCACGGCCTATAGGAGGTCAGACAGCCACAGTGGCAACCCTGGGCAGCCCTGGGCCAGGCTCTGGACCAATACACAGGCCACACACCTTTTTCAAAACCAAAAAGGAAGCACACTAGCAACTTATCCTCCATTCTAAACTCCTGTCACTTCCTGGGAGACCAGGTAAGGCTCTCCTGGATGTCTTCACAGAGCGGGCTTCATACGGGATCAGCCTTGACCTCCATTCATGCAGACAGGGATGGCAAGACAAAGCCTGAACACAGCATTCAACAAACAGACCCTGTGTCCAGGCTTGGAATTTCCCACTTAGGGCTGGTGATGGACGAGGACTCTGAGAAGTTCGTTCTGTTTGAACAAAAGAGGCCATGTCAATTTCAGAACCATGTATCTCTTAAATAATGCATAGTAATGTCCTCCATGCCTCTCTCTTGGAGGATCATCCAGAGGGTGATAGCATCGGAGCTTTGATCTTGGATTTTTGTGTCATCTATTCTGCCAATTTCTGATTCATTTGTCTCAACAATTTTGCCACCGTCTTTTCCCGGATCAGGTAAAGCAAAATCCAGATCAGCCCAGGCCTGTCTGCAAACAGAAATGAAGAAACTGTGCTAAATCTCAAAGATTCTGTCCTGCCCAAGGAGTGTCCTTACTTATAAATGGAGCGAAGCCTCCTGCACCTGCTACATGGGCTCGTGTGCGCACCGAACCCAAAGCTGCTTTCTGGGCTCACCATGCAGTCTCTCCACCTGAGGCCCCCACCCAGCCCCACCCTGTGATGCCCACACTGTGGGTCCACCTCGAAGTGCTGACATTCATCACCCTTTGAGGACATTCTGTGTGTCAGGGTCTGGGCTTACACCTTTGCAAGGGCATGTTTGTTTTGACTCTAACTTTCTTCTAATAGAAACTGAACTCTTATGTCTAATGGAAGTGATAGCGGTGTCAAGCACCCCCTTCACTTTTTTGTGGATGACCAAAACCTCATGCATAGGGACCCAGCCCACTGCCTTATGCAGGGTGGTGGGCATGCAGAAGTGTTTGTGGGCTGGATTTGAAAAGCTCCCACTTCAAAGATGAGGGGTCTATTTAATCCTGTGTTGTAATGTCAGTGCAGAAGGTTGAATCAGAGAGAATCTGAGAGGAGAAATCGCAAGCATCATGGCTGATTGCTTTCCTTTGTGTCTGGTGATGTCGCTGTGCCTGAATCCACGTCACTAACAATGGCCAACTGGCTTATGCCACCTACCCCCGTGGTCAGGGGTGGCAAGGTCTGACATCAGAAAGGAGGGCAAGAGGTTTGGGAAGGCAAAACCAACATCCCCTCCAAGAAGAGAGAACCGGCCTTCCTGCAAGGCCTACCCTTGATGGCCCTACCCAAGGCCCACCTGCCCTCTCTTCCCACGGAGCCCTCTAATCTCCCCACAGCACCCATCTATACCCCCTTATGGGCCCAGCCACCATCTTCCTAATATTGCCTTTATTGATGGGCAGTTCTCATCACGGCTGCTAAGAGAGTGAGCAGCTTACATCAGCATAGCCTGTCGGTAAGCGCTAAGTGATTGAAGGAAGGAAGGAAGGAAGAAGGAAGGATGATGTGTTCTCACATCTGTCTGCTAAAACAATAAGAAGTCATTGCTTTTGTCATGCTGTGACCTTGGTCAAGCCCCCTTTTCTGCCCTTAACTCCAGGAAGCTGGACTCCAGCAAAATCCTGCCCTTACACAAAGGCAAGCCCAGTAGGCCCTTGCCACATTGTTGGTGGTATTGTCCTTGTTAACCTGAGTGTTGGGGCTGCTGGGAGAGGAACCCATAGAGAGATCAGTGGCTTAGAAGGGTCCAGACCCAGCCAGTCTCCAACAGGGTGTGAGGACAGAGAAGAGGAGGTTGTCTTGCTGGGAATGGTGAGCACAGCCTCCCCAGAGAGGTGTGAGGCAGGAACAGGTGTGTTTCCACGCACCTGCACTCATGTCCCTCCGCAGGGCCCCAGCCTGCATTTTATGCCCCAGCCTTGTCTTCAGGGCTTCCCACCCCTTTTACTTTGTCCATCAGAACCCTTAGCCAGGTAATGATGGTTATTTGAAACTCCCCATCTGATCACTCCAACCTCTCTGTCACATCTGAGTCAGATTCTGATGCTTGCTCTGTCTCTTCTAACTCCTTTTTTTTTTCTCTTAGTAACCCTTGTAATTTTTTATTCAAAACCAGATATGTTGCACTGGGAAAATGGAACCCAATACTGCTTCCCACAGAGGCTTCTGCTCCTGTAAGTTGTGATATTCTGCATTTGCCTGTCTGCCTTTCCAATTTCGGGGTCAGTGGTTTGCCCTGTGACCTCAACTCCCTGACAGATCTAAGAATTGCTGCTTTGGGGTTTGTCAGGCTCTTTTCTTACTGTGTGGATAGGAGTGATGACGTCCAAGCTCTTCACATGCCAGACCAGAAACTGCAAATGTCTCTATTCTTTCCATTCCCAGAATCCGCTACCTTCTGATATCTGTCTATGGCATTGCCTCCAAGGCTCTGATGACCGTGAACTCCACCTGGGGGCCCTCTCCCTTCCCTACTCTCCGTTTCTATGTTTGCAACCTCTGTTAGGTCTAGCGAAAGGCTCTTTCCTCTAACAGAGGTTTCCCTGACACCCTGACTGAATCTTTGGATGCCCCCGCTCCATCCCCATCTTGGCACATTGGATACACACCAGTCCCGTCATTGAGTACTGTCTCTCTTATGAGACGGAAGGCACCTTGAGCACAGAGCATTGGCCTGGTCATCTTCCCACCCCTAAGAGTGGATGCTTCACAAGTATTAGCAAGATAAATATCTATGATTTTAAATTCCCATCGTACCGCCAACCCATCTTGTATGCATTTCTAAAAATGTATTATCTTGACATTAGAATACCTTTTAGGGAAGCACCTGTTGCTGTTTTCCAAAATATCTCAATACAGCTGCTTGGGGTGGAAATTAAGAATATGAGGATATGGATCAGTGTAAAAGAAATCACTGAATTGTGGCATTAGGAATTATCTTAAGAATTTGAGGCCGGGCGCGGTGGCTCACGCCTGTAGTCCCAGCACTTTGGGAGGCCGAGGCGGGTGGATCATGAGGTCAGGAGATCGAGACCATCCTGGCTAACACGGTGAAACCCCGTCTCTACTAAAAATACAAAAAATTAGCCGGGCGCGGTGGCGGGCGCCTGTAGTCCCAGCTACTGGGGAGGCTGAGGCAGGAGAATGGCGTGAACCCGGGAAGCGGAGCTTGCAGTGAGCCGAGATTGCGCCACTGCAGTCCGCAGTCCGGCCTGGGCGACAGAGCGAGACTCCGTCTCAAAAAAAAAAAAAAAAAAAAAAAAAAGAATTTGAGAAAGGGGCCCGGCACAGTGGCTCATGCCTGTAAACCCAGCATGTTGAAAGGCCTAGGTGGGAGGATCACTTGAGCCCAGAAGTTCAAGATCAGCGTGGGCAACATGACAAAACCCCATTTATACAAAAAATACAAAAATTAGCTGGGCTCGGTGGTATGCACCTGTGGTCCCAGCTACTTGGGAGGATGAGGTGGGAGGATCACGTGAGCCCCAGGAGTTCAGGGCTGCAGTGAGCCATGATCACACCACTGCACTCCAACCTGGGCAACAGAGTGAGACCCCATCTCAAAAAATGAAACCAAACAAACAAACAAAAACAGAATTTGAAAAAAGGAAAAGAGCAAAGTAGAGAGGCAGGAGAGACAAGGGGGCAGAGAGCTGAAAACCGTGAAGAGAGATAGGAGGCTGGAACCTAGCAAATGGCGCATGAAGGATGCTTTTAAGCACAGAAATATGTTTCCCAAAGTTGTTGGTGTTGCTGCAGCATAAATGCTCCAGCTCCCCAAGCCATTGGCCAAATCTGCACACACACACAATGCTTTGTGTGAATGTATTTATAATGGAGGGACCTGGAACTCCATGTCTCAGTAGACACAGAAAGAAATGGGGATTGTGCATGTGTGCGGGTGATGACATGGTCCCTGAACAGAATCAACTCAGCCAAAGCAGGAATTCAGAGGAATTGGACTTCCCATGACCAGCAGAGTGGGTTTGATGCAGCCTAGAACTTAAGAGGCCGAGTTACCACAGCTGACATCTGCAAACAGATGCACGAAAGCACAAATGAATGAACTCATGTAACATTCAGAGAGGACCCGATGTGTGGGCTCCATTTGTGATATAAGAGTCAACACTGGCCATGGGATAGAGTGTCAAAGAAATACCAATCGAGGCAGAAGTCGTATGGAGAAAGGAGGCCCTGGCAGGTCTGTCTGTTCCGTTGTATTTTGCTAAGGAGACTCAACAATGACTTAATCTACCTCAAATGGGGAGAACTCGTAGGGATTTGCAGCCACAATCAGTCAGCCATGAGCTAGGCAGCCATGCAGATGGAAAACAAAGACAATCTGACCACTGGATTCCTGGCCAGCCTCCTGTGTGGGTCTTCCGGGAACCCCGGGTGACTGGTCCTCTCTGGAGGACAGAGACTGGGCTCAGGAATGGCCAGGAGTGGGACCACCTGCCTGGGTCATCAGCCCACTCTCACCTGGGTGCAAGCCTGGACTGGCCCTGCTGCCCAAAGTTGATTAACCTGGGATTAAACAGCTAAAGAGTCAATCTTCCTCTCTCTCTCTCTTTCTCTCTCTCTCTCTTTTTCTCATTTCTATTATTTCTTTCCTAGAGCGAAAGTTCTGAGAAGCCTGCACCCTCATATCCCATCTGTAAATCTTCTAGCTAGACGTCCCTTCAATAATCGCATTATTCAATGCGAAGAAGAAACCCAAGATGTTCCCCCAATCTGTAAATCTTCTAGCTAGACGTCCCTTCAATAATCGCATTATTCAATGCGAAGAAGAAACCCAAGGTGTTCCCCCAAATATATAATACAACATTAATGTAGCTGCTGGGAGACATCACCAGAGATTGCATGGAAACTCTACAAAAGCAAAGCAAATCCAAACAAAAAACCCTCTGCACAAGGCCAAGGAGCTGAAGTAAGTTAAAATGAAACATCAGTAATATTGTTTGGGAAAACAAAGAATCATATAACACATGGCTTCTAAAAGAAATTTATTGAATGCTTTCAAACAGCTTGAACAACAGAGCTTGGCAGATTAACAGCCGTAAGTGTACCTGCAGGTGTATATCAAGTTCAGACATCTGATGCCAGGTCCCAGGCCCTGGCAAGGCCAGAAGGCCCAATATTAGACATAATCATTCTCGCTGAATGCCTTTTTCAAAGCCCATGTAATTCATTGCTGGGGTTGTATTTCATGTTTAGGTTGTCTGGCTTTCTTTGTTCTTAAGAAAACAACCAACCAATACCAGGAGGCCAAACGTTGTTTAGAATCATGAAACCATAGAATGTTACCACTGGGAGGCATCTTGGAAATTCAGACTCCAATTCTTCTGTTTTTCAGAAAAGCTAACTGGGGCTCAGGGAAAGAAAGCAAGTGGTCTCTTGGGCCAGAGGAAGGAGGAGTCCAAAAGAGGGAAGGGACAGCCCTTGGTAAAGAACCAGATTCCAGAGGGCACACAAAATACTGCTTCCTGGTTTCACACCACCTAGACTTAATGATAACAATGACACCCACTGTGTGATTTTTATTTCCAGTTTATAAAGAGCTCTCAATTGGAATTTCTTTTGACTTTCACAATCTGTCTTTAAAGGCATGGATGTGACCTGCGTATTTCAGAGTAGGAAACCAAGATGTAGAGAGATTGGACCAAGATTCCAAGGACTGGGGCTTAGAAGTAAGTTAGCCACATCCTTTTCAGTTTTGAGAGCTGAATGGTCACTAGTATGAATGATGACTGTCCCAGGGAAACCAGAGGGCCAGGTCACCCCACCCGTGCCCCAAGCCCATGCCAGTCCCATTCAGCCATGTGGCTCCCAATCCCATCCTCTATTGCATTAGGCCTCATATTTTTCGAAGCACTTTTATGGTTCTCTTGTGCCAAGTAACCCAGTGAGTTGGGCAGGATGGGCATGCTGTGCCATTTACACAAGAAGAAATGGAGTGTTCAAAAGAGGCCATGTAAACCACGAGAACCGTGCAAAGACAAGTTTCCTTAATTCAAATGCACATCCAGGGACCTTTAGTCCTGGGTACATCGAGGGTTCCTCAGGCCTGCTGTAGATCCAGACGTCTTAGCAAATCCAGGGTTCCTTACTCCTGCTCTAGAATTCTCTTTCCCACATACATTTACTCCACCCAGGGAAGAAGAGAGGAAGGAAGTATTTAATAGATTGTAACATATGAGATCCCCCAAAAAAGTGTTTTTAAGTTAAAGAAATAAATGATGGGGGGAGGGAAGAGGGACCTACCTTCAGTTCAGCCTCCAGGCAAATTTCCAAAAGGCTGGCATGTTGGAGTCAGCTCCGGAACAGCAGCCCCATCCCACTGAGTCTTGGGGGAGATAAGAAGGGTCTCAAGTCCCAACAGTCACAGAGCACTCAGCTAGTGGTCTCCTAAAAAGAATAAAGCCTCAGCTTGGTTAGGTTGGCTCTCTGGGCCAAATGACAACCTGAACTGGGGGCCCCAAATCTGGCAGCCCATGGAAATCACTTGGAAGCAGGGTTATTCCAGATCTGCGGAATCAGAGTCTGCTTTGAACCAGCTCTCCAGGCAATTCCAATGAGCAGGCAGATGGGAAGCAGGGATTTGAACAAGACTTCATTACTATTACAATTATGTAAAGTAATTTCTAAAATCTCCCTCTTCTTTCACATGAGATAATGAAAGAAACCCGTTTGATACATTTTTTTGCATAAACTATATGATTGCTTTTTTTTACAATGTAGTTTTAGGGAATTTAGAGTCAGGCATGGGTTTGGGAAGCAGGACTTGGGTTGAGACTCTGGCCTTGACCCTAATGAGCAGTGAGACCTCGGGCAAGACATGTGACCTTCCCAAACCTCGGTTTTCTTAACTGTGAAATGGTGGTGATGATTGAATGAGCAGTGCAGGGCTCATGTGAGAGTCAAATTAAATAGTTTTTATAAACTGCCTTGTGCACTGGGAGCATTTGGAAAATGGAAGCTTTTAGGAACATTGCTGTGCTGTCTCTATCCTTGGTAATGTGGGCAATTCACAATGTGAAGGGTAATTTTTGCTTCTCTCACTGTATCACCGTGTCAGCAGCCCAGTTTAAGCCAGCACAGTAGACCATAGACTCCCTACACTCTACTCCCAGCCCTGCAGTCTAAGACAGCATCTTGCGGGGATGAGTCTAAGGCAACTGCAGGGGCACAGATAAGTCCTTTTATTGGGCATTTTCCCCAGCTCAGGGTCAGACACGGATGCTCTTGGGTAACAAAGGAGTCCAGTGAAATCCCCTCCCAAGAGTAAAGCAGGAGAATTGCCGTGGCAACCCCAACCTGAAAACAACGTAGGCATGCCAATGGTGCAGTGGGGGTTCAAGGGCGTGATTGGGAAAGTGTTATGGAAGTGTCTCAGCTAGACTTTGATGAACGCATGGGATTCGTGCAGGTAGAGATGGCTGGAAGTGCTCTCCGGGTAAAGGAACCAGCGCAAAGAAGAGCTCAGAGATGGGTTGTGGTGGGTCTGAGTTAGGGTGGCCATGAGACTTCATCAGACCGGTTGGTGCTGCTCCCACACTTGGGGGAGGGGAAGCATGTTGTCAGCCCTACCCACCCCCACACTGCCTCCCCAGCAGATTGGGGCTGCCAGGGAGCTGGGATGGGCCCTTTCCTCATCCGTGCAGGGTGTTTCATTCCACAGGATGTGGCCGACCTGAACCAAGGCCACGGCTTCGGCTCTACAATTAAGAAACCACCACAGTTCTGACTCTGCGAACAACAGAGGTGTTTATCCTGAGAGTTATCCAAGTTAAACTGGAGGACGCCTGTATGCTAGAAGGTTCTATGGAGGCACTGAAGAGGGGTGAAGCCACCATGATGTAAATTAAAGGTGACATCCTAGTCATGTGGTCTTTCTGATGGACAGCACGAGAGCCAGGTCTGGATTGGTTTAAAAAAGTGGAGTTGGTTTCAAGGGCCACAAAGACAGCCTTCATAACTTTAAGACTCATTCCATATGGGTTTAATACTTACAGTTCCTGAGAGCTAGGTGCTTTGCTTAGGCACGGAACGCATTGCCTTGCCATCCGAAGCCATGCATTCAAGACCATGAACTGTGAGTCAAATTAAATGTTGAGTGTTCCTTTTTCTGCAAGAAAATGGATGCCTCAGTTGAAAAGACAGATAAGAAGTGCAGAAAAAGAAAGCAAAGCAATCAGCGTTTCAAGATAACGATCCCACTCCATGGAATGTGGGCTCCAGGAGGCAGGCATGGGGTCCAGTCTCATTTACCTTTTTGTCACCTGTGTCTGGTAATTGGAAGTGCTCCATAAACAGTGGTTCAAGGAATGAAGTAAGAGAAACTCCTCTCCAGCTAATGAAAGTGAATGTTTCTATGGGGATGTGGCAGTTATGAGTGGCAGGGGCACTTGCTTTGTATTTAGGCTTCTGCATTCCCTTTAGCCCTTAAAAGAACATTCTCTAGGTAGAACATTTATCAGGACAGGCCCTGTTTTGAGAAAAATTGAAATATTGGCACTTTGTATCAAAAGCACAGGAGCGAGAACATGCGGTGTTTGGTTTTCTGTACTTGCGATAGTTTGCTCAGAATAATGGCTTCCAGCTTCATCCATGTCCCTACAAAGGACATGAACTCAACCTTTTTTATCGCTGCACAGTATTCCATGGTATATATGTGCCACATTTTCTTAATCCAATCTATCATTGATGGACATTTGGGTTGGTTCTATTTTTATATTTTATTTAGAATAATGTATATCTATATTCGTAAATGAGATTTAAAAAAAAAAAGCACAGGAGAGCTACCGTGCCCTCTGGGACAGTTTCACATGGAGGAATTTTGCTTACCTGACCGTCAGCAGGGTTCCCCAACCTGGAGTTCACTTGGAGGTGCTCATTAGAATGCAGGTTCCTAGGCCTACCAAACCAGATTCCCTGGGACAGGGCCAAAAATCTGCATTTTAAAAAATAATTTCAACTTCTATTTTAGATGCAGGGGGTACACATTCAGGTTTGCTACACAGATATATTGCATGACACTGAGATTTAGGATAGGAATGATCCTGTCACCCAGATAGTGGGCATAGCATCCAACAGTTAGTTTTTCAACCGTTGTCCCCCTCCCTTCCTCTCTCCCTTTGGAGTCCCCAGTTTCTATTGCTGCCATTTTTAGGTCCATGAACACCCACTGTTTAGCTCCCACTTATAAGTGAGAACATGAGGCATTTGGTTTTCTGTTCCTGCATTTCATTCCCTTAGGATAATGGCCTCCAGCTACATCCATGTTGCTGCAAAGGACATGACTTTGTTCTTTTTTAATTGCTGTGTCATATTCCATGATGTGCATGTACCACATTTTCTTTATCCAGTCCACCATGGGCAGGCACCTAGGTTGAGTCCCTGCCTTTGCTATTGTGAATAGTGCTGTGATGAACATATGGGTGTGTGTCTTTTTGGTAGAATAATTTTATTTTGGGTACATACCCAGTCATGGGATTGCTAGGTCAAATGGTAACTCTGTCTTACGTTCTTTTTAAAAATTTTTTTTATTTTTAATTTTTGTGGGTACATAGTAGGTGTATATATTTATGGGGTACATGAGATATTTTGGTACCAGCACACAATGAGCAATAATCACATCATGAAAAATGGGGTATCCATCTCCTCAAGCATTTATCCTTTGTGTTACAATCCCATTAGACTCTCTTCTCTTTTTAAAAAATTTGAAATATATTGGAAAACATGGTTTTTGTTTAGTTTTTTATTTAACTTTTAAGTTCAGGGGTACATGAGCAGGTTTGCTACACAGGTAAACTTGTGTCCTGGGGGTTTGTTGTACAGATGATTTCATCACCCAGGTATTAAGCCTAGCATTCATGTCAAGTTATTTGAGTAATCTCCAAGCTGCTTTCCTCAGTGGCTGAACTAATTTACACTGCCACCAACGGTGTATAAGCCTTCCCCTTTCTCCCCAGCCTCGCCAGCACCTGTTGTTTTAGCCATGCTGCCTGGTGTGAGATAGTATCTCATTGTGATTTTGATTCACAGGGAATCTGCATGTCTGAAAGTTCCTCAGATGAATCGAGTAAATACTAACACTTGTGAGCTAGCACTGACTTCTTCAAGCAGCATGCCTATCACCTGTGACAGCTCCTTCTGGGGGATGTGGTGCACACAGCACACAGCCACCTCCCCCAGGACCACCCTTTGACCTCCTTCAGTGGTGAAACCATCCCAGCTACCAACAAGTGCAGAGGCAGCAAAACCAAAGTAAACCAGGAAGAGAAGTAGGCAAGACCATATATGTGACTAATAACAAAGTTTCTTGCAAAATAAAAAAGCCCTGTTATTTATGTCTGCAGTGACACCCTGACCACGCAGTCAGTGAGTGAGCAGGTTTACAAGTTCTTGAAATGAATGTAAGCAGCACTATGGTATAATTATCTTTCCAAACTGCATTTCACAACCAGAAGACTGGCCTCCACTGGGGCCATTCCCCAGGCACCATCTACCCACACCTGGGAGCAGCCCCCAGTGGGCTTCAGATAATCCGCCCGCCAACCTTTACAATCAGCTCTTCATTCTTTCCTGTGTTCCCTCACACCACATTCCTTCAGCTGATTGTGGTATGTCTCCTTACCCTTGGCAATTAGCCCTTATAAAGAAAAAAGTTTCACCTCCTGCAAGAAGCCTTCCTAGATTACAAGAGAGCTGGTTCCTCCCACCTCCTCACCCCAACATCCCCAGTGAACATTTGCAGATCCCTGAGTTACTGAAGCCGTGCGGGAAGAATAGAAAAACAAAGGAGAATCTAGAAGCAAATGCCAATTTTTTTTCTCTGTTTCCTGGTGGGCTTCAGCAGACGTAGGCTGAAAATGCATAGGCAAGGTGACCTGTGGGCTTTTCCTGCTGGATTAGACAAGCACATCCCAGGGTCAGCCTATGGGACATGGACGCAACTTGGTGCAGGGAACCATACTGAGTGCAGGATGCGGACGGGAAAGGATACTCAGGCCTTGTCCAAGGGCTCGGAGGGGTGCCTCTACCCATTGTCCATGTGTCTGGGCACCTGGGTGATGGAAGATGCCCCATTCGGCCGGGGGACAGGGCTGCCTGCACTGAGCCCCCAGGAGGCTGAAGAAAGCGTTTCCCCACCCCACCCCAGGCTCTGTTTGTGGATGTGGCCAGGTGATCTCAGAGAGCCGGCTGATCTGGGTGGGTGCAAGGGGTGGTTTTATAAGTTCAGGGTTCTTGCCTCTCTCCCCTCCCCATGGTGCCACTCTGCGGGGAATTTATTGGCATTTTGGCAAATCTCAACTTGGTTCACTGCTACCTCTTCTTCCTAAAGACTTTCCAGGACTTCTTGGAGTGTGGGGGTGTTTTCAGAAGGAATCTGAGAGCACCTCCCCACCTCCCACACACATACACTCAGCCTGCAACGGTCTCTGTCATGCCAGGTTAGAGGAACCAGGCAGGCTGAGTGACCCGGGCATGTCTCCTTGTTTTCAGGAAAACCGTACAACTCGACAGAGAGGCATTGAAGCCACTCTTTCATGAATGAGTCAGGATGACAGGTGGAGAAGGATGTCCCCAGACCCCAGGGTCCCAAGCCCTTCACAGGAGAGGTGGGAGCATCCACCAGCCCTCCCTTAAGATAAGGCCACCTGCCACTGTGGTTTGGCTTATACCACAATATAAAGTCTAAAACAGCAACTTCTCTGTGAGAAAGCCAACCAGGGGACCCAAGGCACACAAGGCAGGGGGAAGGTACCTAGAATGGACCCGCAGGCCCCCGGCTGCCTTGTGGCTCCAGAGCCCCTGAGGACAGCAGCCCGGGGATGGACTTCGGCGCACTGTCATCCTGTGACTCCCACGCTTTCCCATGGGTGCGTTCTGGACCTTGATCACAGGCTTCCTCTGTTTCCCCAGCTGTCAGCAAGAACACAGAGTGGGTGATTCTTGTCTGGACCAAGGTATGCACAAAGGCGATTACTATGGCCTCCGAGATTTGCCTACAGCTTGAACCTGCCTCGCCTAAAAGGGCACCGGTTATGGAAGTCACCCTGTGTACCTGCCAAGCCCCAGCCCCAGTCAAAAGTGCTAAGCAACCCTGGGACAAAGCCAACTCCATCTCTCCTTTCAATGCACGCCAGCCACAGTGAATCCCTCAGCCCAATGGTGTCTTCGGGAGCCCCTCTCCATGCCCCGTTCTTCCAGCAGCTCCCTGTTGAGGAACCAAGTGTGCCCAGCCAATTTCCCCCAGCACCCACTCCCTAACAAGCACTACTCAGGCTGTCATGGTTGGAACATCAAAGAGTCACCTCCCTTTGGAACTTTTTCACTAGCATCATTATAAAACACAGATCAATGTTCAAGAAATCCTCCAACCATGAGGAAATGAAGGAATTGGGGTTCAGTGGCCAGCAATTGCCCTTCCCCCAATCCCTGAACACAGTTAAAACTTAATCAAGTGAAATGCTCAAAAATGAGGAGTATAAGCTCATTTTCCCATCTGGTTCAAGGAAGCCATTGCAATCTCTGCACATCAGTGGCGAAAATCACAGTCTATCTTCTTGCCTTAGCAAGGGCAGTAGAGTCTATATAATTTTATCTTGCTTGTTTGAATGCGGGAGTCTGTACCTGGGGGTCATTTTTTTTTTTTTCTTTTGAGACAGGGTCTCGCTCTGTTGCCAGGCTGGAGTGCAGCGGCGTGATCTCAGCTCACTGCAAGCCCGCCTCCTGGGTTCAAGCGATTCTCCTGCCTCAGCCTCCTGAGTAGCTGGGATTACAGGTGTCTGCCTGGGGATCACATTTCTATGGCAATTCCACAAGACCCCGAGATGGTGCTAACAGTTGGCTGCTCCCTGGCGTTCATTGGAATGCGGCTGCATTTTCTAAATTCCTTTGTCCTCTTGTCTGACTCTCCTTTGCTTCTTTCTCCACAAAATTATTTGGCCAAAAAAAAAAAAAAAAAGTTGAGTTAACTGGGGACTCTGGTTAGCTGTTCTGTAGTTGATGCAGGTATAATTATACAATACACGTGAACATTGGTCTAGAGCAGCGCCATCCGTTCATGACGCGCCCTATCCGTGCTATGCAAATGGTAGCCGCTCACGACAATGGCAATGGAGGAATTGGATTTTAAATTTTATTTAACTTTATTTTAGTGTATTGTATTTTCGAGACAGAGTCTTGCTCTGTCCCCCAGACTGGAGTACAGTGGCACGATGTTGGCTTACTGAAACCTCCACCTCCCGGGTTTAAGCGATTCTCGTGCCTCAGCCTCCCGAGTAGTTGGGACTACAGGCGCGCATCGCAGCGCAAGCCACCACGGCCGGCTAATTTTTTGTATTTTTAATGGAGACGGGGTTTCGCCATGTTGCCCAGGCTGGTCTGGAACTCCTGAGCTCAGGCAATCCACCTGCCTTGGCCTCCCAAAGTGTTAGGATTACAGGCGTGAGCCACTGCGCCCGGCAACTTTAATAATTTTAAATCTAAATAGCCACATGTGCTTTGTGGCTAGCTTCCTGGATGGGGCGGGAAGGACATTGATAGGCAGCTCACGGGAGCACTGGGCAGGAGGCCGTCTGGATTCAAATACAACAGCCCTGTGCTGTCCACGTGTGGTTGTGGGAATTCACTGAGACGACTTAGCAGGAGCCCCACACTCAGTTTCGGGCACAGTGTAGATTCTCAGGAAAGCAAGGCCGTGTTGTTCTGATGGAACCCAAGGTTTGGGGTCTAGATTAGGCCAGCTTCAGCTTCTCCATCCCCCTGGTTTCTACACTCCTTCAGGCTCTTCCTAAGTCAGGCACTGTAGCAGGCTGGCTTGTGTCCTCAAAAAGGATATGTTTAAGTCCTAACCCCTAGTACCCATGAATATGACCTTGTTTTGAAATAGGGTCTTTGCAGATGTGATCAGTTTAAAGGTCTTGAGATGAAATCATCCTGGATTGAGGGTGGGCCCTCCATCCAAAGACTGGGTGCTCTTATTTTAAGTTCAAAAGTACAACCGCAGGTTTGTTATATAGGCACACTTGTGTCATGGGGGTTTGTCGTACAGATGATTTCATCACCCAGGTATTAAGCCTAAAACCCATTAGTTGTTTTTCCTGATCCTCTTTTTCCTCCCACCCTCCAAAAGGCCCCAGTGTGTGTTGTTCCCTTCCGTGTGTCCATGCGTTCTCATTATTTAGCTCCCACTTATAAGTGAGAACATGTGGTATTTGGTTTTCTGTTTCTGTGCTAGCGTGCGAAGGATAATGGCCTCCAGCTCCATCCACGTCCCTGAAAAAGACACGATCTCGTTCTTTTTTATGGCTGCGTAGTATTCCATGGTGTGTATACACCACATCTTCTTTATCCAGTCTACCATTGGTGGGCACTTAGGTTGATTCTGTCTTTGCTATTGTGAGTGCTGCCGCAATGAACATTCCCTTACATGTGTCTTTATAATAGAATGATTTATATTCCTTTGGGGATGTACCCAGCAATGGGATTGCTCAGTTGAACGATATTTCTGTCTTTAGGTCTTTGAGGTATCGCCACACTGTGTTCCACAATGGCTGAACTAATTTATACTCCCACCAACAGTGTAAAAGTGTTTGAAAGGGGTTACATTCCTTAGCCCCATCATGAGGACCTGGTTCAGTGAGCAGAGTTGAGGGAAGGTAAAACAGGACCTAGAAATGGCCACAGCTAGAGCGCCACCCGAGCTGCCAGGACCAGGCTGGACTCTGCACACGAGGTTGTCCGGGGCAGGGCAGGGCCAGGGCATGCCTGGAGCTGCCACCACTGTAGCACAGAACACGGGGTCTTAACCTGGGTGAGGAGTCAGGAGGTCTGTGAACTTAGATAGGAAAGAAATTCCATTTTTATTTTCCCTGACTTCTAACTACATGTTGGCCTTTTCTTCCTCGCAAAGTCTTAACCTGGGTGAGGAGTCAGGAGGTGTGTGAACTTAGATAGGAAAGAAATTCCATTTTTATTTTCCCTGACTTCTAACTACATGTTGGCCTTTTCTTCCATTAGGAACACAGGCAATGAAGCACACTGTGGGGGACACACCTGTGATTGTCGAAATCACGGATATTTTCATACTGCATTGCAGCTGTTGCCAGTATCATCAGTGACTTTCATCCTTCTCTCTGCTTTGTAATTATGGTGGTTATAAGGCGGACAACTCAATCTTGTCTTAAGCTATTAATAAAAAACATGTGCACTATCATATCACAGTTGGGAGGGCGGGGTGGGGATTGTTACATTTTGTTACATTTTGTTAGCTGTATTTCAACATACTGGTTTCCTTGGGAAGCCCATGTACTTTTTTTCATGCATTTGAAGTCTGAATTCTGAGAAAGGGTCCATAGGCTTCCCTAGGCTGCCGCAGGGGTTCATGACACAGAACAGGGTAAGAGCCACTGGCATGGACACTAGAAACCTACACCAATGCTGTTGTATCACTTTTCAGACAAGCTCTGTGCAGTCGGAATTTTTTAAAGATGCACTGTCACTTGAGGAAGACAGGTGATCTTCCTGCGGCACAAATAGAAGCAAAGAGATTTCTCTTCTTCTCTGTAGAGCAACACAATTGATAAATGGCCGATAATCTCCACCAAATTGGCAGCAGTAGGCTGCCCGAAGGCAGCAGGCATATTCGTCTTTGTGAATTGTTTTACTATGATGCTGTCACATTTCCAGGAATAAGACGGTTAAAATGATATATTGTTGTGGTTTGGCATTTGCAGCTTTGCTCTGACTTCCCTGGTAACTGCCAACATCTGCAAATTATTATGTGCTTAAAAAAAAAATCAACCGCCACCGCAGGCTGCCCCCACGGTCCCTGGCTGGGCCAGGCCTCCTGCCAGGCCACAGGGCAGAGTTCTTGGACCAGGAGGCAGCAGGGTCAAAACCCAGGTTGCCTAGGAAGCCCCCAAAGACAGTTATGGATAGAGCTGGGAGCCCGAAACACATGCGGCAGTCTCTCAGTTTCCAGGTACCGGTTCTCACATCATCCATGCATGTGTTTGAGGAAAAACAAAAAAAAATTGATGGTTGCCAAAAACAAAAATGCTTCCATATCAAAGTTTATCAGTGTCAATGTCAAGAGACTTCTGGTTCGTAGACTCATTTTGGCTTGAGGCCACCAGAAGTGAACTCTGGTTTCTAAATGCAGAAGCAGAGGCACTGGCCGATCATGGAAGATGCAGGGAACTGTTCAAGAGGCCCAAGCCTGGTGCTCAGAAACTTGGCAGGATCAAGCATCTCGCCCAGGAATTCATCCCCTGCTTGTCTAAGCCGGCTGGCTCTCGTGACTGACTCGGAACAACAGAGCAGATGTTTGCGTGGGAGGCAAGCCTCACCCAACATCTGTCCTGCGGCGGGAAGGCCTGGGTGTTCACAGATAGAGCTGGAGTTCCCCGGTGGGTGGCACAGACAATTAGCTGGGGCTGCCTCACATGTAATCTAATTACAGGGGAAACAGGCTCAAACACCGGGTGATAAGCAGCGCAACTGTTTCGGGTGACTCTGTAATTTTTCCTCCATTAATTTTCTCCATAACGCACATGATTGTCATAAGGGTTAATTAAAAAGAGCGTGAGTGGCCTCATGTCACATGTAGCTGGACCAGAAAGTGTTGAGTACCTGCTCATGCGTGCAAGAGGAGGAGGGAGGAGCACATCACTGAACTTCACATGAAATTGGATACCCGGGATTAGAGACAGTAGAGGGTTTTGGTGAAATCAGATACACATTGCAAAGCAGCACACCGCGATAATTCAATTTGGATATACTGACATGGACTGTATAAACAAGGAGAATGGAAGGCAAAAGGGTGATTCCAGGGAGGCTTCCTGGAGGAGGTGAGCTCTTCAAAGAGGTCATGTGCACAGGTAGAGGAAAGAAATAGAAAAAAAAAAAAAAAAGAGCACTAGAGCCAAGGACAGGAAGGATCACAACCATAGGGACAAGGATCCAAAACCATGAGGTTAGAACCTGAAGACAAGGAACCAGACTCAAGGAAAAAGTTTCCTTCAAAGATAACGGCTGATGGGTGCAAGGAGGTATCGAGGGATAGAGGATGTCCAACCCCAAGCTATAAGCAAAAGTCCAACAACTGATATCTCTTGTTTGCAACCCATCTCAAAGCCACCAAGCCTTGTGTAAACATCACCCAGAGTGGCCAAGACACCAAGTGAGCAGAGCCTGGTGACATCTAGGATTTGCACATAGCAGGCGATGAATAAACCCATGCTGTCTGACTTCGGAACTTTGACCTCAAGTTCATCACCTCTAGTATTTGTGGATGAAGTCAATGATAGAGTTAGTTCTTGCTTGTTCATGAAGCGGATGGTGCATCATTCTAAGCAATGCATAACATATCTGTTTTTAAAATGTTTTTATATGCATCTTGGATCACATTAAAATTACTTTGCATTTTGGACCATACAACAACTGATGGGGTTGGGAGTAGGGAGTGGACACTCCAGCCCTTCCTGCACTGAAAGAATGGATGTGCAAGCCACATGCTCTAAGAGGGTGGAGGCATCCTCTTACCTAAATACTAGACTGGCATCAGCAGCTGCAATCCCCGATCTAGTTGCCTTGCTGGCAGTATCTCAACCAATTGTTTTAATTTGAGACTTCATAATGACAATCCAAAGCTCACTTGATTATGATTATCACTGAGGAAGGCATTATTCAGAGTGTAGCAAATAGATAATATAGCTTTATCTACACAGCATCGCTCAGAGTGCAGCAAGTAAATCATATGGCCTGATCTACACACACACAAACACACACACATGAAGTCAGGAATATCTGACAGTGCAGTTCTAGTGTCCCCAAGCCTGTGATGGGTGTGCAAGATAGCGCCGTCCTGGGTCTGGCCCGATCCACGGGCGTTTGGATTCTGGGTTGGCTCATCCCCTGGGCTTTCTCTGCTTCTGTGGATCCCACTCCAGAGAGTGCTGGCATCGCCTCTTTCTTCAGGCTCTGAAGCCTCTTTCAATTCAGAACTTGAAATTCATTGCAGAGAACCCTCAGTCGTTTTGTCTGCAATCAAGTGACGGTGACTGCATTAGTCCCTGGGGCTGCCATAACAAAGCACCACAAACGGGAGGCTTAAAACAACAGGAATTTATTCTCTCACCGTTCTGGAAACCAGAATTCTGAAATCAAGCTGTCGGCAGAGTTGGTTCTCTCGAAGGACTGGGAGGGAGAATCTGTTCCCTGCCTTGCCTTTAGATTCCGCTGCTTCCAGCAGTCCGTGGCTGTCACATGGCCTTCTCCCTCTGGAGTGTGTCTCTGTGTCTGTCCTCCTCTTCTTGTGATATCACGAGTCATATTGGAATAAGGGCCCACCAGACACCAGTATGATTTCATCTCAGCTAACTGCACTGGCAGTGACCTTATTTCCAAATAAAGCCAAATGCTGAAGCAGCAGGGGTTAGGACTTCAATGTGTCTCTCGCAGGGACACAATTGAACCCACAGCAGTCAAATACATAGTCCTTATTAACCATACATGTAGGTCTGCTTTCTGCTGTGTCTAACAGATGCGCTTTTCTGTCCGAGGTTGAAAATTAAGGCAGCTTCCTCCCTGCCAGGGTACCCCCTGCACAGGCCCCTGCCACAGCTGGTGGTTACTAGAAGTCTTTCATACTCTTCAGTCCTGTGACAATAATTTCGTGTTTCCATGCACCCATATACAGACCCTAGCGCTTTTGGCAGGAAGAGAAGAATTTCTAAGTTGAGGCTGTTTAAAAGCGTCTCCCCAGTGAAGGGTCACCAGATTTAGCAAATAAAAATACAGGACACCTAGTTAAATTTGGATTTCAGATAAACAATGAATAATTCTTCAGGATAAGCATGTCCCATGCAATATTTGGAACACATTTACACTATAAAAATTACGAAAGTTCATGTTGCTGGGTGTCCTGTATTTCATCTGGCAAGCCTACACTGCCGGCACCAGAAAGTCCTTGAAGTGAGTCTCCTGATCCTTCTCCACCCCCACCCTCAGTCCTGGCTCCATCTGCCCTAGAGGCTGAGGGCTTTCTATGTAACCCCCATGGAGACAGGGCATTATAAGATGCAAGGATGTGAATGGAAAAAAATCACAAGATCTATACATCTGGAAAGGGGATCTTTATTTCTTCTAAAGGATTACAGCCTGCAGGGTGGCCATTCTGACAGGCCGGGAGACGCAGCCTCTGGCAGAAACAGCTGGCAGGCACCTGGAAGGAGGCGGTGTTGCAGCAGGAGCCTCATGCTGAATTGAGCTGGCCAAACATACATATTCAGGTTCCAGGAGGAGCTATGAATATTCACAAAGAGAGTCCTGAGCCGTGCCCACTGAACATGCACGTTACATGCGTCCCATGTTCACTTTGGGGTGGAGGCTTCACATTTAAAAGCATTACAATGAGTCCCTACACGTCAAAAGGTGAGGCAGGGACTCGAAGGCATACAAGTGTGCAGCTTCTATAATCAGCCTGAACCAGGTCTATGGTTGGTGGTCTCTTACCAGGAGACTGAAATCAACCTCTTGTCCAATCAAAGCTATAGTCACAGCTGTGGAACGGGGTCAGCCAGCGTCTGCAGGTGGATGAGCTGCAGTCGTTTGAATCTCGGGGCCGGTGCGTGTTTAGCTGCTGAAGAAAAAGAAGACGCTGTGGTGTGAGAGCAGAGTCCGTTCTCTAAGTGTAGAGTGCGCGGCTCGACCCTTACCTGGCGTGGCCTGAGGTGCTGCTTATAATTTGGTGTCTTATTGCCATAAGGAGTCTGTGCTGTCGGTCTCGTGTCTCTATTTTAGCATGACAGCCGATCATCGTCGTTTAAACCACAAAGGGGAGGGACTGTGATGAAGCGTGTCCGATCGCCCGTCCCCTCATGGCTGGGAGCTCAGCTTTCAGGTTTCTCTGGGGTCCCCTTGGCCAAGAGGGGGTCTGTTCAGTCACTTGGGGACTTCGGATTTTATTTTAGTTCTGAAAGAGTAGCAAATGGGGACCAACATGGAATTTGAAATGTATAGGAGGTAATTCCCAAAGTAAACCGCTCCGTGGACGTGATTCAGATCTGACTCCATGACAGTGCTGTCCCCTTCCCTGCCACCGTACTCCTCAAGGAGCTGGACGCGTCCTCGCAGGAGTGAGAGCTGCCTCGTCCACACCCACAAAGAAAGAACTCCACTCACATATTTCCCTGCAAATAAAGGGGCTCTGTATGTAATTAACTGACAAAAACGCGGGTGGAATTGCAGGTTTGGAAATAAAGTATAAGGCTCTATAACTCAGCCTGGCTCCGCACACACAAGCCGTCAACTGACACCTGAGCTGGACTGAAGCGGGAAGGGGGCTGGCCCCTGGTCAACACACACTGAACCCAGCGGCCAGTACACATCCTGTTCAGCTGACATGGGCTCTGCAGAGAATTCCAGCTCCCTCTATTCCCCACCCCTCACACAGAAACCTCTTATCCAGTTTGAGAGAGGTGTGTGCATGCATGTATGCACGTGCGTGTGCAGGCTTGTGTGCGTGCCTAATGAAAAGCAGCTTGTTCAGAGTTAGTCAAAGGCTTTGGGAATGAAACGCGGCTTTGAGCCCTTCCACAGCAGCTTTGAGGGGAGGCGTGTGTTGGTCAGAGCATGAAACCAGACGCCTGGAACACCGCCCAGCCAAACCCACCCGCAGCTCTGATGCAGGAGCTCGCACAGAGCATGACACGTTTCTCTGGGTTTGTTTTTTCTTTATCTACAAAGAAGTAGAAGGAGAAGGGAAAAGGATAGGAGTCCTAAAAGGCTTATTACTGCCCACGAGGGTCACTGGAATTGACTCAAGTCAGTGAAAGGCTTTGAAGATTAACGGGCCCATATAAATGTTAATTTGTTATGAGGTTTCTGCTAGGACGTTAAACAGAGCAGGGAAGACTTGCCTATAAAACACAGCATGCAGTCCTTGGTTATAATTAATGCCTATAAAGGTCTCTATATTGGATTCAGTCGAGGGCCTGGCAGGAGGGCAGTAAGGAGCCATTCCAGCTCCTTTTAGAGGCGAAAGTGGGGCTGTGGACGAATAGGTTCCTCAGAACAGTCACTGCCTGGGAAGCAAAACCACGGAATGAAAAGCTAGGGACAGTCCCCTAACGTGGGGGTGGGGCAATCAAAGGGAGCCGCCTTTGAAGAGCCCTGAGTCCCTTGAGGGGAAGGCGGCAACAAAGCGCCGCTTGTCCACCATCACCTGCAGCATGCTTTCCTTAATGAGGACGAGACCCAGGTGGCTCGGTCACTGCAGCTCCCTGGAAGGGACCCTCAGGCCCCCAAACTGGGAAGTCCCCACCTTCCCGCAGACTCAGGATGCTTCTTGTGGGAAAGCACACCCACACTTACAGTGACAGCAGTCACGCTGACCTCAAAAATCCTCCAGGAAAATCAAAATGACACCAATTCACAGGATGTTCCCCAAAGTCCTAGTTTCACAAACTGGAAAACAGCGCAACCCAGCTGTGGTCCAGAGGTCCTGGTGACCTGGCAGCGACAGAATCTTCTCAGGCTGCCTCTGTGCTGCCCTTCTGTGCTGGGATGCACCTGTTGGGGAAAGCTGGGGTTAGGAAACCCAGTGGGTGAACAGGGAGAACTCAAGAACCAGCGAAGAAAAGCAACAACAGGCATATTCACATTTTAAAATGCTTCAGGTGCAGTTTACATACTCTGTAGAGGTTGGTAAAAGTTACACAAATTATGCAAATATCATGTGGCTCACCTACTGTCATGGACAATATTGTGCACCCCACAAAATTAATATGTTGAAGCCGAACTCCCAGTCAGGGGTGACTGTATTTGGAAGCAGGGCCTTTAAAGAGGCGATTAATTTAAGATGAGGCCGTTTGGTGGGCCTTAATCCAATCTGACTGGTGTCCTTATAGAAAGATACAGAGACCCCAGGATGCATACAGGAGGGGCCTCTGCAAGCTGAGGAGGGGACTCAGGAGAAAGCAAACCCACGGGTGCTTTGACCTTGAACTTGTGACGTTGAGCTTCCAGAACTCTGAAAAATAAACTCCTGCTGTTTAAACCCCCAGTCTGTGGTCCTCTGCCATGACAGTCCCAACAAACCAATACAAAGACAATCAGAGAGCCAGAGGCCACGGGGCTCCTGCCGGTGTGGGTGCCTTAGGCAACACGCCCCATCCCTGGGGTCCTGGGCGCACCAAACCCACCCCTGGCTCCTGGATACCACCTCAGGACCACAGCTCCATTCATCCAGAGGCCAAGTGGGCAGCCTGAGGCAGTAAGAAGAACACTCACTGGAATGAGCCGTTCAGGGCTTTGGGATCCCCTCCTCCAGGCAGCCTTCTCTGGCTGCAGCCACCCTCCTCTGAGCCAGGTACCCTGCACTACTCCTCCAGGCTCTCAAAGAACCCTGGAGTCCCACGTATCAGAGCACTTTCCACACCGTGTGCTGACTTCCCGGCTCCCAGAGCCCAGCCCTAGGAGATCCTTGTTCTGGGGCACGTTTCTGCCTTTCCTTATCCCTATCTTTCTCCTCCTCACTCAGCACCTGGCCCTCGATGAGCAGGGTTCTCATATTTAACAGCTGTCCACTGGTCATGACACCTGGGTGCTGGAGGGAGCAGGAGCATGGGCACTGAAGCCTGCTGGGCGGGGGGTCCAGATGCTACTGAGCGGAGAAGGAAAGGTGTCTCGGCAGAGTGAACAGTGTGTGTGCCGGCCCAGAGGTGAGCCGCAGCAGCTGCGGTGGCTGGAGAAGTTCAGGAGGGTTGTGGAAAAAAGCAAGAGGAGGTGGGGAGGGCTTCAGAGGGGGCTGGAGAGGTTGGTAAGGGCTAGGCCACCAAGGACCCTATGAGCAGTTCAGGGCTTTAGGATCTACTGAGAAGGGAACAACCCTAGGGGTTCTCTGCAGGTTGCAAGCCCTCTGGCCCCCCAGTGGCCAGGGGTCTTCAAATCCCATAACCCCCACCCATGGTATTCTGCCCCTAAGGATGTCCACGGATGAGAAGATTGGCCTTCCAAGATTCTCCATCAACCCCTCAGCGAGGCTTCAGCAGCACTGAGCCCAGCAGAGACTTCTGTAGCACCCGAAAGCCTCCTTCTGTCTTGGGAGCCTCATCTGATCTGCTGTATCATGCGTCCCTGCCCTCTCCTCTCTGGGGCCTCTTTCCTTCCATCATCAGGGGAACTTGCTCCCCTGAAAGGAGAGGGCCAAGATGGGAACATTGTGCTATGTCAGCAGCCAGACACACAGCCCGCTGAGCTCCAAACAAAAGAAGTCCCAGGACCCAGGCACCTTTGTCAAAAGACAGCCAATGTAGCCTCTGTTCCAGGAAGGCTCCAGCCTGTGGCCTGTGGGGGTGAAGACAAGCTCCTGCACAATCTGGCCCATTGGATATAAAACATCTATTTGACTTCGGAGAGGGGAAAATATATCACATTGCTAAGATGTCCTTGGTTGCAGTGAATAGCCCAGGGAGAGGTGGAACAATTCATTCCAGAGACCAGCATGAGTGAGGAAGTTGACAAGGACAACGTGGGGCTTTCCAAACAAAAGAAGGAAGAGGCCAAGATAAGGATTTGGTACATTTGGCCAACAAATGGAGGAAATAATCATTTCCAAACCATTCTTGAATGTGCATTTCATCCATATTTATAAGAATGCAAGCCTGCACACGCTTTCCACCCTGTGTCACCCCATCATGGGCAGGGACTTGGTTTACAGACTTTTATATTTGCAGATGGCATCTCTCGTGCACATACATTTTGCGTATACTTTGACATAAATAAACCCGGTTTGGTTTTAAGAAATTTTAAACAAGTGATGTAAAAATATTGAAATAAGATGCTAAGGTTTATTTGGAGTTCTCCTAGGATGCTGAAGAGGTGGAAAGAATAATTTCCAGAATGAAATAATTCCTCAAACATGTTAGACATTATATCAACTCTAGCACAATGCTATGTATGCAGCAAGAGGGTGATAGTATCTGTGATTGGCTGAATTAATTAATCAATCTTAGGCATTCAACAAATATTTATTAAACAGTTAAATGAATGGAGGCAAGGGATAGGATTGGTGCATTTAAGTTCACATGTTAACAAACCCCCATAATAAGCTTCAGCAGTTGTACAATTTGTTGTTGGCATCCTAAGTTCTGAAATGCAATATATTCTACATTTTCTCCCCCTTATTTCCTCTCCCAAAGTTTCTAAAAAATGAAACAAAACATCCGTGTGCATGAGTGATCCCTGGCAACCTGCCATAGTCCACATTCCTTCTCTCTGAGACTCTCTCTGATATTCAGTTCTTGGCCTCCACTTGTCCCCAGATCATGTCCAGACGGCTGCAGGCTCCAAATGCCCAGAAGTCAGCTAATCCCAGGATCGGCAACAAACCTTGGCTCTGGGCAGACCTCTTACCTTTTCAAGAGCTTTTTCATTGGGTCTTTGATTTTATTTCACCAACTCTGTGAGTCAGGACAGGCATGTTCTCGTATTCTCACTCTCTTTCATACAGACACATACATGCACAAACATGAACACTTACCCCACATGCTCATGCTCACCTCATCCAAGGAACCCAAGGCCCTGGCGTCCAGAGAATGAGAGCTCCCGGGGCTAGCTGCTGAGGGTCAAGGCCGAAACCAGCTCAAGATTTCCTTCCCCCACCAGTGCCGTCCCTGTCCCCATGCAGGGCAATGGTCCACCCATTCCCAAGAAAAGGCCTCCAACTCCCTTCGTCCAGTTCCCTGCCCCTGGGCCTGTCCTCATTCTCGCTCTGCTGAAGTTGACACAGGCCTCGCTCCTGTGCAGGGGTGGGACGCGGTGGGGGAGCTACATTTAGACAAGGAAAGGGCCCCCAGGCTTCTGAGTGCGCGTACACACAGACAGGCCTCTGGGACATATTCTGGATGGCTCTGGGCAGATGGCTGTGTTTCCTCTTTTTTCCAGAAAAAAATTCCAGACGACGCAATGATCACAAATGCCAATATCCTAGTAATTGATAGGACTGGATCACACTATGTGAAAAGAAAAGGCGCCCCACAGGCTTTATATACATGTGCGCCGTGCACGCTCTCTCTGTCTCTAGCTCTGTCTCTGTGGACCTGTGTCAATGCTCTGTTGGTCTCTGTCTCTCTTTGTGTGCTTCTGTCTCTCTCTGTGTGCCTCTGTCTCTCTCTGTAGCTCTGTCTCTCTCTGCCTGTGTTCCCCTATGTCTCTGTCTGTCTCTGTCTCTCTCTGTAGCTCTGTCTCTCTCTGCCTGTGTTCCCCTATGTCTCTGTCTCTCTGTCTCTGTCTCTCTCTGCCTGTGTTCCCCTATGTCTCTGTCTCTCTGTCTCTGTCTCTCTCTGTCTCTGTCTCTCTGTGTGTCTCTCTGTCTCCCCTCTCCCTCTCTCTCTCTGTCTCTCACACACATATCCCTCACTGTGCGTCCAACTCAGCTCAAGCCCGTCTCCCTTGCACTTCCTATAAGCCCCTCTTGGAATGGCCTACCCAGAAGGGGCACTCAAAAGTGGGGACGCATTAACTTTCAGAATATCTGACCTCGCCACATGACCTCAGCCGGACTCTGGGTCCATGCAGGGAGTGGAAAATATCCCCAAGTGTAGCTGAGATGAGGCCTTGGAGTTAAGAGGTGAGCAGAGGAGAAGAAACCAGAGAAGAACATTAGAAAGAAGAGATTTGGAAAACTTTCTTTCATTAAACAAATGCCCGCCATGGCCAAGCACCTTTTGTATGTGAGGTGCTGTTCTAGTCACCGGGCCTGCGGCAGGAAGGATGAGACAGCCCACCCGCAGGAGGCTGACTGGAAGGGAACAGCCTCGGGAGACAGAGAAAGACAGGAATGAAGCGCTGGGCACAGCCAGCAGTAATACATGCAGCAGAAGAATGAAGCAAGGTGAGGGAAGAAAGCGTAGGGGGTGCCTGCAAACTTAAGCAGTGAATTCATCCACCAGGGCTGCCATCACAAAGTCTGCAGACTGGGCGGCTTAAACAATACACATTTAGTTTTTCACACTTGTGGAGGCTACGAGTCTGAGATCAAGGTGCCGGCAAAGTTAGTTTCTCCTGAGGCCCCTCTCCTTGGCTTGCAGGTGGCCTCTTTTCCTCGCCAGGTCTTCAAACGGTCTTCCCTCTGTGTGTGTCCTAATCTCTTCTTATAAGGACACCAGCCGGATTGGATTAGGGCCCACCCCATGACCTTCTTTTATCTTAATTACCTCTGGAAAGACCCTATCTCCAAATTCAGTCACATTCAGAGGTGCTGAGGTTTGAGGCTTCAGCCTATGGATTTTGGGGGACACGATTCAGCCCATAACAGATGTGGTGCAAGCTGGACACCCTCTGTGTGGACCCGCAGACCCACCCTTCCTGCTTTTCTTCTCTGCCCTTTGCCCCAGGACACCGACCTACAAAATGCATTTATGACTCCCTGCCTCCCAGCCCCATGAAGCGGGAGCACATGAAGACATGCCAAGGAGGGAGGAGGGTGTTTATCCCCGGCCCCTCCCTGCTTGCTTGCTTCAGGCAGGCAGCATCTCTCTACCCTGAGGCAACAGCACCTGTTAGGAGATGCACCTGCTCCATCCAGCTCTCTCCCCAGGTTCTGCTGATGATAATGGCTGCCTCCCCTTGGCCCTTCAGACAGAGCACTGGTAAGTTCTCCCCACTGTCTCTAGACCTGGGGTGTTGCAACAACCTAAACCCTGCCCCCAGCTTTGTAATAGTACCTTTCCTAAATTCTACTCTTAAATTGCCACATCTTAGTGGGCCATCCGACCAATACAGGGGGATCAGGCAGGAAGAATCAGAGAAAGAAAAAGGAAATCAAGAAAAAATGGTGTCCCAGAAGCCAAGATCATTTCAAGAAGTGGGGCATGATCTTGTGATAAGAGTTGCAGAGGTTAAGAACTTGAAGAGAGGCCATGCATGTAGGAAGATGTGGGGGGCCCAAGCAACCCCAGTGGTTGGGGCAGTGGAAGGCAGGATGCTCATCAAAGCAAAATAAACTTAGTTAAGGAGAAGTAGGGGCAGATTTCATAGTCAGAAAACACACAACAACCTTATCCATGCCACAGTCCACATTCAACAAGCACTTGTTGCCTTGAAGCCCTCATGACTCCCCAGTCCTGCGTGCAGGACACCCATGAATGTGTGTGCATGTGTGTTGTGTGTGTGTGCATGCGTATATGGACACATACACAGACAAGTGAATGACCTGTGATATGGGGTTTTATTCAATTACTGTATATAGTATACAGATATCTAACTCCCAGAATGCAAGGCTGAGCAATAAATATTAAATAACAATAAATATTAATCTAGCTTTGACAATAAAGCCTTATTTATGAAAGCCAAACCTCTCCAAAGATATGTTTTATATTACTCCTTAATTTATGACACAATCTTTATATTTTTGTTATTTTGGCACTAAAGCCCTTTCTTTTTTAATATACTTTATTTTTAAAGCAGTTTTAGGTTCGCAGCAAAACCGAGCAAAAAGCACAGAAAGTTTCCATGTACTCCCTGTCCCCGCCACCCCACATAAGCCTCCCTCACGATCAGTATGCCACACCATAATGTCCAGTTTTAAAATATGCTGCAACCCATTTAAACAACCATAGAACGTTCCCAAAATCTTCCTGACAACAAACAGCATGAATACGTGCCTACTGGCCGGGAGTGAGAACCAAGAGGTTGAAGACTTTCTTCCATATTGTTCTCAAAGCCAAGACTTAGGCCTACAGCAAACATCCAGCCACCTCCCTCTGCCTTGGCCGTTCTGTCTTGATAACCACAGCTGTATACTTCAGCAGTTTCAACCACTTACTTCCCAAGCCTACAAAATCTCCCTTTTGCTCCAGTTGCAAGGGGGGAGGCATTGGCTAAAGCAAATCATAGTCTCTGTGGGTACACCTGGGAGGCAATGAAACGCAATAGCTGAATGCCCCCATCCCCACAGAGACAGAACTATAGTAGCCTGCCATTCACTCACACTGCAGAAACATCTTTGTCTAAGCATAACTTCGTCCAGCCAGTTACAGGAACAAGTGGCTTCATCTCAAAGTAAAAGTTAAAAAGAAAAAAAAATTAAAGGAAACTGGGATCTTTTGGCTCAACTAGCCAGTCTTGCATCTGGAACTAAAATCAGAGGCCAGCCTCAAAAATGGACAAAGGACTTGAACAGATGTCTCTCCAAAGAAGGCATACAGATGGCCCGTAAGGACCTGAAAAGACCTGCAACATCACTAACCATTAGGGAAATGCAAAGCAAAACCACGATTTACTACCGCTTTTCAACCATCAGGATACCTAGTGGGTTTCTTTTTTTCCATTCCTTTCTTTAAAAAAAAAAAAAAACTTTTATTTTAGGTTCGGGGGTACCTGTGGAGGTTTGTTACATAAATAAACTGGTGTGTCATGGGGGTCTGTTGTACAGATTATTTCATCACCCAGATATGAAGCCCAGTACCCAATAGTTATCTCTTCTGCTTCTCCTTCCTCCCACCCTCCACCCTCAAGTAGACCCCAGCGCCTGTCATTTCCTTCTGTGTTCATGAGTTCGTATCATTTACTTCCCACTTATAAGTGAGAACATGTGGTATTTGGTTTTCTGTTCCTGTGTTAGTTTGCTAAGAATAATAGCCTCTAGCTCCATCCATGTTCCCACAAAAGACATGATCTTATTCTTTTATATAGCTGCGTAGTATTGCATGGTGTATATGTACCACATTTTCTTTATCCAATCTGTCATTAATGGGCATTTAGGTTGATTCCATGTGTTTGCTATGTGTGCATGTGAACAGTATTCCATGTGAACAGTGCTGCAGTGAACATTCGTGTGCACGTGTCTTTAAGGTAGAATGATTTATATTCCTCTGGGTATATACCCAGTAATGGGATTGCTGGGTCGAATGGTAGTTCTGTTTTTAGCTCTTTGAGGAATCGCCGTATTGCTTTTTACAATGGTTGAACTAATTTGCACTCTCACCAACAGAGCATAGGAGTTCCCTTTTCTCTGCAACCGTGCCAGCATCTGTTATTAATTTTTTTTACTTTTTAATCATAGCCATTCTGACTGGTGTGAAATGGGATCTCACTGTGGTTTTGATTTGCATTTCTCTAGTGATCAGTGATGTTGTGCTTTTTTTCATATGCTTGTTGGCCGCATGTATGTCTTCTTTTGAGAAGTGTCTGTTCATGTCCTTTGCCCAATTTTTAAGGGGGTTGTTTTTCTTCTGTAAATCTGTTTAAATTCCTTATAGGTGCTGGATATTAGACCTTTGTCAGATGCATAGTTTGCAAATATTTTCTCTCATTCTGTAGGTTGTCTGTTTACTCTGTTGATAGTTTCTTTTGCTGTGCAGAGGCTCTTAGGTTTAATTAGATCCCATCTGTCAACTTTTGCTTTTGTTGCGATTGCTTTTGGTGTCTTTGTCATAAAATCTTTGCCCATTCCTATGTACAGGATAGGATACCAAATATTTTTTAAAAAGAAAGAAAGAAAAGAAGAAGCGTTGTCAAGGATTTGGAAACATCCGAACACTTGTGCATTGCTAGTAGGAATATAAAGTGGTACAGTGTCTGTGGCATGGTAATTCCTTGAAAAATTAAACATGGAATTACTACATCATACAGCGATTCCACTTCTGGATATCTACATTAGAAAATTGAAAGCAAAGACTTGAACAGATATTTGCACAACAGTGTTCATTATTCACAATAGCCAAAAAGTAGAAACAACCCAAATGTCCATCGATAGATGAATAAAATGTGGTACATACATGTAATGAAATATTATTCAGCCTTAAAAAGAAATGAACTTCTGACTCATGCTGCAACATAGATGAACCTTGAGGATATTATGCTAAATGAAATAAGCCAGACACAAAAGGACAAATACTGTATAATTCCATTTACATGAGTTACTGAGAATAATCAAATCATAGAGACGGAAAATGGAATCGTGGTTACCAGGAGATGAGAGGAGAAGGGAGGGAGGGGGTTGGTGTGTCATGGGTACAGAGTTTCAGTTCTGCAAGATAAAAAAAAGTTCTGGAGATGGATAATGGTGGTAGTTAGGCAATAGTATGAATGTCTTTAGTGCCACTGAATTGTACACTTAAAAAGGGCTAAAATGGTAAATTTTATGTTAGGTATTTTACCATGATTTTTTTTAAGTTCACTTAAAAAACATCAGGAGCCTGCACCCCTTTTTGCACCAAGTCTTCCCATCAGAGCAGGGACAGGCCAGGGAGGCTGCCTGTGTCACAGCCACAGGAGACAGTGGTTTCAGATGGGGATGGGTCCTGGAGACATGGACAACCTCATTCTCTCCTGTCCAATCTCTCACCAGGGATGACACGCAGCTAAGTGGTGGAGCCAGCAGCCAACCCAGAGACCCTTGTCCTTATCCATCTTCTGCTGTCTGTGCCCACAACCCAGTCTCCACCACTGTGCTGAGGTCCGTCTACTCAGGCCCAGGCAGATCATGCACCATACATTCCTCTCTGTTCCTAGGTTCAATCTTTGCCTCAAATGCCCTTTGTTCTCTCGAGCTGGAAAAAGAACATCTGAGGAAGATATTGATGGCTGACAGCAGGAAAATCAGAAGTATCTTTGCAAATTAGAAAATAAAGTGAAAGACCTCATAGATAACACTTTCTACAGAAACTCAGCTTTGTTTCCCTATTCTCGTCCCATCATTGTTACATTCCTGGCCCAGCTCACCCTCGGCACCGGGTGGCACAGCCCAGGAGTGAAACTGTTCCTCACCTCGACAAGCCGGGGGGACATACAATCCACAGAGCCCCCAGTTTATTTGGCCTCCCCGTAGGTTTCTGCTGCAGCCTGAGTGAGGTTTACATTTATAAGGAGACCCTCATTCTCAATCTTATAAGGTCCTCTTGGAATATTCCAGACAGGAATGGAGCTGACAAGATGCTTGGAAGGGTGCAGGGCTGCACGAAGCCACCTGTCCATTTCCCCACCCTGAGACAGGGTCGCAGTGGATGAGCACCCGCTTTAGGGACATTGGAGGTGGGAAGCCCATTGTCACTCCTGTGTTGACATCACACGCTAGAAGGGAGTCTGTTTCCTCTCCCTGAATCCCTGACACTGCAAGGAAGTTATTTCCTCGAACTCTTGGGAAGTAGGGGAACTCCTGGCCACCAGCCTTTGTTTAACAGCCCTTCCTGTTGTCAAAGAGTGATGCCCCCACCGCCCCCTGGCTCTGCTGCAAAGCAGGTGATTTAACTTTGAGTCATCTGGGTGACTTCTCAGAAGCCACAGAGGCTCACCATGGCCTGTCACAATGGGAAGACAGCTGAGTGTGAGACACATGGAGACCCAGCCTTGACCACCACTGGGGAGGACAAGCTCAGGAGAAGGAAGAGGAGTGACTGGGAGGGAGGAAAACACAATAGGACAGTGGCTCCACAACTTGAGCGCCACAAAATCCCCTGGGGCCTGTGAGAACACAGATGTTGGGGCACCTCCCCAGCATTTCTGATTCAGGAGGGCTGGGCAGGGCCTGAGAATCTGCATTTCCAATGAGTCCAGGGTGGCGCTGAGCCTACTGATGTGGGATTGGATAAGGATGCCCCGTGCTGGACATTTCTGGAAGGGACCCACCCACCCTCTACTGCCTCAGGACCAGCCTTGGTGCCCACCCTCCTCCATCCCCACCTTTGTGCCCACAGCAGGGCTGAGTCCTCCCCACACCCACCAACCACCCCATCTCTGCTGCTGCTGTGCTCTGCTCCTCGGACAGTCCTGGGTATTTCCGTGTCCTGCTCTGCTCTGCATCTCTGAACGCTGCCCCAGGCCTACACCCTTTGCAGGGGCCCTGACCTCCGTGATTTGCCAGTTACCTGCTCCTTATAAAGCCCCCACCTGCAACCTGACTGACAGACTCAGGGATCCTCGTACCTGCCTGTGATGTCTTTTCCTACCTAGCCTGACCTCCCATCTGCAAAACCCTCCCATCCTTGGATGCCCAGCTTCACATCCTCCAAGGACCCTCCTCTCCAAGACTTTCCAACTCCCAAGCGCCCACAGAGCAGTCACTGTTTCTCAACTATGACTTCTTATGAGTAACACTGAAAACACAGATTCCTGTCTGTACCAAAAACCTTTAAAAATTAAGAATTAGCTGGGTGTGGTGGCGTGTGCTTATAGTCCTGGCTACTCCGGATGCTGCAGCAGGGGGATCGCTTGAGCCCAGGAGTTCAGGGTTGCAGAGATGTTGCCACTGCAGATTGAAACCCTGTCACTAAAAAAAAAAAAAAAAATACATAAAATAAAATAAAAATAGGTAGATAGATGATTGATAGATATGAAGGTATGATATAGAGATATATGCCATACTTCATTGTTATTGAGTGCGTGCTTTTGCAAACTCATCCCCTATGCACACTGCCCCACCTCTCCAACCCAGATCTGGAATACATCCCCAGGCAGGAGCTCCAATAAGTCACTCATCTATGTTGTATTATAGTAATTGTTTATACATATACAAACATAAATTTACACTTATTGTTACTATTTGTGTGTACATATGTTTATGGTAGGCAGAATAATATCCTCCCCGCCTCCAGCAAAATATGACAAAATAGGGCCATCTCCTAATCCCTGGAACCCATGAATATGTTACTTTCCATGGCAAAAGGGACTTTGCAGATGTGATCAAGGTTGAGATGGGAAAATTCTTCTGGACTATCCAGGTGAGCCCAATCTAATCACACGAGCCTTTAAAGTGGGGATCCTTTCCCCGATGTGGGCACGGAGAGGTGTGAGCATGGAAGGGTCAGAGACAGACGAAGGGGCCACCAGCCCAGGGGCAGGAAGAAGCCGGGAAGCACAGGAGAACAGAATCTCCAGAAAGGAGAGCAGCGCCGCCACCTTCACGTTAGACCCAGGAGACCTGGGTCAGATGGCTAGCCACCAGGAGTGTAAGATGCTAAGTTTGCATTGTTTTAAGCCACTGTGTTTGTGATAAGTTGTTAGAGCAGCAGCAGAACTAATACAGCGTGTGCGTGTGTGTGTGTCTGCATACACATGTGTGTGCACTTGTATCCCTGCTATGCCAGAGTTCTTAAAGACAAGATGCATGCTCAAATCACCTTTGTATCCCTTATGGAACCCAGAAGGAACGTCACAGTGTGAACATATTAGTGTAATTCCACCCATATATTAGTAATTCTTAAATGACACAGAATGTACATTGACCGGGGCTGACATTCATTTCTAAGCCAAGAAAAATGGTAATGAGGTGCAAAGAGGAAACCTGTTGCCCTTGGGATTATCAAAATCTCTCACCTCAGAAGAGGCTTTCTGGGAGACGTCATGGCCCAAATCAGGCCACAAGGAACTGCGTCTCCGGCCTGTAATTATTTCCTTTGACAATGATGCGCTAGACTCATGCTGCTGCCAGTAGAACCCTAGAGCCACTGCACCTCCTTCCAGGGCCTCCACCTCCCACTGATCCGGCCCAGAGGCAGAGCAGCAGCTACAAGGGCCAAGTCACAGCATGGGGCATCAGAAGACCCCAGGCCGGGCCCTACCCTCTAGCCCCTCACCCCTCTCCTTGCTGAATGTGGAAGCCAGCTAAGTCCAGGCAGGTGGTTGGAGGGATAGAGAAGGCCCAGGGAGGTTCTGGGTGCCAGATGCAGGAGAGGAGACCAAAGGTGGGGAGAAGAGGGTGTTCCCAGGAAGGAGACGCCCTGCTGGGAAACCCTGACCCCAGCCAGTGGCCAGGATGCCAGCTCTCTGCTGAGCCTAACAAGCCTGGTCGCACATACAGCATCGAAGCCCCAGTCCCAACCAGCTGGGCCAGGTGTGTGATGACATCACGGCTCTAATGACCCCGCCAGGTGACCAAAATCAACCTCGGGTCTGGGATAAAGAGTCACTGACATGATAAATACTGAAAGCCAAGCCGATAAGATGAAATGGGTGGGTGGTTTCCCTTAAAGAGTTACTGAAGGGTTGTCCAAGCCTTTGACAACCTTCATCAGATGAACAATTATTGGTTGCATGGTTGGTGCGAGCCAGGTGTGGATGCAAAGGTAAGCAACACGTTCCCTATCTAGGAGGAGGCAGAATAATTAAGATTTCTTGGGAATAAAATCTGACCCAGCTCCTAGCACCTGCTCAACAATCTTAGCTCTTTTATTTACATTTATTCAGTCTCAGATTTGCTCCCCGCTTCCTGTCCCCATCCCTCAGCTTTTTCTTTTAGAGCAAGCATCTAGTCCTTCTCTTGATACCAATGCAAATAGCCGAGACCCTTCCATTCATGTAAGACCCCATCTTCTTCCACTGCTAAAGAACTCTTGACTTAGTACAACATAAAAGACTTAAATTGTTTTCGGTTTATCTACATGAAGCCTGGCACTCTAAAATTTCCAAAGGATATGGAGTTGCTTTGTGACCTTTTGCAACTTCCTTTCTTTGCAAAACAAAAAAAGGTGTCCATCCTTCAAGCAGCCAGTTAGGTGGTTGATAAATATCCGAGTTCTAAGAAAGAGGATTACCAAGGGAAGAGATAACTTCTGCACCTCCTCACAAGAGTACAGTGTGCATGGGATCCTAATTTCTGAACCTGGGTCTTCCATTTCTAAGTCATTCTAATGGCAGATATTATGAAAATATTCTCACTCCCCCACATTGCTCAGAATCTTCTTGTCATCAGATAATGTCTCATAGAGGAAGGAGTCATTTTCTGGGAGCTCTAACCACAAAAAACATCTGGAGCCTTCTTAGAATCCAGGGTTAAAGGTCAGGGTGACTGGAACATTTGGGATGGTCACATCGTTCCTCTCCTAGCTTTACGTCAGGGAAACGTGGTACCACAGTGTGATTCGGTACCACAGTGTGATTCAGGGCTGCGTGTGACATCAACCTGCATGCTCTGGGGGCACGAGTGTGCCCTCATTAAAAACAAGCCCTCAAGAGATGAGAACCAATCTTTGGAGACACCAGCATTAAATGCCAGGAGCTTGGCCGTTGGCTGTAGGAATTTCCCAAACAGCAACATCTGTTACTAAGGAAACGACAATATCACTGCAATCCTCTAGCAGCTACTGTTTTACAGCACGGACCAGAGAGACAATAGTCTTGCACCTGCTCACTCACTCTGTCCTCCCAGCAGCCTTGCCAGGGATATGTGTATGACATCCTCAGCACACCCTCGGATGTGATATTGTGTGAATCAGCCCATTCCTCAGATGAGGAGACTGAGGCAGCTGGGAAGTGTACCCTGTTTGGGTCACATAGTGAGGGGCAGAGCTGTGACGACGAAGGTCTCCCACTCCAGCCCCCTCCGTAGAGCCCTGTCCACGGCATTCAGGCCAACTCTCACACCCGCTGAGTGGCTGTTTCTCAGAGTGTTTACATCGGTTTCCTCAGCTCTGCAGACCCGGCCTCCTCTACTTCCTCCCTTGCCTTTCTCTCTCCAGCACACGCTCACAAAGAGGAAAAAGGCCACCGCAGTAAGCCAAGCTGTCTGTCCAGCATGGACCATGGGCCGACACCACGCCAGGCCTCCTCTTGAACCTATTCCCTACAGAGGCCTTGCCAGCAGCCACAGAGCCTTGAGCAGGAAGCGGGCGGGGGGGGGGGGGAGGCGGGGGGCCCGGGGGGGCAGGGGGATTGGCAGGAGGGTGGGGGAGTGCCGAGGCTGGGCCATCACCCTGCCAGATGCTGGAAGGCACTTGCTTTTATGCTTTCAGAGGCAGGTCCCTGGAAGAAGGTCTCCCCAGCTGTATGCATTTCCTAGGGCTGCTATAAAAATGACCACAAACTAGGTGTTAATTCTTTTGTTCTTGAAACAACAGAAATTTATCCTTTCATAGTTCTGGAGGGCAGAAGTCTGGCAACAAGGCAGTGGCAGGGCCACGCTCCCCTGAAGGCTCAGGGAGGAACCTTCCCTGCCTGTCCCAGCCACCATCCTCGGCATTCTTTGGCCGTGGCTGCACCGCCCTCATCTCTGCCTCTAGCTTCACGCGGCCTTCTCCCTGTGTCTCTCTCCCCTTCCTAGAAGGAGAGCAGGCATTGGATTTGGGGCCACTCTAATTCACTATGACCTCATCTTGACTTAACATCTGCAAAGACCCTGCTTCTAAATAAAGCCACATTCTGAGGTTCTGGTTAGACATGAATTTGCGGGGGACATTACTCAATCCACTTAGCAATGTCGTGTACTCACCTCCTCTGCCAGGCCTCTCTGGCAAACAAGCAGGAGTCTACCTGTCACCTTCCAACTCAGGAAGGTGGGGCTTGGGTCCCAGCTTCCCGCTTCCTGCCCCCATCCCTCAGCTTTTTCTTTTAGTGCAAGCGTCTAGTCCTTCTGTTGATACCGACGCAAATAGCCAAGACCCTTCCATTCGTGTAAGACCCCATCTTCTTCCACCGCTAAAGAACTCTTGGCTTAGTAGAACATAAATGACTTAAATTGTTTTTGGTGTATTTACATGAGGCCCGGCACTCTAAAATTTCCAAAGGATATGGATTAGTGGATGGGATGGGGGGATGAAAGGACATCAAGTTTGACTCCATCCATACTTGGGGAACAACTGCAAAGTTTCCTGGGGGTCTATGTAGGCTGGAAAAGACATGGTCCCAAAGTTACACAGCCTTCATTTCTCAGAGATTCAGTCTTGCACAGAATGTCAGGCAACCAGTTTTCCAACTTCAGGTTTCTAAGTCGATTTCTTCTCAAGTTCTATGCATCTGTCTATTGGAAAGTCCTGCAGCTGGGGTCGGACGTCCCGGCTGAGCTTCAGGACTTTATCACATTGGGTGAGCCCATGGGTCCTCAGTCAGAGATTCCACGGTAACATATAGAGAGATGAGGGTAGAAACGTAGCTCACTGTGGCAACCCCATGACCACCAATGGGGACCGCCACAGTGAGAGTGCTTCCCAAGCTCCACGAGCCACCCAACCCTTCCTGGTCAGATCGGATCACCCCAAGTGACTGTTGAGATGCACTCAGTGGGTCAGAAAGGCAAGTGGGTGAGAGCAGATCACAGCCCTCCAAGAGCAACGTTCTCTAGGAAGGAATGATCCAGAGAACAGAGTGGGTGTCAGATGACTTGGGAGAGACACTGTTCCGTGTAGTTGAGGAGATTCAAGATTTAAACTTGAAGAGCTGAGTCAAGTATGAAATGGGGCTTCTGTTTTTCCACTGGGTTTATTCAAACAGTAGGTCCCCTGCTTCTTCCAGCCCTTTCTGTGGTCGAAAGACATCATCGGTCATGTACTTTCTGTTTCCTCTGTCCTGCTGGCCCCCAGGTTCCAGGGAATCCTTCTGCCCTCCAGCAAGATGACACCTGATGAAAAAAAAAGAATATCGAGTCAGTTCAAGCTGTGTGCATCTCCACAGCACAGCTAGCTGCCCCAGGGGACTGCTCAACTCACTTTGTACTTGAAACATTTCTTTTTTTAACCTAATCTAAATTTAGGAGCTAGCCAACAGAATAGAATAACAGGAAAACTCACGCCAAAGCCCTGGCACCTCCCACCCTGTCCCACCCAGCTTCCAGCTTCCTCTTTCCTCAGCCAAGAACCCTGACAGCCTGACCCTGCTGGCAGAAGGTCCTGTATTTCCCAGCAGCTGATGGCGAAGATTCAGAGCCTCACACTGGAGCCCACCCTGCAGAGCTCCTTCCAGCTAAGGAACAGGGGCCAGAGAGCTGTGCACAGCCCACGGCCCCTCACAGAGGGGGATCCCAGGCAGAAAAGGACTCAAAATCCAAATCTGGCCATTCACAATCCCCTCCCTGCATTTACTTCCTCATTACCCTTACAAGTATAGAGAGAACAGAATCGTTTCTGTTTTAGCATAATGTTTGTTAGACAGGTTGTACTCCACGGGTGTGAATTTTCTAGAAAAATGTTTCCATTTTATATTTCCATTCAGTTGACAATATAAATTTTAAAAATTAGTCTACTTTCATAAATTCACAGTTGAAAGACAGTTTTGTAGAATAAGACTAACACAGTATTTTACAAATGAGAAGAGAACCCATTGTTTTTTCCCCCTTTAAGTGGGATCTAAGCATTACTCAAATTTGGAAGAGAGAAAAAAAGCAGCGTTAGAATAGAATCGATAATCCAGTGGTCCTCAAGGTGTGCTCTTGGGGCCAGCAGCGTCAGCATCACCTGGGAGCTTGTTAGAAATGCAAACTCCTGGGCCTCACCCAGATCTTCTGAATCAGAACTCTGAAATCCGTGTTTTAACACGCCCTGCAGGGAATTCCGACACAACCTAAACCTGAGAACCGCTGTTGCAATCTAATGAATATTCAAATTGTTATGCTAGAACCTGGAATTCTAGCATCTCTTAGCACATATTTTTAATTGAACCTAGGGCGTTTCTACACATATTTTCACCTGTCACCTATTTCCCTTTGGAATGGGTCCCTTTGACCTATTATATGATGCCTCAGATCCCAAGAGAGATTTCAGCACAACTCCTGGAGTTGCTGTATGATGGAGTAACTACAATTCACAGGGTTTGCATCATTCGCTGAGCAGGTACCAGACACCAGGCGCTGCACAAATTCATTTAATCCTCCCAACAACCAATGGGATTTAAAATAACAAACTAAAAAAAAAAAACCAACAACAAAAAACACTCTATTAACTTCATTTCACAGATGAGAAAACTGAGGCCCAGAGAAGTTAAGCATCTTGCCCAAGGTCACACAGCTGATTGGGACAGAGTTAGAGCTGGAGCTCACGTTGCCTGGTCCCCATACTCACAAGATGTTGACCCTGCAGGAAAGAAAAATTATCTGGGATGCTTTCTAGAACAGGATAGACATCTAAACCTCTAGGGACTTCAGAGGCAATGAAGTCCACTCCTCTATTTCACAGATGAACATACTAAGGCCCAGGGTTCTTACAGGGCAATGGTACAGGGTCCCCCAGCTGGCTGCAGCAGAACCAGGACAACCCTGAGGTCTACCATACTGTACTCTTCACTTAGAAAAGCCACAGTCCCTGGGTGGCAGATGGAGAGGACAGGGCTTAGGTCACGCGTCCACAAGCACTTGGCCCACTTCAAACGCTTTCACGGTTCCCAAAATGCAAGAACTAGAGGCCTGACCTCATGTGAACAAAGCATTTTTGAATTCTAATTAATAATGAGCCACATAATTATCTTCTTTGGAGGAGCATATTTAACAGGAATAACTCCAGCGCTAATAAATCAGTTTTTTCTAAGGAAGTCACGACTTTTCCCACCTTGTCACCTCAGAGAGGATTTCTGCTCTAAGCTGTTTGAGCCTGTTCCTGGTTTCTATGAGGCAGAGAAGCCAGACTGTGCTGGTGGAAACCTTTTTTTCTTTTTCTTCCTCCGCCACCCTGTTGCTTGTTTTCAGGTGCTCTTGGCCCCCCGACCCTGCTCCCGTCTGTGTGTCTTCTGCTTTTACAAAGGGCGAGTTTCCACTGTTTCTTCTGCAATGCTCAAACATGATTGGCGTCCACCCCTCTCCCTGTGTCCGGAACTGGTGTTTGAGCCGTAACCATTTCCACAGCCTTGACTATTTTTCCCTAACAAAATACACCTTTGAATAAATGGCCTTATTGTGCTACCACCTTGGCCTCTTGAATGACAGTTTCTCCTCATGTGATTACCGTGTAGCTTTCACTGGAGATTTGTTTTTCCCAAAACAGCCTCTGGGATAAAAGCCCTCTGGCCCTGCTGTGGGGTCACTGGTAGCAACATGCCTGCCTCGTGCCCACTTCCACACAAGGCATGGGGCCATCAGCCATCATCCCAGCCCTCCAAGAGGCCTTGTAAATTCCCTGGGAAGACAAGTCATATGCTGAATTCAGGAATATAATGCATCATTCAGTAACTTCAGTAATCCCCATCCTGGGGGAGCCACAGAACGGGGGTGAGAAATCACAGAATTACGACAAGGTGTCTGGGAACTCAGGTGTCCAACAAGCATTGTCTGAAATCTGAACAAATCTGATTGACTGTTTTGCAATAAATATGTAGGTGCTATTAAGGCTAGCAAAACCCCAATTGCCTTAAAAGGGTCAATAATTTATTTATAACACCTATTTGACAATAGTTATTTTCTCAACCAACAAATACCAACCTATCCCATGAGTCTTCAAGATGTGTTGACATTACAAAGGACCCTCATTCCAAAACACTGGGAACCCCTGATCCAAGCAGTCTGTGTCCTGGGAGGTGAAGATATGGGGGTCACCTCAGCAGGGCCTGGGGAAAGGCTCTTTGAGGGGAGGGGCTTCTCACCTGCTTTTGTACAGGCAGTGGGGTGGCAGTGGGACTTAGGTAAGTGGGCAGTGAGTGGGCAGGGCCCACATTCCCCAAAGGGAAGAGACTGCGGAGGTGTGGGGGAAGAAACAGTCTGCCCTCAGCTTTTGTTGTGTCCTCCCTGCACTTTCTTACTAGCAGCTGGAGGTCAGAAAAGGGTGTTTGTTCAGGGCTGCTTGAGTGGGTAACGAGCTGAACCTCTCTGAACATGGCTTCCTCTTCACAGCCTCCAGCACCCATGACCTGGCTCACTCCCCTCCTGGCCAGCCAAGACCGGTCAGTTGGAAATAACAGCCCCCAGAGCCAAGGCTGACGCTGGCCCAAGGCACTGGCTGTGTGTTCTGCCCCAGCCCTGTCGGGCCAGCGCCTCCAGTAAGGAAAAGAGACTTGCTCCGTGGAGCTTCCAATGTGTTTTGGGGTGGGAGGTAGGGATTTGGAGAGGAAGTTGGATCACCTAAAATGCTGACAAACAGACGTACCTTTGCACAAACAATGCCAACATGCTGGCAGGATTAAAGTCATTCTTGTTGCTGTGAAACCATTTTGATTATATAAATAAAATAGTGCATCCCCATTGCTGACCTCCAAGATAAGGAAAGCTTGCCCCACATCCATAAAATAAGAATATTCTTTTGAACTAGCCACACCTAGAGGCTGGCTGTCAGGGCTCCTGAGGGGCCCTACTGGAATCACAAGCCATCCTAGCCGGCTTCTGTGCCCTCATTCCTGATGCAGCCTCTTCCTGGGGGGATAATTGAGAAAACCCAACGCGGATCAGGCCCTGGTCTCCATTGGCTCCCTGACCTCGCAGCCAGGGCTACTATCCTGAGTCTTAAGGCTCAGTGGCACCAGTAGCTTTACCTCCAACAGCCAGACCCCGCTCCCAGTTTCAATCCTTGCTCCTCCCCATGGCTTCCAGGATGGACCCAAGCTCCGGAGAGATGTGCGAAGCCCTCCCAGCTCTGGCCTGCTGGCCTCCCAGGCCACGACCACACACACACCCTCTCTCCTGCCACCCCCAGGCCTCCCTCCAGCTCCCCTAGCCAGGCTTCCCTAGCTGGTGTCCCAGGAGCCCGGCCACTTCATCTGTGCCGCTGCTGTTGCACAAGTTCCTGCCCCCCGTGCTCCTGGTGGACACACCCTCAGCCTTTGCATTCCATGTTCATCTACCCCTTGGTCACTCCACAACTCTTTGTGGCCCTGCCCTGGGGTGGGTGCTGGGGGGTATTGAAGAAGACAGAGGCTCTGGGGTCTCATGAGGCTTATGATCTATTCTACTAGAGAGAAGCTGAACAGTTATGCATGTTGTATTTAGTGACAACTGGTATCAGCGCTACCTCGGAAAAGAAGGCTGAATGCAGGAAGAGGATGCCAGGCTGGGGCACTGAGGAAGAGGTGGCGTGTGGCCCGCGGGAAGGCATGAGGGGCTGTCCTTCTGGAACAGGAAGTAGAACATTCTGAAGGGCATGTCACACGTTCTTCAAGCTCACTCTGCCAGCCACTGGAGAATGGACGTAATGGAGCCAAGGATGGCACCAGGAAGTCACGGGGGCAGTGTTTGCTGCTGTCCAGGTAGGAGATGGTGATGGGTGCCCTGTCCCGGGGGGAAGTTGTGGAGGCTGATCCAAGTGCACAGAACAACTCTGAGCTGTAGGAGAGGAAGGGGGCATATCCTTCAGAATTCTCCAGGAAACTTAACCTAGAAGACATAGACAGATAGAGATGTATTACAACGAATTGGCTTGCGTGATTATGGAGGCAGAGAAGTTCCAAGATCTGTGGTCAGCAAGCTGGACACCCAGGAGAGCTAAGGGTACAGTTCCCATCTGAGTTCAAAGGCCTGAGAACCAGGAGAGCCCAGAGTGTAGGTTCCAGTCCAAAAGCTGCAGGCTCAAGACCCAGGAAAAGCTGGTGTTTCAGTCCTAGTCCAAAGGCAGGAAAAAGCCCATGAGCTAGCTCGAAGGCCGGCAGGCAGGAGGAATTCTCTCTTACCTGGGGGAGGGCCAGCCGTGTTCTACTCAGCTCGGGACCCTCAGCTGATCTCATGAGGCCCCCCGACACTGGGGAGGACAATCTACTTTGCGCACTCATCACCTTAAGTGATAAACTCATCCAAAAACAGCCTCACAGAAATGCCCGGAATCAGGTTAGGCCAAGTATCTGGGCACCCCATGCCCCAGTCAAGTTGCCACATAGAATTATTCATGGCAGGGAGTTATGCAGGTTCTGAGAAGCAGTGTGGGGAGGTGGGTGCAGGATGTGCAGACACACACACAGGTGTGGAGCTCAGACAAGAAGAACGAGCAGGGGTACAGCCAGGGCAGTACAGGCATATGGAGGTTATTGGGGCCCCGGGAGGCTGTGGAGGCCCTAAAGGAAACAGGCTGGAGTTCAAGGCACATCCAGGACAGAGCCCTGAGGACCCCCAAAGACCCCACTGCTGGAAGTTTGAGCAGATCGGAAGATGCTGGAGGTAAAAGCACCTGGGAAGGGGCTGGCATGGGACTGGCCCAGGTGGGTCAGAGGGACCCTGTGCAGTGGGGCTCTGCACCCAGTGCACCTACCACTGACCCCTCATGCACCTGCCCATTCACCCAACAGTACAATTCGAGGAGCGAGTGAGAAAATCCTCATCTCCAGCTACCTGTCACCCTACCCCTAGCTTCCCTAGTCTCATTTAAGGAAAAGCAAACCAATTTCCTTTATAGAATGTGCCTGTAAGGCAACGTGACACACAGCTTACAGCAGCCACCAGCAGACTTCACTCATGCCATAAGTGGCGCCCTCTGCCACACTCTTGTCCTCAGAAGCCCGGAGCTCACCGCACAGGGCACCTCAAGATGGGAGGGGAGCGCCTGTTCCACCGACAAAGTTAGATGAGTAAGACACCTACTGCAACCTCACCCCTCACACACACACTCACGCACACACACTCACATTCATGCTCACACGCTCACACTCACGCTAACACTCACACTCATGCTCACACTCACACACTCACACTCATGCTCACACTCACGCCTGCACTCACTCATACACACTCTCACTCACTCTGGTGTCCACACTCTCGGGCTGATGTTCACCAACATACACATATGCATTCACATGCACACACACACACATACATGAACACCTGCACATATACTTGCACTCACATATGCTCACATACACTCACACATACACAATCACACTCACTTTCCCAATACACACATACACATTCTCATTCATTCATGTACCACATGCACACACACACATGCACACTCAAATGCTCACATTCACACACACCACATGCACACTCTCACACACATTCACACACACATGCACACACCACATGCACTCTCAAATTCTCACACACATTCACACGCACATCACATGCACACACACATGCACAATCTCAAACGCTCACACACATTCACACACCCCACATGCACTCTCTCAAACTCTCACATTCACACACACATCACATGCACACACACATGCTCACATTCACACACCCCACATGCACACACTCCTCACACATCCCCATGTTTCCGGCCACACCTGCCATTCCATACCCATTCCCTGTGGCCTGAGAGCCTGTCTGCAGGAGAAGGGGCCTACCCCAGTGCACAGGGAGTGAGGGAGGCTCAGAAGGCCAAGCCATCAGCAGACCATTTAGGGGACCCTTCCAAAGCAGCGGCTCATCATAGAAGTGGCAGTGAAACGCGGAATAAATGGAGTGAGGAGGTGAGGCAGACAGTAAAGGAAGACACGTTTCATAGGAGGCTTTGCTGCCTCAGGGAAACACAGCAGAAGGCAGGACCAGGGTGCAGCCTGTATTAGTCCATTTTCATGCTGCTGACAAAGACATACCCAAGACTGGGTAATTTATAAAGAAAAGAGGTTTAATGGACCCACGGTTCCACGTGGCTGGGGTGGCCTCACATCATAGCAGAAGGCAAAAGTCACATCTTACATGGCGGCAGGCAAGAAAGAGAATGAGAACCACCCCTTTTTCTTGTTTTTTGGTTTTTTTTTTGAGACAGAGTCTCGCTCTATCGCCCAGGCTGGAGTGCAGTGATGCGATTTCGGCTCACTGCAAACTCTGCCTCCTGGGTTCACGCCATTCTCCTGCCTCAGCCACCAGAGTAGCTGGGACTACAGGTGCTCGCCAACATGCCCGGCTAATTTTTTTTTTCTTTTCTTTTTTTAGTAGAGACGGGGTTTCACCATGTTAGCCAGGATGGTCTCCATCTCCTTACCTCGTGACCCACCCACCTTGGCCTCCCAAAGTACTGGGATTACAGGCGTGAGCCACTGCGCCCGGCCTGGTTTCCCCTTATAAAACCATCAGATGGCATGAGACTTATTCACTGCCACTAGAACAGTAAGGGGGAAACTGCGCCCATGATTCAATTATCTCACACTGGGTCCCTCCCACAACACATGGGAATTATGGGAGTACAATTCAAGATAAGATTTGGGTGGGGACACAGCCAAATCATATCACAGCCCTCCACTGTCAGGTGCCTGGCACTGTACAGACGTGGGAATCCAGGCAGGATTCTCTGCCTGAACCTCTCTCATGAAGACGAGGGAACACACAGCAGGCAAATCCCAGGGACAAGCCAGGTCGTGACTTTGTGCCCCTAGTGAAAGAAGGAGCCGATCATTTCATTCATTGTGAGGTGGTCTATGTGCAAACAACATGTGAGCACCATGACTGGCAGTGCTTTAAGACTTCTATAAATTAATATTCAAAATTGAAAATAATAATCAGATTAGATTATTTTGGATTTGGACTTTTTGAATTCATTTCTCTAGCATTTTCATTTCACATATTTTTTAAACTTTTAATATTGAGAGAAGTATGAGCCAATTATCTTTTTCAGGCAATCACAGTATTGGTGTCGTGTCTCAGCAGGCTGGGGGTTGGGGCCCTGGATTCAAAGCATCCATCTGAACATATTGTCACCCGTGCATCCTGAGAGAGACAGCTTCATGGAGTGGAGGTGTGTGGCCTGGAGGCCCCACGTAGGCCACCAGGCATGTTTTCCACGAAAACCGAAACTTCTGACGGGATTACTAACATTGGGAGATTTCCGTTTCTTGGACGCCAGTGGAGGGGCTGCACCAGCCTTAAAAGAAATCATGTGAGCCTCCACGAATCAGCAAACAAAGGAGAAATTAAGGTTCTGCCCACTTTTGTGGTTTTTGCTTTTCTGGAAAGTTTACGTTGTGCATCCTTAAGTCATTACGTAACACTGTATTAATAAGCAGTTGACTCAGAACTCCAGAGGGCTTCTGAGCTGGTGAAGTCCATTCATGTTACTAAGTCTATTCTTCCTCCCAGAATAAAATCTTCCATCTTCTCTGAGTTAGGCCTTCCTCATCAGAACCATTTCTTTTCTCATTCAGCTCTCTGAGGTTTTCTACTTATCATCCAACTGTAGTATCCACTGATAAATTACACGGATTCACAATCCAGCCACTTACTTTGTTTCCTCCTAACATTTGGAATAAGCTACTTCCTGCACCAGAGCCTCTGTCTGTCATGCCTTTACCGGATCTTATTTTGGGGGGCTGACCAGTTGCCTAAACCCACATGCACCCTCTCACCTGGGTTCTCAAGAACTTCTATTTTGGACATCCACCAAAAAAAAAAAAAAAATCTTGTTAAGTAAGATGAACACTTACCTGATGGCAGAAGCCTGTTGTGCTCATCAAAACTTTGAGATAACCAGGGTTCCTGGAATCTAAATCTTCCTATATAAAATAGCAGAGTAGCTGATCAAATAAGAGTCAGACAAGTAAGGGTCAACTTTGGAATCAATAAATGGGGCTGGACCCAGTCATTCACCTACATTCAAACAGCAAATAGGCTGGGTGTGGTGGCTCACATCTGTAATCCCAGCATTTTGCGAGGCAGAGGCAGGCAGATCACGAGGTCAGGAGTTTGAGACCAGCCCGACCAACATGGTGAAACCCCATCTCTACTAAAAATACAAAAATTAGCCAGGTGTGGTGGCCTGCTCCTGTAATCCCAGCTACTCAGGAGGCTGAGGCAGGAGAATCACTTGAACCCGGGAGGCAGAGGTTGCAGTGAGCCAAGATCACACCATTGCACTCCAGCCTGGGCAAAAGAGCGAGACTCCGTCTCAAAAAAAAAAAAAAAAAAAACAACCAGCAAATACCTGTGAACAGCCACCTGGGCTTTGCTGAAAGGTTCTCCCATTTCTGATGAGGGTTTGTCTCTTTTTAAAATTTCATGTACCTAAAAAGTGAATTGATCACAAGAGATTGTATCCAAGGAAAGCCCCTCTCCCAGGAATGTTAAGGGGAGAAATAAATTTGAGCGTAGAGCTGCGGGCTCCTGGGGAAGGAAGTGCTCAGTAAGTATAGTACAAGGCAGCATGACACTAATATGAGGCTGAGGTGACTCTGTAACCACTGGCTGACTACAGTATCAACATCCATACAAAGACAGTAGCAGATTAAAGGAGGACACACATGGCCTGCCCTCAAGCTCATTCACAGCCCACCAAATCAACTCTTTGTTCAGCTTCTTGACTTTTCACAGTCTGCTGGCTTCAAGATGTTTTCCCTGGCCTTCTTCTAATGCCTCTTCCCTAATCCCAGGTAAAATTACTGAGGGGGGTTACTCATTCGATATATATGTAAGTTATTTGAGAAAGTTTATTAAGGCACAGTGGCTCACGCCTGTAATCCCAGCACTTTGGGAGGCCAAGGTGGGTGAATCACAAGGTCAGGAGTTCAAGACCAGCCTGGCCAAGATGGTGAAACACCGTCTCTACTAAAAATACAAAAATTAGCAGGGCATGGTGGTGAGCGCCTGTAATTCCAGCTACTTGGGAGGCTGAGCAGAGAATTTCTTCAACCTGGGAGGTGGAGGTTGCAGCGAGCCAAGATCGTGCCACTGCACTCCAGCCTGGGTGACTGAGCGAGACTCCATCTCAAAAAAAAAAAAATGCTATCCACAAAGTTGGATAAGTACAGAAACATTGTCCCAGGAAATGAAGCCAGTGATTAGGGCAGGGGTTGGCAAGTGTTTTCTGTAAGAACCACATAGTAAATATTTTCGGCTTTTACTGGCCCATTTGGTCTTTGTTGCAACTGCTCAACTCTGCCATCAAAATGCAGGCAACAGCCGTGGATAATATGTAGTGAATGGGCATGAGCATTGTCTTAGTTAATTTTCTGTTGCTTAAAACAGAATGCCTAAAACTGGGTCATTTATAAAGAAAAGGAATTTATTTCTTACAGTTATGGAGGCTGAGAAGTCTCAGGTCAAGAGGCCACATCTGGTGAAGATCCTCTTGCTAGCCAGGACTCTCTACAGAGTCCTGTGGTGGTTGGTGCAGGGCAACCTGTGGTGAGAGGACTCAAGTCTCACTTCCTCTTGCTACAAAGCCGCCAGTTTCCCTGCCACTGTCTCCCTTCCTCTTCTTACAAAACTGCCAGTTTCCTTGCGATGATAAACCACCAATCCATTAATGCATTAATCCATTAATCCATGAATAGATTAATCCATTCATGAGGGCAGAGTTCCCATGCCCCCATCACTTCTTAAAGGCCCTATCTCTTAATATAGTGACGTTAGAGACTAAGTTTCAACATGAGTTTTGGAGAGGACATTCAAACCATAGAAGTGTGTTCTAATGAAACCACGTTTATGGATGCTAAAATGTAAACATATAATTTTCATGTTCCACAAAATATTGTTCTTCTTCTGATGTTTTCCCACACTATTAAAATATAATACTATGACTAGCTTGTGAGCCACATGAAAAGAGGCGGCAGGCTAGATTCGGGCTGTGGGCTGCAGTTCGCTGGCATCTGCTCTAGGGCCACTCTCTCAGTAACAAAAACGTGCATTCGCCTCTAATAACACGCATGTACATGTGACACTACTCAAACAGTGAGCAAGCTGAGACTGAAAAACGTATCAGTTGACACTCCAGAATGTTCTTGCTGAAATCCTTCAGTGGATCATCTCATAAAGTCCTGGGAATGCACGCTGAGGCATCCAACCTAGAAAATGAGATGAGAAACTCCTGTAAGATTTGAGTGTTCTGTTAGCCCACCATCTCCAGAGATTAAATAAATAATAATAACTATGGTGCATTCAACATCTCAATCTGAGATGTTTTAGTAAAATGAAGGCATGCTCGCATGTATTCACAAAGCCTAGAGGTGAGAAATAGAAAAGATCTCAGTATTTCAAATCTGAGTAGCGCTGTGCTTGTATCATTCAGCTCAAAATCTGCAGAAGCACTTAGACCAGTTAAAACTGTGCAATGCGGTCAAGCGTTCAAATATTTTATCTCGATCAAGAAGGAGGATGTGGGATGATGTGGGATGCCCTGCATCTTCCCCTCCCTTTTTTCCTGGAGGGTTTGAAGCCATCCCAATTCATTTTTTTCCAAAGTCTGACAATAACTCAGTGGGTCATCCCAGCCTTGGAACGAGCCATTCCTGGATGCCATGGAAATTGTCTATGGGGGATGCCTCCCCAGCTATCTTCTGCAGCCTACATCTGGACCAGTCAATAATCTGAACCCTCAGCTTTCTGGATGTGAATCTTTCCCCAGACTAGCTGAGAACTAGGGGTTACTCAAGAATGCACTAAACAATTCTTCCCCCACTACCCTGTACCTCCACAATCAAAAGTGTTAGGGGCCAGGCAGGGTGGCTCATGCCTGTAACCCCAGCACTTTGGGAGACGGAGACAGGTGGCTCGCTTGAGCCCAGGAGTTCGAGATCAGTCTGGACAATATGGCGAAACCCTGTCTCTACTAAAAATACAAAAAAATTAGCTAGGCGTGGTGGTGGGTGCCTGTAATCCCAGCTACTCAGGAGGTTGAGGCAGGAGAATCACTTGAATCTGGGAGGTGGAGGCTGCAGTGAGCGGAGATCGCACCACTGCACTCCAACTGAGGCAACAGAGCGAGATTCCATCTCAAATAAATGAAGAAATAAAATGAAAATAAAAAAGAGTGTTAGGAATAAAGCCTGTCAAATCATCATTACTGCTCCTAAGCATCTCTGGGTGCTTCTGAAATTGCTGTTAGGCTATTTGCAAGACACTGAACATTCCAGAAAGTGTGCTAGAGCATTGAGAATTCCCTCAGGGACTGTAGCTGCAGACCTTGCTCTCACATGCAAGGTGACCACGTGGCCTGCACGTTCCAGGACAGTGCCTGCTGCAAACAGTCTACCCCTTTACCTTTTACATAACTGTACTCACCGATCAGGAAAACAGACCTTGGTCAGACAGAAGCGATGGTCATAATCTCTCTGCAGATGGACTTCTAACTACATTTCTTCAAATTGCAACAAATGTAAATACAATCAGTCATACACACTCTATGCTACCACCTTCTCCCATTTTAGGGTGTTGAAAGCCCAAATTAATCACGGCTGGGTGGGGCAACTCACACCTGTAATCCCAGCACTTTGGGAGGCCCAGGCGGGGGTGGATCGCTTGAGTTTAGGAGTTTGAGACCAGCTTGGGCAACACGGCAAGGCCCCATCTCTACAAAAAAATACAAAAATTAGCCAAGCATGGTGGTGTGCTCCTGTGGTTCCAGCTACTCAGGAGGCTGAGACAGGAGGATTGCTTGAGCACAGGAGGTCGAGGCTGCAGTGAGCTGTGATCACACCACTGCACTCTAGCCTGGGTCATACAGTGAAATCCCGTCTCAAAGGAAAAAAAAAAAGTCACATGTGAAAACTTCTGGAGAGTCCAAAGACAAACACCATAGCTCATGGGCCATTAAGACAATCTGTACAAACACTCAATGAACCAATATGAAGACAGAAATCCTGGTGAATTGTATATGTATTCCAGAAGATTAAAATCAGGAAGGCAAAGGAAAATGGAGAGCTGGCACTTGGCACCCATGAAAGACCCACTTTCCCTGCCCTACCAGGTGGCATTTCTCCTTCCCACCCTCAGGATCAGCCTGGCATCAGCGATTATCTCAGCCCACTGAGGCCTGGATGCTGCTGGCTGATTTTTGTCTCTGCAGTCAGGAGCCAACCACAGGCCTCCTGAACCTCCAGCACCCTGGCTCACCCAGGACAACAACACAGATCAACTCCCAAATAAATTCCTCTCTGTTGTCCTGCAATGTGCTAATTGCCCATAATGAGCACATCATAATAATTAAGGATGACTACGCCAAACCTTTGACTGAGGTAGCAATCCTTCACCCACAAATGGCAAGGCCTTTCCTAAATCTTAATTAAAGAGCACACCAGCCACCTGAGCTGAGGCAGAGTTCTCCCACTTTCGAGATGGGGAAAATGGAGGCTCAGGGTGGCAGGTTTCTTATTCTATTCCATAAGGCACACTTGTACATTTTAATTGGTTTAAATTAAGTGCTATACATAACCTATAAGGAGGTTGTTAAATAAATTGCTTAGCCGTTGCAAAGAATGATAGGTAGTTGTAAAAATTCATGTTTTGAAGACATGGGAAAATGCTTGTTATGGAATTTTAAGAGAAATTAAGAAAGATAAGTGTTGTATTTGTAGGACGGTCTTGGTCGAGTGTGAAAATACCCGTGCTGGTGTGTGTTTGTGTGTATCAAGAGTAGATCATAATGTTAACACGGGTTCGCAGTTTCTTGGGTGATTCAAGATGAATTTTCATGTTTTCTATACTTTTTTGTCATTTCCAGATTTTCTACAACAAACATTTAATCTTTTATAATAAGAAAAAGATACATGTTTTAAAGATTTTTAAAGGTATTTTACTTTTTTTAAAAAAAGATATTTTAAAAGACTTTCCTATTCTGTTTTAAATCAGGCTCCTTGGCCCTCCCTTATTAACTCTTTAAATGCATGCAGGACATTCGCTCGGCAGCCTTCTTCTCCTGGGTCACCTGTACTTGGGTTTGTGGTGAATTGTCAAGCATGTCAGCGGGGTGGGACTCCTGCTTCAGGGGATGCCTCCCTGGAATTCACTCAGAGCGGTTGGGAATATCCAGCAAAGTCTGGGGATGCAATGTGTGGCCAAATCCCAGGTCTCCATCCAGAAGCCCCTGTGGCCCCTGCTCAGAGTCCATGGAGTGACCTTTGTGGCCACAGCTTTCCAGGAAACAGACGTGTGTGCCGGGCACCTCCTTCTCAGCCCACCCAGCTGTCTGGTGGTCAGCGAGAGGAGAAAAGGCAGCCCCAACATCAAAGACATAGCAACTGCCTGGTGACTTCCTCCCCGGCCAGCTGGAGGTGTCAGCTCGAGGCCGGACTCTGTTTCCTGCTGCCAGGGCAGCTGCTTCCCTCTTCCCTTCAACTCAGAGGTGAAAGGTTCGCACCATCTGCAAACGCCACCCTCCAGCATTTGACTCCCACACCCTAAACAAAACAGCAACCAGACATCATGAGCCCAAACTGAAACCCACCCCCCACCCCAAGGATGGGCAATGTGGAGAGACCTTTGCCCACCAACAACATTTTCCCACTACACCCCAAAAGGAAGAAGCCATCCTCCCTTAAACGCCTTCCGATCTGACCCTGGATGCTCAGGCCGCTTGGCTGTTCCCGGGTGCAGGGTCAGGGACCCTGGGAGGCTCCGAGTTGCTCAATGCCTCTGAGCACAGGCTGACTCTCTTCACAGCAATCTGGGGAATTTGGGCTGTTCTGGGGTGGAGCTGGGGACAACGGTGTGTGTCGGGCAACAGCAGCGGCCTCGACTTGTTCTGGCTTTTGGCTCTGCAGGGAAATCCAGGCAGATTGGGACTGAGGAAGGCTGGGTGGGTGGGCAGGGCTGGTGGACATGGGGAGCAAGGTGGTGGGCCACCCCGTTGACAGACCTCTCCGGGAGAGAAGCCTGTTGGAGCTGGGCCTGGGCGCAAAGGGGGAGAGAGGGTGAGGCGCTCTGGGAGGGAGCCCTGAACACAAGCTGCGGGAGGGGGGAAGGGAGGAGGAAAGGGGACGGGCCTGGGTCCCCCTGTGGAGGGCTGAGCTGGGGACAGGCACAGAGCAGAAAGGAAGCCATCTACCCTTTAAAATGCCTTCAAAAAAATAATCCCAGGACTCCCTTGTACCTTCCAACTTGCCTGTCGGCATCTATTCAGTGTTTTTCGTGTGGCACTCAAAGAAGAGAAACACAGTCTGTGCCACGGCGGGCTGGCCAGCTGCGGGGAACCCTCCCATTTGGAGGGAAAATGAAGACTGCAGGATGGTGGAGAGAAACGTGGGGGCCTCCTGGCCAGCCCTCTTTTCCCCGGCTCCAGAAAGCACTATGAGAATTCCTCGAGCCCTCTCATGTTTATAGCTTCTGACCCACACCTGGCTGGTCTTCCAGGTGGGTCCAGTTCTTTCCTCTCTCCTAGCACCCACCCAGCCCCCAACACGCATCCCCAGGATCCCCCAATACCACGCCTCCAACTCCGCCTCTGGCGCCCTTAGGTTCCATGCGAGGGTTCCTCCGGCATGCGCCATGGAAGCTGTGGCTCAGGAAAGCCTCATTCACATGCTTGGCAACCGCACACTGGAAAGCAGCCAGCAGCCCCAGGAGCCACACTTCACCTGATCCATCCACAAAATGGGCTGAACGGACCCAAGGCGAGAGAGCCAGGTCCAGCCGCCCAGCTGGCCAGACCTGTGCACTCGCTAGGGCACGATGTCAGTCATAGCCTCGACTGTTGTTAATCCCACAGACAGGTGGCTTTTGGTCCCAAATTTGTGACAGGCACGAATCACGGAGCTGGGAATCCGGAAGACTTGGATTCCCACCTCGCTTCTGGCTCCCGATGCTGTGGAACTATAATTCAGCCTCCACTTCCTCATTTATCAGAAGTTGTTGATGAGATGCCTTGGAAATTCTTGCCAACTGTAAAATCAAAGAGATGGCAAGGACAAACCACGTGCCTTCAGAAAGTGCTTCCCCAGGCACCTGCATGCTCACTCTCTTACCCATGTCTCCACCCCTAATCCCTCCAATGCCCCAGGAGGGGGCTGGGTGAGTGTTGGGTGGCAGTGAGACCCAGTCACCCAGCTGGTGAGCAGGTGAGCCAAGACCACACCCAGGGCCGCCGTCCTACCTCCCAGTCAATCATGCATATGGGAGATAGATAAAGCCCTAAATGCTCATTTGGAGCTGCTTGAGAAGAGAATATAATTCATGGGCCAAAGATACAGAAATGTCTTTCCCAGTGGGAGGCAAGCCGGTGGCACCTGCTCTCCAGGGCCTAACACCCTCATTTCCGCCTCTCCGGTACCTGATGCTATCAGAGGATTGACTCCCTCTAAAGGCCAACCTGAGACCTTCACTCAGCTCAAAATGTGGTTCAGGGAGAGAAACTAACAAAAGGGAATGGGAGTGGGGGGAAGAAAAATCATCTTTTTCTGCCACCAAAGAACAGCTGCAAACATAGAGAACGTGAAGTAGCCGGGAAGTCGTCGTGGCTGGTGTGAATTCAGTCCCAGGGGAATCGGCCGCACTGAAGTGCTGAGCGAACGCTGCCCAGAGAAAGGCAAGCCCAGCGAAAAGGCAGGCCCCTCCCAAGGTCAAGGCTTCCTCGATTCGGAGGCAGCCTTCCATCGCAAACTGCACCCCCGCCCACAGTGTCAGGCTGCAGCGTCAGGAACAAAACCAGCAGCCCAGAGTTGATGAGGCGCAGGCGGTGCCCAGGCCCATGGGAGGGTTAATTAAGGCCGCCCTGAGCTGCATACCTGAGTCTCAACACTTGGGCTGAACTGCAGACCTGAGTGCCGAGGACATGGGGCCAAAAGCCGAGAAGGAATGTGAGGCTGCCCACGCGGCCATCTTGGCCGGCAGCCACGGCTGACCTGGAGGGGTGAAGGCCTGGGATGCCATTCCTCCACAGAAGACTGCATTAGCCAGGGCTGGAGGAACGCCAAGGCCATGACCCACAGAAGCCCATGAGAGGCTGAGGCCCAGCCCGGCCCATCTTCTCAAGCCTGGCTTGACCCCCACCTGTGACATCCTGCTTGGTCCCGGAATCAGTGTGATGTGATCAGGAAAGGCGAATTTCTGCTGTGTATTTGACAGAATATCAACTCAGAGTCCCTGGGGCTGCCACAACAAAGTAACACAAACCAGGAGGCTTAAAACAACGGAAATGTATTGTCTCACCTTTCTGGAGGCAAGAAGTCCAAAATCAAGGCTGCTGTCCCTCTGAGACTCCAGACAGAGCCCCCCTTGCCTCCTCTAGCTTCCGATGGTGACCATCAACCCTTGGCACTCCTCAGCTGGCAGCTGCATCGCTCCACTCGCTGCCTCCATCGTCACACTCCATGTGTGTCTATGTCTCCAAATCACATTTTCCTCTACCTATAAGGACCAGCCATATTACAATGGGATCCCACCCTAATAACCTCCTCTTTACTTGATCACAACCACAAAGACCCTATCTCAGCATCACTCCAATCTCTGCCTTCATTGTCACAATCCATGTGTGTCTGTGTCTCCACGTCACATTTTCCTCTACTTACAAGAACAAGCCATATTAGATTGGGATGCACCCTAATGACCACCTCAACCTGCTTACATCTGCAAAGACCCTATCTCCAAATAAGTGCTCGTTTCCAAACACCAGGGGTTGGAACTTAAACACATCTTTTTGAGGGACACAATTTGACCCACAACAGAATCCTAACACTTGGGCTGAAAAGAAAGAAAAACGTCACAGCTCAAAAATCTTTATAAAATAAGCATTATTGTTTAAAAATATAGAGAAATAGCCTGAAGATACATCATCTGGAGCTTTCATTTGTTGGACTATTATGCAGTCACTGAAAACTATTATTCAGAGACAATGGGATGAGGTGACAATATATTTCTAACAATCTTAAGTGATACCTATGGTGGTGATGATGTGAAAACGTCACATGAATAATGAGGCCAGGGTGGGGAGATGAAACTGCTGTGGGGGAGTTGGGAGATTATGGACAATTTTTCTCATTATATTTTTTATCTTAAACTTCTTTGTATTTAATATTTATTTATATATTTATTTTTAAATTAATATTAATTAAGTGTATATTTGTATTTAAATATTTTTAAATTAAAAAGAAAGGGGAAAAGGTGAGCTTCAGCTTACACTCAGCGACTATAGGATTTGGGAAGGTATTAACCTCTGCACTCAGTTGTTTTTTTTGTTTTCTTTTGTTTTGTTTTGTTTTGAGACAGAGTCTCACTCTGTCACCCAGGCTGGAGTGCAGCAGCATGCTCTCAGCTCACTGCAACCTCCTTCACCTCCCGGATTCAAATGATTCTCCTGCCTCAGCCTCCCAAGTAGCTGGTGTTACAGGCATGCACCACCATGCCTGGCTAATTTTTTGTATTTTTAACAGAGACAGGGTGTCACCATGTTGGCCAGGCTGGTCTTGAACTCCTGACCTCAGGTGATCTGCCCACCTCGGCCTCCCAAAGTGCTGGGATTACAGGTGTGAGCCACCTGCAGCCGGCCTGCACTTAGTTTTCTAAGTGCACATTAGGCGAAACATACATCCCTTCCACCTCTGAGGGCAGCTGGGGTACTGACACAGCTGAAATGAATGTGTTAGGCCATTTTTGCATTGCCATAAAGAAATATCTGAGGCTGGATAACTTTAAAAAAAAAAAAAAAAAGAGGTTTATTTAGCTCACAGTTCTGCAGGCTGTACAGGAAGTGTGATGCCAGCATCTGCTCAGCTTCTGGGGAGGCCTCTGGGAGCTCTCACTCATGGTGGAAAGCAAGGGGGTGGGGTACACACATCACACTCGAGAGCAGGAGCATGAGAGAAAACGGGAGGTCCCAGACACTTTTGAACAACCAGATCTCACGTGAAATGAGTGAGAACTCGCTCATCACCAAGGGAATGGTGCTAAGTCATTCATGAGGATCCACCGCCATGACCCAACACCTCCCACCAGGCCCCACCTCCAACATCTGGGATCGAATTTCAGCATGAGATTTGGAAGGGGCGAACATCCAAACAGTAGCAATGTCCTAAGGATGCAACCCCCCCACCCCCCGGAGAACTCTACGGCATTCTAATGAAACGGTTCGCCCTTCATGTTATTACAGAGCAAGGCTGCATTTCCATCATTGTCCTTTTAAATGCTTAAGTGAGCCCAGTTACCAATCAATACTACTGACAACAGGAAGAGGAAAAGAAGGAAGAATCAGCGATACAAAGAGCACAAAGTCAAAATGAGTCCAACCACTGGACATGGGTGTCACTGGCAGAAACTTCCAGAAGCTTGGTTCAACATTACCTGCCACAGGCTCAACCTTAAGGCTTTGAGCTGATACAAGAACTCCAAGAATTGTTTCCTGGCACAATTTCACTCATTTGCCAAGTTCTACAGCGTGGGAACCTGCAAAGCCTCCCCATCTCATCACCACTACGTGACCCATTCGTTCCACACTGGCCTACGGGGCGTCCATCCAGGGAGGCGTGTAGCTGTGGCCAGGATGCAGCAGAGGACATCTCGGAGTCCCTGCCCTCATGGGCTCCTGGGACTGTGAAGGGGACAGTCAACAAACAGAAGAGTGCTGGGAGTGTCAAGAGGTGATGATCGCCCAGAGGAAAAGACAAGGTGAGAGGGGAGCCCAGCCCAGGGTCGAGTTCTCGGGGGCGGGACGTTTGCACAAAGATGCTGTGAAGTGTGGGGGGAGCAAGCATTCCTGTACTCAGGGGACAGAATGTCTCATCCAAAAAGGACCAGCAGGTGCTTCCAGGAACATCAAGAAGCAGGTGTGTCTGGGGCAGAGCAAGTGAGCAAGAGACAGGAGGAAAGAGGCCAGAGGGAGGCTGGGGCCAGAACAGTCAGGGCCTGGAAGCAAAGGTCCAGACTCCAGATTTTATTCTTCGTGAGAAGGGGGCCGCTGCAGGGCTTTGAGAAGGCAGTGTCACTTTTTTTTTTTTTTAAATAGAGTCTTGCTCTGTCACCCAGGCTGGAGTGCAGTGGCATGATCTCAGCTCACTGCAACCTCTGACTCCTGGGTTCAAGTGATTCCCCTGCGTCAGACTCCCAAGTAGCTAGGACCACAGCTACATGCCACCACGCCCAGCTTATTTTTGTATTTTTAGAGACGGGGTTTCACTATGTTGGCCAGGCTGGTTTCAAACTCCTGACTTCAGGTGATCCTCCAGCCTTGGCTTCCCAAAGGGCTGGGATTACATGTGTGAGCAACCGAAACCAACCAGCAGTGTCACCTTTAAAGGGATATCTCTGGATGCTGTGTAGAGAACAGCTGGGGTATGGTACCCAGAGTGAGGAAGGGGCCAGGGCAATAGCTGTGGGGTTGCTGAGAGGGGGCAGACTCTGGACAATTGTTGAGGGATTTGCACAGAGCATGCCAGGATTCAACAAGCCCAGCATGTCCACCTTTGGAGCCAGGACCCCAGGGGAGCCACAGCAGGGCCAGAGCAGAGGAGAGAGAAGACACACTGGGATCCATCAGCACCTCTGCCTCCATCCATTGATTTTCTGAGACTCACACTAGTTCCTCTTGAGGGGTTGTTATGTAAAATACAGGATGCCCCACTAAATTTGAATTGCAGATCAACAGTGGATAATTTTTTAGGCATAAGTATTTCCCATGCAATACATGGGATATGGTTACACTGAAAATTTGCTATGATTGATCTGCATTCAACTTTAAATAGAAGTTCTGTTATTTTGTTTGTTAAATGGGCCAAGTTCTATCAGAACTCCCCAAAAAAGGAGACTCTGGAAAATGTATTCCCAGCTTGACCAAGACAGAGCTCCTGTCCCCAGGAACTGACAAAAACAACCACTACCAACACTGAGTGCTTACCATGCACCCAGCACTGTGCCCACATGTTCAGCACTTCATCTAATTCCACAGCCCAGAGGATTACATTTTATTACTACTGGTTTGCAGATGAGAAAACTGAGGTTCACAAAGATACGCCAACTTACCAAAATTACACAGGTGGGCATAATAATAGCTAACACTTACACAGCACATGTAAGCTCAGGCATGGATCTAAATGGATCTCACTTAATCCTTTTTCACAGCTCTATGAGACAGGAACTGTTATTGAACCCATTTTACAGATAAGGAAACTAAATCGTATTGGTGTTAAGTGGCCCAGTCAGGATTTGAACCCAGGCAGTGTGGCTGCAGAATCTGTGCTCTTACCTAGCATCTTAAACTACCACTGAACCACTTCTGAGGCCACCTCCCCACTCTTAATGAAACAACATTAATGCACAAGAAACACTCAGAGAGTCCTAGTGGCAGGAATGGGGCAAACTGACAACAGAGGAGATGGAAATCATTGAGGATTGGGGGAACCTAGGGAGGGTTCATGGAGGAGGAGGCAGACAAGTAGGATATCTGAACAGTTGGAAGATGTGGCAAAAGGGAGGCTGACTAAACACCCATGTTAGGAACTATAAATACATGAAGTAAATATCACTGATTACTGAGTTCTTCATATAAGCCAGGTGCTGTACTAAGCTTAGAATTTATCTCCCTCTAGACTGGGTAATACAGTGAGACTCCATCTCTACAAAAAATTGAAAAATTAGCCAGGCATGGTGCTCATGCCTGCAGTCCCAGCTACTCAGGAGGCTGCAGTGAGAGGATCCCTTGAGCCCAGGAGGTTGAGGCTGCAGTGAGCTGTGATTGCACCACTGCTGTCCGGTTTGGGTGACAGAGCAAGGCCTTTGTCTCAAAGAAAAAAAAATACCTCTCTCAGTCCTTGAAGTCATCCCCAAGGCAATATGGTCCCCATCTTGCACACTAGAAAACTGGGATTCAGGGAGGCCAAGCAACTTGCCTGAGGTCACCCCATCAGGAACAGACAGATGCAGGATTGCAACCACCACGGCAACTTCAAAGCCAGTGCACCTGCCATGTTTCCTTCCCTCTTGGCATGCCTGGAAGGACTTCCATCCCTAAAGTCAAAACAGGCACTTGCAGAATGGCTGGATTCAACAAGGTCATCATGGCTTCTGAAAGAAACAGAGCAAGGGGATTTGCTCTGAGAAATACAGCCTCCATCTCAGAACCCTGCAAAGATGCCCTCCCTGGCTGTCTGAGCAGCCTTTGCTGTCAGGCCCTGTTGGCAGAGGAAAAGTGAGCCGCCTGCCCTGGGTCAGGGAGAGCTGCAGCCCCCTCCTTGGGCAGAGATTTCACCCAACAGAGAAAACCTGGGTGGAAAATTGCATCCAGGAAGAATAGAGGAAAGACAAAGGAAATGGCTGCCTTCTCCCCTGGGCACCCGCCCCCACGGCCACCACCTCTGTTGCTCACAACTTTATCCATTCCTTTCCTTGGGAATCCACGGGTGTTCCAAGAGCTCTTTAGTGCAGTGCTTCAGAGCTTTGACTTTAGGGCAAGATTTGGCCACTGTGAGCAATCTGATGACTCCGTTTCTGTTTCTAAAAACCTTCAGGAGGCAAATGCAGAAATAAGTACAAAAAAAGTGAGCAAACCTAGAGAAAACCTGCCAGCCTGGAAGAGAGAATGGATGTGCCTATGGGCAAGGCCATCCATACGCATGATGACCAGGCTAACTGTGAATCACAGATTAGAACTGGGGCAGCTCTGGGTGTTAGAATGCAACGTGGAAGCATTAATGAATCCCAGCATTCAGCTGGGATTCCAGAAAAATGGAGTTTGGCAGATGCAGACTCCTTGTCTAAGACTTCTTTTAGGAGCCCTCCTTGCGTTGTGGTATCTTCTATTTGCTCCATCAGCCCTGGGCTCTCAGTGATTGGAGGGGTCTGTGTGAGTGGTTCCAGACCAGCTCAGTATGTTACTAGGTTGTATTATCAAGTAGAAGCCTGCAGCTTCTGTAGCAGTCTCTGTGCTTTTTCTCGATAGTGAGCTATGATTAGGGTGAGCTCAGAGCTGAAAGTCAAACAGAAATGCAGATGGAACCAATCAGCCTCAGATTCCAAAGCAGCTGATAAAAGCATAACATACCAAAAAGAATGTTGGTCGCACAGGAAGGAAGCCATAGCCCCTTGCCGTCTGCATTAGGGAGGATTTTAACTTTTTGCTAGTTAATTTTGTAATTTTTAAAATCTTGTATAAGATTGTGCACCATTTGAAATAAGAAAAAAATCTTTAAAAAAATTTTTTTAAAGGAGATAAAGATAATGAAAGAAAGGAGCCTTGAGGACAGTAATTGCCAAACCATACTGCTGAGTTCAATGCCTGGGTGACAGACATTTTACCTGCAAAACACATAAGGTTTTCCTTCTTAGTAAACTCATGCAGGCTTTACTATTAAAACACAGAAGCACTATCGCAGGAAGGACATTGACATAAAGTGCTTTCAGGGCCCTTGAAGCACGGACTTTAATCAATTTTCCTGTGTCTACTGAAGGAGGCTTCAGCTCTTTGGTTTAAAATAACCCAGTGGATGGCCCTTAATTTCAGAAATTGTTCTATGCAGTTTTTTTCTCAGCAGGATGCAGAAAGCAATCCCCACTGTGGCTGAGAGGAGAGCGGGCCTGGTGGGCTCCACTCAGTGGCAGCCAGTGGTCACTTCTGGATCGGTTCCTGGCTGGGGTCCATTGTCCTGACCTGCTGGTCCCACACCCCACAGAGGAAAGTTGCTATTAATACCCTCTTCAGGTCCCTGCAGGAAGCTCGGCCTTCTCCAGATGCCACTTAGGAGTCAATCCTTGTTCCAAAGAAAGAGAGCATAGAATGCAAACTTGTGTCAGGTTGAAGAGGCTGGGGACAGGGGCATCCCAGGCTGCTCATCCACAGGTCATCGTCACTCGGCTCCTAAAGAGTACATCGTCGTGGAGGAAGGACAGACAGAAAACATGATCTGCTGGCTCCAGACCCACACCTCGCTGGCCCCTCTGGCCTCTCCCATCACTCACCTGCAGGGCAACCGCCTCCAGCCCTCACCTGCATTCCTGGGATTCCTGCAGCTACATCCTCCCTGGTCTCCCAGCTCTGCTCTTTTGAGCCTCCACATGGGGCCCAGAGATATTCTTTCATGAAGTGAGTCAGGTGGGAACCACCCAAATGTCTGTCACCTGATGCATGGAGAAATAAATTGTTGTCTGTCCACGTGATGGACTATTCCTCAGCCATGGCAAGGGATGAAGTGCTGGCCCACACTCCGACGTGGATGAACTGAAAACATTCTGCTGAGGGAAAGAAACCATCACAAAAGGCTTGTAGGATTCCATAGATATGAAATACCCAGAATAGGCGAATCCACAGACACAGAAAGTGGTTGTCAGGGGCTGGGGGGAGGGAGGACGTGGCGTGACTGTGCATAGACTAAGAGTCTCTTTTTGGGGTGATGAAAGTGAGCCTGTTTTGGGGGTGATGAAGTTCTGGAATTAGAAAGTGGTGATGGCTGCACAACGTTGTGAATCTACTGAATTAAACACTTTAAAATCACTAAAATGGTGAATTTTATCTTATGTGCCTTTTATACCAACTTTTATTACTTTTTTGAGACAGAGTCTTACTTTGCTGCCCAGGCTGGAGTGCAGTGGCGTGATCACAGCTCACGGCAGCATCAACCTCCGGTGCTCAAGCGATTCTCCCACCTCAGCCCCCTGAGTAGCTGGGACTACACGCGTACGCCATCATGCCTGGCTCATTATTTTATTCTTTGTCGAGACGGGGTCTCTCTATGTTGCCCAGGCTGCTCTCAAACTCCTGTCCTCAAACAATCCTCCCACCTCAGCCTCCCAAAGTGAGATTGCAATCCAATCCAAAGTTGGATTGCAAGCATGAGCGCCAATTTTTTTTTAAAGTAAGCCAGAGCATGACAACACCTAGCATAAAACCGACCAGACCAGAGGCTCCCCCACCTCACCCTAAAGCCTCACCATGACCTACGCGATTCTCCCAGTGTGCTCTCATGCCTGGCCACTTCCCCGGCACCTCCTACCTCCACTGTTCTGTCCCCATGCTCTTCAGCCATGCTGGCTTCCTTGCTGAACCTTGAACTGCCCAAATACACTGCTGACTTGGGGTCTTGGCGTAAGCCATTCCGTTTGCTAGAAACATCTTCCCTGGGTCTTCCCACTGCTTCCTCACTCCATCAGGCCTCATCTCAGAAGCCACCTTCTCTCACACGCTGGGCTAAAATGCCTCCCTCCCCTGGCCCACTGCTCTGCTGTCTGGCCTCCTTCCTTTTCTCTTGGCAACACCCCTCCTGAACTCATACACTTGTTCACTAATGTATGTGGTTGTTTAGAGTCTGTCTCCTGCACAGCAGGTCAGCTCCGCGAGAGCAGGGACCAGGTCTGGTTTTGTCCACTGCAGTATCTCAGTAACCAGGACAGTTCCTGGTACACAGTGCTGAATAGATCCAGTGACATAGCATCGTTTATGTCTAAATTATTAGAAAACCAGGCCGGGTGCAGTGGCTCACACCTGTAATCCCAACACTTTGGGAGGCTGAGGAGGGTGGATCACCTGAGGTCAGGAGTTCAAGACCAGCCTGGCCAACATGGTGAAACCCCGTCTCTACTAAAAATACAAACATTAGCCAGGCATGGGGGTGGGTGCCTGTAGTTCCAGCTACTTGGGAGGCTGAGGCAGGAGAATCACTTGAACTCGGGAGGCAGAGGTTGCAGTGAGCCAAGACAGCGCCATTGCACTCCAGCCTGGGCGACAGAGCGAGACTCCGTCTCAAAAATAACATAAAATAAAATAATAAATAAATTATTAGAAAACCATATTTATTTTGAGTATTGATATTATCAAGTAAGATCATTTGTACCACCTACTACAAGAGACTCATAGACACAATGTTATGGGGTTTAAATAAAGGAAAAGCTTTTCTACCTTGGCATGAGGGGGGCTCAGGGTAGAATGGAAGCCAAGGTGTGTGGCTAGGTAGTCCCTGGGCTGGGGCAGGACACAAGAAGGAATTCATTCGCTCAGGCAGCAAGGGAGCGTGATGCTTCCCTGTGCCCTTGCTGACCCTCATGATCGTCTTTAAAGCTGACCAATTATATTAGGTGACAGTGGCATTTTGTATTAATTAACGCTTCTTTGATTGTTAGTGAGGTTGACTGTTTTTCACATGTATATATTAATCATTTCTATTCATTCTTATAGTTATCTGTAATTGTGTTCATTGCCCATTTTTCCACTGGATGTTTGCAGTTTGTTAATTTGTTGAAAGTGTTCCTTATTAAGACACTGATGCTTACACACACATTTATATACACGTGATACAAATATATAGCATATATAGCAAATTGAAATTTCTGGTTTATTATTTACCTTTTCATTTTAACATCATCTTTAGATATGTAGTCAAATTCTTTTTTTATGCTGTTCTTTTTGCTTCTATATCTAGAAATGTCTTAACTCTAAAAATAGATCAGTATTTATCTTTTTTGTAACTGTTTTTATAATGCAAGAGTATAGAAGATGACACTTTTACTTATAAGTAATAACTTTTATACTTGTGGAATTAATTTTGTTACATAGAAGAACCATATGTACCAAGAATCTTTTAAAAATTTCCCACTGTTAACCCAGCAATTCCATTTCTGCAACCCTCTACGAAGACCTGTTTCTCACCCAGGCACCCCCGAGGCATAACATGAGAAGTAGCAGATGAGATCTGAGGCCTCAGGGTCCCCAGGGCTCATCTCCCTGGACATCCATTGTACTGAAAGCCTTTGCAGGTAGGGCTAAATTAATGACTCATTTCACGGATTAGTAATTGAAGACATTATTTTAACATTAAAACAAATCAGATCACTTTCAAGAAGAAAGCAACATTCTCCTGAAATTCTAAGAAAAAGGTGAAAACCTCAAAGCTTCTCTTTGGGGGATACACTTTGGCAAGATGTTGGAGAATCACTATCCACACCAACAGATCTGAGATATGCGCCGAGATTTATTTACAATGTTCACTGCAGCATAATTGTGCAAAAAAATGGACACAATCTAAATATCCAACAGTAGCAAATTGGCTCAATCAATTATGATATGATCTCATATGATGAACGGGGTCCATTGAAACTGTTTCCATGAAAATAATTTTAGTTGCAATCACTTTTTTCAACATCTAATGTAATCATGAGAACATATTAGAAAAAGTATCGAGCAGGCAGTCAGCTAAAAGGTTCCCAGTGGCAGAACAGCTGAAGGCGGTTCTTTTCTCCTTGATACTTTTCTGAACTTTCATTTGCTCCACAGTGACTTTATGATTTTCTACTCAGAAGAAGAAAGTGTGGGGTTTGTGGCTGCTGTTTGGTTTGGCAGCTCGCTTTGTTTTTGAAAGAGAAGTGGAGCGGAGGGAGCAGCGCTGTTCGTGTAGAGGGCCTTGGGGAGACGCCTGGGAACGGGGCCCCTTCATGCCTTGTCTGCATGTTAGGAATAGAGACGTGAATATTTTTACATCAGTTTTAACACCTTTGCAGGCCTGTAGGTTGGAAATAGCTGGTCAATGTCTGGTGCGTCCCAGCATGGGAGGCGCGTCCCTCTCCAGCCCCATGCGACATTCTCGGGGTTGACTTGGGGTCACAGTTGTCTGCTCCCAGTGTTTGATCAGCTTCATTTCCAAAATGGGTCACTCACAGGGCGGTGTGTGATCATGTGTGCGACGTGGCTCTTCAAAGCTGTTTCCTGGTTGGGAAATCTTCACACACACACAAAGGTCGAGTCTGCTGTCTGTCCAGCGTTGACGGTGCCTGCCACACCTCACGTCTGCACCCTCTCCTGTCCCCGCCTCCGGGCCTTCTGCCCATAGCCAGGTGTGACAGCCAGGGCTGCTGCCTCCCGATCAGGCAGTGCACAGCCCTGGGACCCCCAGGGACACAGACCTAAGGGAAAGTGAGCCCCCAAACCTGCCTTCCAGCCAGCCTGCTTGGAGGAAATGCCCTAGCTTTATTGAACACTTAATTACTTAATAAATATTAGATGATACCATTCTCCACAAAAAAAAAAAAAAAAAAAAAAGATTGAAACCCAGAGAGAGATGGGCAAGTCACGAAAACAAGAATAAAGGGGATTATTCTTCAAGGTAACAGGATATGAAGAGAAGTGCCCCCAGGCTGGTCCGCTGGAGCATTTAGGACAGCAGAAGAGAGGCCTCTTTATAATCTCCCGACCGGAAATTCACCCTCATCGCTCCCAGCTTCACATACAACCTGGAACTCCGGGGGAGATGGGGAAAGCCGGGGGGCGGCCCCTGTGACCTGGCTGACCCAGGTCTCATGACAGAATGTGAAAGACTCCTTTATTTGTAATTCTCAGTACTCCCAAGTTGTAAGCCCCGATTTTACCTACAGGTACCTTTTGAGTATTTAAAGATGTGCCAAGCACACAGTAGAGAAGTATCATAGGTGGAGCCCAGGGCAATGAGCTCAGGCCTGAGTAAATCAGCACCATCTCCCACCAGCTGTGTGACCTCAGGTAGGAGATTCAACCTCTCTGTGCTTCAGACTACACAGCTCCCAAACAGACAGAATTGCCAACCTGCCCCACAGCTATTGTCAGGGTTAAATGAGGGTACATCCATGAAGTGCTCAGAGTGGGGCGCATCCTGAGTGTCACAAAGGTTGGCAGCTGTTATTGTCTTGTTTTGATGGTTGGGTCATCGTCATCATCATCATCATGATGATTAGTATCCCCATTTCGCAGCAGTGAAAACAAAGGCTCAGGTCAGTCTGATTCCAGGGCTCCTTCTTTCTCATCTCCACTTTGCCTCCACCAATAACACCCAGTGGGGGCCCCAGTATGAAATTGTCTAACTCCTTACCTTCTTCACTATCTTTTTTCTTTTTCTGTCTCCTTTCCCCACTCTCTTTCCCATCTGTAAGCCAAAAACCCCAACATCTAGGAAAAGCCAATCATGAAAAAAGTCATCCTCCCACCAATTTGTGCCTCCAGCCCAGACCTCTCTCCCAAGTTCCCAACTTACATGTCCAACAGCCAACTCCACACCTCAGCCTCAGCATCTCACACTCCCTTCGCCCAAGACTAAACTCCTGCTCTTCATACACAACTTGCTGCCTGCAAAGACCTCCCCATCCCCAGTGACGCCATCCTTTTGGCTGCTCCAGCCAAGAGCCCTGGAGTCCCTGTCCATTCTCCTCTTGCTCTCACTCCCTCCTTCCCCTCTTCCAATTGGTCAGGAAGTCCTGCTGGCCCTTCCTTCAAAGTAAACCCAGGAGCCAACCACTTATTATCCTCCCGCTCTGCTCGCTCCTGGATTCCTGAACCAACTTCCTGGCAGTCTCCTAAGGTCAAGTGGCATCTGTCTTCTACTCAGCCTCCTGTGTGGCCCCCATATCACTCAGCGCTAACTGCAGGGGCCTCATCGTGGTCTCCACAACCCTGTGTGATGCCTCGCCCACATCTTCCCTCTTCCATCCATGCCTCCTGTCCCCACCGTAGTGGCCTCATTGCCCCAGCTCAGGGGCTTTGTCCCAGCTGCTCCTTTGCCCTGGAACCCACCTATTGCAGGGAGCTGTTTGGCTTCCCAGCACCTCCTCTAAGCTCATATCCCACCTTCTTTTCCCTCCGGGGCCTACCCTGACCACCTGCAGTGGGTTGAATCACATCCTCCCCAACATTCATGTCCATGGGGAGCCTGTCATTGTGACTTTATTTGGAAATAGGGTCTTTGCAGATGTAATTAAGTTAAAGATTTTGCAATGAGATATCCTAGTTTTAGGGTGAGCCTAAATCCAATGATCGGTGTTCTTATAAAAAGAGGATAATACACACAGAGATACAGAGACAAGGCCATGTGAAGATGGGGACAGAGACTGGGGTAATGGGGCCACAAGCCAGGGAAGCCTGGAACCACTAGAAGGTGGAGGAGGTAGGGAAGGATCTTCCCTAGAGCCTGCAGAGGGAATGCAGCCCTGCCAGCAACTCGATTTTCGATTTCCGGCCTCCAGAAGTGTGACAGGATAAATTTCTGTTGTTTTAAGTCACACAGTTTATGGTGCTTTATCAGGGCAGCCCTAGGACCCAAGTCCACTGTCCTATTGAACATCGAAGCCTGTCCCACCCCTCGATCCCCATAGCCCCATGTCTTCCTGCCAGTCTCTGCCACTTCTTTGTCCTCGTGCAGTTACCACTGCTGGCACGTGCTGTCATTTCTGCCCAACTGTGCTTATTTTTATCAGCCGTCTCCCCACACTGGGACCAAAGGGCTATGAGAGAAACTTCTTTGTCTTGATGAGCCTGGCAGTTCACAGGGCTGAATCAATATCTGTTCAATCAATAATGGAATAATAAACAAACTCCTAAGGAATTGGAAAGGACCAGAAAACCCTTTCAGAATCTACATGAACTCTCCATCTTCCTCCTCAGCCACCTTCATTTAACTTCATCAAACTGACAGCCAGCTTTGAAAACTAATGCTTTCTAGTTTTTGTTCTATTGAGTTTAGTGACAAGCATCGCAATAGTGATTGTATCTACTATACTTCCCTGCACATTCCCTGTGTGGCTGGTAGAATCAATCAGCTCTTCTACAGCAAGATGGAAGAGTACTTGTCACTAAACCCAGGAAGCAGAGGTTGCAGTGAGCTGAGATCATGCCACTGCACTCCAGCCTGGGTGACAGAGCAAGACTCCATCTCAAAAAAAGAAAAGAAAAGAAACACTGCAGAGAGCTGCTGGTGGAAAGCGTCCCTCGTCACGCCCCCTCCCAGGCTCCCCATTGCGTGGGATCTAGTGTGGTGCACTGTGCCCCACCCAGCACAGGCAAAGAAGAGAAACTGATCTTACCAGCCACTCAGGGTCCTTTCACAACCACACACCTCAAAGAAGGATAAAGCCATCCATGAGTAACCCCAAGTCACCATAAGAGGTGCCCTTACTTCAGAGCTAACCTAGCCTCTGGGAGCCAAAAAGAGCAAAGAAAGCCCCAAGACACGGATCTCAGCCCTTTGTCACTGGATGGTGTCCTCCCAGCCTGCTCACTCCTATGGGGCAGGGGGCCAGAAGCAGGGGACAGCTTCCCTCTAAGATCTGCACAAAGAACACTAGGAGGGCATTTGGGCAGTGAGTTGTCACCTACAGATCAGAGGTTGAACGAGCTCACTGGGACCTCCCTTGGCTCCAGTTCACTAAGGAACATGAAATGCTTTAGGGAGCATGGAGTACATATGCTGGGAAGAAAAGATCCCCAGCAAAGCAAGGAGAGCCAGTGCCAACATCGAATGGTGACCGGAAAGGCTAACATCCATTTATCCAGCAAGTCAGGCCGCCTCGGAGTCCTCTGCCTGCCCCAGGCCGCTATTCCCAGGCCAACCCAGGGCCTCTCCTTCTGGTGCAGGGGTTCTCAAGATGGCGCCCCCTCCTGGTTCTAGGTGGGCAAGGGTCAGGCCCTCCTACCTGGGTCCCTCAGTCCTGTCCACGTTCCAGGGTCTCAACCTCAGCCAGGGGCCTGGAGGGGCCTCTTGAGGACACTCATCTGTACCCTGGTCTCCTCTCTAGCTGCCCCACTTTCAGCCTACAGGTTGACTCACTGGGAAATGATTCCTACGTCATTTCCTGCATCCTCTCTGCTTTATGGAGAATCTGTGATGTCTGAACAGGAGGCCTGGCCCTGGGGCCTGTCTCTGACAACATCCCGACTCCTCTGAAAGGTGCAAATGACACGTCCTTCTCTGCAGAACTTCTGTCTTGGCTGGGCTGTGGTAGCCAAAGCCCCTGGGCTTCACGTTCTTCTAGAGAAGTGCCTGCCATGCCCAGCCTAGAAGGCTGGCTCCCAACGCTAAAAGGAAGCTTTTCTCTCTTAAGAACCCAGCTTTGTAAATAAAAGCCTCCTGTGTCGTTATTATTGTTCTTTTAGGTAATTTTTTTCAAGTTGGCATTTTGAAATAATTTCAAATTTACTGAAGAGTTGCAAAAATAATACAGAAATGTCCTATATAAACTTTGCCTACCTCCACCGATGTCTTAAAATTATTAACAGCATTGTTAACACAATCATCCCGTCTTAGCCTCAGTTTCACTTTCTGAGGTTTCAGTTACCCGCCATCAACTGTTGTCCAAAAATATTAAGATATTTTGAGAGAGACAGAGGGAGAGAGAGATCATATTTACATAACCTTTAGTACAGTACATAGAAATCATATTTACATAATCTTCAGTACAGTATATTGTTATAATTTTTCTATTTCATTATTTATTATTGTTATCGATCTCTTACTGTGCCTAATTTACAAATGAAACTTTATCATAGGTATGTGCATATAGGAAAAAAACATACAATGTGTAGGGTCCAGTACTCTCCGAGGTCTCAGGCAGCCCCCGGGAGTCTTGGAACAGATCTCCATGGATAAAGAGGGCTGCCATATTTGAGGAAAGGAAAATGCATGAAGTAACATTTCCAACTTTTGTCTCGTCAACTAAACTGAAACTTTGACACACGTCTATGTAATAGAATGAGAAACATGTGCTTCTGAAACATTTTGAAAGTGATGCTTTTCTGTCAGTACTCAACCCTTTTCTTTCAAGACTCTCATGCTTGAGATATCTACAAAGCCCATATACATTCCTCACCTGCATTTAAAAAGCCGCTACTGTCCATTCCTCACCCTTTGTTGCTTGAGAGCTTCCCCAGAGATGTAAGCCAACCATGCTACCCCTCAGAAGCTAAACAGCACCTCCTTCTTGTAGGAGCTCCTTTAGGGGTGACTCGGGCTCCAACCTAATGGATTTGCACACTCAGGCACTCTCTCGGGGCATGTTCACAGCACATGAAACCTGTCCAAAGACAACTATTAAAATTCTAAAATTCCACCCTCTGTCCAACAAGTTTCTGAACACTTGGTCTCTATGCCTCCCTGCTAAAAACCAAGCTAAAGAGATGAACCATGGATCAATAGAGGTTTGCTTTGCTGAGCCAACTAGTGAGGACTTGGGTTGGTGCCTTTCTGCATTTATCATGGTTACATGGTCATTAAGGGTGACATTTGTTAAAACTGAAAAGTCATTAACCCCAGGGGCAGGACTGCCCCCGGTTCACAGTGGGGCTATTCCCTGTCTAGAAAAATGAAGGGGTTTTAGTTAAAAGGATTTGAGCTGCTTGCCATCTGGATTTTATTTTGCTTTTCTATTATTTTTAAGCAGATTTAATGTTTGAATGGGTAATGCATCTACATGATATCAAAAAGTTTAAGAAGGTGTATATATGAGCAGTTCCTTCCCTTTCCTCTCTCACAGTCACGTTATTCCCACCATGGCCTATGAGTTTCCATTCTTAATAGACGGTTTTATAGTCTTCAAAGGTTACTACACGAATACAAGCAAAGGTATACTCCTGCCCCCACCACAAAGACTGGCACTCTACAAAACTTGCTCTGTGCCTTCATTTTTGATTTAACACTACTTCTTGGAAATTTTTCCCCAATGGTACAAGAAAACACATTTTTGTTTGTTTCAGCCCTATTGTATTCCATTTATATAGACAACATACTTAACTAGTCTTCTCTTAGGGGACAATTACATGGTTGCCAACACTGCAATTATAAAACGACACAAATCTATGTGTCAGATGGTATCTGTTCACTAGCGACTAGGATGGTGCCAGAGGAGGGCACGGAAATGGTAAACAAATCACATGTGGGGGGACCCTCAAAGGCTGTGTCTCAGTTGTGAAAAACAGATTTTCATCAGGCAGTACACATCTATACTCCATTTTACACTTTAGATGGAGCTAAAGATGTTTCCCTCTCCACCTGAGTTCTGCCAGAAATGTGTCTGAGAATTTGCCCCCAGTCTAAGGACATGAAACCCCTTGTTCCCAATATACAAGCATGGAGGGGCACCACAGATTAAAGTAAGATCAATGTTACCAGAACAATAAAAGGGCTCGCTAGCACCTTTAAATTTCCACTAATACTTTATTATTTTTACTCCAAACCCTTTGTTACGTTAAGAGACAGCAAATTCCAAAGAACAAACTAATTTTAGCCAGAGAGAGCACAAGCAACATGCCTATCCGGGAGGAAGTGCTCAGGAAATGATAGCTTCAGATAATACACCACCCATATCCTACTTCCTATAGTCAGAAAAAAAGAGCACTAAAAAGTCCCTCAAAACACACAAAGAAACACTAAAAGGAAAGTCCAATGCCTGCAGCCCACCTCAGTTTCCTTCAGTCCCCAATTTCTAGGTTAATGCTCCAAGATCACAGCCAGACTTCAGGCCCAGGCCTCACCATAGCACTAGATGTTGCTTCTAGAATCAAGCACTGAGTGGCTTCTAGAACTGAGGCACTACATCAAACCTTCAGAAAGGCCAACGCCCGTGGTTCTCAAAGTGTGGTCAGGCCAGGGACCCCTGGGAGTCCCCAGACCCTTTCAGGGTCCCCATAAGGTCAAATGATTTTTATAATCATACTAAGATGTCATCTACCCTTTCCACCCTTACTCTGTAAGTGTGCAGTGGAGTTTTCCAGAAGTTTTGTGATGTGTGGTAGTGCAACAGATTGAGTACAGAGTCAGATAGGAGAATCTAGCCATCTTCCAGCTGTTAAAGAGACTTGAAAAAATGTAAAATCATACTGCTCTTCTTATTAGACCATTTTGCCCTTAAAAATTTAGGGTTTTTTAAATAAAAATGTTATTTATATCAACATGTAATAAGTTTATTATGTTAAATGAATAAATGTTTTTAAATGTCTTAATTCCACTTTCTAATATGGTAAAAAAAAAAATGCTCAGCTTACCATAATACACACACACAAAAAAAAGCTCTTTGCTGTCTTCAATAATTTTTGAAAATGTAAAGGGGTCCCAAAAACAAAAAGTTGAGAACCACTGCCTCTACAAGAAATGAAGGTATGCCGATGATCAGCTCATTACCATGAAGTGCTAGGGGGTCAGTGAGCCTGCTTTCTCAGGTCACTCTTCCCTTCTTCATTTTCCTAGCACACAGCACAGTGCCTGCCCGGGGTGGGTGTCCCATGCATGACAGAGGAAAGGAGGGACAGCATAAGGAAAGCAGGAAGACCTTTCCATTGATTATTATTGAATAACACAACTAAGTCAAATCTAGAAAAACTCTCTGAAAGTAAATGGCAAGTTATTCTGGGTGCCCTGCTTACCAGTGAGGAAAACAGACAAATGGAAAGAGGTGTGGGGATAGATGGGGAAGAGGAGGGACGGGTGCATGTGAATGGAATGTTCACCACCAGCAGGGATTGCCCAGCACATCTGGCCCACCCCTCTTCCCATTCACTGCTCTACAAAGAGCTTCCCCACATCACCCACCACTACCCCCAGCAGTGGGCACCCAAGTGTGTGCAGCTTCCCGGGACCACCCTTCACACCACACACACACATCCTCACCCATGTCCCAAGCATTGAATCCCTGCCCAGCAGCACCACAGCTGCAGAACGGAGCATCTGTGCCAACTTGGATTAAGTGTCCCCATGTGCTCTCAGCCTTCTGCCCCATCTGCACCTCCAAAGCAAGGCCGGAGGGCTGCTCTATCCACTCACCCACCAATGCTGAGTATAGATGGCTTTCTTGTGTGGCCTAATGGATTTGAAGTGATATCTTCTTCTTGTCTTTGCCCCTCTCTCATTCCTAATGAGAGTCTCCTCATATGCTTGGGTATTTGGGGAAGGTTACCTCTCTTGTAAATTACCGTTTCTATCGTTCACCCATTTTCCCATTAGAATTCCTGCTTTCTTTTATCAATGTGTAGGTATTTCTCAGATATTCTTGATTTATTTTAGTTATGGACATAACCTTCTGCAAGCTGACACCCTCTCCAAATCCACCATCTTTCCCTAACTTTGTCTTATGGACAACAACATTTTAACATTTTTTAATAATATCTTTTGCATTTTTGTTCACTAATCCTTTCCCATTCCTAGGACCAAAGATATGATTCTACATTTTTTCCTACTGAATTTATGATTTTACCTTTCACTTTTAGGTCTTTAGTCCAGCTGGAGTCAAAGTTTCTAATGAAGCATTTTTTAATTACAAGACAAACAGGGCAGTAGCCAATTATAAAATCTAGGCATTTCCTCAGCAGTCATGACATGCAGAGGGTCATGGTTTTGAGCCTGTACCTCTGGGGATTGCTCTGCAGGTGTAATGGCTACCTTCATATGTCAACTTGCCTGGGCCATGAGGAGCCCAGATATTTGGTTAAACATGATTCTGGCTGTGTCTATGACGATGTTTTGAAAGAGATGAACGTTGGATTCAGTAGACTGAGTAAAGCAACCAGCTCCCTTATGCCAGTGGGCCTCATCCAATCAGCCAAAGCCCTGCATAGAACAGAAAGGCTGACTTTCCAAGAATAAGGAGGAACTCTTCTCTGCCTGGCTGTCTTCAAGCTAGAGCACCAGTTTTTTCCAGCCTTCAGACTCAGGCTGGAACCACATCCTTTGTTCTCCTGGGTCTCCAGCTTGCCTGCTGCAAACCTCCATGACCACATGAGCCAACTCCTTATAATAAATATAAATCTCTTCATTTAAGGAGCATATGAGATATATGTATACACACACACAAGCACGTACACACACACACACACACACACACACAATCTGTCCTGTTTCCCTGGAGATCCCTAATACAGTGGATATATTCAAAATTCAAGTGGCTGATGGCACTAGTGATGATGATATTTGCAATTCTGGCTGGTGGCACCAGAGAGGAAACTTTAACAGAGCTGTTCCATTCAGACCACCTGGAAGAACATTGTTGTCTTATCATGAACAGCCCCACTGAACACCACCATCTTTGGGCTCATTTTGGTCCATAGTTTCCAATAAAAATGAATGCAGGTTCATATGTGTTAGGAATGGGTGTCACCTGGGAAGTGTGTGAAACACATCCATGTTTCAATAACCGGAGCCTGCAGTCACTAGGACCTGGGTGAGCATTCTGCACACTTCATCCTGTGGTCTCACTGGTGGCCTAAGTTCCCATTCAAGCCTCAATGGAGACACTCCAGGAAATGCTGAGACATGACCAGTGAACACAGAGGGACACATCACACCTGGAGAAGCCTCCCGAAGGTCATTGGCTGAATTTCCTTCCAGCACCAGCTTCAAAAAGCGATTCTTGTGTGACTTTGAGCCCAGGCTTTGCTGGGGAACATGGTGGCAACTTGACTTCTTTAAATCCAACTGAGGCAAAGTCAGACCCACTGTCAGAGACTCTCACTATCAAAGCTGTAGCCAGATGTCAGGTGGAGTTCCCCCTTCCCCTCAGGCCTAGAGGAAGTGGGCCTAAACCCCCAGCTCCATGTGGACTGTGGCAATACCAGGCCCTGTCCATCATCTCCGATGGTTCCTAAGGTTACAGCCTCAGAGTCCCAGTGCCTGGACACGTACTCCTGTATGCACTGTCTCTGTCTCCATCTGTGTTGACCTGGCTGGAACACACAACCTATATATATATATATAACTACATACAACTATATATATAACTATATATATAACAATATATGCATAACTATATCTATAAAATATATATAATGGAATATTATTCAGCCCTAAAAAAGAATGAGATCTTACAATTTGCCACAACATGGATGAGCCTGATAAGCCAGATACAGAGAGAATATTGCACGAACTTACTTATACGTGGAACTCAAAAAAATCAAATATATATATATATATATATATATATATAATGTTTATTTATCCCTTCATCCATTGATAAACACTTGGGTTGTTTCTGTATCTTAGCTACTGTGAATATTATTCCCAATGGCATCTTTTCTCCTAAGGATACTAATCCTATAAGATTAGGGTCTCACACTTAAGACCTTGTTTAACTGTAAGTACCTCTTTAGAGGCTCCAAATATAGCCACAGTGGTTGTTGGGGGTTTAACAAATGCATTTGTGACACACAAACATTCAGCCCACAACATGGTCTTTTACCACTTCATGCTACCTCTCTGCACCAATATATCAACATGCAAAAGTGACATTAATATTTTAGGTATTTTCAGTCACAACATCCTAAACTGAGACTCAGGTCTTCACTGACCTAAACAGTTTTTCATTTAAACTTCTTTTGTTTAACTTTTTCTTATTTATGAAGGAGAGACATTGGAAACACTCAGATGCAGGAATCCAAGTTAGGAAGATAGAGCCAATTGTTTGCTTGATGATTTCCAAGAATTCTTTGTACCTTTGAGCCTCTCTTTCAATTCTCTAACAGGTTTAGATATTACAAATATTTTCTCCCAGTCTGACACTTGCCTCTTCACTTTATCGAAGGTTCCCTATCTTGGACAGAAACTCTTCATTTTAATGTGATCGATAGGATACTGACGTGATCAGGACAGATACATTTGGAAGGACAAAGAACAACTTGCAATTTTCCTTTGATAGGCTAACCCCCACAGTGCCAGCCATGCCCAGTAAATCTATTCCACATTCAGAACACTGTAGACTTAAAATATTCCCAAAAGAATATTGAGACTTCAAATCAATGAAAGATAGGAACAAGAGGAAAATAAGACTTGCTCCCAGCTGTGAAAGACATAATCTTCTAATATACTGGTTCTCTTGCAAAGCAGAAATCATTTTTCTCAGTTCATCGGAGTCATAGGTGTTCTCACCACAGGAGAAAATTTGAAATGCAAGGGGTGGGACTTCACATGGCCAAGTGATTTCATGCAAAAGCTCCTGGGATTCACAGATAGGCAGGGCCTGATTTTTTTTTTTTTTTTTTTAATTTTAGATGGAGTCTCACCCTGTCACCTAGGCTGGAGTGCAATGGCGTGATCTTGGCTCACTGCAACCTCTGCCTCCCAGGTTCAAACGATTCTCCTGCCTCAGCCTCCCAAGCAGCTGGGATTACAGGTGCCCACCACCACGCCCAGCTATTCTTTGTAGTTTTAGTAGAGTCGGGGTTTCACCATGTTGGCCAGGCTGGTCTCAAACTCCTGGCCTCGTGATTCACCCACCTCAGCCTCCCAAAGGGCCTGATTTTTACATACGGTTGGAGAGGAACCCAAGAAGCAGCACCGACATGACTGGTGCACTCAGTTCTATGCAGAGCATGGAGCCACACACAAAGGTGAACAAGACCCAGCCTGCCTAAGAGGGTCCCTGGGTCTCAGGGGGAAGGCAGGCGGGCAAACGAGTAAATGAAACATAGCAGACTTCACCCTGGAGAAACAAGGGGCCATGAGAACGTGCCAAAGGCAGCAGCTCCCAGTCAAGAGACCCAAAGATGCTTTCAGAGGGAAGGGAAATCTGAGCTAGGTTTTGAAAAATGAAAGACAACAAAGAAGAGTAGTCCCACCTGTGGGCCTTGGAACAGACGGACACAGTGCAATCCAGCTTCCAGAACTTTCCATGTGTGGGGTGAGGAAGTGAGGAAGTCGTGCCTCACAGTGTCTTTTTTTTAATATTTTCAAGTTTTTTTTCTACTTTTTATTTTACCTTTTTTATTGTGGTAAATTATACTTAACGTAAAATTTATATCTTAAGCGTTTTAAGTGCACAGTTCAGCAGCATTAAACACATTCAGGCTGTTGGGCAGCCATCACCACCATCCATCCACAGAACTTTTTCATCACCCCAAACTGAAACTTGTATCCATTAATCATTCCCCTTTCCCTCCCAGCCCCTGGCACCCACCATTCTACTTTCTATCTCTATGGATTTGACTGTTCCAGGAACCTCATACAAGTGGAATCATATATATGGTTTTCTGTGATTGGTTTATTTCACTTATCATAATGTCCTCAAGGTTCATGCATGTTGCAGCATGTGTCAGCATTTCCTTCTTTTTCAAGGCTGAATAATATTATTACGTGGATGGACCACATCTTGCTTCTCCATTCATCTGTCAAAGGACACTTGGGTTGCTTCCACCTCTCGGCTTCTGTGAATGACGTGTCTGTACACGGCAGTGGACCCAGGCCTGCCCATGTCCCCGCCACTCCTCATAGCACCTACCCCTGACCTCGGCGCCGGGGGTCTCCCCTGCATTTGTGTGGTGTCTCTGATCATGCTGGTTCCTAGACATTCACCCTTCAGTCCCAGTGGTAGCAATGCTGACTTTGTGCCTCTTCCGCAGCCCCTCTGTACTCATCTGAGGAGGTGACTATTCCAGGAAATGCTCCAGAACAATTCTCTGCAGAATGCCCCAGGCCCTGGCAGCTGGAAAGGACATCTGAGTCTTCTCTTCCTGAGCAAGCATGCATTTCAAGGAGGGAAGGTCAGATGACACAGTACCAACCCACCTTCTGAATGTCCCAGAGAAGCCATTGCCAGGCAATATTTTTAGGACCTCCATGAGCAGAGAACAGCATTTTTTCCTGGAGGTTATTAGCAGGCTCAGTGCAATGCAAACATCAGATAACAGCATTGCACTCTATAAAGTGTGTGTGTGTGTGTGTGTGTGTGTGTGTGTGTGTGTGTATACATGTGATGCAGACTGGCACCCAACAGCAAAAGACCTCCATGTAGCCTGGGCCACCAGGCCACAAGAATGACTCTCTAGGGATCATATGTCCCAAGAGCAAGCTCAATGCTCCTCTAACTGGACAATTCCCACCCACCCCTGGGATGAGCCAGCATGACTGTGCCATTGATACCTGGAGCAGGAATTCAACCTGAAGATCTAGGGGTAGGGGCGGGATTCCGATGGAGGGAAGAAGAGTGAAGTGTTTAATTGGTGATCAATATATGCATATCAAGAACAAACAACTACAGTATGAGGTGGAATACAAAAATTCTCACGAATTTGTGCAGAACATGAGAAAGCATCTATCTGTTTAAACAGCCTCCAAGGACAGTGCCATATTGGTACCAGAAAGAAGGAACGGTCCTGCTCCTTTATTCCTTCCTCTCCTGGCCCCTCCCCTCCCTGGAGACAGGTAGGGGGAGGGGAGAGGAGGAAGGAGCTTATATTAGTCTGTTTTCATGGTGGTAATATAAGACATACCTGAGACTGGGTAATTTATAAAAGAAAGAAGTTTAATGGACTCACAGTTCCACATGGCTTGGAAGGTCTCAAAATCATGGCGGAAGGCAAAGGAGAAGCAAAGGTATGTCTTACATACGTCTCATGAGACATATTCACTATCACAACAATAGCACGGGAAAGACCTGCCCCCATGATTCAATTACCTCCCATCAGGTCCCTCCCACAGCACGCAGTAATTATGGGAGCTACAATTCAAGATGAGATTTGGGTGGGGACACAGCCAAACCTTATCAGAGCTATCCTAAGTAAAAAGACAAGAACCAACCCCCCATTCCCAAGGCATATTTTCTGTCTGCAGCTGGCCCTGGAAGAAAAGAATCTTCTATTTTGAGTGAGGTGAGGAGTTTTCATGAGTAGATGAGGCTGGACATACTAATTACTGAGCAGAGAGAGACTTTATGGAGAATGAAATGCCCAGAGAATTTTTGATGATGAGAAAGTCACCAGAGGAACAAAGGAATCTGCCTTGATTTCAATCAAGGCGTCATGGAAGAGGAGCTCATCTCATGGGAACAACATGCAGAAAAGAATCCAGTTGTTTCCCTGTAGCCTATAAGTCCTGTCATTCACTGTTCTGGGAAAACCCTCCCTGGCCTGCAGGCTGGTTGACGAGTTGTTTGGAGGTTACCAGGGAAACGCCTCAAGGTGGGGCTTTCAGAGAACAGGAGCCACAATAGGGCCTCCGAGCTCAGGAGCCACAGCCGTGATACAGCCTCTGATAGTAAATTCCCTACAGGGATAAAAAGATAGGAGCCCTGGAGGGGATGATTCTTAAAGTCATTCTCACATGCAGTCGACATGCATGAGGTTGCCTGATAAAATACAGGACACCCAGTTAAAGCTGAATTACAGATAAACAATGACTAATTTTTTAGTATAAGTACATCCCAAATATTGCAAGAAATGTATCTGAAATATATTGCAAAAAATAAAAAATTAGCACTGGTTATCTGAAATTTAATTTAACAAGTCATCCTATATTTTTACAGTTTTACTGAGTTATAATTTACATACTATTCAACCCTACCATTTAAAGCGTACAATTCAATGCTTTTTAATATATTCACGAGGTTGTGCAACCATCGCCACAATCAATTTTAGAACATTTTCATCAGCCCCAAAGGAATCCACATCCATTAGTCACACCCACTCCCTATGCCAGCCCCAGCCCCAGGCCCTGACATCCACTAATCTACTTTCTGTCTCTAGAGATCGGCCTATTCTGGACATTTTGTATAAATGAAAGCACACAACATGTGGTCTTCAGGAGTGGCTTCTTTGATTTAGCATGTTTTTTCAAGGTTCATCCATGTTGTAATATGTATCAGTACTTCATTCCTTTTTATTGCTAAATAATATTCCACTGTATGGATACAACAGATTTTATTTATCCAATCATCAGTTGATGCACATTTGGGTTGCCTCCACTTTTTTGGCTATTATAATAAAACTGCTGTAAACACTTGTGTTTAAGTTTTTTGTAAACATATGTTTTCATTTCTCTTGCATATATATATATAGGAATACAATTTCCGGGTCACATGGAAACTCTATGTTTAACATTTTGAGAAATTTCTAAACTGTTTCCCATAGCAGCTGCACTTTTTAAAAATATATATATATGCGGCCAGGCGCGGTGGCTCACGCCTATAATCCCAGCACCTTGGGAGGCCAAGGCAGGCGGATCACGAGGTCAGGAGATTGAGTCCATCCTGGCTAACACTGTGAAACCCCGTCTCTACTAAAATATAAAAAAAATTAGCCGGGCATGGTGGTGGGTGCCTGTAGTCCCAGCTACTTGGGAAGCTGAAGCAGGAGAATGGCGTGAACCCAGGAGGCAGAGCTTGCACTCCAGCCTGGGTGACAGAGCGAGACTCCATCTCAAATATATATATATATATACACACACACACACACACACACACACACACACATTCTCACTAGCAACATCCAAGGGTTCCAATTTCTTCACATCCTCACTACATTTATTAGTTTCTGGTTTTTTCATGATAGACATCCTGGTGGTGTGAAGTGGTATCTCATTGTGATTTTGATTTACATTTTTCTAATGGCTAATGAACATCTTTTCATGTGCTTATTGGTCATTTATGTATCTTCTTTTTCTTTTCTTTTTTTTTTTAATTTGAGACATAGTCTTGCTCTGTCACCCGGGCTGGAGTGCGGCGTCACGATCTCAGCTCACTGCAACCTCCGCCTCCCAGGTTCAAGCAATTCTCCTGCCTCAGCCTCCTGAGTAACTGGGATTACAGGCACGCACCACCATGCCCAGCTAATTTTTTTGTATTTTTAGTAGAGATGGGGTTTTGCCATGTTGGCCAGCCTGCTCTCCAACTCCTAACCTCAGGTGATCCACCTGCCTTGGCCTCCCAAAGTGCTCAGATTATTGGCATGAGCCACCACACCTGGCCTGTGTATCTTTTTTGGAAAAAAAAAAAAATCTTCTCAGATCCCTGGCTTGTTTCTTAATTGAGTTGTTTATCTTTCTGTTATTGATTTTTAAGGGTTCTTTATATGTTCTGGATACTAGACCTCATCAGATATATGACTTGCAAATCTTTCCTCCCATTCTGTGGGCTGTCTTCTCATTTTCTTGATGGTCTCCTTTGAAACCCAAAACTCTTTCATTTTGATAAAGTCCAATTTATCTATTTCTTGTTGTTGTTGTTGCTGTTGTTGTTGTTGTTGTTGTTTTGAGAGACAGTTTCACTCTGTTGCCCAGGCTGGAGTGCAATAGTGCACTCCAGCAACCTCAGCCTCCCAGGTTCAAGAGATTCTCCTGCCTCATCCTCCCAAGTAGCTGGGATTACAGGCGTGCCATCATGCCCAGCTAATTTTTGTATTTTTAGTAGAGACAGGGTTTTGCCATGTTGGCCAGGCTGGTCTTGAACTCCTAACCTCAAGTGATCCACCCGCCTCGGCCATCCAAAGTGCTGGGATTACAGGCATGAGCCACCACACCTGGCCTTATTGTTATTGTTTGTGCTTTTGGTGTCATAGCTAAGAAGGCTTTTCATGACCCGAGGTTATAAAGATTTACTCCTATGTCTTCTTCTAAGAGTTTTATAGTTTTAGCTCTTACACTTAGGCCTATGATCGATTTTGGTATACGGTGTAAGGAAGAGGTCCAACTTCATGCTTTTGCATGTGGGTGTCTGGTTGTGCCAGCACCACTTTTTACAGGCATCTGCTAAATCTGGCAACCCTAGGCAGAGGTTTAGCAACTGGAACAAGTGTAGGGCCTCTGTGAGCATCAGTGGGTTAGAGTTGATCTCTTCCAGGAAAATGTTCATTCTCTTCTTTCCTCTCCACATGAATCCACACCCTCCTTCAGCCCTTGGCCTTAAACACTAAGTGGAGGCTGGAAAGGAGAGACCACTGGGCCCAGCCTCTGGTGGCATGTGATGACAGTGGTGCAATTGTTAATTTTATGATATTGACGTGGCCTTCATTGGAACCAGCTCTTGGCTAGGGCTCAACTATCTGGACTAATCTTCACTCCACTTTAAGTTTGGAGCCTAAATCCTGCAACAGCAACTAAAATTTATGAATGTTTTTCTTTCCTGGAACCAAGGCCCCTGGTCCAGGTCTCCTATATCTCCTCCATTCCCTTTTAAGTTGTATCCTTAGCCATGATGACAGGCATCAGAAGGCATTCCCTCTGTTCAGGGCCTCTGAACCGAGCCAGTGGCAGCTCTTCCTGTCCCCTGCCACCTTGGTTCACAGAAATCCTCTTCCAGTCCCCTAGGCCGTCAGCCAAATTGCACAGTGAATTCTGCCTGTGAGAATTTAGAGAAACACTTGTTGGACTGTGTTCCTACAAGCAGGTGTTGAGGCTGCTCAACAGAATGTCTGTGAAAAGACCCAGCCCCCATTGCCTATGCTGTCCCCTTCCTGGCATTGAGCCTGAAAGCCAACCGGGCAATTTACTTTAAGGCTCAGACTTGACATGGCTCATAACTTTCTTCTGAGCCCATGAAGTTACTTCCCCAGACAAGCTCTGTCATCTGCGTGAGATGACTTATCCATTAGCAAGGATGAATAATGCCTAAACACATCACTGGATCTTCCCCAAGCCCCGCTAGGGTATGGAGAACAAGGAATAATCCTGCCTGCAGAGCTGGAATCAGGCAATCACCCACAATGCCTTGAGTCCTTGATTCATCCCTGGGAATCATGGCTGAACATGCAGCCCAGGCCCATCCAAAGCTCGAGGGATGGGGAGGGACAGCTACACATTCCAAAGAATTTGTGTCAACAGAAGCCTTGGTGTCTCTTAATGACCCTCTGGGATGAAGGCAGAAGAAGCAAAAATAGATCAACCCCCTCCATTAAAGAATGATTATTTTTTTCCTACCTTCATAGTGGGAAACATACCATTGAATTTGCACTTTATTAATGAAATGTATCATCAAGTTTACCTTTACTATGTGTATCAGTCAGGTTCTACCAGAAAAACAGATCAATTTCATATATATGTGTGTGTGTATGTATTCACACATTCTGATCATGTATATACACATCATACATATATATACACACATACACACATAACACATAGGTACATACACACATAAACACACATACGTACACACAAATATATATTACTATTATGTATATAAATATATATAAAATATACATTATATAAATATATATTAAATGTGTATATATACACACATTCTGATCATGTATATACACATCACACACACATACACATATATACATACACACACATAAACATACATACAAATACATCTATTACTATTATGTATATAAAATATAATGTATACTTTATAAATATATATTAAATGTGTGTGTACATATACACATTCTGATCATATATATACACATACACATATACACACACATACATACACACACATATACACGAATATATATTACTATTGTTTATAAATATATATTAAATGTGTATATCTATGGATTACTTTTTTATATATGAATATATATTACTATTATGTATATATACAATGTATATTTTATAAATATATATTAAATGTGCATGTGTGTGTGTATAAAATGTATGTAGAGACAGAGGAGAGAGAGACTGATTTCAAGGACCTGGCTTACACGATTGTGGGCCCAGGCCAGGCAAGTCTGAACTCTGCAGGGCAGGCTGGCAGGCTGGATACTCTCGGGCAGAAGCTGACACTGCAGTCAGCAGATGGAATTTCTTCTTCCACAAGGAAACCTCAGTTTGCCTCTTAAGGCCTTTCCACTGATTGGATGAGGCCCACCCAAATTATCAAGGATAACCTCCTTTACTTAAAGTCAACTGACTGCAGCTGTTAGCCACGTCGACACAATGCCTCCACAGCAATGACTAGACCAGGGTTTGATTAAACAACTAGGTATTGCAGCCTGGCCACATTGACACACAGAACCAACCACGGCGCCAGAAATGCTTCTCTGTTGTTGGATAAGGTGCACGGGTGCAAGGTTTAGATGAAGCAGCTGAGACACACACAGGATGCGGAATCCGCTAAGTGACCCAAGGTAATGCAGACGTGAAAGGCTGAACTTGGAAGACTTGAAGGAATTATGAGCCAGGGCCCTGGACCAAACTTGCAGAGAACTCAGAGCTCACCCAAAGGTCCTCAAGCCAGGGCCAAGCATCGGCTCCCACACGCCAAATCCCACCCACTTCGGGTCTCCTCTTCTCACTACCCTCCCAGTTCTGATCACGTCTGCCACCCGCTTAAAACTTCTCAACCCAAATTCCTTTGCCTGAGATGTAAGACCACTCAGACTCGGTCTTGGCCGGCTTTCCCAGCCCCCTCTGCTGCTGAGGTTAGCCCCCTTGACCGAGGCAGTTACACTGCAGAGTACATGCAGGGTCCCCCACACCCCAGCTCTGCCACGTCCCAGCTCCTTTGCACGTGCTGTGTGAATTTCCCCTGAACACTCTTCTGGTTTTGATATGGGACTCATATTATCCTCAAAACCCACCTTAATCACCACTACACCTGAGAAATCCCCACACCCTCTCCACCTAGAAGTCCCCCACTTGGGCAGGTGAGGGGCCCCTCCTTTGTGCTCCACTAGCTACATCCCTCCATCTGTTCATCTGTTCGACATTCCTCTGTTCTTACCACAGTATGATAGAACTATGCCTTTATAGTCAATAAGCTAAGATCGTAAGAAAACTAATCCTTTTTTATGGAATGAGAGCTACTATAGCCAGGGAGTCAGCAAACTAGAGCCCACAAGCCAAATCTGGCCCACTGCCTGTTTTTTTAAATAAAGTTTTACTGGCACACGGTCACACCCATTCACTTATATATAGTTCATAGCTGTTCTCAGGCTAGAATGGCAGAAGTGAGTACTTGCCCAGATGGCCAGCAAGGCCTAAAATAACCACTGTCTGGCTCTTTATAGAGAAAGTTTACCAATCCCTGCTATGGACTCATCAGTGAGGTGATAGCTGGAAGATGAGGGTGGTGCCACTTCCCAGGGAAGTAGATACTTGATAATGAATGGGATTTCCACCATGGTACACAGCTACTTCATGACAGTTGCTCATCTAGAGAGGGCAGACCGGCATGCACTTGTTCAAGCTGGGAATGTCGCCCTGTCAGGAACAGCAGGAATGGCAGCATGCTCTTTGGGTCTGGAGTTCCTCACACTGAGGGAGTTATAATAGCTGTGGGGTTTCCAGGACTGCTCGTGAAGATTTCACTAACCCTGGCTTTGCCCAAGAAGGAGTAAGTGCTTCATGGAAAAGGCCCTGGAGGCAGAGTCTTGGATCCGGGAGCTTCCAATGTTTCTATGAATCTATGCAAACATGGCTTAACTGCTGGCTCAGTTCTTATTGACTTGAGGGCCTCAAGAAAACTCCAGGGAAGACGCCAGTGAATTAGAGGATCTTTCTCAAAGACTTTGAGATTCTCAAAAATCTGATGATGAACTGGAACATGTGACCATTTCATGGTGCTAGAGGTTATGGAGAAGGGGAGACCATGATTTCACTCCTCAAGGAAAAATCAGCCATGGAGGGTCAAGGAAGAAAGGGACAAACTCCTTCTTCCTCTCCCATCTTCAGATACCCAGGTCTCTGGGGTGGAGATAGCAAGACCTGGGGTTGGCTATGTCTTTGTAACCAGGGGCCCCATGAGTGGGACTGTCCTCCCCAAAGAGCCTGCAAGTGTGCAGTGACAGTAGCCAGAATCCACACAAAGACGCATTCCAATGTCATTTTCCCCACTGGAAGGGGCTCTGCTTTCCAGGTTAGTGAATTACTCTCGTAATTGCAAGTCGGAACAAGAGCCCCAGGGGAGATCTTCGTTTGGATGCCACCGCAGCATAACTGTAGCTGAATGCTGACTTGAAGTTCCAACTGTGGGACAGAGCCACACCGGCTGTGGGCGGGTCTCAGAGAGCTCAGCCACCCCAAAAGCTGAGACTGGTCAGCATTCCCAGCTCAGACATGCACAGGTTGGTCTGCCCTCTCTAGGTGGGCAACTGGCATGAAATAGCTGTGTACCATGGTGGAAACTCCATTCATTATCAAGTATCTACTTCCCTGGCACAGTCCTCATCTTCCAGTCTATTCAGAAAAATTTCCCCAGGATTCCAAATTATTTGCAGAAACTGTGGCCATTTATCGCATCAATGCCATCTGCTCCCAAGGTTCACACAACGGAATCTGGCAAAATCACACACTGCTCAAGAGTGGGAAAAAATATTCCATCTTCCTCTTCCCCAAGAGAAACGAGAAATGACACTTGTTTTTTCCAAGACACTCACTCCAAAGGAGTTACAAAGGATCCAGAGAGATTTCTCATCAAAGGGATTCAAGACAATGACAATTTCTAACATAACTGAAATGACTGATCTGCTACTCAGAAACTTCTTAATTGCCTTGACCGCTCTCTACCCTTGCTTCCAGTAATTTCGTTATTATTATTGTGTTGGTTGTTTCGGAAAACATCTCAATGTGTTTTCAACAGTTGTCATGGAGAGCTGGCATCATAAGGACTTCCTGGAGAAAAATCACCTCAAAGGCTCATGTCCTCCACACACACCCCCAGCACACATGCAAGGATTTTGCAGGAGAAACAGGAAGGAACTTTGAAGACAAAAATATTGTGATGTGATCTATAAATTCATTTCTTTCTTTTGGCACTCATGTGGGTCCTCACCATCTGCCATCACCTACAAATTATTGGCTTTTATTACAATGTTATGATTACACATGACAGCAAACACAAAACTTTAACAAATTAACAAAGCATAATTAACACAACTGAAACGTGATTGAGAAACAGCTGCAAACCAAAGCTCTAACCAGTAAGGAAAGGCACCAGAGAATGTGTCTACATGCAAGTGTTTAGCAATATCTTTGTATTGAGACTATTTGTCAGCTCAGAGGCACAGCTACCTGCCAATATCAAGAGACATTTTCTAACATCTAAGCAGTTGTAGAGAGAATGATTACTGAAAAATCCACAAAATCACCCAACAAGGACGTACAAATTCCATAATGTTGGGCGAAACAAAGCATTCTGCATTTTTCACAAATAGATACCTGCATAAATCATTTAATACTGTTCCTTTCAATCATCAGGATCATCTTTGTATTTGGAGTCCTGTGAAAAGTGTACTGCATACAAAAGCACATGGAACAAAAGAGCACCAAGATGTCACAGGTGGAAGAAAATGGAATCTGTGCTCCAAGACTCTGCAATCTCTATTAACAGCATTACTATTCAAAGTTTGTGAAAGAAAGTGCATGAATTCCGAAAGCCATTTGTTCCCTCTGACATGATGGAGCTTTGAGGAAAGACATCTAATAGAAGAGAAAAGATCAGAAGAGAAAAATCAAACAATTGTGTCTGTGAAGCATGCCTCCCTTCTTAGAACTTTCTAACGTTTAGGGCAATACCCAGACTTTCTTTCCTTGTTGTACTTCCACCCATGTCCCCCTCTTTGGGAGACAGGATCACCGGCAGGTGCTATGCTTTTCTTTGGGACCCCTTCAGTTTCTTCTCTTTACTTCCCATCTCACCCCTGACCATTCAGGCCTATTGCCTAATCCCATTTTTAATTTGCTGTCACTTTTTTTCTCTTCCTTCCCTTTGAGATGCTGCTTGGAACATTTTTCCTTTTCAGTATTCTCCTTTTAGAAATTTAGAACATTCGCCTTTGAAGTCTTATCTGCAATTTTTTTCCTCCTCATTAAGTTCCAAGTTCCACTGGAAAACTAGGAGAGAGGAACAAGTGGCAGATGACAAGAATATTAAAAAGGACTTAGAAACAGAAAATGCCACTCTCACAACAACCAGAATATAGAAAATTGAGCTCATGTAAGCTTCCTAGATCTTAACCGCACTGATGTGAGGCAAATTGCAAAGTCACAGAATTCCTGCAAAGGAAAGAAAAATTCTCTTCTCACAACATAGAGGGGGTTTGGTGTTATTGAGCCACGGTGCACCTGTGTGCTAATTTTAACCGCTCCTTTCCCTCCTGCCCCCATGCCCTTAGGGACATGCTGAAGACTCAGTAAGATGAAGGAGGAGCCCAGACACTCCCTCCTGGCTCCTTTTCCAGCCTCACCTGGAAACCTCCTCAGAGACTCCAATCCCTGCCCATGCCCACCCGCCAGACACTCCTCTTCCCTCTGTGCTCATTCTACAAACAAAATGCTTCAGGAGCATGGCCAGCAGCACTGGCTAGTTGCCATCAGGAGGGAGGGCTCCTGGTGAGCCCCCTCTCTCCTTGCCAGGTGTATTGCTTTCCTGCTGCTGCCATAACAAGTTCCCACAAACACAGTGGCTTACAACAACACAAATGGATTATCTTGCAGTTCTGGAGGCCAGATATCTGCAATGGGAAACACTGGGCTAAAATTGAGGTGTCAGCAGGGCTGGTTCCTTCTGGAAGTTTCAGGGGGGAATCTGTTTCTTTACCTTGACTGGTTTTCTAGACAAGGCTGCCTGCATTCCATGGCTCCTTCCTCCTCCTTCAAAGCCAGCAACAGCAGAATCATATCAACATGAGTTGGCACATGCAGGAATCATTTTGGGGTGGTAGGTGTTTTCATGCATGCGATGGCTTCCACGTGGTAGAGAGAGTTGACAGTAGCCCTTAATTTCTGATTTGGGCAACTGAGATGTGAGACAGGGGATACAGGGACAGAAAGGGACTTGATGAGAGTAGGTCATAATAATAGCTAGCACTGGCCGGGCATGGTGGCTCACGCCTGTAATCCCAACACTTTGGGAGGCCGAGGTGGGTGGATCACTTGAGGTCAGGAGTTTAAGACCATCCTGGCCAACACAGTGAAACCCCATCTCTACTAAAAATACAAAAAATTAGCCGGGTGTGGTGGCAGGCACCTGTAATCCCAGCTACTCAGGATGCTAAGGCAGGAGAATCGCTTGAACCCGGGAGGCAGAGGTTACAGTGAGCCGAGATCATGCCACTGCACTCCAGCCTGGCAATAGAGCGAGACTCCATCTCAAAAAAAAAAAAAAGAAATAATAGTCATAATCATAATAGCTAACATTTACCTGTTCACTCATTCATAAATACTGATTGAGGGTTCTGTGTGCCAGGCTGTATTTTTCCAGGCACTATGTAGACAATAGTGAACAAGACAGATGAAATCTCTGACCTGGGAGTCTTCTGCCAGAATCCATGAAACTATGGCAGGCCCACTTGTTAGTTTGCAAGTAAGGTAAAATCTCAGACAGCTCACAATTCTTCACAATGCTTTTTAAAACTGTGTATCTTAAGGCCTTTATACAAACACGTTAAATCTGGTCTATGGAGTCTGCCTAAACACTGGGAAAGACTTTAATCACAAAATATTAATTTTACACACCTTCTCACCGAGTTGAAAAGCAATGGAATCCCAAGGAAACATAGTAGATGCTAACTTACTATCCTCTGATTCCGTGGAAAGCTTATTTGCCATTTCTGGGATAGTTTGCTATACCCATTCGCAGGTTGGCCAGGATGACAGGGAACACCTTGTGTTCACATCTATTCTTGTCACCTGCTGCTCTGCTTCCTAGACACATGGCCAGACCAAATTTCCCAGTGTCTTTTGCAGATGGGTGAGGGTGTGACCATTCTGGCCAATGGAATAGGTGCAGAAGGAACTTATGCCCCTTCCTGGTCTGGCTCATAAAAAGCTTCTGTGTGGGCCGGGCGCGGTGGCTCATGCCTGTAATCCCAGCACTTTGGGAGGCCGAGGCGGGCAGATCACCTGAGGTCAGGAGTTTGAGACCTGCCTCAACATGGAGAAACCCTGTCTCAACTAAAAATACAAAAAAATTAGCTGGCGTGCTGGTGCATGCCTGTAATCCCAGCTACTCGGGAGGCTGAGGCAGGAGGATTGCTTGAACCTGGGAGGCGGAGGTTGCGGTGAGCCGAGATTGCGCCATTGCACTCCAGCCTGGGCAACAAGAGCGAAACTCCGTCTCAAAAAAAAAAGCTTCTGTGTGGTCTTTCATACACGCAGTCTCCTCCCACATCCACCAGCTGAATGGAGGAGATGGGAAGGCCCTGGAAAATGGAACCACCGTAAGGCAGGAGCCTGGGTCCCTGAGTGATGCTGTGGAGTAGACTTTCTCCCCCGCAAGTTTCTGCCATCACCTGGACTTTACATGAGTAAGAAAGAAACTCCATTGTTCTGAGCCACTGAAAAATTGGGGTTGTGTGTTACAGAGGTTAGCCTATGCTGACTAACTCAAACAGTTTCAGTATGTGGACCTCAAGTTTGTCTCACACACACATACAAATATATACACATAGATCAACGACACAGAAGCCACGCAGACAGAAACGCCAGGACACAGCCACCACCTATGACCGTGCTTAATCTTCTCTCAATTCTTGCAAGCTCCTCTCATGCACTGAGAAATGTCCCAGATTCAAGCATTATAATTGCTGTTATTTTTAGCAAGTTATTAAAGTTATATAAGTTATAAAGTTTTATAAATTATATAAGTGACCACTCTTGCTCGTGGAAAAATACCATAAAATGATGCATGGTTGAAGAGGCTCAGATTATCAGCAAGACGAGACCCTGGAAATATCAACCCTCCTCATGGATACTTGGAATTCAGTGTCTGTGAACTCCGTTTCGGGGACTTATGCCAAAGAGAGTTCCTTGTCACTTTCCTTATGGATCAAATGATCTCCATTTGGGAAGCTTCAGGAAACACCCAGCTAAGGTGAGAATGCAGCCAGCTTCTCCGTCCCAAAGGAAGACTTTGGGCTGTTTTGGGGTTTGTTTAAACCAGGCCCCTTTGTCAAAATTCTGTGAAGCAAGACCCACCTTTGTGGGTAGAGAAGAGTCCAACCCAATGCATGGATTTTAGTCCTGCCTCTGCTTTCTCCTTTTCTAACCTGTTGCTATTCAGGGAATCTTTCTAAAACTGGATAAAAATGTAATGCAGCAAATGCTTATCCAGTATATGCAACGTGCAAAGCTCCAAGTTCGGCACTTAGAAAGACGCTAAGATGGGGAGCGACACGGCCCCTGCCCATCTATCTCTGTCCTAACTCCCAAGGGTCTCTCCTTCTCCACTCCCAACAGTGCTGGGAGGTAGACAAGGGTTGCTGCCCCATTTAATGGATGAAGAAGCTGAGGCTTACAGAGCACAAGTTGTCTGCTGAAGATCACAAGGATCGATGGTGGCAGAGCTGAAACCAAACTGCAGATCTGTTGGGCATCCAGTCCAGCTCCACGCTACTCTCACCTCACTGCACACACGTGGAAACTTTATTGCAAACACTCCAAATTATGTTCAATTACTGGAAATATCAAAATTTGAGACCCAAACAAATTATATCTCAACCAACAACATTCAACCCAGGGGAAAGGCAGTTAAAGGGTATTTTACACACACACACACACACACACACGTGCACACACATGCATGCACATACATACACACACACTCAAATATCAAAATTTGAGACCCACACAAATTATATCTCAACCAACAACATTCAACCCAGGGGAAAGGCAGTTAAAGGGCATTTTACACACACACACACACACACACGTGCACACACATGCATGCACACACATACACACACACTCAATCCCTCACTCCACCTCTGAATTTCCTAGAGCATCATTCCACTCTGCCCTTTGCGAGGCCCATATTCGTAGCCTCTCTTGGTGTGGAACCACAGGGATAAGTCACAATATGTTCCCTCCCGGAATAAATCACCTGTCAGCTGTCCTGCAGCTAGAATTTCTCGGTGACCTGTCCCCAGCTGGTCCTGCTGTGACAGCCGCAACTTGGGATTCCTATTTTCCCTGGGAGCAGGTGACAGCTTGCAGGCTTGCTGAAAGACACCCATCCCAGCTTTGACGGGGCATCTGCAGGGCCCTCACCTTCCTCTGCAGGGTCCCCGAGCCTCCTGCTCATCCATTTCCCCTCCAGCACCCCCAGAGCAGCCTGGAGCCAGCCTGCAATGTCAGACACAGGCAGCAGGTCACTCAGGCCCATGCACAGAACCTGCTGTCCCATCTGCCTGGGCTGTCCCCAAGGCACAGGGGCTGCGGACACCCACCAACAGGGGGGAACCCAGAGGAGGGGCTCATAGAAGCAGGAGGACGGAGCAGGGCTGACCAACAGGCACAGGGACACAGCCCGTCAGCACTACCTCTGCTGTCTCTCTCGGTGGTTTCTGAAGGACCACTTACTGCTCAGCCCATCTTCAGCCCCTCTCCAGATCCCACCAACAGGGTTTAAGAACCTTTGCTATTTCTGCACCAACAGTTTGGTTTTCCAAACTGGGAGGCTTGTGATCAATGTGCCCTGATTGGAACCACCACCGCCACCCCCCACCAGCTGGACTGAAAGGCACCTCACTCAGAAGGAGCTAAAATCCACAGCTTGCAGTGTGACAGAGCTGGAGGAAGATGTAATAGAGGAATCAACGCATTTTCCAAGCCATTTGGGGACCGTGGTATGGTTCGGCCCATAGAGTCTCAGTCACCCCATGGAGGAGCTCATCAATGAGGCTTCAGAACAAGGCCTTAGCTCACTGGCTGGGTTCACATGACCCCACCATCATCCTCAGAACAGGAGCAGAGGACGAGGGATGGACGAGAGCAGCTGGGCGTCAGTGTGACCCGCTCTGAGACTCCCCAGACCTGGCGTCTCATTTGACCTGAGGGACAAGCCCTCTGCCCGCCTCTCACATGGCCAGGCCACCCCCAGCTCTGCGTGGACAGGCTGCTGTCTACGCTTGCAGAGCTGCTGTCATCTGAAGGCATCACCCACTCCTGCTAGATGGGACCGGATGAGCCACCACCAGGGGACGAACTTCCTGCATCCCCATGTGCCCCTGGGCAGTTTCCACACTGCTGGCCTCCCCAGGTATGTAACTCCATGCATGGGCCGACCTCACCTTCCTAATGAGACCTGGTCCCTTGGGGCCAGGACAGTGGGGCCACTTCCTATAGCACAGCGCTGGTCAGACAGGAGAGAGGTGATGAATTCCCAGGCAGTGAGCCCCATTCTCCTTCCCCTCCTCACCCTTCCTAGAGCCTGGGGAAGCCTGCAGGCCACGGCCCCCCTCTGCGGGGTCCCCACACATGAGTCCCCATGCCTGATCCCAGACGTTCTACCCACAGCTGCCCACGGCAGGCATGGAGGTGACCAGCACCCAGGAGCTACCTGGCCTGAGGCCTCCAACACACAGGCTCACCAGCACGGGGGAGGGCTGCAGCCCAGCCCAGCCCTGCCGCTGCAGGCAGAACATGAGACCCACAGGAAGGCACCAGCTTTAGGGTGAGTCAGGCTGAGAGTCACACACAGTGTGGGCAGCTGAGGCCATGAGGCCTCAGGCCATGTGCAGGGATCCTGGATGAGCCTCCACTCCTTCCTGCCCATACCTGAGACGAAAGATGCTCAGGGTAGCAGTAGTCTCGAGGCGGTAAGGCAAAGGCCAGCGGGGACGCTTGTAGGCAGCTAACACAGTGAGAGCAGAAACAAGCACTCAGCCCTCCGGGAGCTGCCAGCTTCACGGGAACGAGATCCTCTCCAGGGGATCTGGAGCGGCTGCGTGTTCCGCACATTAATCCTCTCCATGAGACCTGGTCACCTTTCTCCCCCTGAGTTCCTGAGCATCGCAGCTGGGGAATCTGGGCAGGGCCCCGTCATCGCCTAAGAAAATCGCTGCACCATGACAACCTGCAGCTCGCTAACCCCATTCTGCATTCATCTCAGCCTTCCCTTACTGCCTGTGTCTTACTTAATTTGCAAACATCTTGCACCCTCGCTTTCACCAGATCCTGGACTTAGAGGCAGTGTTCTTGTCCATAGAATTGTGCTCCGAGGCTGCACGCCCACCTCTCCAATGCTATTTCACCTTGCTCCATTCACTCGCCTCTCCAGCCCCATGTTTGTGGTGCCAGCAGCAGTGGGGAAGGTAGGAAGGAAGCTGGTGCATGGGGACAGGCAGCAGGGCTGCTGGATGGAGTGTCCCAGTGTGCCACACAGTGGCATCCAGCTTCCACCCTCCGAGCCAGTCAAGGTCAACCAAGAGCCACCAGGTGTCATGTCTGGAGATGGAGAACAACGGTGGGAGCAGCAAGAGATGTAGAGGGATGCGGAGCCTTCTCAGAGAGGACACGTCTTTCTCACTTCTACCTCATGACAGGTGCCCGAAAATATTGTACAGGTGTATTCAGAAAGAGTAGAGAGCCACGGATGTGAGTAGTGGCGGTGAGCATTAAATGCCACACTTACCTGCAGAACTAAGGATGAGTGATGGTTATGATGGAGAGAGTGTGGCTGGCAATGGCGTTATGCTCTGAGAGTGAGACACAGAACAACCCTATCAAATGGTGGAATGATGGGAAGTGCATATAAAGAGTAGAATAAACCTCCTGATTGCCTTACAGGTATTAACCAGGAATAAAAGGATGTTTTTCAAATCAGATGCTGGAGAAGAGGTAGGAGAAAGAGAAGAAGAGGTTATAGCTGCTTTCAATATTGCTCACAATAGGGAACTGAGAGACCATAGGCAAAAAGAAAAGAGAGATAGGATGATTATTATATACAAGTATTAATAGAGAGGTAACCAAAAATATACACCTTTTGTGGTAGATTTAAGACAGCCACATAGGCTGGTGTCTCACAACTGTCATCACAGCACTTTGAGAGGCTGAGGTGAGAGGATCACCTGAGGTCAGAAGTTTGAGACCAGCCTGGGCAACATAGTGAGACCTGTCTATACAAAAAACATTTTAAATTAGGCAGCCATGACAGTAGACACTAGTAGTCCCAGCTACTCAGGAAGCTGAGGTGGGAGGATCACATAAGCCCAGGAGTTAAGAGGCTACAGTGAGCTATGATTGCACCACTGCACTCCAGCCTGGGTGATTTTTTTTTTTTTTTTTACAGACCCTGTCTCTAAAATATATATATATATTCTTTGCTACTTCTTTGCTGGGTGCTGTGGCTCACTCCTATAATCCCAGCACTTTGGGAAGCCAAGGCAGGAGGATCACCCAAGGCTAGGAGTTTTGAGACCAGCCTGCACAATGTACCAAGATCCCATCTTTGCTAAAATAAAAAAATTAGGTAGGCATGATAGGCAGCTCTATAGTCCCAACTACTCGGGAGGCTGAGGTGTGACAATTGTTTGAGCCAAGGAGTTCCAGGCAGTGAGCTATGCCACTGCACTTCAGCCTGACCTGTCTCTTAAAAAGAGAAAAGAAGAAAGAACATGGTGGAAGTGAAGTGACATTCTGAGACTTGTGAGGTTAGGCCATTAGAACTCTTGCAGTTTCTGCCTGGCCCTGCTGAACATGCTCTCTAGGAGCCCTGAGGCCAGGTGAGGAGTCCAAGCACTCTGCAGGTGCTCGGCCTAAGCCTCAGCTAAGCCTCACCCTCTGGCATCCACTTCAAGTCACCAGACATGGAAGTCAACAGCCACTCAAATACTCTAAACCAACCCATTCACAGCTGAATATAATTAAGTGACTTCTGTTCAGGACGCCTGAAACAGAAGAATCACCCCGCCAGTCCCTGCTCAACTGCCTGGCTCACAAAATCATCTGTCAGTATGAGTTCATGATGCATTTGATCTCAAAGGAAATATAAACTATCTTTAAGAAGATACTGTCCCCTGAAAAGGCCTAGAAATGTATCATCAACCCAGCAGCACTGAGCACTGTCATGCTGCACTGTGGTCTCTAAATACCATTTCCTACCAAAAAGAACGGGGCTGCCTGCAGGAATGGCTGATTCCAGATCCGAAAATGAAAATACACACAATGAATCTAAAATTGTGTCATCCAGAAATCAAAGAAGCTACCAAACATTAATAGGGGCATGCCAAAAGAAATCAGGAGTTCATCTGAATAAAATCTTACTCATCAAAAATAAAGGCCAGGCATGGTGACTCACACCTGTAATCCTAGCACTTTGATAGGTTGAGGCGGGTGGATCACTTGAGGCCAGGAGTTCAAGACTAGCCTGGCCAAAATGGTGAAACCCCGTTTCTACTAAAAATACAAAAATTAGCTGGGCATAATGGTGCACACCTGTAATTCCAGCTACTTAGGAGGCTGAGGCACAAGAATGGCTTGAACCTGGGAGGCAGAGGTTGAAATGAGCCCAGATTGTGCCACTGCACTACAGCCTGGATGACAGAGGGAGACTCTGTCTCAAAAAAAAAAAAGATATAATTTAAGCATCAATAAAAATAATAACTACAATAGGCTGAATCCATAGGTTCATAATAATATTAAAAAGCTCACTGCTCACAACTGGAAGATGGTCATGAACCACATCGCTACTCTGAAGTTGATAAAGAGAAAAGATAAGGCATTTACTAATCTTTGCCTTCACAATACAAACTGCAGGATAACAAAAGAATTGATGGGCGAAAGGATTCCAATTAGTAAACAAAGAAGGGATGATCTAATGTCACATTTTGAAACTCCTAATGAATTCATGGATCAAGGCAATGGAAACCACAAGAAAACCTGAGAGAAGCTGGTTTTAAATACTTTCTGATAGAAGAGCCCAGCAACATCTATGAAGTCATCTTAACACTCAAGAATTTAAACTCAAATCTGATCAAACCTCTAGCTCCAACTACTAAAGTTTAGGAAAAGCAAGGCATAGAGAAACATGTTAGACAAAAGCATGGCACTATAGGAAGTTACAAGGCAAATGCGTTGATTTTTTCAATTAATAAATGACCATACAACCAGAGAGGGACTTATGAACCAATTTAAACAAACTAAACTTGTTTGGATCCCAATTCAAATAAATCATCCAAAAAAATTCTTAAGACAATTTAGGAACTGTAAACACTGACTAAGTATTTGCTGATATTTTAAAAGATTGTTTTTATATGAGATAACAGTATAGTGGTTATTTGTTTTTAAGTTCTTTGTCTTTTCCTTATCTTTCAGATACACACTGAAACATTTAGAGATAAAATTATCTGATTCTTGGAAACTGCTTCAAAACAATTGGGTAAGGGCAAAGATTAAAGAGGTTAGAAAAAACAAGATTGGCTAAATTGATAATTTTTGAGGCTAGGTGGTCAGTACATTCGCTTCATGATAAATGGCTCTCTAACTTGGTATATGTTTTTAAATTTTGCGTTAAGTTTTTTAAAAACCATGCTGACAAATAATTTTCAGTAACATAGAAAATGCTTATGACACAATATTACGTGGGAAAAGGCAGGAAAAAATATCAATATAGTAAGATCCAAGCTATGTAAATCAGTATGTTCAATGCCCAAATGTTTGCAGTGGCTATTTTGGGTGGTGGGCTTATTATGGATAAATGTCATCCTTTACACTAATTTTCCAACTTTCTTTTAATACAATGGGCACATATGACCTGGCGAATTAGGAAAAACAGATAGTTATTTTAGTTTTTAAGAGTAGGTGAACTATGAGCCATTTGAAATAATACTCTTGAGTCTTGAGTCTTGAGTGATGTGTTTAGGTAACATCCTCTGAGAGAGAGCTGGCACCACCCCAGGGTGCCTCTTAGCACCTAAAAGTCACATCTGGTGTAAGATGGCAACGTGCCACTCTGTTTCTGAGGCGCCGTAAACAAAGGATTGATACATTTATGTTTCCACTCAGTATGACCAAAGGAATGAAAAAAGTGCAATAATCTCACATATTTGACTCTCGGATGTCCCCAAAGGAGCGCAGCTTGGTAAATGACTATCACTAGGTAATCACTGTTCTAGAAACTTCTGTGCCAGAGACAACTTGGGCGTTTTACAGTTTTTGTTCTGTTGCAAGACGTGATCCAGGGGATTATGCACACTCCTCTCCTGCCTTTCTCCACAGGAAAGCAGACTGTTAGTCCCTCAGCAGGGCAGAGCATGCCAGGTCAGGGGCTCTCTCAGCAGACATTTCCTCAGAGGCCCGAAGCCCTAGCACCTCCCATAAGCAGGGCCTTGCTTTCCAGTGGAGTGTTTGTGTAAAAGGAATTTTTATGCCAGTGCCCTCTTAGGAATCTTTCTTTAAAATCATATGAAAGAAATGCAGAGAGAGATCTGAGTAAATCCTATACAACCCATAAGCCTAGAAAGTTCCAGAAGCATTCAGAATATTAATACAGCCATCATCAGGCCTTTTCCTCTCCCATGGAGTCATTGGCACCCTGGGAGATCTGGCTGGATAGTTCTGTCCATAATCTCTTAGATTTCTTGGTGGTTTTGTTTTATTTTATTTTTCCTCTTCTTGATATCCCTCCTGAGGATGATTTGACCTTTCTGGTAAAAATCTTAACTTGGGAATTTCTTGGATTTCCTGCCTGGAGATTATCACTCCAACATTTCCATATCGCATCTGCACATCTGTGTGGTTTCCAGCATTTGTACTTCATTCCGTCACTCCCCAGTGGCTCTCAAATGTCTTCTCCAATCTCAACAAACTGCCCTCTGGGGCTGTAAGCTCCATTTTTATCGATGGGAAAATAGAGACACCAAGAGGACTTGGCGAGGAGCGAATTCACCCTTGCCTGGACCCTGCTCCAGCCACGCTGGCCGGCCTCAGCGAGGGGCACCCACACACACAGGCCCAGTGCTCCACTCAGACACCTAAGGAGGCAGAGGCTCCATTAACACACCCTCATCCTCACCAGGCTTCCTTCTTTAGCCACAGGTGTGTCTGCCGTGACTGCATCTACCCCAGCATCAGTATGCAAATAAGCCAAAGGTGCAATGCATGGACTGACCTCCACGTAGATTTCACAGGATGGAACTGCCGTTTACAGGAGTCCTGTATATGGGAATCTAAACTTACCCATGAAAGGCAGAAAAGCTTCGGGAAATCACTCTTCGGGAAAGTAGAAGAAGAACTTAGATAACCCACCACCTCCCAGAGTGCACCCAGATGGAATGGATGCATCCTTCCTCGGGCTGAAAGGTCTGAAGAGAAGCTCCCTAGATCAGAGCCTCTCACCGGATTAAAATCCAGATGCAGATTCAGTAGGTCTGGCACGGCCTGACATTCTGCATGTTAACAGCCCCTAGTTGATGCAGATGCTGCTGGTCCTTGCAGCCCACACTTTAAGTAGCAAAGATTTAGAGCTGAGCTGCCCAATACAATGGCCACTACCTACTGTGGCTGTTGAGCCCTTGAAATGCAGCAAGTTATAATTAAAATGTGCTGCAAGTATAAAATACACACAAGATTCTGAAACTATTCCAAACAACAGATAAAGAGGGACTCCTCCCTAACTCATTTTATGAGGTCATCATCATCCTGATACCAAAACCTGGCAGAGACACAACAAAAAAAACATTTTAGGCCAATATCCCTGATGAACATTGATACAAAAATCCTCAATAAAATACTGGCAAACCAAATCCAGCAGCACATCAAAAAGCTTATCCACCAAGATCAAGTCAGCTTCATCCCTGGGATGCAAGGCTGGTTCAACATACGCAAATCAGCAAAGGTAATCCATCACATAAACAGAACCAATGACAAAAACCACATGATTATCTCAATAGATGCAGAAAAGGTCTTTGATAAAATTCAACACCCTTCATGCTACAAACTCTCAATAAACTAGGTATTGATGGAACGTATCTCAGAATAGTAAGAGCTATTTATGACAAACCCACAGCCAGTATCATACTGAATGGGCAAAAGCTGAAAGCATTCCCTTTGAAAACCGGCACAAAACAAGGATGCCCTCTCTCACCACTCCTATTCAACAAAGTATTGGAAGTTCTGTCCAGGGCAATCAGGCAAGAGAAAGAAATAAACGTATTCAAATTGGAAGAGAGGAAGTCAAATTGTCTCTGTTTGCAGATGACATGATTGTATATTTAGAACACCCCACCGTCTCAGCCCAAAATCTCCTTAAGCTGATAAGCAACTTCAGCAAAGTCTTAGGATACAACAGCAATGTACAAAAATCATAAGCATTCCTATACACCAATAATAGACAAACAGAGAGCCAAATCATGAGTGAACTTCCATTCATAATTGCTACAAAAAGGATTAAATACCTAGGAATACAACTTACAAGGGACGTGAAGGATCTCTTCAAGGAAAACTACAAACCACTTCTCAAGGAAATAAGAGAGGACACAAACAAATGGAAAAACATTCCATGCTCATGGATAGGAAGAATCGATATTGTGAAAATGGCCATACTGCCCGAAGTAATTTATAGATTTAATGCTATCCCCATCAAGCTACCAATGACTTTCTTCACAGAATTAGAAAAAACTACTTTAAACTTCATATGGAACCAAAAAAGGGTCTGTATAGCCAAGACAATCCTCAGCAAAAAGAACAAAGCTGGAGGCATCATGCTACCTAACTTCAAACTATACTACAAGGCTACAGTAACCAAAACAGCATGGTACTGGTACCAAAACAGATATATAGACCAATGGAACAGAACAGAGGCCTCAGAAATAATGCCACACATCTACAACCATCTGACCTTTGACAAACCTGACAAAAACAAGCAATGGGGAGAGGGTTCCCTATTTAATAAATGGTGTTGGGAAAACTGGCTAACCATATGCAGAAAACTGAAAGTGGACCCCTTCCTTACACCTTATACAAAAATTAACCCAAGATGGATTAAAGACTTAAATGTAAGACCTAAAACCATAAAAACCCTAGAAGAAAACCTAGGCAATACCATTCAGGACATAGGCATGGGCAAAGACTTCATGGCTAAAACACCAAAAGCAATGGCAACAAAAGCCAAAATTGACAAATGGGATCTAATTAAACTAAAGAGCTTCCACACAGCAAAAGAAACTATCAGCAGAGTGAATGGGCAACCTACAGAATAGGAGAAAATTTTTGCAATCTACCATATGACAAAGGGCTAATATCCAGAATCTACAAAGAACTTAAACAAATTTACACGAAACAAACAACCCCATTGAACAGTGGGCAAAGGATATGAACAGACACTTCTCAAAAGAAGACATTTATGCAGCCAGCAACATGAAAAAAAACTCATCATCACTGGTCATTAGAGAAATGCAAATCAAAACCACAATGAGATACCATCTCACGCCAGTTAGAATGGCCATCATTAAAAAGTCAGGAAACAACAGACGCTGGAGAGGATGTGGAGAAATAGGAATGCTTTTACGCTGTTGGTGGGATTGTAAATTAGTTCAACCACTGTGGAAGACAGTGTGGTGATTCCTCAAGGATCTAGAACCAGAAATACCATTTGACCCTGCAATCCCATTACTGGGTATATAACCAAAGGATTATAAATCAGTATACTATAAAAGACACATGCACATGTATGTTTATTGCAGCACTGTTCACAATAGCAAATACTGGGAACCAACACAAATGCCCATCAATGATAGATTGGATAAAGAAAATGTAGCACATATACACCATGGAATACTAGGCAACCATAAAAAACAATAAGTTCATGTCCTTTGCAGGGACATGGATGAAGCTGGAAACCATCATTCTCAGCAAACTAACACAGGAACAGAAAACCAAACACTGCATGTTCTCACTCATAAGTGGGAGTTGAACAATGAGAACACATGGACACAGGGAGGGGAACATCACACACCAGGGCCTGTCTGGAGGTGGGGGACTAGGGGAGGGATAGCATTAGGAGAAATACCTAATGTAGATGATGGGTTGATGGGTGCGGCAAACCACCATGGCACGTGTATACCTATATAACAAACCTGCACATTCTGCACAGGTATCCCAGAACTTAAAGTATAATTTAAAACACACACACACACAAGATTTCAAAGATAGAATGAGACAAAGAAGATAAAATTGTTCACTAATCATTTTTATATCAAATATATGATGAGATGATACGAATATATTGGTTTAAATTAGCTATGGTATCAAAATTAACTTCACTGTTTTTTTTTTTACTTTAAATACTGGGATACATGTGCAGAATGTGCAGGTTTGTTACACAGGTATACACGTGCCATGGTGGTTTGCTGCATCTATCAGCCTATCATCTAGGTTTTAAGCCCCGCATGCATTAGGTATTTGTCCTAATGCTCTCCCACCCCTTGCCGCCCATCCCCCGACAGGTGTATGATGTTCCCTTTCCTGTGTCCATGTGTTCTCATTGTTCAACTCCACTTAAGAGTGAGAAAATTCAGTGTTTGGTTTTCTGTTCCTGTGTTAGTCAAAGGACATGAATGAAGCTGGAAGTTCACTATTTCTTTTTTATTTTTTAACATGTGACTACAAGAAAACTTTCCATTATAAAAACACCCCATGTTTCTATTGGTCAGCACTGATCTGCAAGACTCTACAAGCTTTAAAGCTAAAATTCTTGAAAGTGCTCTTAGAAATGGTTTTATATGCTTGCCTTCTCCTTGGAAATATACACAATTTATCAACCTGCCAAAAAGGTCTTATCCATCCACCTCTTCTCACTAGGAAGTAGCAAGAGAAAGGGCTGATCAAAGCCAGATAACCTGTCCCACATAATGGCCAAGGCTTCCTTTGAATAATATCATGGTGGCTTTTGATTTTACATAGCCAATTCCAGATAAGAGAGGCCCGTCCTTGTTAAAATGACTGTTAAGTCCATTCAACATAATATTATCTAAAGACCGACTATCACTCCAATTTCTGATAAAAGCAACAAATGTGGTTAGAGTCCCAGGCTGATCTTTTGCTTGGTTAACACAATCCAGTCCATTTTTTCCTAATGATCACTTCTTTTCTTTCAGCTGAAATGTCTTTCTCATTAGCAGACATTTTTGAAGTAGAGGGGTTGTTTGTTTAAGGCTTCAAGACCAAGGCAAACATTTGTTATAAGGCTCCAAAGGAATTTGCAAATAATTTCCATCCATGATTTCCAAAGCCACAGGCTGCTTGTATAACATTTGTGCAAAATGCGTGGGCTGCTCCCATGAAGCAAGCATTGCCAGAAATGTTTACTCTGCAGGAGTAAAGCTGTGTGTTTGTCACTCTGTTTGAAAACTTCCACATGGCAGCTCAATGGGTAGAGTGTGGAATAGACACTCCATGGATGGCCACGGAACTCTCCATGCCTGTGTCCTCTGATGAGCTGCCCTTGCAGGATTTGACACCTCTTGATTCACTGTGGCTGTCACCTCTTTGAATTGTCTTCAGTTAAGACTGATCACACAAAGGCCAAGTACAGAAGGGTTCTCCAGCTCTCTAAATGCAGGCCATCCCATGAAGTTTAAGAATAGAAAAGCCCTGGACAGTCGTGGGACAATGTTATAGCATAAATTGTGTCCCCAAAAAAGATGTATTGAATTCCTAACCCCTGATATCTCAGAATGTGACCTAATTTTGGAAGTAGGGTCTTTACAGAGGTAATCAAGTTAAAATGAGGGTATTAGAGTGGGCTCTAACCTAGTATGACTGATGTCCTTATAAAAGGGGGGAATGACACAGACACAAAGGAAGAACTACATGAGGAGACACCGAGAACCATGAGAAGATTGGACTTAGGCTGTCACAGCCAAGGAATGACTGGGGCTACCAGAAGCTGGGAGAGAGGCCTGGAACAGATCTCTCCCTACGGCTCTGCAGAGCTTGGATTTGGTCTTCTCTCCTCCAGAACAGCAAGAGAATAAATCTCTCATGTTTTCAGCCACCCAGTTGGTGGCATTTTATTACAGTAGCCCCAGGACTAATACAGACTTGAATTCTAACAGTTCCCATGACTTTTGGGGTTTTTTTTTTGCCATCATTCTCACATGCCATCCCACCTTGGTCCCTTAGTATGCGTCAGTGATCTGGGGGTGACCACGTATAGTGGCAGCATCTTAAAAATGCATTCTATAGGTTGCCAGATTTAACAAATACAAATAGAGGATGCCTAGTTCAAGTTGAATTTCAGATAAACAACAGATAATTTTTAGTATAAGTATTTAGTATACTATTTGTAAGTGTTTAGTATAAGTATTTACTATAAGTAATGTCCTTCAGACATACTTATACTAAAAAGTTTTCTGTTGTTTATCTGAAATTCATGTTGAAACTGGATGTCCCGTATTTTATCTGGCAACCTAAATAATAAGCATCTTTGAAATACTCTAAACTCCCTGGAAAAGACATGTGTTTGGTGCCACGAGGCGGGCTGGGAGAATTTCCATGAGGCTGGGCCAAAACACAGGGTTCATTGCTTGGCATCAGCTCACTTCTGCTTCCACAATGAGAAGCAGAAACTTAATTCCTCCAAGGAACAATTAATTGGAGTAGAAAGCTTGATTCTTGCATTTCCCATGTAGGTCACAAATTTCTGTTGTTGCAATGTACCTAATACCTATGTTGTGGTTCAAAATGTAGCATCATCTTAATGCATGCCCATAACTGAATTGTTCCGCCTAAAATGAGTGTAATCACCCTAACCCTAAACTATTCATAACAGACAGGTGAGCTTCAGGGGTGCATGACCCACACAGCCACACAGGGCCTTGCGCTCAGGACCCCACACTTGATTCAAAACTCTGCAGTCACCGTATTAAAATTCTCAGTAATTTTTGAGCAAGGGGTTCTGCATTTTTATTTTGCACTGGGCCTCACAAACGATGTCACCGGTCCGAGGACAGGTGTACCTAATAACACGTCAGCTGCTGCACAAAATGCTTCCATCACTGAAAAGTGACAGATGCCTCAGCCTATTCTTTGCTGAACTCGCTTCTAAGCAACTAGAGCCCTTTGGCCTGGCACCTCTCCTCTGCCACGTGCTGCTGTCTCCAGCATTGCTTTAATTTAATTAGTGTCTGGCTGGTTGAAAAGACTGTTTTTGATTCTGTGTGTGCTGTATGAGCTGTTGTCTGGATTCTCTTCCAACTTGGCCTTGGGAACACCCAGTGTCGAATCTGCTGTCTTTGGCTCTGTAAGACTGTGGTTTTTAAAGGACAATTGTTGCTCATAGCAACTTGAAGGCTGGATGGAGACTTGCCTGAAGCCCCATGAACCAGCAGATTTGGGGCTATTTAATTTCCCACCAGTAGCTGATTCCAAAGGTGTGCTTGTGTGGAACCAAATCTCTCTGCCATCAGCCACATTTATTTTCTAATCTTCATTTTTTTTCCCTCCCTTCTCATGTACAGGGTTCAGCTTTCTTTCTCCTCCTCTAAGGTTTTCCTTCCGAATTCCCCTTATCCCTTTCCTTGTCCTCTCCCTGTTTGTAACCCATCCACTATTCCACATGCCCCTAGCTGACCCATTTTTTGCTCAGGTCTTTCTCCAGGGGAGAAGAACCAAAAGATGAGATTCAAATTGATTTTGCTGCTCATTAATGTCCCTTTCAAAGTTCTTGACGAGGGTGATGAAGCCAATGCCTAGGGGAAGAAATTTCAAACATTGGCTTTCCAGTTCCATTCCAGTTCCCCACCAATGTCTTCAGTGATGCCACCATGCAAAGAGCATCAGGAAAGGAGCACTGAATTCTGGCTCAAAGTCACTTCTCTGTGACTTTGGCTAAGACACTGAAACTCTCAAGATCTTGATTTCCTCATCTACAAAATAAGAGTGCTCAATTACATAATAATCTCATAGAAACCTATAATTTGCACACCAAAGTTATAACCATTAATTATCCCACAAAGCACAGCAGGAATTTTCTAAATCTGAGGCTTGTGATCCACTGTATTAGTCAGCAATTGCTGTGATAATGCTACATAACAATCCCAACTCTTGTGGCTTAGAACAACAAACATGTATTTCTTGTCTGATGGGCCAGAGATCTGATTTGGTCCAAACCCATCCAAGGATGTCTCTATAGCCCCAGCATGCTCCAAAACACACATGACCCTTGAAGACAGGGAGCCCTGACCTTGTTCTTGGTCCTCTCATTGGTGAGTCCAGTTGGATCTGTTTGTCTCCTATCAGGGAATCTACCCCGATATTCATGTAGGTTCTTTTCTATTTTCCCTAAGCATTGGCCAGCTTGAGAAATAAAGGGACAGAGTACAAAAGAGAGAAATTTTAAAGCTGGGCACCCGGGGGAGACATCACACGTTGGTAGGATCTGTGATGCCCCACAAGCCACAAAAACCAGCAAGTTTTTATTAGAGATTTTCAAAAGGGGAGGGAGTGTGTGAATAGGTGTGGGTCACAGACATCAAGTACTTTACAAGGTAATAGAATATCACAAGGCAAGTGGAGGCAGGGCAAGATCACAGGACCACAGGACCGAGGTGAAATCAAATTGCTAATGAAGTTTCAGGCACCATTGTCATTGATAACATCTCATCAGGAGACAGGGTTTTGAGATCAACTGGTCTGACCAAAATTTATTAGGCAGGAATTTCCTCTTCCTAATAAGCCTGGGAGCGCTATGGGAGACTGGAGTCTATTTCATCTCTGCAGCCTTGACCATAAGAGATGGCTATGCCCAGGGGGGCCAGTTTAGAGACCTACCTGCAGGCGCACATTCTCTTTCTCAGGGATGTTCCATGCTGAGAAAAAGAATTCAGCGGTATTTCTCCCATTTGCTTTTGAAAGAAGAGAAATATGGCTCTGTTCTGCTCAGCTCACCGGCAGTCAGAGTTTAAGGTTATCTCTCTTGTTTCCTAAACATTGCTGTTACCTTGTTCTTTTTGAAGGTGCCCAGATTTCATATTGTTTAAACACACATGCTCTACAATTTGTGCAGTTAATGCAATTATCACATGGTCCTGAGGTGACATACATCCTCCTCGGCTGACAGGATTAAGAGACTAAAGTAAAGACAGGCACAGGAAATCACAAGGGTATTGATTGGGGAAGTGATAAATGTCCATGAAATCTTCACAACTTATGTTTAGAGACTGCAGTAAAGACAGGCATAAGAAATATAAAAGTATTAATTTGGGGAACTAATAAATGTCCATGAAATCTTCACAATCCACGTTCTTCTGCCATGGCTTCAGCCGGTCCCTCCGTTTGGGGTCCCTGACTTCCCGCAACAGTCTCCTTGGGATTTTGATTTGTCTTTGATCAAGAAGGGTTAGGCTTGTGCAAACGGTGGTATACCTACAATCTCAATTGTCGACGTTTGCCAGACAACGGCTTTGCTCGGGGCCTGGGGCATTGGCCACAAATCTGTTCAATTAATACCAATTGACCAAATAACCAAGATGTTATATTGGCCAAACTAACAGACTGCAGTGTTTTACAGGATTGCTTAAGAACTTTAACAGAAATGTTTTAACATTAACAAGAATTTGGTTTCGATTAATAGATATATAGAAACACATATTTTATCATCAGTAACTAAAATTGTAGTATTTAGCATTGAAGTTGTTTATATTATGCTAACATCTAAGAGACCAAAAAATAAGCTAATTGATTGGCCTGATGAATAGATTTTAACCCAAGACACCATGTACAGTTGCAAAGGCTGTGCACTATACCACCTCAAGAACTCTATGTGCATAGCCATGATGTGAGTGTGCCTCCAAAACTGCATAGCACAGCAACCATGGCTTCAACAAATTCACTCCTCCTCAACCTAAGACCCCTGTCTTCATATTAATTGCCCATTTCTCTGTGACCATGGACTTTTTCTCTGGTTCCCCAGAGAAAAAGAGAGATGACTTTTTCTCATTCCCCAAAGCCATCACCATCCTGTCCTTTTCAGAACCCCATAACAAGACCCTCTTTGTTAATGCATTTCCATTCTGTTCTCTGACTCCCCTGCCTGCTTACACCCAACCCCACTCTGCCAAGAAATGTATGCACATCCTAATGCAGACATGTTGTGCAAACAAGTCTTTTACCTAAGAACTACTGCAGGTGCAGGAATCCAGCACCATGAAGGTTGGAATGGGGAAGTTTACCAGCAGCAGATGGGGCATACCTGATGGAGAAATTCCAAAGAGGGATAATAAGACTCTGCCTGCCTCCTTCATGGAAATATACTCTGAGGTGGAAATGTACACAGTGTTCCCATAAGGGGCTTAGAACCATCATAAATGCATTATGCACAGATACAGCATAAATGTGGGGATGGGGGGTCACAAGTGGCTGGTGCATCAAGGACTCCCAGGCTGTAGGTGACACTCTGGGATGTCATCATACCACTTAGCACCCCCATTATTCTTTTTAATTAAAATGAAATTCACATAATATAAAATTAATCATTTTAAAAGGAACAATTCAGTGGCATTCAGTATATTCACAATGTTGTGCAACCACCACCTCCATCTAGTTCCAGAACATTCCAGCACCCCAAAAGAAAGTCTCATACCCATTAAGCAGCGATTCCCCATTCTCCCTCCCCCATCTCCCACCCTGACCCTTGACAACCACTAATCTGCTTTTTGTCTCTTTGAATGCCCCTATTCTGGGCATTTTATATAAATGGAATCGTACAACATGTGACCTTTTGTATCTGCCTTCTTCGACTTAGCATAATATTTTCGAGATTCATCCAGGTTGTAACGCGTGTCAGTCCTCCATTCTTTTTTATGGCTGAATAATGGTCCAATATATGAAAAGACTACATTTTGTTTAACCATGCCTCCAATAACGGACATCTGAGTTGCTTCCACTTTTTAGCTATCGTGAATAATGCTGCTACAAACATTTGTGTGGAACTATTTCTTGAGTGCTGTTTTCAGCTCTCTTGGATATATACCCAGGAATGGAATTGCATCTTCATCATGATATCCTCTCATTTTTCCAGCCTTTATTCTGAATCTTTTTAGAGGTCAAGGAAAGCAAACTTTTCCTGTAAATAAGCAGATAGTAAATATTTTAGGCTTTGCAAGCCAGGTGGTCTCTGATGCAACTACTCAACTCTGCCTTTGTAGCATGAAGCAACCACAGACAATCCATAAAAAGTTTATTGTTCTTCAATAAAATTTATTCACAAAAACAGACAAAGGGCCAGATTTGGCCCTCAGGCCGTGGTTTGCCAACCCCAGCTCTAGGACAAGCCCAAGTGGATGCAGCCTCTTCCAAGTGCCCCGTTTCACAGGAGAGGCACCTCCTCCAACCTAGCTTTCTATTGCCAGTGAGGATGAGCAAGGGAGACGGACTTAGCCTGTGGCAGAAGAGTTGAGGAACTGCCTTTAAAACTGATTATGAAATATGTGAAATCTTGGGATGTGCTTCTGCTATGAAGAGCAGCATTGTGCTCTCTGTTGATGTTTAAGAGTTAGGCTACCATCTTTCAGGTGGTTTTTGAGAATAAAAGTTTGATGAGTACCTTGACCAATCTCTTGGTGTCCTTTCAAACATTCACCCTTTCTGAGATTTATCAGGGGAGAAAGGGTCGCTCATGCTCAAAAGCTCATTCACCCAACAAGCATTTACTGAGCCTTTACTGTGTGCAGGCACTATACTAAATCCTTGGTATTTAAAATGATGCATTCCTGGAGGTTTTCTTTGGCAAGTTGGCTTGGATACCTCTAGTAATGGGGAGCTCACTACCTACACAGGGCATCCTACCCCATGGCTGCGCAGTTCTTTGCTCCTCAGAAGTACCTAAACCTCACCAGTATGCTTACACACCTCCCTCCCACCAGTCAAATATCAACAGGCACCCCCACCATAAACAGGTACACAGAGAACAGGTGAGGAAATGAGGAAATAGCAAGCAAACAAACAAACAAAGAAACACTGACGGCAACTTTTCTTACTCCTGGTATTTCTAAAAAGCAGAACAAAATCAATTTCACACCCAAGACATCTTGAAATGTTCCCAAACTTGGGCAAAGTTGACAGCTGAATTCTAAGGAGCTGCTTCCCATTAAGAAGAGGATATTAGGAAAGAAAATTATCAGAACTCTTTGTTTAAACTATGGTCTCAGCCAGGCACAGTGACTCAGGCCTATAATCCCAGAACTTTGTGGGGCCAAAACGGGCAGATTGCTTGAGCCCAGGAGTTAAAGACCAGCCTGGGCAATGTACCGAGATCCCATCTCTACAAAAACTTAAAAACTTAGCTGGACATGATGGGGTGAACCTGTGGTACCAGCAGCTACTCAGGAGGCTAAGGAGGGAGGATCGCTTGAGCCCAGGAGGTCAAGCCTGCAGTGAGCCATGACTGCACCACTGCACTCCAGCCTGGGCAACAGAACACAGTGAGACCCTCTCTCAAAAAACAAAAACAAACAAATAACCTTGTCTCCAGAAGAGGCAAATGAGAGGCAGGACAGCACAGAGACGGAAAACTCAGGTCTTGGGGCCTGGCAGGTCTGGGTTTGAAGGCCGCTCTTTCCCCCTTTAGCTGAGGGACCTGGTGCATGTCATTTCTTAGAGGAGGCTGAGTTTCCTCAACTGTAAAACCCGGTTAGAATAGTACCAGTTTCATAGGATGGCTGTGGGATGGAATGAGACACGCCATCTGTAGTGGTCACACAGAGCCACGAGCTATTAGTAAGTCAGTTGGCCTTCCCACCTGGCCACTCTCTTGCGGCTAAACAGAAGAAGGTGCAGAAACACCACAGAGATGGCTCATAAGTGCCACGTGGGGCTATGGATTCAATTAAAAGAAAAAATAAAGTCTGGAGGAAATGGAGGCAGGCAGAGGTCAGGGACAGGAGAAAAGGCGAAAAAGCACAAGTGGGGCACCCAAATGCGGAAGCCACTAGAAGCGGCGCCCCAACCCCACCCCTGCAAGAGCCTCCAAGAAACACTTGGCTGCGTCACAGGCTTCACCCCTTCCCGCCCACACGCCTGCAAGATCCTGTTCTCAAGCTGCAGTCTTTGCAGAGTCGCAACCCACGAACAAGTTACGAAATCCATTCCAATGGCCGCAGCCGGCAATGGACAAACATGAAACTAGAACAGGTCAGAGTGCATAGCACATCTGGGGGAAATACTGTATTGTTGAACCTTTTCAGTAATACGCACATGTGTATACCTGCTTATGTCATCTACATAAGGATACAGGCGCACTTACGAAGACTAGAATCAACAATGTCAGCGTGCAGTGTGCATAGTGTATGGTAAGAGTAAGTACTGGTCGGGCGCGGCGGCTCATGCCTGTAATCCCAGCATTTTGAGAGGCCAAGGTGGGAGGATTTGATGAGAACAGGAGGTCAAGACCAGCCTGGCCAATATAGTGAGACTCTATCTCAAAACAACAAAGAAAAAGGTGGAAAAAAAGGAGTATTATTCAGATAAACCTTTCCTATTATATATATGTATACGCAATGTATATATCATACATTCACACATATACACATATGTACGTATGTATATATATATACATTCACACATATATACATATCTACATATGTATATACACACATCCACACATATATACATATGTACGTATGTATATACATATTTTGTTAAATTGTTTTTGGTTTTACACATATGTATATGCACACATGTAATAGAACATGGGCTTCTTGCTGTCAGTTACAGCCAGGGAGATTGAAGCCGCTGGCTAAAGCACCCTTCAGGAGCAGCTCTCAGGGCTCTGGGAGCCCCTGGCAGCTCTATCCTGTGGCTCCACCGTGCTGCCAGGGAGAGCGAGCAGGGCAGAGGCCAGCCAGCAATGGCTTTCCCTGTGGGGAGCAATGGGATGTTCATCTATTTCCTGAAGAGGCCAGGGCATAACATTAATTCTAAATGGAACAATTAAATTCCAATTAAAAATCAATTTTAAAATGTGAAAAAGTAATAGGTACCAACCGATGTCTCTTTGCATCCGTGAGACTTTCCTGGTCCCCTATGCCAAAGTTATAAGCAAAGCTCGCACCAGAGAAAGTTCCGATTTTTCATGAACCTGAGTCAGATTCTCTGGAACCAAAGATTAGAGTATTGATTCTTCCAGCATTCAGCACATCTGATAGCACCCAGGGGGTTATAAATGGCAACAAATCCTGTGAAACATCAGCCCAGAGAATACCGTCTTTATTTTACAACACTTACAAAGAGATCCCCTAAGGTTTATTTTAAAAATAAATAACATTATAAAAAGCAATTTTAGTCACCAGCCTGTTACAGCAAAATATCTGAGCCCCAGAATCCTAGGCAGACATCATCACCAGCCCGTGTGTGATTAGGAAAACGGGGTCTGGTGAGGGTGGCGCCCCACTCAGTTGAGAGGCTCCCCTCTCAATCCCTGTCCATTTATCCTGCTGGGAGCTCTGTGGTTTGGGTCTCTATGTCTTCCTTTTTTTGAGGTGTTCAATTTTTCCCCAAGTCAAAAGGGGTGGCATCCTTCTAAGTCACCAGCTAAGAACATCAAAAACCCCAGGGCTCCATGTCCTGCTGAAGGTCAGGGCGAGGTCTCCGCCCCTCAGCACCAGCCCTCACTCTCCTTCCCCCTCCATAAGAAGGAGGGCCAAGTGCGGTGGCTCACGTCTATAATCCCAGCACTTTGGGAGGCCAAGGCAGGCAGATCACGATGTCAAGAGATCGAGACCATCCTGGCCAACATGGTGAAACCCCATCTCTACTAAAAATAGAAAAATTAGCTGGGCATGGTGGCGCGTGCCTGTAGTCTCGGCTACTCGGGAGGCCAAGGCAGGAGAATCGCTTGAATCTGGGAGACGGAGGTTGCTGTGAGCTGAGATTGCGCCACTGCACTCCAGCCTGGTGACAGAGCAAGATCCCATCTCAGGAAAAAAAAAAAAAAAAAGAAGGAGGATGAGAAGGAGAAGGAGGAAAAGGAGGAGGAGAAGGAGAAGGAGGAGGAGAAGGAGAAGAAGGAGAAGGAGAAGAAGGAGGAAGAGAAGGAGAAGAAGGAGAAGGAGAAGAAGGAGGGGGAGAAGGAGAAGAGCACAGGTGCCAGGCAGACATTCCTGGTAGGGAAGCTCTCATTCGAGGGGTCTAATCACAGACCCCCAAAGTGTCCTGTCTGTGGACAGAATTCCAGCAGTCTGGAACTTGCATAGAGAAACTATGACTTTTTTTTCACTAATCTCTAGCTGAACATTAGCACTTCCTTCCATCGTGAATGTACACAACAAGCCACAGAAGCAAAAACAGTACCTGGTACTTGGTCACCAGTTAGAAATCACAGCTACTTTCATATGACACTACATCTGTTCCAGGAATCTCAGGATAGCGTTCATGCCCATCACTACATGGAAATGAGAGTAGTTATCAGGACTGTTGATGGATCTATGAAAAAATTAATTTTTTTTAAAGAGCACAAATTAAAAAAAAATATTTGGGTAACTATGTATCAGTGTAATTGATTTCCTTTGTAACCCAGAGTGTTTTCTTTTATACATTTAAAAGCATTCTCCTAATAAGGGGTCCATAGAGGTCATGGCACCCAAAGAGGAAGGAACCCCTACCCTCATCAAAAACTCAGCTCACGGGGCTGACACACACAGGAGACCCCTAACCAAGGCTGTGGGCCAAGTGGGTGCAGACTCCGAGAGAGGCTGCGGGGAGATGGCTGCTCCTCAGTCATCCATCAGCATCTTCACCACATTCACACTTTATAATAACTAAACTGACTCAAAGCGTTTTGTGGAGCAGAAATGGATGATGATAAATGTTTTATTCTCACATAACAGTTTACGGACGGTACGCAAGCCACTGCACTAGAACCCCACAACTGCTAGGCTGGCAAGCTGAGTATGTTGTCATTTCTTAAATAAAGAAACTGAGACGCAAAGGAATGTAATGCTTTGTTCAGAGTCATTGAACCCACCTGCCGGTGGCAGAGAAAAGCCTCACAGCTGTCTTCTGACGCCAAGTCCCGGCACCTGGCTGGGCTGCCGCTCCAGGTGCGGGCATATACTGCGCATGCGCTCTGTGCTGGCCTCCCCACCCCTCCCCCGTCCCTCCGGCCCCGCCTTCCACACCCCTGTCCAGCCCCCTGGTATGAACTTAGGTGCATGGGACACCCTGTGACGACGATCATTAGGACAAGTATGCACTTGCTTATTGGCCTGGGAGTCCCTTGGCTTCTCACAAGCTTGAAGCGCTGCGCCCCCATTGTCCCAGTGCTATGACAAGCCATGCAAAGGTAAACAATAACTAGTGGTCACAAGGCGGGACAGTCCACTTTCCCCAGAATATCTGCAAAAATGCATGCCAAAGGTAGTAAGCCATTTCCATTTTCCGACCCGCTGCTGCACTTACAGTCCTCCTGCTCCTCCAGCTGGGTCTCCCAATAAAATCCAACGCCTGGAGAGGGAAGGTTCTGGCTCCTGGCCCGTCACTGGGCTGGCCTGGATGGTGGCCTGGTGATGCCGGGGAAGCCAGCTTCATCCACGCCAGTCCTCTCATCTCCCCGTGCAGGGAGTAGAAAGGACACTTTCCTCCCATCTCCCCGTGCAGGGAGTAGAAAGGACACTTTCCTCCCATCTCCCCCGTGCAGGGAGTAGAAAGGACACTTTCCTCCCATCTCCCCGTGCAGGGAGTAGAAAGGACACTTTCCTCCCATTTTTATGGATTCAAAAACAGAGCCCACCAGTGTGTGTGCGAGCCGGGTTGGCACCTGAGTCCCCACCCCACCCCTTGGTTCAATGTAGGACAAAGAGGGCTCACGGGCTCCACGCCTGCTGCATGAGACTGAATTATCCTTCCTCTCTGTTTTACAGTCATGATTGCCCTGCAAAAGAACTTTCCGGCAAAAACAGCCCTTCGTCCTCTTCCCCCGTCTTCTGACCTCTCAAATTTCCCTCCAGTTTCTGGAACTTCTTTGAAGGGAATCTCCCTAAACTACTCGTCACAAAATTACATGGGGTGGAGCTGGAACATTTTTGTTTAGGATGCAAGATCCTGTTTAAACTGCACTCTGTTTTGCAAGCTCTGGTGTTTAGCCTCTCTATATCTCCTGGGCTTGTGGGGGTGGGGCAGGGGTGGGAGTGGCGTGACTCACTGCAGCAGGTTGCATAAACCTTATTGGTGCAAGATGAGTGAGAATTCAGGTGCACATCTTTGAATGACCACCTGCATATCATCAGCCCTTGGATAGCATCTCTACTTTCTTGGGAGATTGGAGGTAAGGATACAAAACACCACAGAGACTCACCGAGTCTCTAAGCAAAAAAGAGTCAACAGCAGCTGAATGTTGGTGGGCAGGGACACCCTGTGACGTTCAGGTGAAGTTCAGGACCCAGCCCTGTTGAGTTTGAGCAAGGTCAACATTTTCCTAACATCTTCTGGGTATTTCCACAGTTGAGAATACCAAATGATGTGGGCAGCTTGCTGGGTGCCAAGTACAACATGACGGACCCACTTACTGGGTCCATTTACTGCCAAGCCGGGCACTTACTGGGCCCACGCTAGTGGCTGTACTGCTGTGTGGCCAGACCTGGCTGTGGGAGGTGGGAGGTAATCAGGGCTTCACAAAGAGAGAACAGACATTTCCTCCACAGTGAAGGAGGAGCTGCCACTCCCACCTTCCCTCCACCTTCTGGCCAGTGTCTCTAACATGCTCAGCACAAGTGTCACCTGGGGTGCCTGCTAAAGATACAGGTTCTAATGGCTGTAATCCCAGCACTTTGGGAGGCCGAGGCAGGCGGATCACAAGGTCAGGAGATCGAGACCATCCTGGCTAACACAGTGAAACCCCGTCTCTACTAAAAATACAAAAAATTAGCCGGACACAGTGGCGGGCACCTGTAGTCCCAGCTACTCAGGAGGCTGAGGCAGGAGAATGGCGTGAACCCGGGAGGCGGAGCTTGCAGTGAGCTGAGATCACGCCACTGCACTCTAGCCTGGGCAACAGAGTGAGACTCCATCTCAAAAAAAAAAAAAAAAAAAAATACAGGTTCTAGACCCTGTCCCACAGCTACAGAAGCCAGCTTCCCACTCTGGGCAGCTGCCATTCAACAAGCACCCCCATATGCCCGTGGTTCTCGAGTACTGATGGGCATCAGAATCTCCAGACACTTGTCAAAATCCACGCCTTTACATTTACCCCAGTCTATGAATCAGCATCTCCAGAAACCAGGCCAGGTGATTCTCAGGCATCTAAAGTTTGAGATCCTACTTTGGATGAGTGATTTTCAAAGTGGAGTCCCCAGACAAGCAGCTCCTGTGTCACCTGGGAGCTTGTTAGGCACATTCTTGGGTCCCACCCCAGACCTCCTGAGTCAGAAACTCGGGATGAGGCCCCACCCTCCAGGTGAGAGCCACTGGAGTTAGACTGTGAGCTTCCCAAGGCCATGCACTTGTCCTGGTCACAGCTTAGAGTGTGGTACTTGGTGCTGAGTCAGCACGGGGGCTCTCCCTGGCTTCTAAGAGAAGTGAATGAGTTTTCCTCACCACTGACTGCCCAGGACACCCCATCTGGGCCAGAAGGAGCTGCCTGCTGTCTCCTTCTCCCAGGGGCCAGAATACAGCTCCTTAGGCACCTGTATTTGCAGGAAAGGCTGCTGTATGGGGAGAGAGCAGGCCTTGCCCTCAGTTTGGCTAACTTCTCACAGCTCCAGTTTCATCTATCTTGCTCTACCGCTGCAAAAGAATTGCCCCATGCCTTATGCATTTTGCCTCAGAGTCCCAGGAGTGCAATGTCCAATGTGGGGTGTGCTTTCTCTACTAGCTTAAAGTACAGAACAAATACCCCTCTGCTCCTATATGAACATGAACTGTTCATTCTAGTGATGGCTCTGAACAAAGCCGGGGGTCCCCTTTAAGTTGGCTTGAACATTTGCATTTCTGTTCCAGTCCTACTCATTTACAGATAACACACGGAGCCCTCCAAGCCCTTGCCACCCCTTTCCAGTCCTATTCCACTCTTCCCTCACCCTTCCCAGACCAGCTCAAGCACCCCTCATCCAGGAAACTTCCCCAGCCCTTTCCAGCTCTGGCTGATCTACCTGCTCTCCAAAGGTGAAGAAGCCGTTGCCTTCAGTGAGAATTTGGCACTTTGGGGCTCTCTTGAACCTTTGTCTTATTTCCCCAATAAAAGTGATAGTCCGATCAGGGCAGGGTCAATATTTATTGTCTTATTTTCATTCCGTCAAATTACTCAGCACCCCAGAGAGTTTTGATCATGAAGGTGCTCAGTAAGTGTTGGATGGCAGCATAGAGGTCAATCACAAAAGCAAGAAACCACACAGCCACTGCTGCAGATGAATGTCTCTGGATCTGCCCACACCCTTAGAATGGTTCCAGATCAACTGGGCGTCTGTCCAGCAGCCTAGGAGTGAGCTTTGGATCCTTTACAAAAACAAGAAGGCAGTAGCACCCCCTGAAAACCATGCCTTACAGTTAACCTGCCTCTAAGGTACAGGCCCTTCCAACCTGCTGTTTAGCAGGGAGAAGGGGGCCAGGCATGGTGGCTCATGCCTGTAATCCCGACACTTTGGGAGGCCAAGGCGGGTGGATCACTTGAGGTCAGGAATTTGAGACCAGCCTGGCCAACATGGTGAAACCCTGTCTGTACTAAAAATACAAAAATTAGCCGGGCATGGCGGTGCACACATGTAATTCCCAGCTACTCAGGAGGCTGAGGCAGGAGAATCACTTGAACCAGGGAGACAGAGGTTGCAGTGAGCCGAGATCAGGCCACTGCACTCCAGCCTGGACAACAGAGCAAGACTCCGTCTCAGAAAAAAAAAAAAAAAATAGCGGGGAGAAGGACCTTGGATTTGGCTTCAACAGACCTATGTTCAAATTAATCACTACGTATTATTAATATCAAAATAACTGTTAACCTACAGCTGACCTCAGCCACTGCCCTCTGCTGGCCCACTCTGGAGGGATCTGGCTCTGCACCCCGGATTTCTGCCCTTCCTGCACCCTCCCAGGAGGACGCTGCTCCTACCCTATGTTGGGGGGCATTTGAGTTTGGAGATCAAGGAGAACTGCGAAGAGAAGAGAAGAAGAGCTTCAGTCATGGCTGGAGGGAGGCATTGGAAAGGAGGTCAGAAGGACGCAGTCAGAGAGTGTGGGAAAATTGGAATGCCGGAAGAAGGAGAAATGAAATGAGAAGGGGTGCTGGGGATAAGTTGGATCCCCTTTAATATACTTCCAGAAGTGCAAATAAATGATGGGATTTCCTTTACATTGATCTTCAATGATCAAACTGTGCTTCTTAAACTAAACATGATTCTCAGAGACAGTCACGGCTGCAATGCGGTTACAATGATGAGAAGCCTTTCCTGGCCCTGGAGCTAACTACATCCCATGCAACTGGCCCCGACATAGGTACTGCTGTCATAATGACCTTGCAGGTGGGGACAGTCAGGCAGACAAGAGGTTGCCCTAGGCCCCACAGCTGGGCAAGGCAAAGCCCAAAATAGAGTTCATGCTGGTGCCAGGTCAGTGCTCTCAGACACTCATGTCCTGTCTCTAGGCAGGGCCAGCCCCTCCCCGTGCAGGGCTCCAGCCAGGCTCTCACCCCCTTCCTTAAAAGTGAACCGGATCCAGGACCAACAGCTTGAGACAGCACTCTGGGAAGCTGATCCCCAAGTTGACGTCTGAGGCTCAAATTCTCTCTGATTCAACCCCACGAGGAGCCAGCTGGGGTCTGAGCCGGGGCAGCAGGGACAGAGCTGCCGCCGGGGGTCTGCTGCCAGCGGGCATCGCCGAGGAGGGCGCAGCCTGCGGGCTGGATAGAAACCAGACAAAGGGCACTCCAGGCCCACCGGGCCGGCCATCCGGAGGGTCTACAGCTAATTAAGACTGAAGGGAGCACTGAATAACCCTTTTGTGGATCAAAAGCACTCTGTTGGAAACCCAGCTGACAACTCCAACAAAACTGACTTCATGGTTTCTTATGAGAAAACTGTGAATACATCGAGGACTGAAGAAGCGCTTTGTTCCAGACCTTCGTGGGACCACCAGAGATTCAGATTACAAAGCGGCCCTGCCCGGCTGCAACAAACAGCGCCTCGCTGAAGCCAAGGCTGTCTCGGTGTAGGAAAGCCAGAAATAACACATTACACTGAAGCCGGGGCATGGTGTGGCCACGACTGCTCGCTCATGTGCTTCATTTACAGAAAAGGACACACACACCCCACCACAATCCGATTAGAACCAGACAAGACTGGAAGGCTGGGCACAAATCACACTGAGCCCCTCCCCCAAGAGGGTCTCCTCTGAGCCTGTATCAGGATGGGTTCTTCGGACATTTAAAGGCAACTGAAAATACAAAGGCTCCTTTCACTTCTGCACTCCAGGCTGCTCTCGGGCATCACCCAGAACTTCAAACACGCCCCATGCCAGGATCCCAGCCCCAGGGACTGTAATGTAATTGACCTCGGTGCAGCCTGACGTCAGCATTTGTAGGAGCTACCTGGGTGTCGTGAGTTGGATGGTGCCCCCTCCCAGAAGATATGTCCACCCAGAACCTCCAAATGTGACTTGACTGGAATAAGGGTCTTTGTAGATATCATTAACCCTTTTCCCACTTGCCCAAGAATACTCCCCAGCAGCATTTACCCCAAGATAACTTTGCTGCAAAATACCTTGCTTTTATTATTATTTTCAAATCGCTCTAGTGTATTGACTTTGGAAACAAAACACATCATTCCATTTATAGCATTCTGGTTTTAGTAGTGGTATTTCCATTTACAAAACTATAGTAATTCTCGAGTGCTGAAAATGTCAAATCCTAGAAAACGTCGCATTCCTGCACGTGATGTTAACATTGTTCTTGAAAACAGTTATTGGCCAGAGATTCATTTGATGAATCCGATTCTTCCGAAACAGATGATTCTGATGATTTAGACGATTCTGATGTTAGTTCTGTGCAGAAATAACTCCAAGAACAGTTTTTGTATTTTATTTTCACATTGAAAATCCATCAGATTTGCTTCAGCCTCAAAGAGCATGTTTATGTAAAAAATGAGTACTGGCAGTGAGCTGCACTTTATTTTCTAAACGGAAAAAGGGTGAAGGTAAAGATCTCTAGATGAGATCATCCTGGATGAGGGCGGGCCCTAAATCCAATGACTCGTGTCCTCATAGGAGACAGAAAAGGAGATCCTGCAAACAAGGCCGTGTGAAGACAGAGGCAGAGACTGGAGTGATGCTGGTTCCATACAAGGAAGGCCAAGGATGGAGGTCATGAGGAACAGGAGGGAAGCCTGGAATACATGTTCCCATGCAGCTGCCAGCAGGGGCCACCCTGCCCACACCTTGACTTTGGCCTTCGGAACTGTGAGGGAGCAAATTTCTGTGTTCTAAGCCAGCGGTCCTCAACCTTTTTGGCACGAGGGACCAGTTTTGCAGGAGGCAATTTTTCCACACACGGGGGGGATGGTTTCAGGATGACTCAAGGGCATGATGCGTATTGTGCACTTTATTTCTATTATTATTACACTGTAATATGTAATGAAATCATTACACAACTCACAAGAATGAAGAATCAGTGGGAGACCTGAGCCTGTTTTCCTGCAACTAGACAGTCCCATCTGAGGGTGATGGGAGACAGTGACAGATCATCAGGCATTAGATTCTCATAAGGAGCGTACCGCCTAGATCCCTCACAATTCATAATAAGGCGCAACCTCCTATAAGAATCTAACGCCGCCACTGTTCTGACAGGAGGTGGAGCTCAGGCGGTAATGGTCACTCGCCCACACTCGCCTCTTGTCCATACTGGTCCATGGCCCGGGGTTGGGGACCCCTGTTCGAAGTCACCCAGGTTGTGGTGGTTTGTTACAGCAGGCCCAGGGAACTCATTCAGCAGGTGGATTTGGGTGGCCCTAATCTAATAAGACTGATGTCCTTATAAGAAGAGGGGATTAGGACACAGACACACACAGAGGGACAACCCTGTGAGGATTCAGGGAGAAGAGGCCTTCTACAAGCCAAGGAGAGAGGCCTCAGGAGGAATCAACCCTGCCCACACCTTGATCCTGGACTCCAGCCTCCAGAACTGGGAGGAAACAAATGTCTATTGCTTAAGCCACCAGTCCGTGGTATTTTGTTAGGTGGCCCTCACAGAGTCATACACTAGGTACTTGCTGTATGTGATTTTATCTGATCCTCATGGCAATTTTCTAAGTTGTGTTTAGGCCCTGCATGGTGGCTCACACCTGTAGTCCCAGTTTGAGACTACAGGAGTTTGAGACCAGCCTGGACTACATAGTGAGACCCAATCTCTGAAAAAATTAAAAAGTAGCCAGATGTGATGACACATGCCTGTAGTCCCAGCTACTCAAGAGGCTGAGGTGGGAGGATCACTTGAGCCCATGAGTTTGAGGCTGCAGTGAGCTGTGATTGTGCCACTGCACTCCAGTAGCCTGGGCAACAAAACAGGACCCCATCTCTAAAAAAAAAAGGAAGTTGTTGTTTTATTATTATTCCCTTTTTGCAAATGAGGAAAATAAAACTATAAAAGGTTAAGTGGCCCATCCAAACTCACATATACGGTAAATGTCAGAGCCAGGATCCAACCTGGCCTATCTCAGGCCACAGCTGGCACTAGGGCCCCTGGTTCTAGGTGGCAGCCCCTGGACACAGAGGCCTTCAAAGACTGGGAAGTGCTCCCTCTGAGCGGGCAGTCCAGAGCCGGTGATGCTCACTGTTTTGCTGCCCTTGGGCCTAGAACAGAGGGCTTTGCACGTCTCTTGCATTGTCTCAGGGCTGTTTAGTCCCAGGTTGAGGGTAAGAGGAAGGAGGAGCCCCCAAAGCCACAGTTGGGGTTCTCAGTGGACATCCGGGGGCAAGAAAACCTCCAGAAGGTGCACCTTCCATCAGCAACCTGGGAGGGGAAAGATACGTTTCTATGAAGAAAAGATGCATTCACTTACAACAGGAACTAGATTTAGTTCCCTTTAATAAGAACAACACTGCCCATATTCAATATTGAAATAGGCTGTTTTTCAGTATTTTTACCCAGAGTAGCTAATTTGATCCTCAAAACACACCAGCAAAATAAGTAAAGGAAGAATCTCTCCATTTTATGAGAAAATCTCAGGCTCAAAAACATCTGTGTTTGGCAGGGTGCAGTGGCTCACGCCTGTAATCCCAGCACTTTGGGAGGCTGAGGTGGGCGGATCACCTGAGGTCAGGAGTTCGAGTCCAGCCTAGCCAACATGGTGAAACCCCATCTCCACTAAAAATACAAAAATTAGGCGGGCGTCGTGGCGGGCGCCTGTAGTCCCAGCTACTCGGGAGGCTGAGGCAGGAGAATTGCTTGAACCCAGGAGGGTGGAGGCTGCAGTGAGCCGAGATCATGTCGCTGCAGAAATGTCTGTGCTCTCTACATCAGCTTCGTCCCTGCAAAACAGCGGTAACACATCTGGCCTCCCGGGCTGTGAGGAAGACAAAATGAGGCAATGGACCCAATGCACAAGCATGGCTATCACCAAGTAAGTGCTCAGTTAAAGGCCACACATGACAATGTTGTGCCCAAGGTCTTAGCACTAATTAGAGACAAAGACAGGACCAAGCCCCCTGGATTCTAGAACTTCCTGTACTCAGCACAACACTCTCTGCACCCCGCCTTTTTTATGAAGTTGATTCATGAATTCAAGAACAGCCCAACTCAGATGGTCACACTCCCCTGTCCCCTCTCCTCTCTCAGGCCCAGCCCCTGGACACTGACCTCTCCCCACTCTGCTCCTCCTCCTCCTCCTCCCAGCCCCGTCGTGGGGAAGGCAGGGCAGTTCCCTGGCATTTGGCTGGCTCCTAAGTGTCAGTTGAGTGATTTCATGAATGAGCAACTACCCTGATTACTCTGATTACTCTGAAGGTTCAATTTTGATTTTTTAATTTCTATGTCTCATAGTTAGTATTGCCAGTAAGAAACACAAGCCTGATTTATAGATTAAAAGACAAATCTTCTCCATGGCTCAATAAATACTGACTCGTGAACACAAGATAAATACCACTTAGTAAGATCACTGTATGAACAACAAGAGGTTGAACATATACATTAGAGACGCAAGCTAACTCCCTGTGTTGAAAAAGTAGGTCATTTTGGCAGTGCACTGTGGCTCAGGCCTGTAATCCCAGCACTTTGGGAGGCCGAGGCGGGTGGATCACGAGGTCAGGAAATTGAGACCATCCTGGCTAACATGGTGAAACCCCGTCTCTACTAAAAATACAAAAAATTAGCCGGGCGTGGTGGCACGTGCCTGTAGTCCCAGCCACTCGGGAGGCTGAGGTAGGAGAATCGTTTGAACCCAGGAGGCAGAGCTTGCAGTGAGCCGAGACTGCGCCACTGCACTCCGGCCTGGGTGACAGAGTGAGACTCCATCTCAACAAAAAAACAAAAAAAGAAAGAAAGAAAAAGGAAAAGGAAAAGTAGGTCATTTTGAAGTAATAGTAGAGCAGAAACTCTTTAACATGGGAAGATGTTCATAATAAAATGGCGACAAACACTATGTATACTAGGCCCCTTCAAGTTAGGAAAGATCTACCCCAAATCCTTAGCAGTATACTTGAGTGCAGAGAGTAATGTGCGTGTTTTACCTTTTAATTGATCTGTATCTCCTATGATGAGCAAACCATAGTACTTTCAAAACAAAATAACTTTATTTAAATAAAGCTAAGCAAGGTGTAGTGGCTCATGGCTATAATCCCAGTTATTTGAGAGGCTAAGGCAGGAGGATCTCTTGAGGCCAGGAGTTTGAGATGCACCTGGGCAACATAGCAAGACCCCATTTCTACAAAACGACAGCAAAAAATTAGCTGGACATGGTGGCAAGCACCTGTAGTCCCCACTACTCAGGAGGCTGAGGCAGGAGGATCATTTGAGCCCAGCAGTTCAAAGCTGCGGTGAGCTATGATCGTGCCACTGCACTCCAGCCTGGGTAACAGTGAGATCCCATCTCTAAAAAAATAAAATATAAAATGTTTAAAAAAAAAAAAAAAAAAGCAAAAAAGACCAGCACGGTGGCTTACGCCTGTAATCCCACTGTAATCCCAGCACTTTGGGAGGCCGAGGCGGGTGGATCATGAGGTCGGGAGTTCAAGACCAGCCTGACCAACATGATGAAACCCCGTCTCCACTAAAATACAAAAATTAGCCAGGCGTGGTGATGGGTGCCTGTAATCCCAGCTAGTCAGGAGGCTGAGGCAGGAGAATCGCTTGAACCTGGGAGACTGAGTCAGGAGAACCGCTTGAACCCAGGAGGTGGAGGTTGGAGTGAGCTGAGATTGCGCCACTGCACTCCAGCCTGGTTGACAGCGCAAGACTCCCTTCCCCCCCCAAAAAAATCTCCTAATCTTCTGTGTCTGTGTGGCAAGCCATGAACTCCTTCTCAGAAGAATGTTTTTAAATGCATTAAATAAAGCATGAGGTGGGGAGAGTTCCAAAGGAAGCCAGTGATACTAAAACATACAGAATTATCAAACAGTGTTTATGCTTCTGTTATAAGAATAGATGGGCTACTTTCACATATTAAACAGCAAGAGCTAGCAGCAAGTCTAGTGAACTGGGCACTTGGAAGCAGTGATGAGCATAGCAGTATCTCTGGATAGCTGTAACACTGTGTGCAGGTATCTGGGGTTTCTGTCGTGACCACGTGGCAGGAGCTGCTGCCACTGCTGTCTGATGCTCGCCCCACAGTGGAAGGAGATGCTAAATTCCGTTACGCATTAGAGGTCAGTGAAAAGGAAGATGCAGTTTGTTCCCGTCCAGGCACAAGGACTCTTGAATTTGTCCATAGTTAAGAACGGCTCATCCAGGAGCAGAGCGAGAGGCCGGGCTGCGCGTCCTCATCTCCTCTCCCAGCCTTCGCATCCTCCTGGCTGCCTCGCGTTTCCTCCACGGGCCTGGCTGAACGCACACACAGGCCTGGGGGAGACTGCAGAGACACATCTTCAGCCACATCTTCTGTAAAACAGTCACTATGGGATGACGGTGACTGGACAGTGGCTCCGTGCAGTCGGTGTCTTTTGCAAAGTTTTCCACCGTGTGCATCCTCTGCAGCCAACTCCAGCTGAGGGAGAACGGACCCTCGGTGAGTTGGGGCTGCACAGCAGGTATGGCCTGCTGCCTTCACCCCACACCTGCTATCAAATGAATCAGCCCCCTTTCCCTACAACCCCAAGAAAAGCCTCAGGACCCATCAGGGGAAGAAGAAGCTGCCCATATAGAGAGAGGGAAGGGATACTGCTCCTCATTCCCCACACGGCATAGCCCAGGTGTAGAAAGTGGCCAACATCCATTTAGGAAGCCCCGTTTCCCTAGCTGGGAGGGGCCCTGTCCTGGGGAGGAGGCCAGTGGAAAGGACAAAACCATTTTGGAAGGAGCCAAGAGTAATAAAAATGGCAGGTTACCTGCCTTAGTTTAAACTGAATAAGCAAAGCCACGATCTCATCTGAGTCCCGTACAAGGCACACCACTCATAAGCTAACTTTTCTCAGCTTCTCTTTACAGGCCGTTGGCGAGTGGGCCCTCCAACCGTGGGCCACAGCTCGTGAATCTGTTTGTTGGGGAGTCATGTTCAAACCCAAAGAACAAGGCAAACCCTACCCCCAAGGAACCCAGATAACTCCTTATTTCCCCTTTTTATTCTTAAAAAGTACTTCTCCCAGGTTCCGGCGGAGTGCTGTTCTCATTTTAGAAGGCTGGCTAACTGTGGGTGCAAGTCATTTCTCAAAGCAGTGTCTGTTCTTTTCTTTAATGGAATTGTTTTGTTCATTTGTTTCACTTCCTCTTTGGGGTTCCCAAGGAACATGAGTTCCTTTTTTCCTGGTATTAGAAGTGCGTCAGTTCAAGTATGAGTACATGAAAAGTGAAGAATAAGAGGCTGGCTCCATTAGGTGATGACATGTACCTGCTATGAGATTTGGGAAGCCATGGCCTGTCATTGTTGCTCCCGCATTATTGTCCAGCTTGTCCCCAGAATGAGAGCCAGTCTCTAAAGACATGCCCATGAGCCGGGCAGCACATAACAGAGACAGGGAAGAGGTCGCTTGGGGGCTTTGTCACCTGGAAGAAATCCCAAGGCTTATCCTAAGGACATGGAAAGCTGAAGAACAGAAAGTCACTAGTCAATGGCAGGAGGAGGGCATCCAAGTCCCCATCAGCCTAGAACGCAGCCGACTGACAAGAGGTCAGTGCCACCATCATAGTCCTATGCTTTCTCTGCCCCCGGTAGGACTTCGAACTTTCTGAAGGCTTTGGGTGTGAATGATGGATCCTCCCTATGAAGAGGACCACATCTGATGTAGTAGTTTACAACATCTCAACATGATTCAAAAATAGATCAGCAAGAACATATTTAGCAAAAAAAAAAAAAAAAAATGCAAGTCATCAGATGCAAATGATGACATAGAATTCTTCCCAGGCCTAGATATGCAAACAGAAGCAGTGCAAGGGCCGTGTACACAATGACAGTGTGGGTGCAGATAAGACAGTAATTTCCCGGAGAGCTTTGGTTGATGGAATTCCACACTCCATGACCACACAGCCTACGAGGGAGTAGATCACAATCTCACCCAGAACCACAAATGAGCCTCCTGGTGTCAGTTACCTTCTTTTTCAAGAATGACGCCAAGCTCTAATCCCTCCTCACTGAGTCTTTATGAGCTTAAAGTAACTGCATTTTAAAATCTGTCACATTTGGACATTTTCCCAAAACCCTTGCTCTCTGTTGGACGAGGCACGTTTCATGTTGACTATTCCCATGTCCCCTGGTTCTTCTTTTCAATCCAAAAGCTGGGAACTTTCTACTTTGACCACCAGAGCTTCTCTGGCAGGCGATTTTCCACTGCTATTTTCCTTGCTGTCCTTCTCTTTAAAAACCAATAGCATATGAATTCAGGATGCGGGGATATCTTGTGCGATGCAGTAACAGGCAGAGTGAGGGGCAGCAGTGGGCTAGCAAAGAGGTGAAGGGTGAAGGAAGGCCTGGGAGCCAGGCAGACCCACCCCTTCCTGAGTGTTTCCTCTGTTTTCTCATCTGGGCTGCTGAGATTAAGGAGATAAATGCATATAAAGCACTGACCGTGCTTTCTGGCCCAGGGCAGGACTCTAACCATTGGTTGTGCCCATGCTGAGGACTAACCTTGGCCCGGGAAAAGGCTGGAGGAGGCCCACCCAAAAGCAGATGCTTCCCAAGGCCCGGTCACTGCACGAGAGCCAAAAGCACACATCAGATGGGACAGTATGCAATCGGAGGGGACCTGCTCTCCTGGAAAAGCCACCCTGAAAGCTTTCATTGGCCAGATCTGAAGGTGTTGAGGTTTGAGCCAACTGCAAAGAGGTAACCGCAGACCTTGGTTGCCAGAGAAGTCACTGTCTTTTCCAAGCAGTAGAACCACATTCGAATCCCTTGGAGCTTGTCAAGAGCCCTCAAAATCTTACTCTATGCAGAGACCGCCAACAAAAATGTGTCCCCTCAAATTATGGCACAAACTTCAGAGGGGAGGTAATTTAATGCACAGAACCACCCACCAGGGAAGGACAGTGGATAAAATGAGAGGTTCAAGAGACACACGGTGAAAAGTGCCCACAGAGAAATTGTGACATTGAATAATATTAAATTGCAAAGGATTTGAAGCCCAGATAAACACCATGAGCTAATATCAGCCAAGGAAAGTATGATTCAGTCAATGGAAATAGGCAAACAGTTCAATTAATGTTTATAAACAGGCCTTTTCATCCCTTCCCCCAGAGGAAGAAACTTGAGGGGTGTGTGGCCCACAAGGTGAGGAGACAGCGGCTGACTTGAAGTCTTTGGGCTCCTCTCCAGGCTTCTGGCAAGCAGAGACCATGCCAGGGGGTCCAGAGAGGTCCAACCAGCAGCAAAGCTCACCCAGGTCTCACCAGCCAGGGTACGGGTCACCTACTGCTTCTGATGTGACAGCTGAAGCTCCCAGATACTTCTTTTTTGACACAGCCTTCACCTACTGTTCTTTGAAAGTGAACTTTTGTTTTCAGATTCTTGAAAATCTGGAAGAGAATCCCACCACAAAAGCCACTCATCCCTCCAGGTAACAGGCGTTCCACCTGGAGGGGGCAGCGGAGAGACGGGTGTGTCCAGAAAGCCCCAGGGCCCATAGCTGCAGCACAGAAACCATGGAGGAGGGAGTGGGAGAGGGTGCACAGGAGCCCGTGGGCAGACCTCAGGCTGCACGTGCAAGGCCAAGGGGGTGAGTCCCACCCAGGGTAAGTCCCAGGTGGTGCTGGGAGCCCGTGCCCTCCGAGCCTGTTTACAAGCCATGGGCTGCACCCACCTTCCCCGTGGAGGCCCTGGACTGTGAAAAAGAATTGCTTAAAAGTCAGGATAAGTATTGGCCTGAGGATGTCATGCTCCAAGCAGAACAGGGACCCACTGTCATAGATCAGTTCATCCCCTCCCTGCAGCAGTTAGAAAAGGGGGCACTGATGCCATCGTGTCAAACACCAAGATAACTGAAGTCTGCCAAGGTGGGTCCTTTCTCCCACTTCCTAACTTCAGCCTCTTCCTCCCCACGGCCTCCCTGCCCTGGGCCTGCGTAGGGCCTTCCTGCTGACTGCCTCCCTCCCGTCGCCTCTGTGCTGCCTCCCCGACGCCCAGGCCTGTCCCACTTCCCAAGGCCTCTCTAGAATCTGTTTCCTCTGCCTGTATCTTTCAACTCAAAGTTCATCAGATCAGTTTATTCCTCCATTGAGGCCAGAGCTCCTGCTGCCTTTGAAAGCCACATGTGCTTTTTCAGAAGATGACCTTTGGCAAAAAAACAATTTGTTCCTTTTCCTTTGGCCTTAACAAGATATCAGGGAAGTGAGAAACACAGTCGGGCAATGAAGTGGAAGTAAACGTTGAGGGGAACTATGCAAGACTTAGAAGGCTCACACCATAAGCAGTGAACGTGACAGGGCGCTTTCCTCCCTGGCAACAGTGGCCTGGTCCTGCCTATGGGCTGCATGCCTTTGAGGGCAGGAAGCTATGTCCCCTGGTGGCGGTGGTGGTCCCCAGTCCACACACGACACACATCGCAACGGCCACCATTAGACACTTGTTCCAAAGCAAAGTCAGCCCCTCCACAAAGACAGCCCCCTCCGATGATGCTCTTCTTCTGCAGAGTAAGGAGGCCTCACAACACAGAGATTGCTGTGTGATTTCTCCAACCACAGCCTGCAGGTCACTGTCAGCATTTCAAAGTGTCCACGAAGGAATCACCTTCATTGAAAAACGAAACCAATAAAACCTGCTTTCTACCCTTGGTGCCCTCCCTTGCAGAGCCCTTCCCGTTAACGAGCGCTCCTGCAATCACAGCGTCTCATTTGCATCTGTTTTTCATCAGAGGCAGAAGTGTCAGCCCTTTTCCACTGGGGCCAGCAGGTCACTTTGCCTGGGAACAGAGCCGTCAGGGACACCCAGCAATCTTTCCTCCTAATTACAGTGTCTGCGCTAACCACTCCAGGATGGTCCCTGCATAACTGGGGTGAAAATCTAATATAACACTGTCTGGAGATCTTCCACATTCACCTAAGCCGGGGTGCAGGAATTAAAGTGTCTCTGACATTATGCTCCCGTCCCATCTCCTGCACACTGATTTGCAAAGTGAAAATGATCCTCAGTACAAAACCTGTCTCCATCTGCAACCTGCGAGAAACATCAAAAGAGGCAGGGCGACAGCCTGAAGGTTCCCCGAAGTCCTGCGGAGGAAAAGGAGAGCTTCTCAGGGAGAGGCAGCCAGGCGGCCAGCACAGGCACAGCGTGGCGTAGAATTTTTAAGTCCCTCTTTGGCGCGTCTTCTCTACAAAGCCTAACTCTCAATCCGTGTTATAACATCCTCACATTACTGTTCCCACCTTGGGTTCTCAGAAGTCTGTCAATGCTGGTACATGATGGAGACTAGAGTCTCTGATTAGAGGCCAACGCAGCACACATTTGCCCCAAATTGTCCTTGGGGTTTCCAGCAGCAGCCCCTGCATAATGATGCTTGGTGTAAACTGACCCAGCCCCACACAGGAAGGCTTTGTGTGTCAGTTACCCCTAGGAAAAGGACAGGGTCAAAAGTCATCCCAAGAGGAAATCTGGCCCCAGCACCCAAGGCCTCCTCTCTCTGTCTCCAGGAAACTCTCGTCTAACAAATCAGATATTAGCACCATGAACCCTGAGTGCCACTTAACCTCTGAACTTATCAAACAACACCAGCAAACAGCCATTTACTCCTAGGTTACCCAAGGGTATCTAAAAGAGAAAAAAGGAATGAAGGAACAGCTTTTTAGGATCTTGGTGGACATTTTATGGGCATATTTACTTGTTGTTGGCGTCTTTACAGCTTTTCCCTAAAGACTATCATTATGGTAACAGATGGCTTCATCTTTAACTGCTCAGTAAATAAAAGGGCTTTAAATTTTTTTTATTAATCTCTTTTAGGTTTCATCTCAATTATCTTAGGGGAAAAAAGGTCTCTATTGCATTGACTAGGTCTTCTTAAACAGATTAATTGGCTATGATAAATTTTTCAAAGTTAGACTCAAAATTCACAGAACATGTAATCCTAGCCAGAGCAATTGGTGGCTTTCTGGAAAGGGACCTGCCTGACTTTCTCAGAGGCTCTCAGAATTTGCCATTACACTTTTTTGCTTTTATAGGGAGGGGAAGTGACAAGTCTTCTACCACCTGCAAAGAACTGCTTTCCTTGGTAACCTGGGGATGCGTCCGCCCCTCGGTGGATCCATCGGAAGGAAGTGCCCTGTCTCAGTGTGCAGGATGATGCAGAATTCTTTTGCCTGCCTAGAGCACCTAGCAAGGGCCAGGCTTTCCCTCTTTCATTCTTTTCTTCATTAATGCATCCAGCAAGATTTATTGAGGGCTTATCTTTGCCAAGCACTGTGCTAGGTGCTCTGAATACAGTAGTGGCCTTCACAAAGTCCCTGCCCTCATGGAGCTCACATGCTACTGACACAGACCAAATAATACATAAATACAGGGGTCTCCACCCACTGGGCCACAGCCTGGTACTGGTCTGTGGCCTGTTAGGAACAGGGCCACACAGGAGGAGGTGAGCAGCAGGTAAGCGAGCACTACTGCATAAGCTCCACCTCCTGTCAGATCAGCAGCACACGATTCTCATAGGAGCGCAAACTCCATTGTGAACTGTGCAGGCGAGGGATCTAGTTGCATGCTCCTTATGAGAATCTAATGCCTGATGATCTGAGATGGAGCTGAGGTAGTGATGCTAGTGCTGGGGAGCAGCTGCACATACAGACTTTTGTTAGCCAAGAGGTTTGACTGCACAGAGACCATAATAAGTCAACTGCTTTCAGACTCATAACAAAACCCTCTCAGTGAGTGGCAAGACACAATTAAGCTGCAGGCTTCATGGTGGCAAGTGAGCTTCAGTTGTACAGCTGCATCAAGTGGCAATAAAGGTAGGTCTGAGACAACTTCCCATCTCCATACATTCTGGATTAAAGTCAAGGCAGAATATCCTGCGGTTGCCAGAAAAGCACTGGAAAGCCTGCTTCCATTTCCAACATCCTATCTTTGTGAAGCAGGGTTTTCTGCAGTGACAGCAACCAAAACGAGATCACAAAGTAGACTGGACATAAGCACCACACTTCAGGTGTTACTGTCTCCATCACCCCCAGATGGAACCAGCTAGTTGCAGGAAAACGAGCTCAGGGATCCCACTAATTCTACATTATGGTGAGTTGTATAATTGTTTTATTATATATATTACAATGTAATAATAATAGAAATAAAGGGCATAAGAAATGGAATGCACTTGAATCATCCCAAAACCATCCCCCACGCCGTGGAAAAACTGTCTTCCATGAAACCACCCTCTGGTGCCAAGAAGGTTGGGGACCACTGCATAAATACACCTGGAATATCACATCAGGTAGGGAAGAAAAATAATGCCATGAAAGGAGACAGATAGAGTCCTGGGCAGGTTGAGGGTCAGCAAAGAAACCTTTCTGAGGACCCTGAATTTGAGCAGAGACCTGAATGAAGCGAGGGAGGAAGCCAAATAAATATCTGGGAAGATTTTTCTAGACCAAGGAAACAGCAGTCCTGACCAGGAAATAAGGTTGTTGCATTAAAGGAGCATCCAATAAAGGTTAAAGAAACAAGGTAGCAGGTGGTGAGAAATGAAGCTGAGAAGATAAGGCCAGGTCACGTAGTTTTTGCCAGCCATTCTCAGGAAATTGGATTTGATCTTTTTTTAATGAAGTTTTCCCTCTGTCTTCCCTCTTTACTACAATGCACTTAAGTGTGGTTTTCCTCATATCTATCTTGCTTGGGGTTCAGAGTCTTTTTGGAATAAGTAGTTTAAAGCCTGTCATCTGTTTGGGAAAATTTTTCATTATTATCTCTTCAGATATTACCACTCTCTCATTTTCTCCCTTCTTCTCCTTGTTAGACCTTTTACTTTGCATCCTTATGTCTCTTGCTCTTTTCTGATTTCCTCACTTTGTGCTTATTCTAGATATTTTTCTTATTCCAGTTCACTTTCTCCTCAGCTGTGTCTAATCTGTATTAAACCTTGGGGTCTGAATTCGATATTTTTTTTCATTTCTAAAATTTTCTTTTGATTCTGTTTTATACTTTCTAGTTCTCTGCCAAAATCCCCAATTTGTATTTATTTCCTTGACCATATTAAGCATGGTTATTTTAAATCCACAAATTTAGATATATGTCTCTCTCTCAACACTGTCTTGTCTCCTCATGCACCAGGTTATTTTGGTTGCATGCCAGACAATGTACATGAAATACATGGAGATATGGAAGAATGTTACCTTTTTCCAGACAGAAATTACAGTTACTTATGTCTGGAATCTATGGGCCCTAACAATCCCTAACCTCCTTAATCCAATCTGGGGTTGAACCAATTCAAACCTGGCTTAATTTATTGCAAATGCCAGACTATTTTAGATCAATTTTTACTCCTAGGCTGTACCCTTACGTGGTTTTCCCAACACAAATACTGAGATAGTTGTGGGGGAGGGGACTCTGGGTCTCAAGTTCCTTGCAGACCCTGAATGCCCATGTCTGTTCTCCTATCCCTGTTGTCTATCAACAGCTCTATTAGCTTCTCACTCTCTCAGGCACCTCTTCTGGAAAAAGGATACCTAGGGGAAAGTGGTCACAATGCTGGCTCACCTTTCTGTATTTTATTTCTCTCCCAGATCTTGTCCCTAAAATTATTGACTGCCTTGTGAACTGTCCAGTGCCTTCAGATATTTTTAATATTTTCTTCTTTTCTAGCTATTCTCAGGAAAAGGATTGGCTTTTATTGTATGTGTGCAGAAAAAATTGCTCGCAAAAATTACCCAAATTCTCCACCCCTCCATCTACACACACACACACACACACACACACACACACACACACACATTATTTATTGCTGGGGCTCAGAGGACAATACCCCAAAGTATCGTGCTTTGATATGCTGAGCACATCTTAATTAAAGGAAATTGGAAAGCCTCAAAAGCTACCGCAGAACCATAGACTTTCTAACCTTCTCTTGTTTCTCTCCACAATTGTCCCCTCCCCACAACAACCAAATGCAGAGAGGGGCTCTCTCTGGAATCTTCTTATGATTGAGGAAACTTCTTGCTAAAAGAAATTCAATTGTCAGCAGGGCACGGTAGATCACACCTGTAACCCCAGCACTTTGGGAGGCCAAAGCAGGTGGATCACTTGAGGTCAGGAGTTCAAGACCAGCCTGGCCAACATGGCAAAACCCTGTCTCTACTAAAAATACAAAAATTAGCCGGGCATGGTGGTGCATTCCTGTAATCCCAGCTACTTGGGAGGCTGAGGCAGGAGAATTGTTTGAACCTAGGAGGTGGAGGTTGCAGTGAGCCAAGATCATGCCCCCACAGCTTGGGTGACAGAGTGAGACTCCATCTCAAAAAGAAAAAAAAAGGAATTCAATTGTCTTAAACTCCCTCCCTAGGAATCTTATTGAACAACGAAGAAAGATTAACCCCTAGAGAAGAGACTCAAAGTCTCCACATCCAGACAGACTTTCCATCTATTCTTCTAAGGGCAGCTCTGAGAGATTACCTGAGGGACTGTACGTACATAACAAGGCGGCCTTTGCTCACACTTCAGTTCCCTCCCTTAATTTCCTATAACTTGTCCCCAAGCTGCTGTTTGTCCTTTGGTCCCATTCAGCATCCTAAGAAAATAATTTACAAACCATTGTCTGGTCTTCAGGCCCATTCATGCACCCTAAAATCACTGACTACCCTCTAAAATTGCCTGCAGCTCCTCACTTCCCTCCCTGCTATGATGAGGGTATCAAAGCTTCAACCATCCAGCCTTTCGTTGGTCCTCATATTTTGTATGGCTCCCATGCTTAGGCATGTTAATAAATATGCCTGCCTTTCCTCCTGTTAATCTGTTATTAGTTCATATCAGTGAATCGTCAAAGGGCAGAGGAAAAGCTTCCCTCTTCAACACTACATTATAAATTGTAAACATGTTCTGTTTTAATAATATAATATATACCCCATAAAATGTACAATGTGCACATTATTAAATGACAGAAGGATGGGGAATGAGTTAATATAAATAAAATGTTTAATGGTTTCTGTACCTCCACACTCTGAAGACCTCTGGTCTGGGAACACTTGGGGGGCTGGAGCACTAACTATTGTGGGGCAGGTGGACTGGGCTAGAGGTGATAAGAAGTGTTAATTCAGAATGTATTTTGAAGGTAGAATTCAAAAGGTTTGCTGATGAATTGGATGTTGGTATAAAAGCAAGAGAGGAGTCAAGGATGAATCCTATGTTTCTGGCCATTGCCTGAGATGGGAAGGATCAGGCTGCACTGGGGATCACGAGTCTATGGTCCACACTGGCACGTTACAGACCCTGAAATCCAAGTCAGTAGCAGGTTTTCCCCCCAAAGATCCCTTCCATTCCAGGGATGGAGCTTCCCAGGGACACAGCAGAGGACACGTGTCCCTCAAGAGGGCAGGATTGTTTGTCAAGGAAAAAAATAACTTCTCTCCCACTGAAATTGAACTCATAAGAAAGTTGTGTAATTTTAAATTCCAGCTCTTCCATAAACATTCCTCAAACTCTTCCCACCACTTCCAAACTGTGCTAGCAACAGCTTTAGTGCATCTGGACGTTTCCCAATCTGGGCTCTTCAGAGTATCCAGTGTACGAGTTAATACCTATCCTGTGGCAGAGGAGGAGGAGAAGAAAGAAGGAGAAGGAGAAGCTGGAAAGTGAGGAAGAAGGAAGAAAAGGAAAAAGAAAGAAAGATGGAAAGAAGGAAGGAAGGAGGGAAGGAAGGAAGGAGAAAGAAAGAAAGAAAGAAAGAAAGAAAGAAAGAAAGAAAGAAAGAAAGAAAGAGAAAAGAAAGAAAGAGGGAGGGAAAGAAAGAAAGGAAGGAAGGAAAAGAAAAGAAAAGAAAGAGAGAGAGAAAGGGAGGAAGGGAGGAAGGAAGGAAGGAGAAGAAGTGAGAGGAAAGGAGAAGAAGGAAGACAGGAAAGGAGGAATAGAGAAACAGAAAGAAGGAGGAAAAGGAGGAGGAGAGAAAGACGGAGCAGAAGAGAGAAAGATAGGAAAAAGAAGAAGGGGAAGAAGAGAATGAAAGAGAAGAAGTCTAAGAGGAAGGGGAGGAAGGGAGGGCAGAAGAAGGGAAGATGGAGGAGCAGGAGGATTCTCATGACCAAGTTTGGAAAATGCTGCAATAAACAACATGCACATGATGAACATCTTTCCTTACTGTGGGACTCCTCAGAGCCTTTAATATGCTATTGCACAATATGACTCTCTAACCAGGATGCAGAGTACGTAGCCATTCCCTGACTTATTGGCTCTGAATGCTTATTAATAGCTCATGAGTAATTTTGTTCTGCTGAACAATTCAGGAGACATTGCTGTAGACCCCAGGTCAACAACTATAGCCCAAAGGCTAACGTCAGCCTGCCATTTGTTTTTGTATTGCCAGAAAGCTAAGGATACTTGCAACATTTTTAAATGGTTGGAAAAATTTAAAAAGAAAAACAAAACTTCATGACAGATGAAAATTATATAAAGTTCAGATTTCAGTGTCCCTTTATTTTTATTGGAATACCGTCTTCGTCAGCTCAGGCTAATATAACAGAATACCATCAGCTGGGTGACTTAAACAACAAATATTTATTTCTTACAGTTCTAGAGGTTGGAAATTTGAGTCTAGGGTGCCAGCATGGCTGGGGTTCTGGTGAGGGCTCACTTCCTGGTTTGCAGGTGGCTGCCTTCTTGCTGTGACGAAAAGGAGAGCTCTGGTCTCTTCATCTTCTTACAAAGTCACTAATCCCACCATGGGGGGCTCCACCCGCATGATCTCATCTAAACCTAATTACCTCTCAAAGGGCTTCAATACATGGATTTGAGGGAGACACACTGAGTCCACAGCAACAGCCATGCTCATTCACTTACCTATCATCTGTGGTTGCTTTTGAGCTACAACAGCAGAGTTGAGTAGCTTGCAGCAGAGACCATTTGTCCCTCAAAGCCTAAAATATTTACAATCTGGCTCTTTACAGAAAAGGTCTGCCGACCCCTGCTCTTAGACTTCCCACACAACGTAGCATTAAAATATGCATTGTCATTCTGTATTTCTTCACTGTTAACTCTTATTTCCTCAGCTCTATTCACTACTCTGCAAGCAGGAACCATGCCCTATAATTTTCTGTTTCTGGCAGAATCTGGCACAGTGCTGAGCACAAGGACAGTGCTCGAATATCTCTGTAGTGGCCTTCTTGCCAAGCATCAGGTATTTATTGGGAGGTGACACTTTTCAAAGAAGGTCATTGGGAGGCACGTGGAGAATGGTAGCTTTGAGAAAATATCTCCTGGGGAGACAAAGCCACTCTGTGTTACTTAGGACAAGCAAGGACGGGTCTGCTGCATGGGAAAAAAAAAAAAAACAGCATTGAGTGAACACTGGCTTTTATGTATACAGTGTCTTGATCATTTTTCTTTTAGGAAAGAAATTTAAACTACACGATTGAATTACATGGTATATTAGCTTCAGAGCATTCAACGCTGTCAGCTGGGAATAATAGTAATACCCCAGTCTGTGGTTGTTTTGAAAGTTGAGTGGAGGAATGGAACAAGATAATATAAATAAAAACTGCTTTGTCAGTGGTTAAGGTGCTATATCAGCAAGTTATGCACACCCTTCTGGTCAGGCCCGTCCTAGCATTGGTGAGGCCCAAGGCATGTATAAAAATGGAGGCCCACAAACCACACGGCTAAACACTGAAAAGTAATAAATCAAGTTAACAAGCTGTTCAGTTGTGTTCTAGCCGCCTGCTTGATAAATATGCCTTATAACAACCTGGAAAACCTGGTTTGAATTTGGAGGTCTTGGGCTCCCAAGACAGTGCTGGAATATGGTGGTCTGGGAGGAAGTGGCTCTGTCCACTAGCTGGCATCCCACCCCCTCCTTTCTCCCTTTCTTTTTCCCCTGCCCAGTTCTGTCTCACCTCCTAAGAAATAGGCACCTGTGGTTGTGCAGCTCACATGGCCAAACTCCAAACACTCTCCACACACACAGCCATCTCCACTTCATTGCCACCCTTTGGCCACTCCTTGGCTACCCCTTGGGCCTAACAGTACACAACCAGCTGCAGGTTTGCTCTTGGGAGGGATCCTGGGAAGAAGCTGACTTTGGACCATTTGAGTGGGAATTCCAGAGTCCCAGGTGCCAGAAGCATGGTCTAGAAGGGAAGTGAGGGTGGGGTATGTCCTCTGAGCCCCACAGGCTCCTGGCCCCATGGTAGGACAAGGTGAGGCCCTTCTTGTCCAGGCCTCAGGACAGGACTGATTCTGACCTGAAGCTCAGTTATCTCACTAATAATCACTACAGTGACAGCAGCAACCGTGTGTCGAGTGCTCCTGCGTGCCAGCCACTCTTCTACGTGCCTCGCACTTACTTTACTTAATAACAAAGTCTTCCTCAACTGGGGCTGTCAAGTGGGAATCTGTTTGCATCTTGGCACGACTGTCACATGAAAGCCAGTTCTCACTGAGGAGGAGGATTTTCTAAGTTCCTTAGCACACGGGGAGCAAGCAGAGAAGCACCAGCTCAGCGAGGCTCTTCCCTGGGGTAGGAGGACTTCCTCCCACGGGAACGGCCCAGCCGCAGGTAGGACGCCAGAAGGTCAAAGGATGTTAGAAACCCAAGCCTCTGCCTTGGCTGATCCAGGGGATCCGAGACAGAAGAATGGAGAGCAGGAGCAAGTGAAAACCTGACCCCCTGCAGCCCACACCTCGATGGTTGGAGCACAGAGCTTTTAACCATATCCAGAAAGATACCTGAGAGCCCTGGAGCATCGGGGCCTGTAGCCTGCTCTCCCGGGCATAGAGTAGAGGAAATTGCAAGCCCCAGGGAGAGCCCCAGCCTTCAGCTCAGAAAAGGCGGAAGAGGAAGAGGAAGGCACCTAGGAGATGTGAACCTGGGCGAACCTGAGGAAGAATCCGCCTTGGCCTGTGTACAGCATGCAGGGAGTCAAGTCAAGGGGGTGTGGATTGGGTGAGCGTGGTGGGCGGGCTGGAAGAAACCTGGGTAGTGGCAGTGATATCTAGAAAAGTTTTCTTCCCTGATAAAGACAGGCATGTGAGGAGAAATAGGTCTGACTCTAAACCGGCTGAGTGTGGAGGTGATGGATGGAGCAGCAGCAGCCTTCTTTCAACCAGCAGAAGATAGGCCTAGGAAGCACCCATCCCACAGAGGTGGCCAAGCAGAAAGAGGGAAGGCAGCCTGATGCTGGAAGACGCCTCTGAACCCCTGAACCCCAGAAAGGCTGCCTCTATGCTTTAAAATGTGGTTTCTTGCTACTTAAGTCTTTTTTCCTGGGACTCTTCCTGGCTCTCAGTCCAAAGCTTCCAAATGAAAATGAACCTTTTCCTGCTCCTATGTGGAGAGTTTCTTTTCTGCGAAGGGACTCCACGTCCTTGCCTTTCCTGGAGAAGGCAGTGGGAAGGCAAGCAGGTCGCCAACACCCACCACTGCGCCCTGGGAGAAGTCATTTCTGCAGGGACAGTTCTGAATGAGAACAAATACTTGAGAGTATTTAAGGAAATAAAGGACATCTGGTTACACAGCGGCTTTGACGGAGGCAGCAAGAGATGGGTGGTGAAGAAACGAAGAGGATGAAGGTGGGGCCGCCCACGGGGACCCAGCCCCAGGGGCGAGTGCTGTTGATGGTGTGGTTTTCCTTCAGAATCCTGGCACCAAGGTGCTGCGGAGGCCGAAGCAAGTACAGCAAGCTCTGAGCCTTGGGGTTCCATCTGCGTTGAACTGGTGCCGTCTACAGCACGTGAGTAAATACAACATAACAAAAAGAAAAGGTTTTTCTCAGAGCCTATGAATATGGAACTACTAATTTGAGTCCAGGCCATCAATCCCAATCTAGTGACCCAACAGCCATGGGGTGTGTATGCACAAAACCACTTGGATGAGAAACAGGATGGAGGAGGGAAGCCACTAATAAATGCCTCCTCGGGCGCCCGCTCCAGCCGCGCACTGTCTCATAGCCCACCCTGTCCACTGAGGCACAACCCCACTCGTGGCCTTCCCCCAACTGAGGCTTCAGGGGGCTCTTGGGGGCTGTCTTGGCTCATATCGGGCCCAAGTCTGGTCAAAAGTCCAATCTCTACCTCTTGGCATGAGCTGGTTCCTTCCTCAGCTCCTCCTACCCCTGCCCCCACCAGGTACCACCTTCCATAGATTCTTCTGTTCCCACAGGTGTGCAAGGTAGCGGGGAGACCTGTGTCTGCCCAACAAGGCCCGGGCTCCAGGGGCCCTAACCAGGTGTGGGCTGAGAACGGGAGCTCCCCAAGGGCGGGCCGCGCTCCTCATCCTCTCGCTAAGCCCTTGCTGAATGAGTGAAGGAGGGGCTTTGGAAGCCCAGGTCTGCAGAGTCGAGAGAGAACCTCTCCGCTCCCTTGCGTCCTCAAACTCTGCCCTCTACTTCCTGGGTACAGGCCAGACTTCATCTCCCAGCCTCCCTGGCAGATGAGGGCAGGCTCCTCTTGATGGAATGGGGTGAAAGCAAGGAAGCCATATCCATGCTGGCCCATAAGAAGCTGCTACAGAACCCTTCCTCCTCCCTTCCTCCACCACCCAGCAGGAAGCAAGGGAGCCCGGGGCGCCACGGTGGACCACAGGATGAATGACACAGGCCCCTGGGTCCCTGAGCCGCTCTCTCAGTTCCGCCTCTCAGCATGAAAGATCCCAAATGTGGGAACTATGTGTTCTAGCAGCTGGCATCGCCTTCACCAACTCAGGGTTTAGGACAATATTGTTTGTGCCCCAATGTCTAACAACACTTTTCGTTAAATAATCATCATCACAGCTGATATTTACCGAGACCTTCGAGTTCCAGCCACTAGCCAAGTGCTTTGTCAGGATCTGATTTTTTAGAGCTCATGACCACCCCTGGGATGCAGGTGTGTGGTGTGGGGATCGTTGCAGCCTCCCCACATCCATTCCATTCCTTCCCAAGCGCTGCATTCTGATTAGGATGAGGTTGGCCCTATCCTTAGCACCAAAGATGGACCCCGACTGTGTCCAGGGTGGACAGTGTGTGTCCTAAGTCAGTCTCAAGAGCTCAAGAGCTCTGTTTCAGATGGAGGAGGAAACACCACCTCTCTCCCCAAATATTAATAGGAAGATGTGAAGCCTGGATGCCCTTGGACATCCTCTTGCAACCAGGAGGGAAGCCAGCCTGAGCCAATTCATCCAACAAAGCCAATTCATGATGTAGGACAAGGCAGAGGCAAAAGAACCACAGAGAAACAGAACCAGAGCCTGGTGCAGTTATACCTCAAGCTCAGCTTGGCAGAAGCAGTTAGTACTCATGAAATATTCCATGTGCTTGCCACGTGCCTTGAGCCACTAGGGCTGCCATACTGAAGTGCCCCAGATGCGGTAGGTTATTGTCTCAGCTCTGGAGGCTGGATGTCCTTGCAGTTAAATTGGAGCCATATGTCTAGGTCTGGCCACTAAATTGTAAATGACAGTGGTATGTGTCACTTCTTGGCTAAGGCAGGTAAGAGCCAGTGTGCTTTCCTCTCTCCTGATCCCATGATGCTCTTAGTAGCCAGGTGCCGAGATGGGGAAAACAAGAGGGCAGGAACGTGGATCTCTGCATCAGGAATGGAGGAGGGGCCCAGCTAGCGGCACTGAATTGTCGGTGAGCAAGAGGTGTACATCGTGGCGTTATGCCTCCATGCTTCTGGTGCTCACAATGCTGATTAATACATCTACTGTTCTTCTAAAATCAGGACTCCTAAATTGCCAAGACCAGTAAAATCCCGTGATTGTTGAAGCCAGATGAAATCAGGTTTTTTGTTAGTTGCAGCTGAAAGCAACCTAACTCATACAGTATTGTCACTTCTTTAAAATGTAGAAACTAGGGCTTAGTGAAATAGAGTGACTTGCTCAAGGTCACACAGCTAATATGTGACAAAACTGAGCTTCCATAATAATGCCAGGAGTTCACAGTGTGCGGTCCCCATACTATCTCCCTCACAATCATTTGGGATACATGTTTAAAAAGTAGATTAACTGGCCCCATGAATACTGATCAGTCCATCTCTGGATAAGGGGCCCAGGACTATGGATTCTCATGAGCTCTCTGGTGGCTGCTGTCCGTTCAAAGTTGAGAAGCTCTGGTCTAAACTGAGACCTCTTCAGGAGGTACGGTGTCACATGTCCCATGTGTGGGGAACTGGTGAAAATAAATCCATTTGAAGTACAAACATGTTTCAGTTGGCCACTCTCCATGCTACAGTGTGTTTGCCAGTGTTTATAAACACAGTTGAGAAAAAGTCATCAAACTTCATAGCCCATGGTCGTTGACATAAACAAAGATACTCTCCACTGAGTTTTACTTTTAACTTTGCCATTAAGATGGCAGCGATCTTAGTTGCAAGAACTAATTGCAGATTTCATGCTGAATTTTTTTCTCATATCCCCAAAATTACAAATTCTGTGTTGAACCAGAAATCATTCATTCAGAAAACATCCTACGTATTATACAAGGATACGGAAGAAAAAATGCATTGCCCAAGAAAACGTGCCTGTGGGTGTCTGGCCCATGGATCATGATCAAGGAAGATGTAGACTGCAATTGTGATACACAGCCAGTGCACTACTGTGATACATAGCCAGTGCACTATGGCAGTACATAGCCAGTGCACTACTGTGATACATAGCCAGTGCACTATGGCAATACATAGCCAGTGCACTACTGTGATACATAGCCAGTGCACTATGGCAATACACCACCAGTGCACTACTGTGATACATAGCCAGTGCACTATGGCAATACATAGCCAGTGCACTACTGTGATACACAGCCAGTGCACTATGGCAATACACCGCCAGTGCACTATTATAATGCACAACTAATGCATTATTGCAATACACAACTGGTGCCGCCTCAAGGATTGACAATGTACATTAACCTAGAGGCACAAACCATCCGTGAAATTTAAAAATAAGTAAACTATCACGTCTAGGAATAAATCTAATAAAAGATGTGTAAAACCTCCTCAACTCATAAACATTGCTGAGAAAAATCAAAGAAGACTTAAATAGAGAGAGATGACATATACATAAAAAAAACTATTAAGAGAAACAAAAGGCAAGCCACAAACTGGAAGATTTTGAAATTCATATATCCAAGAAAGGACATATTCAGAAAATGTAAAGCTATCTTGCAAACAAATAAGAAAAGGATGTAAAACCCAATTGCAAAAATAGCCAACATCAACAGGTAAAATTTTTAGTTACACAAGATGAATATGTTCTGGAGACCTGCTATACAGCATAGCACCTAGAGTTAACAATACTGTATTGCACACGTTACAATATATTAAAAGGACAGACCTCAGGTTAAGTGTTAACACACACACACACACATGCACACACAACACCACAGAGAGATTTCTGGAGGTGATGGATATGCTTAGTACCTTGATTGTGGTGATGATATCCTGGGTACATGGATTTGTCCAAACTCATCCAAATGTACACATTATATGCAATTTTTGTATATCAATTATATATCAATAAAGCTTTTCAAAATGGGCTAAAAATGGGCAAAAAAATAAAGATAATATATTGATACAGTCAACTGTTCTTACCATCCACATCTCAGACTTTCCGGGAAGGCAGATGGGGTAGGGGAAGAAACAGTAACGCTGATTCATTTCATCTTGGGCCTCTCTTGATTTGCTGCCCAAACAATACATGCTGGACTTGCAAGCTGTACCAGAAAGCCTGGAAAGGGAGGGAAAAAAAGAAACACCCTTGGACAAAACCTCAGCAGCCAAGTTGAGACTCTGAGCCATATGCATGTCTTTGTGTGGGTTGAAATCTATTTTCTCTGGGTTCGATGGATTATTATAACACCCAAAGTTTTCCAAAAAACGTCAGACAAGGTTACCACAGCAATTAAGCTGTCTGCCATCTGCAAGAGGCTTGGCTTAAGGTTTACTGAAGTTAAACATGTTTTGAAAAGAAAAAATTAAGGCTGTCGATGTTTTGCCTATCAGTCAAGCTCAGCAACATTAGGCCTTGGAGACTCTTCAGGGAGAGTCGTTCTCCCTCAAGGAATAGTTTAGCATTGGCATGCTGAAATTTCAGAACCCAAGGAACATTTCAAAAATAAATTATGCCTTGAGAAACACTGCACCTAATCTTGGAACTGGCAGAGTAAAAACTTTGCTAAGACATTCAGCCAAGCAATTGAGATTAACACTCTTTATCGCCTTCCCAAATGGCAAGTTATTTAAAAAAAAAAAAAAACAGACCTGAATGTTAACTGAATTTCACATTCTTACTCCACAGTTTCTTTAAAGCAAATAAGTGTCTAAAATGATGACAGTAAAACTTATGGTTTAAAATTCTGAGGAGTGTCTGCAAAGTCTTATATTTTTCTCAGCCAGATTTTCTGGCTGAACCAAAGCTTTCCTGAGAAAAGGAGGAGAAGGAGGATGGGTTCCATGTGCCTGGAAACATTATCATTCTTTCCAGTTGCCCATCTTTAGCCCAGGGTTACTTTTTATTCTTTCTTGAGAAAAAAATATTCCAGGAACCAAAAAAAACAAAAACAAACACAAAAAAACATAGTTAAATTTTATCCTCTGAACAACGGGCAGGGGGGAGTCAATGTCATTTTTCTCCGGGAATGAATGACAGGAGGTTTTCTCATCTTAAAGCAGTGCTGTGCTGGCAAACCAGCTCTCTGGGAGGAAAAACAAAATCTTCATTTGTAGCATTTGCCAATTTCCAAAGTGTAAATAATCCCACCATGGCTAATTTGAAGTTCTCAGTCATTTAACAACCAGATCTCAAAATTTCCAAATATTCAACAATCCTTTCTCAGAAACTAGCTTCAACTTACCACTCTCTTGAAGCAAATTATTATTATTGCCCATGACATGTTTTATTTATCCAATATATAAAAATAACTTTACCTGGCATTGGAATGCAAGAGAAAAGACAAATGACAGAAAGGGGCTCTGCCATTCAGAATCCTACAATTGAACAGGCAGGGAAAATACACAGTAAAGGCCTCTGAGAACACAGCTGCATATACTACATCTGTTTGGAGAATTCTCCTCTCTTCTGGGCACAGCCTCTTAAGACAGCCCAGATAATGCCAGGCATTGAAATGGCACTGTGATAGTGGAGGGGGTCAAGCGTTAGTATGGACAGAGGTAATGTGGATGGACAGGAAGGTTCTTATACATCTATAAGAATGTCACTTGGAATAAGAGTTAGGAGTTACTTTTTTTTGCTCCAAAGCTAACAACTAGGTCTGCCGGATATAAGACATAAGGAAGCTGATTTCTGCTCAACATAAGAAAAATGTTTCTGTTTTTTTGTTTTGAGACAGAGCCTTGCTCTGTTGCCCAGGCTGGAGAGCAATGGTGCCATCTCAGCTCACTGCAACCTCCACCTCCCAGGTTTAAGCGATTCTCCTGCCTCAGCCTCCCAAGTAGCTGGGATTACAGTCGCCCACCACCATGCCCGGCTAATTTTTATATTTTTAGTAGAGGTGGATTTCACCATGTTGGCCAGGCTGGTCTCAAACTCCTGACCTCAAATTATCCACCCACCTCAGCCTCCCAGAGTGCTGGGATTACCATCATAAGCCACCACACCCGGCCAAGAAAAACTTTTCCAGAAAAAAAAAGTTGTGCTGTCAGAGGAGATAAGACCATGAGAAGAAAAATAACCTCTTACAACATTTCTACCAGTTGATACTATTTCTTACATATCCTTTTGTCCAATTCTCACAATGACCTCATGGTACAGGTACTGGCCACTCCTTTATAGTGAAGAAACTGAGGCACAGGGAAGGCAAAAAACTAACTTCTCTGAGGTCTTCTACAGCAGGAGCAGGACTCAAACTAGGTCTCCTCATTCAGGTAGGATTTTTTCCCTCTCTCAAAATGATTCAGAATATGCCCTGAATTTCAGCGTGTTCCTTGAAAGAGGAACGCCTGGTTACGGAAACTGAAGTGCATTCTGCCAGTAGCACCCGGGCCAGGCACTGCACTGGGGGATTGAACTGGACACAGGAAACCACTCTGTGCTACTTTAGGTTTCTAGATAAGGGCCCGGTGTAAATAAAAGAGTGTTCTCCTGAAGATGGTCATATTGACCTGGCTAATTTCTGAGAGGGACATTAAGAGTCAGTAAGGGACGTGCATAAACCACCTTGGACGCACTATGATAGGCACAAGAAGGAACAGATGAGTCTACCAGAGATGGCTTGGAACAAGTTTATCCCACTCCTAGGAAAATGTCATGGCAAATACTCTGTATATTCAGCTAAAATTCATCAAAAATGAAAGTCATTGACAAAGATCTTAGAACACAGCTCTCAGGGGAACAATGATTTCTTCTGTAGGGGATCATTAAGGGTCATTGCAGATTCAAGAAGTTTCCAGAATAAGGCAAACATTCCTTCAACACAGACAGGGTCCATCACAGACCACTCAGCCACCTGCATCCCAAGCTTTGCACATAACCCAGGACACAGTGAGACCAGACGCTGGGCTTGGACATTGAATGCACTGAATGCATTCTCATGAGTCACTATTGCTTCATAGATATAAATTGCCCTCTGCAGACCATAAGACCTGAACACGAGAAGACTGTTCAGGTAGTGTTTTTTAGCTGCCAAAGGCACCCCCAGGAGGGATAACAGAGCAGATGTCAGATGCCCCCACGAGTGAACCCTGAACCCAAGACGCACCAGGCCAGCTCAGCCATGTGGTCATTTCCACAGGTCTCTCCTCCCCTCCCCACACTGCCGACCCCCCTGTGTGTGCTGGGAGGCACAGCCCCCCTTGGGAGGTTGACATTCCAAGTCAGTGAGTACCACAGCCAAGCTTGCCAACCTCAGCACAGCCCCCTGCCAGGGAACTGTCATTCTAAACACCATGCTTGGGATGGGACCTCCTGCTGGGGCCTGCCCCTGTGCTCCACCCGCAGCCTGTGAGGTAGTGTTTCTACCCAAGGGTTGAGTGTTCAATGAGTGTCTTGTCCTTTCAACAATAGCAGACGTGTTACCCTGCAGCTTGGGGAGCTCTGGGCCCTTCGTGAGTGGAAAATGAAACCTCACTGTGAAGGTATTGAATGGCCTCCAAATAACACGGCAGGACCAGCCCAGAAAGCCAGAGTGTTTTCTGTGCACACGTCGTGTGACCCACAACCAGCTCCCAGGGGAAGTGAGAAACCCATACCACACTTTGCCCCGGAATGATGTTTTCCATCTCTCTGGTTTTGGGCATCTGGAGATGATCCCTCTGGTGCCTTGCTCGCTGAGGACAGTGCAGCAGGAATGAGCCACCCATGCAGGCCAATATGCCATCAATCAACGTCAATATTATTCCTAAGTCTCCACCCCCACCAGGAGTGGTGCGTTCCAGCCCCTGCGGAGGCAGCAGAGCTGTCAGAACATTGTCAGGCTTTGTGGGGAGTTGTGGCAGCTTTCTACAAGCCTTACCCCAACCCTGGACTCCAGCAGGGCTGCACCGCATGTTTCCTGAGGATGTCTCAGAAGAGTTCAGTGCCTCTCCTGCAAGGAGCTTGACCTGGGCTCAAGATGCTGCGACCTCAACCCTCCAGGTCCAGGCTCAACAGCCCAGCACTGGAGCTGACTGTGGATTTTTCATGCATAGCACAGCTTCACGAGGACCTCTGGGCCCCTCACGCACAACAGCCCACCCAGGGTCTTTCCTGCTCCCAACTCTCTTGGAGGCCCATGCCAAAGACAAGGGCTGGGGATGAAGGACAGAGGCCAGGAGCGCCTCCCCACCACACACCACATTAGGCCTAATGGAATCTCCTCCTCCTTCTCCAAGTTATCTTCTCTTCCATGCAGCTTTTCCCAGTCCCCAGAGTCACTGGTCCTTGGGCCACTGCATACTTCCAGTGCAATTATGCATTTATTGCATTTGACTTTTTTTAGTAGTTACTGGTTGCAATGGTTGATTTTATATGTCAACTTGGCTAGGCCGTGGTGACCAGTTGTTAGGTCAAACACCAGTCTAGACGTTACTGTGAAGATATGTTTTAGATGGGATTAACATTTAAGTCAACAGGCTTTGAGTAAAGCAAATTACCCTCCATAATGAGAGTGGGCCTCATTCAATCCATTGAAGGTCATAAGAGAAAAGATGGAGGTCCCTGGAGGAAGACGGAATTCTGCCAGGCAATCATCTTCAGACATCAACTCTTCCCTGGCTCTCCAGCCAATGGGCCTGCCCTGAAGATTTCAGACTTGCCAGCTCTCATAATTGCATGATCCAATTCGTTAAAAGAGAGAGAGAGAGAAAGGAGAGAGATATCCTATTTGTTCTGTTTCTCTGGAACACCCTAATATGCTGGTAGACATATGGGCTCCCCAAATGGATTGTAAGTCATGCAGAGGCCGAAACTGAGTTTCCTCCACTTCCATGACCCCAGCAGTGCCTAGCCCATAGCCAGCCACAGAATGGACCCTCAGTAAACGCATGCTGAGTGGACAGCACATGGTCTAGGCCGGGAAGGGGTGAGGTGTAGGAAGCAGGGAAGTGCAGAGGTGCACACCCTGAATGTGAGGGCCTCCTTGAGTTTGCAGCCCAGGTCCCGGGCCCTGCCCGTGTGGTCTGCAGGGAGAAGTCATTGGTCTACATGCAATGACCCTGCCGGCCTCTGGGACTCACACTCCGCAAGCTCAAGGGCCTGGTTGGCACCACGGAAAAATCTTGAAGCGCTCACTTGGCGTGAACAAGGTCTGGGGTTCATGAGAATCAGAACCTTCCAGAACCCTGGGCTGTGCACTGTTATGCTGAAAGGCTGGTGCTCATTTTGGACCGTCAAGCGCAGCCATGAGCAGAAGGAATCCCTCCGAGCATCGTGCCCAGATGGCGGCTCAGCCTTTCCCTTGTAACGCGTGGCCCAGAGGAAGGGGCCGGCGTTGTTCTGCCACAGGGCTGTTCTGCCACAGGGCTGCTCCCCCAGGAAGCCCTAAATGTGCAGACTGTGTGGGAGGAAACAGCCCCCTTGGATTACTGGGCTATAAAACTTCAAATGCATGAAGACTTTGGGTGGTGATCAAAACCCCAGCGCACCCCAGGACCCCACCATGCAAAGCTCGCCCCACCAGATAGTCCCTGAAGGTCCTTGTTTGTCAATACACAGCCCCTGGCTGGGCCTCACATCGGCCCAGATCCTTCCTGGAGCTTTGGTTTTTCTTGAATCCTCAGCAGTCCCCACCCTGCTGCTGTTAGGACAGAACCGCCAAGTCAGGAGCAACAGATAAAAGGGCTTCCCCTGCCCTGGTCCCTGCGCTACAGTGTAGGCTGAGCCAGCCTCATGGCCTGTGCAGCATGTCAAAGACAGCATCCCCATTTCGCCCTGCCCTCCCCTCAGCACCACAAAATACACAAGGCCCAGAAGAGGAGTCCAAATGCCTTCTCGCTGTCCCATGTTCACACGGACGCTGCTTAAGGATTTAAGTACATCTCAGAACACAAGAAGCCATGAGTGAGACTCTTGCTTTGTTCAAAAAGCTGTGTGATGTCCACACAAAACGGAAAACAAGTACGGGCTGCCAGCTCCCTGACAGGGACCCCCTCCCCATCCACGGAGATAAAACAAGCAATCACAGAAGTGGCTGGACCTACGAGCCTCTTCATCAGCTGACAAAATAGCTCTGAGGAACCCAGGAGCGTCACTGGGTGTATTGGGCCATTCTTGCATTGCTATAAAGAAATACCTAAGGTTGCATCATTTATAAAGAACAGGTTTAACTAGTTCCCGGTTCTGCAGGCTGTACAAGCATGGCGCAGGGCATCTGCTCAGCTTCTGGGGAGGCCTCAGGGAGCTTTTACTCATGGCAGAAGGCGAAGCAAGGGCAGGCATGTCACATGGCTAGAACAGGAGCAAGAGAAAGAATGGAGGGGAGGTGTCGCACACTTTTAAACAACCAGATCTCCCAAGCACTCACTATCACGAGGACAAGACCAAGGAGATGGCACTAAACCACTCATGAGAAATCCGCCCGCATGATCCAACCACCTCCCACCAAGCCCCGCCTCCGACAGTGGGGATTGCAATTCAACTCGAGATTTACAGGAGACGACATCCAAACTATTCTGCTGGGGGTGGTGTGCATAGCAGGGAAGGAAGGTAGCGTGGATGCAGAGGTCCCAGCAGGGTCTCGGATGGGGTTGGAAAGGCCTGTTCTCTCCCCTAGGAGTAGCCAGGACAGACCAGGCCTGGATGGGACCTGGAAGACACCTCCTGGTTCCCATTACATTTGCATTGCTCAGCCAAAGACCACAGGCTGGGCAGGGACCTCAGGGTTCTCAGGACCCCATAAAAGAGAAGGCGGAGGAGGAAACAACCTCTGTGCACACCCACAGATGGGGCCTCGGCCAGCATCCAGGCCAGCCCCGCCATGGGGAGGCGGCTTCAGTGCCAGTCAGGGTGACTCCCAGCAGCTCTGGAGCCAGGCCCTGGTAGACCCCTGAGCAAAGGCTGCCCTCCCCGGCCCTACCCAGGGAAATGGGTGGAGGGTGGCTTCCCCACAGAGAGAAGTACCTGGAACAAAAAGGGATTGAGGGACAGGGGCTGTGGGCCCTGTACACACTAGAACCTGCTGTCTTCCTGAAACTCACCCGAGGGACCCCACATTAGGCCTAGTCTTTTACCCAATACCCAGGGAGACAATTCCAGCTACACCCCTCAATCATCCCAGCAGAATCACGGTCAAGCCCGCAGGGAGGTGACCAGGAGCACAGTCCCTAGTGAGAGGAAAGAGCCACAGAATCACCTTTTCCTGAGGAAACAGAACCAAGCTAGGGCAGCGAAAATCCATAGTGAACACGAGCGACGCCCCCAGTGCGAGAACAGAGGATTTGGGAAACACAAAGCAGAAGCAAACAGAAAGAAGAAACACTTGCTGATGCTAGATATGAAACAGAATTGATGAAATAAAGGACAGGAGGGATGGGCTAAGAAGCAGGACAGACCCATTGAAGAGTGCACTGGGGGGTGGGGCGCGGTGGCTCACGCCTGTAATCACAGCACTTTGGGAGGTCGAGGCTGGCGGATCATCTGAGGTCAGGAGTTTGAGACCAGCCTGGTCAACATGGTGAAACCCCATCTCTACTAAAAATACAAAAATTAGCTGGGCGTGGTGGTGGGCGCCTATAATCCCAGCTACTCGGGAGGCTGAGGCAGGAGAATCACTTGAACCAGGGAGGTGGAGGTTGCAGCGAGCTGAGATCATGCCACTGCACTCCAGCCTGGGTGACAGACCAAGACTCCATCTCAAAAAAAAAAAAAAAAAGAGTGCACTGGGGGTCCGGGGTCAGGAAGGGAGGAGAAGCCGAAAGGGCAGAACAGTCAGGTGAGGCAGAGAACAAGAGGGGCGGCAACAGCTCCCTAAAGGGAGAGAGAAGCGGAAAAAGGGCACGGGGGAGAGGTTGCTCAAGAAACAATAACTGAAAGTCTCCCAAAACTAAAATGAAAAAGTCACATGCATTTATAAATCCTCAGACTGACAGGATTCATGGGGCAGTGAACAGGACAGGCAGAACCCACGCCAGCCAGGCAGCAGGAAGGAAGAGCAAAGAAAAACATGAGAGGTTATATCTTCCAGGAGAAAAAGTCGGTGACCTGCTGGATTTGTCTCCTAGGTCTTCCAGAACAAAATGTGGCACTACAAATGGGTGACTTAAAACAGCAAAAATGCATTCTGTCATGGTTCTGGAGGCTACGAATGCAAAATCAAGATACCAGCAGGGCCACGCTCCCTCGGAAAGCTCTAGGAGAGATTCCATTCTATGCCCCTCGTAGCTTCTGGTTTTGCCACTGTCCTCAACTTGTAGACACAACACTCCCAGCTTCTGCCTCCCTGCTCATACAGCCTTCCCCCTGAGTGTCTGCATCTCTGTGTCTCTTCCCCTCTTCTTAGAGGGACATCAATATGTTGGATTAGGGACCCAGCCTACTCCAGTAGGACCTCATCTCTTAACTAATTACATCTGCAATTACCCTAGTTCCAAAGGCATTAGGATTTCAACATCCTTTTAGACGACCCAGTTCAGCCCACCACACCTACAAAAGAACAAAAATAAGATTTTTATCAGGCCTTTCAATAACAACAGGATACAAGAAAACTATGGAGTCATACCTTAGATATTTTAAAGAAAAGCATTTTAACTTAGAACAGTGCATCTGGTTAGATTATTATTTAACACAAAAAAGTAATAGCTCCGGGCTCATATATAGATGGTTTCAAAGAACTTGTTCCATAAAGCACTATTTGAGAAAATTCTTAAAGGGTTTCCTCTGGCAGAAGAAAAAAGACGAATCCAAGAAAAAGATATAAGTAAGGATCAGTATAAAGTTAGCGAAAGAAAGTTTTGTTGTCAAAATTAGCAAGGAGTCAAAAATATTAGGTTCTCAGCAGGGCTTCAGCATGGCTAACTGCAGGCTTCTGGTACTCACCCCCTCCACAACAAAGACCGAAAATAGCGAGTAGATGGTCACACTCTGAACAGATCATCTAAGAGAACGCTAGAATTCAACAGAGAGTGAAAAGAAACACCTAAAGCCAGGAAGGCGAGAAAAGCAAGGCAGCCTGCTTGGCAGGGGTCAGCTGGGATCCTGGAGAGGCTCCCAGTGCAGGGAAAGGGTGAGTGAGTGACCCCCAGAGGTCCACACTTCCACTGCAGACTCCTGCATCCTAGCCACGGGAAAGCCCCTAGACTCTCACAGCCCCAAAGACTTATCTAGGATGCTGCCTACAGACCATGTGATGGCTTTGCTCCAGAGGGGAACTCGTGCCAGGTCCCACCTCACCCCCACCCTAGGCAGCTACAGCAGGGTGTCACAATAAGAGCCTAGCCCTCACCAGACTGCATCCTGGACCCAATAGCCCCTGGATCTCCACATCCCTGGAGCCCCACTGACATCCCCTGCCCACAGATGCTACCATGACTGACGGCTGCCCCCAGGGCTGAAGTGCGAGTCAGTAACAAAGAGCCCACTGCCCCTGGCAGTGATGCTGCCACGCATTTTCATGCACCTTAAAAACAAACCCCCCTGCCCACAGCAGTCACAGATGCCAATGCACACGCAAAGTGTGCACTCCTCAGCCACCTGTGGCTGCTGCCACTGAAAGCTACTTAGCCCTCCCCAGAAGCAGGGCTGCAGCACATCTTGGGCCTGGGGATCACCCCACCTCTGCCCACCACAACGAGGACCTGCAAGCACCACTGGGGGTCTGAGGACAGGTCCACCCAGCCTGGCTCTGCACCCCCAGTGTCCAGGCATGCCAACCAGAGGACTGAGGACTGCCTAGCCTAGTCCCCACCGCTGACACCTGAGCCCTCCTCCCAGGGGCTTCAAGTTAGGCCCATCCAACCTGCCATCCCTGCAACAGTGGGCACCCACCTGCACATGCCACATGCAGGCCTGGCAACTGGCCCACCTAGCATGTTGTAGCCACCACCAACACCAGCACAAACTGCTTGGGAGCCAGAGATTTGTCCTGCCACTGCTACTGCCATCACCCACACTATGCTTGTTGCCTAGGGGCCAAAGAACCTGCCCACCTGCCTGGCCCACCACTACTGGTATCTGAGTAAGCTGCCTGGAGTCCCAAAAATCAGCTCTCTTTAACCTGCTAACACTGGCGCCAGCGTACACATCCCTGAAGCCGAAGGACAGGCACACTTGGCACACTGCTACTACCACTGGGACCTGAGGACAGGCCAACCTGGCATCTTTCCCCCGGCAAAATTTGACCACAGCCTCCACTAATAACCACATCCTAAGCCACTGAGGAAATCAAACACCACTGACACTGTTAGGCCAAAGAAATCACACAGAAACTATGCTACTGTACCCACAATCGAAACCAAAGTGCCCTACTCAACACTACAGATACATCTTCAGAAAAAAGTTCCCACCCATGAAAGCAAATTCAAGAAATTGGAAGAAGTGACTGTTACACTAGATGTGCAGATATCAATGTGAGGAGAAAAAAACATGAAAAAGCAAGGAAATATAACACCACCAAAGGAACACAATAATTCTCCAGCAACAGATCCAAATCAAAAAGAACTTATGAAATCTCAGGGAAAGAAATTCAAAATAATGATATTAAAGAAGGAGAGTAAGATACAAGTGAATACAGAAAAATAGTTCAAAGAAATCAGAAACATAATTCAGGATATGAATGAGAAATTACCAAAGAAATGAGTATCATAAAAAAAGGACCAAATAAAAATTCTAGTACCAAAGAATGCATTAAATAAAATATAAAATACATTTGAAAGCTTCAACGATAAACTAGATCAAGCAGAAAAAGGATTTCAGAACTTGAAGAGAGGTCTTTTGAAATAAACCAGTCAGATAAAAATAAGAAAAAAGAATAAAAATGAACAAGGCTAGGCCAGGTGCGGTGGCTCATGCCTGTAATCCCAGCACTTTGGGAGGCCGGGGCGGGTGGATCACGAGGTCAAGAGTTCAAGATCAGCCTGGTCAAGATGGTGAGACACCATCTCTACTAAAAATATGAAAAAAATTAGCTGGGCATAGTGGTGGGCGTCTTTAATCCCAGCTACTCGGGAGGCTGAGGCAGAGAATTGCTTGTGAACCTGGGAGGCAGAGGTTGCAGTGAGCTGAGATCACACCACTGCACTCCAGCCTCGGCGACAGAGCAAAACTCTATCTTAAAAAAAATGAACAAAGCTTACATGACATATAGGACACTATAAAGTGACAAAATATTCTAATTTTTGGTGTCCCAGAAGGTAAAGAGAAAACTAAAAGAATAGAAAACTTATTTAACAAAATAAGAGCTGAAAAATTTCCCAAGTTTAGCAAGAGATGTATACATCTGGATACAGGAATCTCAGTGACCCCCAAACAAATAAAATGCAAAAAAAGGTCTTTTCTATGTCACATTATAGTCAAACTGTCAAAAATCAAAGACAAAGAGAATTCTAAACACAAGAGGAAAGCATCTAGTCACTTATGAGGGAACCTCAGTCAGACTAACAGTAGATTTCTCAGCAGAAACTTTATAGGCCAGGACAGTGTGGAATAATATATTCACAGAGCTGAAAGAAAAGAAAACTGCTGTCCAAGGAAATGATACTATACCCAGTAAAGTTTTTCTTTATAAATGAATGAGAAATAAAGTCTTTCCCAGACAAGCAAAAGCTAAAGGAATTCATCACCACTAGACCATTCCTACAAGAAATGCTTAAGGCAGTCCCACATTTGGAAGCAAAAGGACAGTATCTACCATAATTAAAATACACAAAAATATAAAAACCCATTGGAAAAGCAAACACACAAATAAGGAAGAGCAAAGACTCAAATATTACTACTACAGAAAATTACCAAACCACAATCATAAATAAGAGAGAAAGGAACAATGGATATACAAAACAATCAGATATCAATTAATAAAATGACAGGAAAATGTATTAACCACTCCACTTAAAAGATATAGACTGAATGAATTTTTCAAATGATCCAACTATATGCTGTATAAATGAAACTCATTTCACCTCCAAAGACACATATTGACCTAAAGTAAAGGGATGAAAAAAGACATCCCACACAAACAGAAACCCAAAACCAAGCAGGATTAGCTACACTCATATCCAATAAAACAGACTTTGAGTCATAAACAGTAAAAAGAGACAAAGAAGGTCATTATATAATGATAAAGGGATCAATTCAGCAAGAAGATATAACAATTCTAAACATATATGCATCCAACACTGGACCACCAGATATATAAGGCAAATATTATTAGATCTAAAGGGAGAGATAGACTTTAATAAAATGATAGTCAGGGATAGGACTGAGTGGCTTAAGGTGGGTCAGTGAGTTTCCCAGAGCTTCAAGCTTTTAAGTGGAGGAGCTCAGAGTCAAGCCCCTCTCCCAGCTCTGCAGGCCTCAAATACAACCACCATCCCACCAGAAACAGGTCCCCCTTGGCTTTGATGTACCACTGAGTTTGAGGGGCTCCTGAGACCCCCAGACATCTCTTCAAGCAACACTACATCTGAAAGTCACACATCTGAGAGGTCCTTAGGGGTATCAGTCTCATTGGAGACAGTGACAGAAGCTGGAGAAAGGCTGGGAGTGCAGCCCCCCAGCAGGAGGTCTCACCGTGGATGGGAAGAGACCTGAACCATCTTCAAATACTCTTACGTGTCCCATTTTAAGAAAATAGAACCAACGTGTTTCCAGCAAATTGAACACACATGGACATTTTTTAATGAACTCCAGTCAGCCCATCTGTCAAAACTGAAGATGCTGGAGAAACCTAAGACTCCTCTAAAGTTACAGCCAAAAAGATGTGATATACCTCCAAGAACTGCACAAGGGATGCTGCTAGCAACACTTCAGTGTTGTGGTCAACAAAGAAGTGGAGTAGAGGAGGAGTTTCTCTCTTGCCCTTCCCTGCGAAGATCGCTTTCCCCAGCATCGTTCCCAAAAATAGCAGCCGAGCTTTTAAAACACACACACTCCAGATCTGTGCTCCTGGGAGAGCTTGTTCAACTCACATCCTGCATGTACACAGAGCTCTAAATAGAGACTCCTAACTCTATAAAGGAATTCCTTTTAAGGAATCCACCCAAATCTGTTAATAACCAATCGTAGAATAAACACCAAAGGATCAAGTGTGTGTGTGTGTGTGTGTGTTTGCACGTGTGCACGCATGCACATCAGTGCATCTAAGTGTGTATGGGGGTGAGGGACCTTCTCCTTCCAGAACCTCCCTCCTCCCACTTGTCCTGCCACTGCTACTGCCTACTCTGTAGCATAAGGGCCTGCAGACCAACAGGAGCCCAGGCAGCAAATATCACTCCTGAGGGCCCAGATAAGACGCTGTCACTCACCACATACCAAAGAAAATGATATATATATAATATACATAATATATTCAAATATATACAAATTTGTATTTGATATGTATACATTAATTTTATATAGTGATTATAGAGATAGATGATATGTTATATATATTCTGTTTCACTGTGCTTACACTATTTTCACTGTAGAAAAGGGACAAATAGAGGCTGCGGCAGGACGGAAGGGTCACTTGCTTTTACACTGTGTAACTTTTTGTGGCTTTGAATTTTGTACTTGAAAAAATTAATTTGTGTGTGTGTGTCCTGCAGGTAAACTGTTGTCTTCTAAAAAATTTCTGCTTGACTTCCTAATCTCCAGCAGGGACCAAAACTTTTTCAGGAGCTCAGCAAGCCCTCCCCTCCCCACCCATCCCCAACACACATGTACTCACACACATGCATGTCACACACCCACACAACACACATGTACTCACACACATGCATGTCACACACACACCCACGCAACACACATGTACTCACACACATGCATGCCATACACCCACACAGCACACATGTATTCACACATGTATGCCACACACCCACACAGCACACATGTACTCACACACATGCATGCCACACACCCACACAGCACAAATGTATGAACACACATAGGCCATACACACCAGACACACACACCACACTGACACACACACACACACACACACATGCATTTGTCAGGAAAGAGCCTTTCACCACCCGCTGAGACCCCTCCCGCAGCATTTCTGAGCCCAGGTGCAGGGCAGGGCTCAGCTGGCCAACCAGGCCAGCATCAGGTCACAATGAACTCGCAGCATGGATAGGAAAGGCCCAAGTCCTCTAAGCCTCAGAATTCAGTGCCACCTAGAGGCTCCTCTGTTGCATGATTTCTCAATTCTGAGTGAAAAGACAGGCCCAGCCACTGGCCTCATGAAACAGGAGGTGGTCCCATGAGCCTGTAATGTCCAAAGAAGGCACTCATATTTCTTATGAGGACTTGAGAGATTGGGGCTGCCTGTCCGAGCTGCTGGCCAGGTCCCCAAGACCTGGAAGTGCTCAGTATCCCCTCGCAATTTTGCCACTCTACTCAGAGTGCAAACTGGTCAATCACTTCTGGAAACTATCTGGCAATATCTATTTGAGTTGAGCATGTGCAGCCCCTCGGCACAGCAGTCACACTCCTGATCTATACCCAACATATATGTGCATATAAAACTCCTGCCCACCCCAGCTCACTGAAATAAGGCCCCTGAAAATCCCAGCCCCTCAGCTGGGCCATTCCCCCTTGCAGGGAAAGGGCTGGAGGAAGCTGGGAGCTCATGTTGCTCCCAGGCCCAGCAGCATCGCAAGTGTGGATGGCTCCCTCCATCCTGCCCCCTCTCGGTCCCCACCCTCTGAAGCAGCGGTTCTTAGCCAGGGATGATTTTGTCCCCTGGGGACATTTGGCAATATCTGGAGACATTTTTGCTTGGCATACCCGGGGAAGAGGATGTACTGGCAGCTGGTGGGTAGAGGCCAGGGGTTCTGTGCAGCATCCTACGGTGCATTGGGCAGCCCCACGTGAAGGAGCATCCGGCTCCAAACGGCAATAGCAATGAAGCCAAGATATTGTGCCTTAAGTTCTCAATGGCGGAAGAGTGGGTGTAAATTATTACTTATTTTAAATAATTGGGCATTTCAGCTAAAGATTTAGAATTAAAAAATTCTATTACAGGAGAATTCAGTTCTAAGGCAGATGCATTTATCTTGCATTTTAAAAGAACAAAGCTGCCTAATGAAAACGGCAGAGTGAGACCATGCACTTCCTGGGCTTTAGATGCATCTTTTTCCCAGCCTGGGAAGCTGTTCCATTCTCCAGCGAACACCACTTACTACCTAATGACTGTTCCCCCATGGACCTGTGAGTGCACTGAAATCCAAAGTTCTTATGCTGGATCACTCAAAGGGATAAAAATACATTTCTACTCATTCTTTTCTTCCCTAAAGGCAATGTCTTGTTTATCCTTCCTTGTCTCTAAATAGATAATTTAATCAAAATGAACTAGCCAGATGATCTACAATAATCAACATTAGCTGTGAAAATTGTTTATGGAACTACTCGCTACCCAGCACAGATGTATTCACATTTCCTTCATAGTGCCTGGATTCTACTAGACATCACAGAAGCACATTCCCTACAAATTAGTGATTATATATATTCATTGTTTTTTTTTTGTTTTGTTTTGTTTTTTTTGCCAAATGCTTTCTAGATTGTTGCCCTATTTGTTGTTTAAGAAATGCTGACCCTTTTCACAAGACAGTGCTGAAAGCGAAGAAAGAAGTTCCTGCCCCTCCTAAAGCCAAAGCCAAAGCAAAGGCTTTAAAGGCCAAGAAGGCAGTGTTGAAAGGTGTTCACAACCACAAAAAAAAGAAGATCCACACGTCCCCCACCTTCCGGCGGCCCAAGACACTGCAACTCCGGAGGCAGCCCAAATATCCTTGGAAGAGCACCCCCAGGAGAAACAAGCTTGACCACTATGCTATCATCAAGTTTCCGCTGACCACTGAGTCGGCCATGAAGAAGACAGGAGACAATAACACACGTGTGTTCATGGTGGATGTTAAAGCCAACAAGCACCAGATCAAACAGGCTGTGAAGAGGCTCTATGATATTGACATGATCAAGGTCAACACCCTGATTTGGCCTGATGGAGAGAAGAAGGCATATGTTCCACTGGCTCCTGATTACGATGCTTTGGATGTTGCCAACAAAATTGGGATCATCTAAACTGAGTCCAGCTGGCTAATTCTAAATATATGTATACCTTTTCACCATAAAAAAAAAGAAATGCTGAAGGCTCCTTTACTGTTTTATATATTAATTCAAGTTGTTCAAATGCAATCCAACTAAATTTTTAATTTGTCTCACTGTTCTCCTCTTAAATAATTAAGTATTATCCTTTGGAAAACTGAGTTTGATAAAAGAAACCAAAATCCAACAACTCAAAATATCTCAGCAGAAACCAACATAAGGAATCAGTATAATCCTCATTGGCTGCCCCCAGAGTCATTTAGGAAATCAACCTCAAAGTAAATGTAATCAATAATTTGCTTTAAATTCAAAAAGATGTGTACATCACAAACTAAAATTCCAAACACTATCAGAAGGTATACAATAAAAAAGGTCTCCCTGTCATCTGATTTCCCAATCTCCCTACTGTCAACAGTTTTTTTGTGTGTTCTTTCAGAAATTCTTTACACGTACAACAAACAATATATATTTTGATAAATTATAGTTGTGCTATATACACATTGTTGCTGCTGGTTGCTTTTTCTTCCTTTTTTCCTGTGGTAAAATGCACATAAAATAAAATGTACCCTCTTAACTATTTTTAAGCGTATAGTTAAGCAGTATTCAGTACATTCACATATTTGTACAGCCATCACCATTATCCATCTCTGGAACTTTTTTTATCTTGCAAAATTGAAACTCTGTACCCATTAAACAACTTCCCATATCTCTCTCCCTCCACCCCCTGGCAACCATCATTCTTTCAGTCTCTATGAATCTGACTACTCTAGATACCTCATATAAGTGGAATCATAGTGTTTGTCTTTTGGGGACTGGCTTATTTCATTCAGCCTAATGTCCTCAAGGTTCATTCATGTTGGAGCGTGTGTCAGAATCTTCCCTTTTGAGGTTGGATAATATTCCATTGTTACATGTAGCACACTTCGCTTATCCGTTCATCACTGACGGACACTTGGATTGCTTCCACCTTTTGGATGTTGTGAATAATGCTGTAAATGTGGTGTACAAATATCTCTTCAAGACCCTGCTTCCAATTCTTTTGGATCTATATCTAGAAGCGGAATTTCTTGATTATATGGTAATTCTATGTTTAATTTTTTTAGAAACTGCCATACTGTTTTGCACAGCAGCTCCAACAAGTTACTTTCCCATCAACCATGCACAAGAGTTCCAGTTTTTCCACATCCTCACCAACACTTGTTATTTTCTGTTTTTGTTACAGTAGGCATCCTAATGGGTGTGAGGTGGTATCTCATTACAGTTTTGATTTGCATTTCCTTAATGATTAATGATGTTGAACATCTTTTCATGTGCTTACCAGCCATTTATACATCTTCTTTACAGAAATGTTTATTCAAGTCCTTTGCCCCTTTTTCAATTGGGTTGTTTGTCTTTTTGTTGTTGATTTTTAGTCCTCTATATATACTGGATATTAATCCCTTCTCAAACATATGATTTGCAAATATTTTCTCCCATTCTATGGGTTGCCTTTTTACTCTGTTGAAAGTGTCTTTTTGATGCACAAAAGTTTCTCACCCTCATGGAGTCCAGTTTGCCTATTTTCTTCTTCTGTTGTTCATGCCTTTTGTGCCTTATCTAAGAAATCCTCACCAAATCCAATGTCATGAAGATTTTGCCCTGTTTTCTTCTAAGACTTTTATAGTTTTCAAAGACATTTAGGTCTTTGATCCAATTTGAGTTAATTTTTGTATATGGTGTTAGAAAAGGTCCAACTCTATTCTTCTGTTTGTGGAGATCCAGTTTTCCCAGCACCATTTGTTGAAAAACCGTTCTTTCCCTGTTGTCTTGTTGATCTGTCCATGTGGGCCCATACAGAATTCCCTCATTCCTTTCATGGCTCAGTCATATTCCATCATATAGAGGTACCATCCCTTTCCAACCTGTCCCCTGCTAAAGCCCTAAATTCCTTTCTACTGTGTTGATTTTGTAAAAATGATAGAGTATACATTTTTATTTATGTGCAGATGTGTGTGTGTGTGTTTGTATATATACACACACACATAAATTCTTGGAAGTAAAATTCTTGGCATAAATTATTTGCAGTAAAAAAAAAAAAAACAAAAAAAACAGATTATTCTGGCTGAAAAGGCAGAATCATCCAACCCACCACCAGATAATCCATTTGTGTTTTTTAAATAAAAATTCATTGTAATAAAATTGAAGCAGTCAAGAGAGACATGAAATGAAAAATGACATTTTCACCTCAGCCCCAGTCATTCTACCCACTGGTTAACAATTCCTTGCAATTTCCTTCCAGAAAGAAATGATTATGCATATACTCAGAAATATGTACTTGTATATTTTTATTTGCATGAGTAGGCAGACTATAGACATTACTATACATCCCAAATATATTCTAGTACTCTGCTTGTTTTGTATGTGTGTGTGTGTCTTCTGGAAAAGTTACACATAATTAGCTTTCTACCAACAGAATTGTATATTAGAAGGAAAGTTTCCTTACGCCAGTGTCATCATGGGAAACCATCAACATTTTAACATTGACAGTTAGATAGGTAAAAAGTATGTCTCAGAGAAAATAGATATTACTTTTCTTAAGAATAATATGGTTTCTGTTCTAGGAGCCAGGAGGTGGGAGGAGAACAAGATGGAAAAACTTTCCATCTTTTTATACTTATTTTCTTGTGAAGGGTCTTTATTTGTCTTTTGCCCAGTTTTTATTATTTTATTGCTTTTTCTTCTGGAATTGTATGTTTTATTTCTTATGGAAATTAGTTAGGCTAGCTGCTATAACAAAAATAGCCAACAAAATATGTGTCTTAAATGAAATAAATGGTTGTTTCTCTCACCTATGACAGTCTGAAGTGAATGTCTCATACTGCTACACATGGCCACTCATATGATACACTAAAATCACATTCAGGTACCCAGGTTCCTTCCATCTTATTTTTCCACCATGACTCAAGATGTTGTTCTCTTCCGCAATGTCAATACTGGGGTAGGGGCACATCTGTGTTCTAGCTATGGAGAAGGGGGAAGAACATGGGCAAGAGTCATACCAACTCCTTCAAACCCCTGGCCCAGAAGTGACCCACATTGCTCTGCTCATATCCTATGGGTTAGAATTTGGTCATATGGCCACATCTAACTGCCAGGACAGCTGAAAGATAGAGTATAGTTGGGCTATGTATTAACTATCTACTCTATTCTGCCTAACAATATTACCACTAATAACTTAGGGCTTAAAACTAAACATTTCTTATCTTACAGAATCTGTGAGTCAGGAGTTTGGTTTGGCTCAACTGGGTCCTTTGCAAGATGGCAGTCAAAGCACTGGCTAGGCTGTAGTCTCATCTGAGGTTTGACTGGGGAAGGATACACTTTCAAGTCCAGGCAGGTTGGCAGAACTCAATTGGACTGGAGGCTTCAACGTCTTGCCTTGTTATCCATCAGCCCTGCCCTGTTATCCTCAGCTCTTAGAAGCCCTCAGTTCCTTGCCATGTAGGGTTTCCTCAAGGCCAATGGGGAGAGAGAAAATCCAGCAAGATGGATATGACAATGCTATATATATAATTACATACACACAATCATGTCAATCCTGATACCTTTTCCATGCACTATTGATTAGAAGTCATATGTCCTACCCATACTCAAGGGGAGGAAGCAACATAAGGGCATGAACACCAGGTACTAGGGATTGTGAAGGCCACCCAAGAGTGCTATGTAGGCCTCTCTAGAATCCCATGACAATTAAAGAAGGAAAATAGATTTCAGTGGATATCTAGCTGTCAGCTTCCACCACAAAATGTGTTGCAAATATTTTTCTTAGCAAAGAAAAATGCTCAGAAAAGTGCTAGGTTGAAAATTGGCTTCATACTTTAATTTGATGGTTATTTTGTGGTTGGTATTTTAAATGTGCTTATGGCATTCTTGACTTACAAAAGCTTTTAGTTTGTGTGAAGTCAAATTTATCAATATTTTCCTTTACTGCTTCTGGATTTTGTTATGATTTATGGCATTTCATGAAAGACCTCCCCTAAGATTATGTGAAATTCCACCCATGTTGGCTCCTAAAATAACTCATATTATTATGGCCAAGCATCCCATTTTTCAGAACGTTTTCTTCACTACCAGGATAATTTGTTTGTATAAACTATTTTGCTGCTGACTTGCTTGAAAGCTATTTGTTCACAGTTTTGCTCATCAGTGACTTTTTAAGGTAAAGAAGTGGGATTTCAGCAAATTATTTTCACCCTTTAGTTTACAATTCTTAGTACAGCTCTAAGATAAGCAATAAAATTTCATGGAAAGCAGCTTTTTTATGCAAAATCAGCATCATTCATGTTGAGTCAACGATACAGTTCTTTCCAGCTCTCTTCGACCTTTCTTCTACAGGGGACACATTTTTGTGGTCTCTCTCAGGTGTTTGCCCTCAGAGGTCACTCTGGTGCTGACTGTTTCCTTCCAAATACAAAACGATGATTGTGCCAATAGGATCCATTTACTTACAATCACTTGCCTCTCAAACAAAGGCTAAATTATTTGGAAATCCCAAAGAAACACAGAGTTTCTTCTTTTCCATCAGCAAATATTCAGTGCACCTTCTACAATGGGCCAAGCACTCTGTGCAAAGTGGGTAGCTGCTGGCAAAAAAAAAAAAAAAAAAAAATACCCCCTTTCAAAATTGCCACCAGGAAAGGCGACTCATCTTTTAGTTCTACAGATTCTACATTTGTGATAATATTCCAATAGTCTTCAGATGACCAAGTAGCATCAAGACCTTCCAGCATGGTCACCTAGAGCCCTTGTGACTAGACTAGACAGAAAAAAGATGGAAGGGAGGGGAGGGGCCGACCCATGCATCCCTGCATCAGCCACAGTTTTTCAATCTGCAATACCCAGTGTTTTGCCAGGCCCTTCAGAACTGATCTCCATAAGTACTTGTGTAGCAGGTATCAGTCTCTGTCAGTGAATGGAGGTGTGTGAGAAATTCAGCTCTGTGCATTCCTCCATAGCATGGCTTAATTTCCACCATAAGCCCTCACCCTATCAATGGCAGAGGCTAAAGCTCAGTCCACTGGCCGAGCTGCAGCTGAGGTTTAGGGGACTTGCCTCATTCTTGCCTTGGGGAGGGGCTGAGGTGAGCCGAGGGGGTTGATATCCATGCCTGCCCCTCTGAGGAGACCTCATTGCCATCGATCCTGGTGAGGCACCCCCACTCCCCCATTGAAGGCCCCCACAGTCCTGAACTGTCTCTGCATGTGCTGGCAATGGGTCCCTCACATCTGCCTCCCCACCCAGTGTCTGTGCACAGCTGTTCTTTCTGACAGCCCTGGAAATGGAAAGCCTAGACCTGACCCCAGTTGATTCTCTTTCTGCTGTCCCATCTCTTCCCTGAGACAACCAAACCCTTCCCAAGTGAAAGGTTAGAGGGCAAAAAGGGAAGCACCAATTGGCATTTCCAAGTAATACCCACCACGCCAGTCCACAAGGCTGGAGGGCAACCAGAAGATTCAGACCCAAGACACAAATGGACCATCAACCGATCATAGTGCAGGAAAGGCCTTCTTAAAAAGGAAGCTATAAATTGCTCCTTAACACTGCAAGGCAAGGTAAGCCTTGATTTAGATAAGTATGATTAAAGCAGCTTTCAGGAGACACTAAAAGCTTATGACTTTAATTATAATACAGGCTCATATTAACAAAGACACCCAAAATAATACTGATTTAAACAAGAAAACCTTTTATTTTCTCTTACAGAGCTGCACAAGTTCAGTTTCCTTCTATCTCCTTGTCCTGCCACCTAGGCTGCAGGCCTGCAGGTAGGAGTGGGGAAAAGGGAAGGGGCCTGTTCCCCTGGGGGCCACAACCCAAAAGGTGCCTGAATGCTTTCCTTCCCTCCCCGGGGCCATTCCTGGCCACAAGGGAAGATGGGAAAGGCAGCCCTTATGTTGCCGAAAACTGTGGCTGCTTTAACTACAGAGAAGGAACAAATAAAGATTAAAGAACAAGGAGCAATATTTGTCACTCTTATATAATAAAACAGCTAAACAGTTCTATATCCATTCTCCAATGCCCAGCTCCAGCATCACCAACACCGTTAGTTCTCTGAACTAACAGTGATTCCTTCCATCTCCAAACTTTATCTGTACCATTCATGTGATGATTACCCTCACATGGCCTGTCTCCCACAGGCTGACCCCTGAATCTCCTCTACATCCAGCGTGACAGCGCCCACCTCCGCTAAGGGGGCTCCGCTTTCCTGCCTAGCTCCTTCAGTTTCTTGCCGCGAAAATGGTCTTTGTATTGCACTTTGTGGCTGACAGACACCGTCCGTTACCTCTCAGCATTGTTTCAATACACACACATTAACACACACTCGCGCACACACACACGTACACACTCGCACACACTCCCACATGTACACATATACACGCACACCCACACATGTACACAGTCACACACAAACTCACTAACACAAACATGTATACATTCACTAACACACACAAACTCACGAACACGTGCTAACATGTACACACTAATACACTCATACATACACACGAACACATTCACACACACATGCACATTCACTAACATGTACACACTCACACATTCACACATGCACACCTACTAACACATGTATATACTAACACACTACATGTACATTCACTAACACACACGTGTACACACACGCACTCAGTAACACACATGCACACTAACACACATGCACACTAACACATACATGCACATTCACTAACACACTCACACTGTAGCAGGACAAGCTGCAGACAAAACCTCTCAGACACTGAGTTAAAGAAGGAAGGGCTTTATTCGGCCGGGAGCTTCGGCAAGACTCACGTCTCCAACAACAGAGCTCCCCGAGTGAGCAATTCCTGTCCCTTTTAATGGCTCACAACTCTAAGGGGGTCCGCATGAGTGGGTCGTGATCGTGAGAGGGTCGTGATGGATTGAGCAAGCAGGGGGTACGTGACTGGGGGCTGCATGCACCAGTAATTAGGACGGAACAGAACAGGATGGGGATTTTCACAGTGCTTTTCTATACAATGTCTGTAATCCACAGATAACATAACGCATTAGGTCAGGAGTCGATCTTTAACTACCAGGCCCAGGGGGTGGCACCGGGCTGTCTGCTTGTGGATTTCATTTCTGCCTTTTAGTTTTTACTTCTTCTTTCTTTGGAGGCAGAAATTGGGCATAAGACAATATGAGGGGTGGTCTCCTCCCTTAACACACATACACACTAACACACACACATACACATGCACACACTTCTTTACTAACAGAGCCCCAGTGTGTTCCGAGGCAGTGGAGAGGACGCCCCTACCCAGCACTGTGGTGAGCCATGATTGGTCTAGACCAGATGTGGCCATTTGTTTTCCCTTTGCTGTCCAGAGATGGCCACATGACCCATGTCTGGCTAGTGAGATGTAAGTGGATGTTCTCTGCAGGGACCTTCTAGGAAACCTCTTGCTTTTGCACCAACAGGGGTCAGCCTGGGCTGGCATCACCTTTCCCCTACCTTTCCCCTTCCTCCAGCTTCAGTCTTGGAGGTCTCGGTTCCTGGAGGTGCAGCTGCCTCTGCAGCTATGAGGGGATCAGGCGACCAGATGGAGATTGTGGAACCGAAAGAGCAGTGGGACCAGGTCCTTGATAACCTTGTTGAGCCCCTGCAGCATCCCGGGACTGTCCACTCCAGACTTCTGGACAAATATGACCATTCAATTATTCAGTGCTAGAAAAGAAATGAGCTGTGGAGCCACGAAAAGGCGTAGAGGAACCTCAAATGCACACTGCTAAGGGAAAGAAGCCAGTCTGAAAAAGCTACACGCTGCGTAAGTCCAACCATGTGACATTCAGGAAAAGGCAAAACTATGGAGACAGTGAAAAGTCAGTGGTTGTCAGGGGTTAAGGGGAGGAAGGGATAAATAGGTGGAGCACAGAGGATTTTTAGGGCAGTGAAACTGTTCCGTATGATGCTACAATGGTGGATCCATGTCATTACACGTTTGTCCAGGCCCGTAGAACATACAACCCCAAGAGTGAGCCCTGTGTAAACTCTGGCTCTGGTGAATCCATGTCATTACACGTTTGTCCAGGCCCGTAGAACATACAACTCCAAGAGTGAGCCCTGTGTAAACTCTGGCTCTGGTGAATCCATGTCATTACACGTTTGTCCAGGCCCGTAGAACATACAACTCCAAGAGTGAGCCCTGTGTAAACTCTGGGCTCTGGGCGACGGTGATGCACCAATGCAGGTTCATCCATTGTAACAAATGTACCCTCTGGTGGAGGATGTTGATAATGGCGGAGGCTGTGCATGTGTAGGGGCTGAGAAACCTCTGTACCTTCCACTCAATTTTGCTGTGAACCTAAAACTTCTCTAAAAAGTAAAGTCTATGAATTTAAAATATATACGCATATATATATATATATATATATATGACTATTCATGTTATTTGTTTCTGCCTCTGCAGTCAGGAGACACTTGCAACCATGTACACTTCCAACAGATACCATCTGCCTTCCTGCCACTTCTCATCCACCCCATTGTGAACTCACAAAACACATCCCAATTCCTTCCCAAGCTGAAAATCCGGAAAACAAACCACCTGTGTCCACCAGCATGCCACTGCCTCTGGTGCACCCACATTGCCTTCATGGCCCTGACACGGACTTGGGTTTGATGGACCTGGGAGTCAGTTGGCCCCAGGCCGGATGGCCCCCACTCAGGTCCTGTGTGTGCACATGAGTCCAAGAGACCCTGGGCTCAATTCTCAGCTGAAACCTGAACTCTGCAGGATGGGTCAGTCATCTGCCGCAGGCATTTGCCAGGCCTGGCTCACTGAGTCATAACGAGGTTAGTTATGTGACTGTCAGCCCTGGAGGGCAGGCAGAGGCTGCTCACATCCCTTTGTGGGGCCTTAGGGCTTCACGCTGGACCTGGACCCACACAGGAATTCCCTTAGTGTTTCTTTTTCTTTTTTTTTCTTTTTTTTTTTTTAAGAGAAGGGGTCTCACTGTGTTGTCCAGGCTAGTTTCAATCTCCTGACCTCAAGTGACCCACCCTCCTCGGCCTCCCAAAGTGCTGGGATTACAGGTGTGAGCCACAGCACCCAGCCTCAAACGGTCTTTTCTTTGTGACAGCATCCAGTCTCCTAGAATCCAGCTCCCAGCTATCCATGAAAACCCTCATGGCCTCGGCTGGAAGAAGAGAGCTGGCAGCAGATCAGACAGAAAGCACCAGACAGAACCCTAAGGCCATCACCTCCCACACTCCTGAGTCAGCAGAGGTCGCAGATAAAACCTGCCTGGAGAGGGCCCTCTGCCTGTGGGCTCTTAGCTCTCAGCTCTCAGCTCTGCAGCCTGGAAGGAAACCCAGGAGGTGTGAGTTGATGATTGCAGAGAAGAGAGCTGGGAGGTCAGCCCCTCCAAAGGTGCCTGCCCAGAGCGCGTGGGGTCACATATGGAAACCATTTCTGGGGAGGGAGAGCGGGAATCTGGAAATGAGGCCACACCAGGGGGTCCGGCCATGAATACAAGAAGGAAAGCCTTGTTGAAGGGAGGCCCATGGCAGACACAGCTCAGTGGAAGGAGGAAAATACTCAGCATTCCAACAACTTCTAGTAAGAAATCTTAAAAAAACGGAGAAATCCACGCGCTTGTGGTTTTAATCAATGCAACAACGCAACAGGAGGCTGGCTCAGAGCAACGCGAGGATGAGGCAGGGCCCAGAACACTGAGGCCTAAATGTGGAGCACACCAGTGTGGACATGAAAAACTGGCAGTGTGATCTGAGACCACTCAGTGGCCCCTTTAAGTGGTGACAATTTCCACCCAGAAGAAACGGGTGACAATTTTGAGATCCTGATTCAATAGGTTCCCCACAGATCAGTTTCTCCTCGGAGAACAGAACCTCCTGAATCTTAAGAATATTAATATCTCCAGGGCTGAATGTCCCAGCACTACTGATAAAGAACAGCCTCTTCCAGGAAAAGGAGCAGTTTTTTATCTTTGCTAATAACCAGCCAGTCTCATAAAAACTGGGAGGGAAAAAAAATCCTTAAAAATATTTACTTAAAAAACAATCAATAGACACACTAAAAAGCTCATGCATACTGATTTCTTTGATGTGTTTTTAATTGCTTAAGGGTCTTTGTAGAAAAATGAGCAAAGAGCATTATTTATACATTTACATATTTAGAAGAGAGCAGGTTAAAAACTCCAACTTCACCAGCAGCAGCAAAGAACCTTTGTTGAGCAATACTGTCCCCTTGTGTCCAATCTTCACTTAATGCTTTCCTAAGTTAAGTACAGCTGCTTGATGGGACATTCTGCAGTAGTAAACGACTTCTACATTTTGCTGCCCTTTAAGACTTGCATTCCTGCAGGAAACATGCATATGCAATACCAATTCTAAGTAAGGGGAAATCTGATTTAAGAAAATTGGCCTCAGGTATTCATGATGGAGTTCACAGCATGGGAAAATGTGGGCCATCGATGTGGTGAAGAAAGCCTCACTTCCATCCCAGCTTTTTCACTGTTCCCCACGAGTAAGTAAGTGAACGGCAAATGTGCAAGGGAGTTAAAGTGTAAATTCCTCCCGGCCCATATAATTGACTTGCTGAATTTTTGCAGTAACAAAAGACTGCTGTTCAAAACATTTCCAGTGACATTTTAAGACTACCTATAAAGAGAAGTTCGGGCCGGGCGCAGTGACTCACGCCTGTAATCCCAGCACTTTTGGAGCCGAGGCGGGCGGATCACGAGGTCAGGAGATCGAGACCATCCTGGCTAACACGGAGAAAGCCCGTCTCTACTAAAAATACAAAAAATTAGCCGGGCGTAGTGGTGAGCGCCTGTAGTCCCAGCTACTCGGGAGGCTGAGGCAGGAGAATGGCATGAACCCGGGAGGCGGAGCTTGCAGTGAGCCGAGATCTGGCCACTGCACTCCAGCCTGGGCGACAGAACAAGACTCCGTCTCAAAAAAAAAAAAAAAAGAAAAGAAAAGTTCGCGTTGGTCATTTTTGTGCTGTTTATGATGTATAATCATTGGCACTGTCCCCACAGTGTCTTAATCCTGATATTCAGCAAATATTTATCCAACAGGGGTTTACTTATTTATTTTTGAGACAGATTATTATTTATTTATTTATTTATTCACTCGTCACCCAGGCTGGACTGCAATGGCGTGATCTTGGCTCACTGCAACCTCTGCTTCCCAGGTTCAAGCTATTCTCCTGCCTCAACCTCCTGAGTAGCTGGGATTACAGGCACCACGCCCAGCTAATTTTTGTGTTTTTAGTAGAGACAGGGTTTCGCCATGTTGGCCATGCTGGTCTCGAACTCCTGACCTCAAGCGATCCACTCACCTCAGCCTCTCAAAGTGCTGAGATTACAGGCATGAGCCACTGCACCCATCCAAACCATTGTGCTCTTTTCTGTATGCGGGACTTGGGAAAGGTGGGACACTCTGGAGATTCCTGCCTCAAGCCACATTCTCCTCTGCAAGATGGCTAAAATATTTTGTGCTTTGTGAAAGAGCAGAATCTGTTTTGTACCTAAGGCCTCTGGTCTCTAAATCCTAAAATCTCTCCGCTGGGGTCCCCTGAAGTGTCTGGTACTTACTGCTCTTCTCGCTGTGCCTAATTAAGATGATCTGGATTCGCATGACAGGAACATATGGTAATTAAGTACCAAAATCTCACAAAAGCACCAGAAATCAAAAATAGATTTTTCTAGTAAAGTCAGAATTAAAATCCCTATTTTTTTAAGTCTTCTTAAAGAGACATACATACCATAAAAGTTCTAGCAAAGAATTTATAAACCGAAATGTAGAATGACTTCACATATAATCTGCAAATCAGGCTGCTGTGTGACCTACTTCTATTCCCATTTTATGAGTAGGAAAACTGAGGTAAAAAAAAAAAAAAAACAGGGTTTGAGTACTACTTGCAAGTCACCGGCATCAGTCTCCCATGTATACCCACAGTCAGACGTCACCACAGCCTGTGGCCACCAGCTGCAGAACTCCATAATATTTGTGAGCCCAAATTACACAGCAGGTGGCCCCAGGTAGAGGGGCACAGCCCTTCATCTAGAGGAACTGCAATACCACAGGGCTGGATGAGCTGGCTCAAGATTTTCTGCTTGCAACGTGGCTGTGTACTATTATGCTATAGGTGACTTTGTCTGTTTCTACCTGCCTGGAGATACAGGAAAATGCTCATGCTTCACACCCAGAACCCTCAGGAGAGCCGCATGGACTCCTCAGAGCCTCCAGGTTTCCAACCAGGTAGGAGGAGACTCAGACATCTTTTGTGAGTGAGGGTACCCGATGGAGGGGAGGAAGGCCTAGAGAGGGATGCAATCATCCTCATCATTCCCAGTTTTCTGCCAGAGCCTGGGGACACAGGAAGGCAGGAAGACTCGGGGCTATCTAAATCCAAGTTCAAATCCTGACTCAGTTACTCACTAACTGGTGATGGATACATTAGTTCCCTGATCTGCAGTTTTCTCAATCATGAAAAGGAGGTAATACTTAGCTTGGAGCCAAGCCACCAAGTTAGGGGTGGTTTAACGAACAGCAAAATAACCATAAAAACCTCCTGCACAATCTTCTATGTTTGCCCCTTCCCCATCTGCAGAGAAAAAACTCTGAAGATCTGGGGGAGGGAAGAGCTAAAACATGAAAAAAGCCTAGTCCCTGCGTGACTGTGTGGAGCAGGGTGTCCCTTTTTCTCCCCCACCACCCCCCAAATCACGCAGAAATACAACATGAGCAAGGAATAACTTGGATTGTGTCAAGGCCCTGAAATTTGAGGATACTTTGTTATAGCAGTCGGTCTAGTTGCTTAAACACGAGTGTTAAACACATCTAAAATGCCTAGAGCTTGGCCCATAGTAGGAACTCGATTAAAGTAGAGCTTTTCCCGACTTGCTGATGACAAAGTGAGCAGACAACCAACCAGCATTTCTGAGAGTGAGAACATCTCTCACAGAATCTTTCCAAGCCTAGGCCACTCCCCTCTCAACCTGTTCTACACGCCTGAAGTGATTTCTGCCAGCCCTGACTGCTGTCTGTCCCAAAAGGAATAGAACTTTCTGAAATCCTGGAAATGTTCTGTATCTTCACTGTCCAATAGCCTTGTGAGGCTACTAAGCACTTGTACTATAAATATGGCAAGAACCTGGAGGAACTAACATTTTATTTTAATTCTAAGTAATTTGAGTATAAGTGCCACATATGACCAGCGGCTACTGTACCGCACAGCTCAGTCTTAGAGACCACATGGTTCATTACAAGCATCAGACTCATCCCAAGCAAGGACAGCCCAACGTTAATTAAACTAAGCAGATCAAGAGCTGCCAGATCACATGGGTAGTATCCAGAACGACCTCCATATAAGATGCCAACACCTAGCCGGGATTATGGAGTTAAGACAAATATTTGTTTTTACACTTTTATAAAGCAAACAGCCCTGATTGGACATCAACCCAAGTTACAGCTGAGCCCTTCTCTATTTATTAGGTAATTGTGTCTAAACTATGTTTTTGTTTCTCTCTTCATTGTTCCATATGTCACATGCCCACCCACAATACACACACAAACACACTCCCATGAGTCAAACCCTACACGCTCAGTGCTTTGATGTTTCAGCCTCTGCCATCTGCTCTGCAGCTGGCTATCATGAGGGCTGCAGCTTGGAGCTGCTGGAAAATAGAAACTTGCTCACTGATGAAGAGATTGGGGACGGTCTGACAGCACGGCATCCTTCATCAGAGCCATGGCCTGTGTGGCCTTCCTGGGCTGGCTCAGGGCAGGATCTGCTTCTCAGGGACTAGAGCAATGGCAAGATTTTACTTTCTTTAAAAACAACTGGTTACCAGCTATGAAGCAGAAGGCTCTTCTCTTTGCATTTAGCAAAGAGTCATTGATGCTTTCAGCTTGTCTTGTGTGCTAAGCATGTATAGAAACTGTTGCAGGCAGTGGCATAGTCACTGTTCCAGGTAGTGATGTCTTGAGGACGAGCAGCACAGACTGGGTGTCCACTTTCGTGAACCTTTGTCCTGGGGTAAGGGGCGGGACTGACAACAAACAAGCAAACAAATAATGAATTCAAGGCAGCGATTACAATGAAAATAAAGTTGGCCAGTGTGACAGAGAATGACTGGGTCAGGTGGGAAGATCAAGGTGCTGGAAGGACTGGTGTCCTCTGTGGCCTCTGTCCTTATGATATGGTTTGGATTCGCGTCCCTGCCCAAATCTCATGTTGAATTGGAGGAGGGACCTGGTGGGAGGTGATTGGATCATGGAGACAGATTTCCCCCTTGCTGGTCTCATAATAGTGAGTGAGTTCTCACAATATCTGATCATTTAAAAGTGTGTGGCACCTCCCCATTCTCTCTCTCTCTCTGTCCTGCTCTGCCATGGTAAGACGTGCTTGCTTCCCCTTCACCCTCCACCTTGATTCTAAGTTTCCTGAGGCCTCCCAGTCACGCTTCCTGTACAGCCTGTGGAACTGTGAGTCAATTAAACCTCTTTTCTTCATAAATTACCCAGTCTCAGCTAGTTCTTTATAGCAGCGTGAGAACAGACTAATATAAAAAAATTGGTACCAGGAGAGTGGGGTACTGCTATATAAAGATACCTGAAAATGTGGAAACAACTTTGGAACTGAGTAATAGGCAGAGGTCGGAACAGTTTTGAGGGCTCAGAAGAAGACAGGAAGATGTGGGAAAGTCTAGAACTTCCTAGAGACTTGTTGAGTGGTTTTGACCAAAATGCTGACACTGATATTGACATGGTTTGGCTCTGTGTCCCCACCCAAATCTCATCTCCAATTGTAGTCCCCACATGTTGAGGTGGGGGGTCCTGGTGGGAGATAACTGGATCATGGGGGCAGATTTGCCCCTTGCTGGTCTCATGATAGTGAGTGTGTTCTCATGAGATCTGATTATTTAAAAGTGTGTGGCACCTCCCCATTCTCTCTCTCTCCTGCTCCACCATGGTAAGACGTGCTTGCTTCCCCTTCACCTTCTGCCACGATTCTATGTTTGAGGCCTCCCAGTCATGCTTCCTGTACAGCCTGTGGAATTGTGAGTCAACTAAACCTCTTTTCTTCATAAATTACCCAGTCTCAGCTAATTCTTTAGAGCAGTGTGAGAATGGACTCATACCTTGGCTGGCAGATGGCCATGCCCTTGCTGTTTCCATGATTATCCCTTTGTGTCTCTTCCTCTTCTTACAAGGAACGCCACTCATATTGGGTGAGGGCCTACCCCAATGGCCTCATTTGAACTTAATCACCCTTTTATAGACTATCTCCAAATATTGTTACAGTTTGAGCTACTAGGGGTCAAAACTTCAACATTATGATTTTTTTGTGGGGGTAGGGGGCACAATTCAGCCTGTAACAGGTTTTTAGATAGTATGTATTTTTAGATAGTAGGGAAGAGGAGAAGAAGATCAGTTTGCTGTGGACCTAAGAATAGAAGACGTCAGGCTGGCTTCTGATCCTAACCTCCTGGGGGTAACTTAAGAACAGATCTGTAAAAGCAGTAAGCCTTGCTTCTGGTTTGTCAGCCCAGCCCCTGAAGGCAATTTGCTTCCTCATCCCGGTTTTTTACCCGGAGTGGTAAGTCATGCAGACGCAACACGGTTCTTCCTCACCATCAGGGAAAACACACCAAGGGCCTAAAGAAACAGGAGTAGCCCTAAGCAGTGCTTCCCTTTGGTTAGATTTCTTTATAAAATGTTTGCATTTTAGTGGCCAGCACCGAAAGTTTAAGAAATGGAACTTCCAGATGCACCAGAGAAAGACCAGGAATGTGGCTATAAGGTTCAGATAAGCATGTGAGATAGCACTCAGAGAGCTGCTCTTTGTGAATGCAGGGTCATCAAGATGCTGAGAACGAGGTGCTGTCAGCAGATACCACACATAAGGCCCAAAGGGTCTCCTCAAGCACCTAGAACAGCAGCCCAGAGGAAATGCACTGGTGAAGATTCCCCCAATCAGGAGAAAGGAGAGAGTCAGACACACTGTTTCCATCATTTGGGGAGATGTTATATTCAATTTGCTGGACAGAGAGGACAATAAACAATCAGATAGAGCTGGGGACTCTAAAATCCTAGGTAGAGTCTAATATCTCCACTGTTGGATGTGGCAAGAAACAACAACAAAAAAAAAACTGTTTAGAAGTACCAGTGGGGTAGAAACTGTCAAATCCCTCAGCTCCACTGCCTTTGCCTCCTGGGCATAGAACAAGCCTGCGTTTCCCATCCTCCTCTGCACTGGGGGAGCACGTGTCTATGTCCAGCCAATGGAATGAGGGAGGAAGTGAGGTACAGTGCTGCCCAGCTTGGGACATCGGCAGATTGTTTGCAAAATGGCTTCCATAATTCCTCTTCCTGTTTCCTCCCACACAGGTCCTGGTTTAACCATGTGATTTGTTTTGGCCAATGGGATAACAGTAACTGTGTTAGAAGCAGAAATTGAAAAAATTTTCCAATTTTTTTCTTTGGGCTTGCCCTCTTTTGTGGCTGGAATTCTTCTCCTCCATGTGAACAAGTGGAGGCTGGCATTCTGGAACAGGAAGCACAGGGACAGAAGCCCAGCCATCCCTGCTGAAGCCCTGGATAAGTGAGCAGATTCATTCTAGACCAGCCAGCCTCAGCTCAGCCAGCCTGACCACAGCAATCACCCAGGAAGTCCACAAAATTGTGAGAAACATTATGTATTTATTGTTTTAAGCCACCAAGTTAGGGGTAGTTTAATGAACAGCAAAATAGCCATAAAAAACTCCTGCACAATCTTCTATGTTTGCTCCTTCCCCATCTGCAGAGAAAAAACTCTGAAGATCTGGGGGAGGGAAGAGCTAAAACATGAAAAAAGCCTAGTCCCTGAGTGACTGTGTGGAGCAGAGTGTCCCTTTTTCTCCCCCACGCCCCCAACTCACACAGAAATATAACATGAGCAAGGAATAACTTGGATTGTGTCAAGGCCCTGAAATTTGAGGATACTCTGTTATAGCAGTCAGTCTACTTGGTTAATGTACTACCCACTTCCTAGAAACTGAAATCTGCCAACACACTTGTGGAATGGTCCATATTCCCAGACTACCGCCACTGGTAGCTAAGAAGAATCCTCATCCTCAAGACTTGACTCTGTGCAGCCTCTGTGTAACTCTCATTCACTTTTCCATACATTCATTCAATAAATACTAATTGCTAAGAAATGCCAATCACCTGGTGCCAGCAGCCAAGACAAGAGTGGTCCCTGTCCTTAAGGCACTTGTAGTCTAGTAGCAGGCTAAGGAGGGGAGGACAGTCACTAAACAAATAATCCCACTGCAGGCTCCAGGAGGAGAAGGAAGCCATATCTATTTTGCATACAATTGCATCTGCAGCCCTCTGCTCAATGTAAGGCACAAAATAAGGGTTTAATAAGTTGTTGCTGAATTCATAAGCACAAGTCAATATTTAATTACAAATGTTGATACGAACTGTGAAGGAAAGTTTAAGGAGCCAGGAAAGACTATAAAAGGGGGGATCAGAAAAGTTATCTCTGAGGAAGTAACACTTAAGCCAAGAGCTGAAGGAGGGAGAAGGAAAGGAGGGCAGTAGGGAGCCAATGAATAAATAGTAGAGTGAGAGACGCTTTGAGGCAAGGGAAATAGCTTAGGCAAAGGCCCTGAAATATAAAGAGCCTGCTGCTGAGTTAGAGCAACAGAAGACCAGCATGGCCAGACCATGGTGAGTGAAAGAAGTGGGATAAGATGGCGAGAACAGTAGATAGGATCTGTTACATAGATCCCTGTAGGCCAGGTTAGATTTATGTTTTAACAGCTTTGTTGAGGTATAGTCTACATGCTAAAAAAAAAAAGCTTATCCACTTTAAGTGTACAGTTCAATGAGTTTTGATAAATGTATACTGTCATGCAACCACCAACACAATCAAGTTTTAGAACTTGAATTACCCTCAAAGTTTCCTTTATGCTCTTTTGCATTCAGTCCAGATCCCTACCTGACCCCAGGCAAACAAAGGTCTGCTTTCTGCCTAATTCAGCCTTTTCTAGAATTTAATAAAATAGATTGATACAGCATGTAGTTTTTATGCCTGGCTCTTTTACTCAGCAAAATAACTGTTTAGATTCATCCATATTGTTGTGCGTATCAGCACTTTTTCCCCTTCTATTGCTGAGTAGTATTCCATCATATGGACATGTGACATTTAGTTTGTTCATGCACCAGTTAATGGACATTTGGATTGTTTCTGCTTTTTGGAATGCTACTATATGCATTTATGTACAAGTCTTTTTATGAATATATGTTTTTATTTCTCTTGGATAGATACCTAGAAGTGGAACTGCTGGGTCATATGATAAGTCTAACTATGTAAGAAACTACAAAACTGTTTTTCTGACAATTTTGCATTCCTAGCAGCAATGTTTGAGGGTTCCAGTTGTCCCACATTCTTGTCACAACTTGATATTTTAATTCATTTTAATTGTTGCTACTCTACTAGGTCTGTAGTAGTTTCTCATTTGTGGTCATAATTTGCATTTTCTAAAGACCAATGGTATTGAGCTTTTCTTTTCATGTGTTTACTGGACATTCCCATATCTTGTTTTGTGACATGCCTCTTCAAATCATTTCTCCATTTCTATTGGGTTATTTTTCTTATTGAGTTATAAAAAGCTTACCTTTTTATTGTTTGCTTTTGAAGTCTAATGTATCCATTGTTTTCCTTTAGAATTCACGTTTTAATTACTATTGTCAGTTTTTGAAGAACCATGCAAGGTGATTACAGTGGTTTTTTTGTTGCTTTATTTTACGTTATTTTTTATTTTTATTTTTGGTCCAGGGAGTACATGTGCAGGTTTGTTACATAGATACATTGCATGTTGCTGAGGTTTGGTCTTCTAATGATACCACTGCCCAAGCAGTGAACAAAGCATCCAATAGGTAGTTTTTCAAACTCTTCCCCTCTCCCTCCCTCTCCTCTTTTGGAATCCCCAGTGTTTATTTTTCCCATCTTTGTGTCTGTGTGTACCCAATATTTGGCTCCCACTAATAAGTGAGAACATACAGTATCTGTTTTTCTGTTTCTGCATGAACTCACTTAAGATAATGGCCTCTACCTGCATCCATGTTGCTGCAATGGACGTTATTTTGTTCTTTTTTATGGCTACATGCTTTTTATATCTTATCCAAAAAAACTCATCTTATCCCCCAAATCATAGATTTTATCCTATGTTTTCTTCTTAAAGGTTTATTATGTATCTCTTATGCATAATTTGTTTAGTTTATTTATTATTTATTATTTATTTTTTTATTTTGAGATGGAGTCTCGCTCTGTCATCCAGGCTGGAGTGCAATGGCACGATCGCAGCTCACTGCAGCCTCCACCTCCAGGGTTCAAGTGATTCTCCTGCCTCAGCCCCCGAGTAGCTGAGACTACAGGTGAGCACCACCACGCCTGGCTAATTTTTGTATTTTTAATTGAGAGGGGGTTTCACCATGTTGGCCAGGCTGGTTTCGAATTCCTGACCTCAGGTGATCCACCCACCTCGGCCTCTCAAAGTGCTGGGATTACAGGCATGAGCCACGGCGCCCCGGCAATTTGTTTAGTTTCATAATCCATTTTGAATGTATTCTTGTGCCTAGTGTGAGATATGGGTAAAGGCTTATTTTTCCCATGTGAATATTTTATTATTCCAGCACCATTTATTGAAAAGATTATCCTTTTTCCTGTTGAATTACCTTGGCACCTTTGTCAAAAATCAACTGACCATATATGTATCTAGTTTTAGATGTTCTATTCTGTTCCTTTCATCTATGTTTACCCTTATGACAATCCCATGCTTTCTTATTTACAATAGGTTTAGAGTAAACCTTTAAAATCATATAATTTAAGTCCTCTGACTTTTTCTTTTTGCAATTGTTTTAGCTATTCTTTGCTTCTCCGTATAAATTTTAGAACCAGCTTATAATTTCTAAAGAAATTCTTGCTGGGATTTTCATTGGGATTGTATTGAATCTACAGACAAATTTGAGGATGACTGCCATCTTAATAATATTGAGTATTCTAGTTCATAAATATGATATATCCCCCATTTTATTTAGATCTTTTAAAATTTCTTTCATCAATGTGTTTTAGATTTCAGAACATAGATCTTGAACTTCTTTTTGTTAAATTTATTCCTCAGTTTTTTTGTTTGAATGCTATTGCAAATGGAATTGTTTTATTGTATTTTAGGAGTGTTTACTATCAATATATAGAAATACAATTAATTTGTGTATATTGAGCTTGTATCCTATAACCTGGCTAAATTCACTCATTAGTCCTGGTAGCTGTTTGGTAGATACATTAGGAATTTCTACATAGATAATCATGTTATCCACTAATAAGACAATTTTACTTCTTTCCAATCTGTATGTCCTTTATTTCTCTCTTTCTTTATTGCACTTGCTAGGATATCCAGTACAATATGCATAGACATGGCAACAGTGGACATCTTTGTCTTGTTACTCATCTTAGGGAGAAAGCAATCAGCCTTTCACCTTTAAGTTTTGTGTTACCCATAGCTTTTTGGTGGATGCTTTTTATTATCTACAAATCCTCTACTATGAGGGACTTATCTTCTATTGGTTGTTTGCTGAGAGTTTTTGTCATAAATAGATGTTGAATTTTATCAAATACATTCTCGGCATCTATTAAGATGATCGCATGTTTTATCTCCTTTATTGTATTAATACGGTGTATTGCATGAATTTTATTTCTGGGATATACACCACTTGGTGACTGTATATTATACTTTTTATGTGTTGCTAGATTCAAGTTGCTAATACTTTGTTAAGAATTTTTATATCATATTTGTCTTAGTCTGTTCAGCTGCTATAACAAAATACCTTAGACTGGGGAATTTATAAACAACAGAAATTTATTGCTCACAGTTCTGGAGGCTGGAAAGTTCAAGATTAAGGCACCAGCAGATGTGCCTTGCAATGTTTGGAGAGGAGCCATTCCTCATAGATGGCGCCTTCTGTGTTCTCATATGGCAGAAGGGCAAAAGACTCCCTCCTCAAGCCTGTTTGATAAGGACGTTAATCTCATGACCTAGTCACCTCCCAAAGGCCCTATCTCTTCATACCAATACATTGGGGATTAGATTTCAACACAAACTTTGGACAGACAAGAACATTCAGACTATAGCAGTGTTCAAGAGGGACAATGAGTTGTAGTTTTCTTTTATTGTGATGCCCTTGTCTGACTTTGTTATCAAGATAATACTAACAAAAAATGAGTTGGGAATTTTTCCTTCCCCCTGTTTTTTGAGAGACTCTGGGTGAGATTAGCATTGGTTGTTCCTTACATGTTTGATATGCTTGACAGGACTCACCCATAAAGCCATCTGAACCTGAACTTTTCTTTGTGGGAAGGTTTTTAAATATGAATTCAATTTTTTTTTAATTATAGGGCTATTCATATTTCTATTTCTTCATGAATTCTATTTTTTTTTTTTTTTGAGACAGTCTCGCTCTGTTGCCCAGGCTGGAGTACAGTGGTGCGATCTCGGCTCACTGCAACCTCCGCTTCCCAGGTTCAAGCAATTCTCTGCCTCAGCCTCCCGTATATCTGGGATTACAGGCGCCCACCACCACACCTGGCTAATTTTTGTATTTTTAGTAGAGACAGGATTTCACCATGTAGGCCAGGCTGGTCTTGAACTCTTGACCTCATGATCCACCCACCTGAGGCTCCCAAAGTGCTGGGATTACAGGCGTGAGCCACTGCGCCCGACTATGAATTCTATTTTCTACTTGTTGTTTGCCTTGTTAGGTTTTGGATTTACTTAGGACTTTGTTATCCCTTTCTTCCTTACTGTGTCTCCCTTTTGGAATGAGAATGTCTGTCCTATGCCTGCCCTGCCATTGTATTTGGGAACACATAACTTGTTTAATTTCATAGGCTCATATGTGCTTCAGGATGAATCATAGTTTGAGTCTCACTCATATCTGCTTTAGATGATATTTAGATGAGACTTTGGACTTTGGACTTTAGACTTTTGAGTTAAGGCTGGAATTATTTAAGACTTTTGGGGTTACAGGGATGGAATGAATGCATTTTTCCTGTGACAAACAAATGAATTTTGAGAGGCCTGGAGCTAGTATAGACCCTTTTAGGGCTCTGTTACACAAGACTGTCCCATTTCAGATGTCAGTCACAAGTCTGAGCGGCCCAAACTTCTGACCAACCAGCTATCAATCAGGGGTTCCCACAACCCCTTCCTTGGCTTACATAATTTGCTAAAACTGTTCACAAAGCTCACAAAAAGGAAACATTTGCCTATGTTTACCAGTTTATTATAAAAGGTACAAGCCAGGAACAACCAGATGGAAGAGATGCCGAAGGCAAAGTGTGGGGGAGCGGCACAGAGCTCCCGTGCCCTCTATGGGTGCACCACGCTCCCAGCACCTCCATGTGTTCACCAACTGAGAAGCTCTCCAAATCCCGTCTGTTTAGTATTTTTATGGAAGCTTCATCACACAGGCATGAACAATTAACTCAATCTCCAGCCACTCTCTCCTCCCCAAAGGACGGGGATTGAAGCTAAAAGTTCAAAGCTTCTCATCATGGCTTGGTCTTTCTGGTGACCACTCCCAATCCTAAAGCTATCCAGGAGCCCACCAAGAGTCACCTCATTAGAACAAAAGAGGCTTCTATCACCCAGGCAAATCGAAGGGACTTATGAGCTCTGTGTCAGGAACTGGGGTCAAAGACAAAATGGTAGGACAGAAGATGCTCCTAGCACCCTTACTATTCAGGAAATCATAAAGGTTTTAGGAGGTCTGTGTCAGGAGCCCAGGGATGAAGACCAAATATATATTTCTTATTATATCCAAAATCACAGAATACCTCCAGGCAGGAAGCCCACAGATCACCATTCTTAGCAAATGCTGTAGCAGTTTCATGAGTAAACTCTTCTCAAATGTTGCCTTGTCTTTCATCATTTTCTAATGGCCTGAAATGACTGTCTTTAATCATTTTGTCCATTTTTTTTACTTACTTTCTGCCAAGGGAAATCCCTTGACTTCCTCATACAACCAATACCAGAAGTAGATCCCCCAGGTTTTACTCCATCTAGACCAGGAAGCCACTAAAAGGAGTCAAGCTGCAAAGTACCAGGAATCAGCTTTCTATTCCTATGTGCTCACTGTGCCTACTGTGGGAGCGTCAGTTGGTAGGAGAGAGTTCCAGTTAGAGGCTTTCAGCGGTAGGTCCCAGGAAGCAATGAAAGAGATACGTTGTCAAGTAACTGAAAAGTCCTGTGCAGCTTGGGCGAGATATTCATGACATCCTTCAGAACAGCAGCTCTGAGGTGCCACTGGATCTGTCTCACGGTACTGTCTTGGTCCTCAAGCCCTCGTGGTAGTGAGAGGTCTGTCAGTAGCTTCTAGACTCTAGAGGCTTCCTCACTTACATCCAAGGAGAGGGAACTTCTCTTTCCTCAGCCACTGAACGAAAGCCTTGGGCTTGCCTCTGCTTGGACTGATATGCTCACTCCTGAACTCATCACCATGGCCCAAGGAATTCAATGTGCAGACTGGCTTTCGCTGCTCAGGTTCGAGCCCACTCAAGCCCCGTAACTAGGAATGTCTGGGTCCTGTTAGGAAAGGGGAGCGGCTGCATGGAGGCTGAGGAGGTGGTCTGGGAGGCCTGCTCCAGGGCACAAGAGAGGAGCCCTGATCTCACTCTTCATTACTAAATGTAGCAGGTGGCTCGGGCTAACCTAATGAAATTCCAAGCACTGGGTGCCTTAAACAAACAGAAAATTATTTTCTCATAATTCTGGAGGCTGGAATTCCAGGATCGAGGTACCAGCAGGGCTGGTTTACGGTGAGGCCTCTCTCCTCATTGGCAGAGCGCACCTTCTCCCTGTGACCTCACATAGTGTTTTCTCTGCGCGCCTGCAGAGAAAGGGCTCTGGTGTCTCTCCTTCTTCTTCTAAGGATATCAGTCCTGTTGGATGAGAGTCCCACCCTTATGACCTCATGTAACCTTTGTTACCTCCTTACAGGCCTTTCCTTCAAATACTGTCACAGTGGGTGTGGTGGGGGACATAATTCAGTCCATAACACCAGAAAAGGGGCAAAGCTTTGCAACTCCGCCTGCCCTACTCAGTTCTAGCCAGCAGAGCTGCAGAAAGATCACTGATGAGACTGAACTCCAGCCCAAAGGTTCTGCACTGGCCCTGACAGGAAAGGAGAGAAGGGAGGGTCACACACCCCAGCAGTTCTATTATATATCCCACTCAGCTAAGATGGAAGACTTGGAAAAATAACTGTCTCATTGGTAATGAAAGGATTAGGATAGTGGTTGTCTGCTATGACGCAAATGCAGTGGCCACATCCCAAGAACTGTGCTTTTAAGCTCCAAAGCAATCAAAGTCAGGGAAAAATGGTCATTGAAAATGAAAAATAAAACTATGTCTGAAAAATAACCCAGACCCGGTGCAGTGCCTTACTCCTGTAATCCCACTGCAGAGGCAGGAGGCTCACATGAGGCCAGGGTTTCCAGACCATCCTGAGTAACATAGTAAGACTCCCTCTCTACAAAAAATTTTAAAAATTAACCAGGTGTAGTGATATGTGCCTGTAGTCTCAGCTACTTGGGAGGCTGAGGCAGGAGGATTGCTTGAGCCCGGGAGGTCCAGGCTGCAGTGAGCCATGATTGCACCACTGCACTCCAGCCTGGGTGGCAGAGTGAGACCCTCTCTATAAAAAACAAAAAGTAAAGAATAAAGAATAACCCAATATTAAATCCAGGAAATAGGAACTTATAAATATGATTGGACTTTCCCTCCTGCAATGTGTTGACGTGTTAGCCCCAAGGACTGTTCTCCACATCACGGAAGCATGGATCCCATACAGCCCCCACCCCCTCTCTCGGCATCTTCTTCCCCATTCTCCCCAAGTGCTGAATGCAGGATGTATCCTTCCCTGACTGCAGAAATCTCTCCACACCTCCTTATCCAGGCTTGCCCTGCAGGACAATGGTTCTTCCTCCTCGACGCGTCACCATCCTGCTGTCCACACAACTCCCAGCCTCCCAGAGGCCTCAGGGAACAGAACTGTCACCCTGAGAGATGTCCACCCGACAGGAGCCTCTGTGGCTGGAGACGTCCAAGCCAGGTAGTGTAGATTCTCACTATTCATCATAGTGACCGTGTAGAAGTCACCACGGACACTGAATTAGGAAACACTGAACCTCTGCTCCACAGGAAAATATGTGCGTATATTCAGTATACACATATCTCACACACATAGAGTCAAGATTAAATCCTAAGACAACGCACCCAAGTAGATTCTATTTTATTTTACAAGAGAAAAAAAAATGAGGTTCAGAAGAGTTAAGTGACTCAGCAGAAGCTGCCCCACTAACAGGTGCCAGAATTAGGATTTGACCCTGTCCAACTGGCCCAGAGCTGGAGCTTCCCTCCCATCTCCCCCTACAGGCCATCTGTGTATGAGGCTGAAACAACTGGGCAGAGTATGGCCTGCTTCAACCTCAGGTGGAAACATGCGTATTGGGGACCTCAGAATTTTCACTGTTCTGTGTGTGTCTACTCAAATGACCACTAATTGCCCCAAAGTATTGATTTGGAGGTTACAAATAAATTTTAGCAAATAGGTAAATTTTCAAATATGGAACGTGCAACTGTACTTTTCTGCCACCATGTCATAGCCTGAACAAAAATCAGCCTCGTCAGGATGGACAATCTGTAAGGGTGGCTGCCCCGAGTTTGCTCATTCAAAGCTAGGACCTGGGTGTTAGACCCAGGCATCTACCAGGTTGGTTCCTCACTGCTATAGCTTGAATGTCTGTCCCTTCTAAAACCCGTGTTGAAACTTAATCCCCAGTGTAACAGTATTAGGAGGTGGGGCCTTTAAGAGGTGACTGGGTCATGATTCACCCATTTATGGATTGAAGGATTTGTGGGTTATCATGGGAGTGGACAGGTGGCTGTATAAAAAGAGGAACAGATCTGAGCAAGCACTCTCAGCCCCTTTTTCATGTGATACTCTGAGCTGCCTTGGGCCTCTGCAGAGGCCCCACCAGCAAGAAGGCTCTCACCAGATGCAGCCCTTCAACTTTGGACTTCCCAGCCTCCAGAACTGTAAGAAATAAATTGCTTTTATAAATTACCCACTCTCAGATATTCAGTTATAGCAACAGAAGATAGACTAAGACGCTCACTGACCACAAAATACAAGGACAGAAACTGCATCCCTTGCCCATCACTGCCTCCTGAGCAATTGGAAGTAAGCACATGCCAAAGAGCAGACAGAGGAAAATGAAGGATCCAAATCTTTAACTCAGATCTTTAATCCTTGTTATAAAGATTAACAAAAGATTTGATGAGCATACCTGACTGCTCATTCTAAATTGAGATCCAAGGCAGACACATCTAAGAATGAAACAGAGTGGGTCTCCTTTTCATAATTCATTCATTTGGAGTCTGTATTAGTCCATTCTCACACTGCTATAAAGAACTACCTATGACAGGTTAATTTATGAAGAAAAGAGGTTTAATTGACTCATAGTTCCACAGGCTATACAGGAAGCATGGCTGGGAGGCCTCAAGAAACTTACAATCATGGCAGAAGGTGCAGGGGAAGAAAGCATGTCTTACCATGGTGGAGCAGGGGAAAGAGAGAAAGAGGGAGAAGGGGGAAGTGCTACATACTTTCAAACAACCAGATCTCATGAGAAGTCACTCACTATCATGAGAACAGTAAGGGGGAAGTCCATCCCCATGATTCAATCACCTCCCACCAGGTCTATTCTTCAACACCTAGGGTTTACAATTTGACATGAGATTTAGGTGGGGACACAGAGCCAAACCGTATCAGAGTCTTTTCCCCCTAAGTATGTAAGTAATCCACTCTCAATATTGAAAACTTTTTTTAAAAAAAAGTAAAAACAAAAAACTACCAAAGCTTTTTTTAACTTCTGACTTCTTACATCTTTTGCTCCTGTTTAATGAGTTCCCTATCACCTAAAAACAACGACTAAAATTTAAGCAAATATTCTTTCAATGTTTTTTTGCCCACAGCGTTTGCAGTGGTGACTGAGGCCTGTTTTCCTCATAAATCCCCGATCCCCATGCCATGTAAACAGATGACACCCCAAAGTCTGGAGAATAGGAGTTAAACTCTGGGCACTTACAGTCCCAAGATGTGAGGTCTTGGTCTACTCAGAAAGATGAGAAATACAAGATCAGCCTGAACCAGTTCTTCCCATCCCCAGAGATGGAATTAAAGGATGTCTGGACAAAGAATAGGGAGACAAAGAGCACAGGTGTGTTGCTGGGGTCCCTGAGTATACCCCACTTTGGAAGCCAGGACTAGGCAGAGGGTGAGATCATAGAATCCCATGATCAGAGGACAGAGCCCAGCAAAGTGTCTGACCCCAGAATTTGCATCAGACATGCTTATAATTGAATTATACAAGAAACAGAATGGGCTCCCTGCAGTGGGAGCAGAAGAAATACCTTCCTGTGGTGTCAAGAAGCTAAGCCTGAAATGGTCCTCACTGTCCCTGGACACCCCTCAGCAAGCCAAGCACATCTGAATGCATCCCTCTGTGGCAGAAATAGCCCTAAGAGGTCCCTGAGGTCAGCACTTGGAGAACATGGATCAGTCACCACAGTGGCAAGAATGGCCACAAGGCTGTGTCCATAGATGCCAACACAAAAGGTTGAAAATGAGCCTTCCCACTGTAGCTTCCTCAAGACTATTGCCCTGGGTCAGTCCCTGACATGGGAGCACACCCAGGGAAAGGGGCCATTTCTGAACTGGCAGAAATCTCTTCCTGTCATGGTGCAACGTGGGCCCGAAAGAGAAGCTAAAATCCAGTTACAGAAAAGTAAAGCACATGTATAGGCCCTCGGGTCTGGGGGCTGAGATTTGCACCCACTACTCACGTATCCAAACACATGACCTTTCTGCTTTTCAAAGATGGTACCCTCCTTAGACACAGTGTGTTCTGATAGTTCTAATTCCTACTTGCTGATAAATTCCTGAAAATCCTGAAGTGCTGGGGCTAAAATTCTGCTTCTAAACCGTGGGAATCCCCTGGGCTTGTTTTCTTTTCTCATGTTCTCCGCATGTGTCAGCGTCTTGTTTTGGGCCCGACTCCCAACTGCAGAGAGCCCTTACCTTTGCTTGGAGGCACATGGAAGGCAAAGTCTTCCAAGGCTGAGGGTTTTTTTGTTTTCTGTTTTTAGAGTGGGGGTCTCGCTCTGTCTCCCAGGCTGGAGAGCAGTAGCGTGGTCATAGCTCACTGCTTAAAACTCCTGGGCTCAAGCCATCCTCCTGCCTCAGCCTCCTAAGTAGGTAGGGCTACAGGCACACACCACTACACCCAGCTAATTTTTTTATTTTAAAAGAAAATTTTAGCTCCCTCTCCCGTCTCCCTCTCCCTCTCCCTCTCCCGTCTCCCTCTCCCTCTCCCTCTCCCGTCTCCCTCTCCCTCTCCCGTCTCCCTCTCCCTCTCCCTCTCCCGTCTCCCTCTCCCTCTCCTTTCCACGGTCTCCCTCTCATGCCGGGCCAAAGCTGGACTGTACTGCTGCCATCTCGGCTCGCTGCAGCCTCCCTGCCTGATTCTCCTGCCTCAGCCTGCCGAGTGCCTGCGATTGCAGGCGTGCGCCACCACGCCTGACTGGTTTTCATGTTTTTTTGGTGGGGACGGGGTTTCGCTGTGTTGGCCGGACTGGTCTCCAGCTCCTAGCCGCGAGTGATCCGCCAGCCTCGGCCTCCGGAGGTGCCGGGATTGCAGACGGAGTCTCATTCACTCAGTGCTCAATGGTGCCCAGGCTGGAGTGCAGGGGCGTGATCTCGGCTCGCTACGGCCTCCACCTCCCAGCCGCCTGCCTTGGCCCCCCAAAGTGCGGAGATTGCAGCCTCTGCCTGGCCGCCACCCTGTCTGGGAAGTGAGGAGCGTCTCTGCCTGGCTGCCCATTGTCTGGGATGTGAGGAGCCCCTCTGCCTGGCTGCCCAGTCTGGAAAGTGAGGAGCGTCTCTGCCCAGCCGCCGTCCCACCTGGGAAGTGAGGAGCGCCTCGTCCCGGCCGCTATCCCATCTAGGAAGTGAGGAGCGTCTCTGCCCGGCAGCCCATCATCTGAGATGTGGGGAGCGCCTCTGCCCCGCCGCCCCGTCTGGGATGTGAGGAGCGCCTCCGCCCGGCCGCCCCGTCTGAGAAGTGAGGAGACCATCCGCCTGGCAACCGCCCCGTCTGAGAAGTGAGGATCTCCTCCGCCTGGCTGCCACCCCGTCTGGGAAGTGAGGAGCGTCTCCGCCCAGCAGCCACCCCGTCCGGGAGGGAGGTGGGGGTCAGCCCCCCGCACGGCCAGCCGCCCCGTCCGGGAGGTGGGGGGCGCCTCTGCCCGGCCGCCCCTGCTGGGAAGTGAGGAGCCCCTCTGCCCAGCCAGGAGCCCCTCTGCCCGGCCAGCCGCCCCGTCCGGGAGGGAGGTGGGGGGCTCAGCCCCCCGCCCGGCCAGCCGCTCCGTCCGGGAGGGAGGTGGGGGGGGGTCAGCGCCCCCTCCCGGCCAGCCGCCCCGTCTGGGAGGTGTGCCCAACAGCTCATTGAGAATGGGCCATGATGACGATGGCGGTTTTCTGGAATAGAAAGAGGGGCAAGGTGGGGAAAAGATTGAGAAGTCGGATGGTTGCCGTGTCTGTGTAGAAAGAAGTAGACATGGGAGACTTTTCATTTTGTTCTGTACTAGGAAAGATTCTTCTGCCTTGGGATCCTGTTGATCTGTGACCTTACCCCCAACCCCATGCTCTCTGAAACATGTGCTGTGTCCACTCAGGGTTAAATGGATTAAGGGCGGTGCAAGATGTGCTTTGTTAAACAGATGCCTGAAGGCAACATGCTCGTTAAGAGTCATCACCACTCCCTAATCTCAAGTACCCAGGGACACAAACACTCTGCCTAGGAAAACCAGAGACCTTTGTTCACTTGTTTGTCTGCTGACCTTCCCTCCACTAGTGTCCTATGACCCTGCCAAATACCCCTCTGTGAGAAACACCCAAGAATGATCAATAAAAAAATAAATAAATAAAATTAAAAAAAAAAAAAGAAAATGGATTAATATAATTGTCATGTTAAAAAGTTAAAAGAAAAAAGTTAGAGGATCTTCTTCATAACTACTACAATAATTTAACATTTTATTTCAGATTAATAACTCAATAAAGTTTACACAGATGGAAATTTACTAAACATGATACATTTATATCAGTATATTTGTGTTTGTCTTCGCTAAAAAAAAAAAAAAAAAAAAGAAAGAAAATTTTAGGTGGCTCACATCTGTAATCCCAGCACTTTGGGAGGCCAAGGCGGGTGGATCACTTGAGGTCAGGAGTTTGATACCAGCCTGGCCAACATGGCGAAACCCCATCTCTACTAAAAATAGAAAAATTCAGCCAGGCGTGGTGGCTCACGCCTGTAATCCCAGCACTTCGGGAGGCCAAGGCAGATGGATCATCTGAGGTTGGGAGTTCAAGACCAGCCTGACCAACATGGAGAAACCCCCGTCTCTACTAAAAATACAAAATTAGCCGGGCGTGGTGGTGCATGCCTGTAATCCCAGCTACTCAGGAAGGCTGAGGCAGGAGAATCGCCTGAACCCAGGAAGCGGAGGTTGCAGTGAGCCGAGATTGCGCCACTGCACTCCAGCCTGGGCAACAAGAGTGAAACTTGGTCTCAAAAAAAAAAAAAAAAAAAAAATTAGCTGGGTGTGGTGGCACATGCCTGTAATCCCAGCTACTCAGGAGGCTGAAGCAGAAGAATCGCTTGAACCCAGGAGGTAGAGGTTGCAATGAGCCAAGATCATGCCACTGCACTCCAGTGTGGGCAACAGAGTGAGACTCCATCTCAAAAAATAAAGTAAAATAAAATTCTCTATGATGGGGCTAAGCTGAGAAGAAGTGGTTGGATATTTAGGAGGAAATGGCCTCTGGTGAGTTAGGCCTGCCTCACCCACCTTTACAGAATATTCTTCCAGAAGTGCTGGAGCAGAAGGACAAGAGACAGGACAGCAACTTAAAGGACTAGCAAGGTAGAAAGAAGGCTAGGGGTTTCTAGAAAGGAAAGAAGAAAGAGTCCCATGGAGAGAAAGAGAATTAAGTTTCAGTCAAAAATCTAAACAGATCATGAATTAAAAAGTAGAAATGCTTTTGGGGTTATAAATAACATCTACGATTGCTGAATAAGGATTTCTTATCTCAAAAGTTCAACTCTTTCTGCGAACTTGCAATAACAATTGCACATTTTAATCCTTTAAAGCTCGCTGTGGCTATGAGCAATCAGATGTAAATGGCTGTATTTCCTTTGGAACAAGTACACTTTGAGCTATTTTGGTATCAGTAATGTTTCATATGGGTTTCACAATGTATAGACATAAATATATGAACAATCTCCCAGTTCCTATTAAGAGATTGAACAGATGGCCAAGTTATTAATATGTGGCTTAAACCCAGCACTCAGACATCTGAGAACACGCATTGGATTCCTGAGGCGTCACAGCAATGCTCAGCAGGCTGGCTGCCACATGGTGGCCCAAGAAGCAGGTGCTTGTTATAAACATCAAAGCCCCACATCTGACCCAATGGAGACACCCCTGTTCAGAGTACTTGCAAGGCAAGACCAACATGTGCGAGCTCAGAGTCCAGCAGTGGCCCATGGCCCCTCAGAAGGCCCTGGAGGTGCCCAAGCTCCACCTGCCCATGGACCCCACCGCAGGCCAGCTCTGGCTCAGTCCCTGGGGCTTGAGCCTAACAGACAGGGCAGGCCATGCTGCCTGCCCATTCTGGGGCCCCTGCCAGGCCCAGTATCTCCTGAAGTTGGAGGCATTCTGGGGCCAAAGAGAGAAGTCCAACATCTCCAGGGGTGAGCCGAGAAACCAACCTGGACTGCCAGAACTGCCAGGCCTGCCTGAAGGCAGGGGTTTTTCTTGGGTGGGTGGGTTGGCACGAAGTGTTTGCCATCGGGATTATCAGTCAGGCCTAGCAGGTAGAGCCGTCTGGAGTCTAACCTGATGCAGCAGGTAGACACTGCGTGCACTGGATGGCTCCTTGGCCCTCAGCAGCCTCAGTCAGAGGAACTGACACTCCCAGAAGACCAGCTTCCAAGTACCATTTTGCTGTCTAAAGCACATTTCTGTGACAAGTTCTGCAACTTTCGGTGTATCTTACTCTTAGCAAAACAACTCCCAAAATCCTTAGTCTAACATGCTCTGAGCCACAGCCCACATGACCTTGAATTTCCTTTCCAGTACAACTTGAGAGTAGAACTTAGAGCCATGCTCTATGAAGGCTCCCACTCAGTTTTGAAATTGATGCAGCAGGAAACACGTTCTGGACGAAGACTTTTGAATTCAGACAAGGGCGATGAGTGTCCAGAGAGCCAGGTACGAAGTTCACAGAAGCTGTGATCAGAACACATCCGCAGGACTTGGAGAGATCACAACTCAACAACCTTGTCTAACGCCAGTCTGGTTGGCCTGGTGCAAACTGGGCTGGCCAACGTCTGGCCCTCTATGCTGAGCCCACCCACAGTGACTTGAGATGCAGAGATTTGTGATGCCGGTATCTGCTGAGGCAAGGAATCTTGTTCTTTGCGGCCATTTCCCTCCCTGCAAAGTTGTTTCCTCCAGGAGCCCCAGGGTTTCTGTTCCTTCTGGGTTATTCCAGCTGTAGGGCCCCAGAACCATGGCATCCTCTGTGCCATCAGGGCCAGGGGGGACTCCATGTGCCCATAGGTGGTCTTCTATGCCGACGTCTGCTGCCATAATTCCTAGAGGGTCCAACTAGCCTTGGGCAAAGTCAAATCAACCAGCTGGCTCTGCAAGCTCTGAACACAGAGCTGAGTCTGAATCCACTTCTTTCTTAACATCCATGAGCCTTGGTGCCCTCGTTTGAACAACAGGCCTCATCTCTAGGCCTGTTTCAAGGATGATATCAAAGGATGGCAGAATGCACCATCCCAATATGCCACTTTGGCACAAGGAACATTGACTCAAAGGAACTTAGAAAAACCGCAGGTCCAAGAAGAGCACTCTGACCCCAACCCCACCCACTTACCACTCTTTTTTTTCCCTAGAGGTAGGAAATAAAACTTCCATGTGAAAGGCACCCTCCCTTTAGCGGGAGGAAAGGATGATTCTTATCACTAGAAGCAGGGAGTCAAAGCTCCAGAGTATTTTGAACAAACAGACTTCGTGAAATAACTCTTATCTTCCTTTCATTTCCCCACTTATCTTACTTTTCACAATTGCCTCTCTTTGTTCAACCCAGTAGCTAAGCACTTGGGTTTTGCCACTTCTTTGGGTCTTCATTTTCCTATGGGGACTCTCGTGTATGTGTAAAAATCTGTGTGCTTTCCTCGTGTTAATCCTTCTTGTGCCAATCTGATTTCAAGGCCTAGCCGGGGACCCTAAGAGGATGGAAGTAGTTTTGCTTCCCCTACAATATGAAAGGACAAATCTAAAACTGTCTAGACACTATGTCTAGTGCACTGCAGGGAATTAAAAAGCATCAGTTTCCTTCTCTCCTGGTTAATCTCAGTAGCTCCTTTTTAGGATGGTGGCATCCACAAATGGCAATGAAGATGCAGGAAGGAGAGGGAGATTTTGTTTATATTGTTTGTCCTTTTTCCAAATAAGTAAAACTGACATTTCTGGCTTCTAAAATTATCATTTCCTACAAGTAACTACACTGAATTGGCTTCATTGAAAACCTTTTATGTGCACTTTCTCTCACAGATTTGTTATAACGAAACCAAAGGCAATACAAATAAATCTGCCGATAACCCTGGATTACTTTTATTGTTAACAGTAATCAAAATGATCGCACTTTCATCTCCCTTCGTTTCCTTTTCTAAGGTGTTAATGAGGAGTGACATCACCCTGGAATTTCACTAAAGATAAAATATAATTTACAGATTATACTGAGACAAGGCTTCTATTTGTGGTTAATGGAGTTCATTTAAACAGCGCCAGATTGTTCTTGAGTTAAAGAGGTCACCAAATAGGGGCTGGTGATATTTTTCATGTTCAAAATGTTTGTGGTAATTGTATATAATGTGATAGGAGTGGACCACAAATTGGATAACCAGTACGGAGGTATTCTAAAGTCAGATTATTAAATCAAGAAGCTACCCAGAATTAGATGGCATGGCATGCAAATTGAGTTCCTTCTGCCACCAAAGGCTCCCAGCCCAGTCTCATCTATCTAAGCTTTTCTTGAAGCTTGATTTATCAAGAGAGTTCCAATGCTGGACCCATTTCTCTACCCAAAACCCAGAATTCCAGGCAGTCATCGGTGCTCTCCTTCTCTTTCTCCTTTCATCTTTCTCTACATCCTCCTTCTCTTTGACCCTCTTCCAACCCAAATTAAGACTGCAAGATTTGACCAAGGCTGGTGGCTCACACCTGCAATCACAGCACTTTGGGAGGCCAAAGTGAGAGGATCACTTGAGGCCAGGAGTTTGAGGCCAGCCTGGGCAACATAGTGAGACACCATCTCACTATGGTGGCATCTCAGCATGGTGGCACACGTGCAGTCCTAGCTACTCAGGAGGCTGAGGTGGCAGGATCACTGGAGTCCAAGAGTTCAAGGCTGCAGTGAGCTATGATGGCGCCATGGCACTCCAGCCTTGGCAACAGAGACTGTCTTCAATTAATTAATAAAATAAAAACTAAAAGACTGCAAGACTTGAACACAACTCAGGAACGAGTCTCCATTGGCAAAAACAAGATAGAAACTGGATTGGGTAATTTATCATGAATGGAATTCTGCATAAATGTCCTGGCTCACAGTTCTGGAGGCTGGGAAGTCCAAGATCAAGGTGCCAGCAGGTTTGGTATCTGGTGAGGGCTTGGCATCCACTTCCAAGGTGGTGAGGAATTAACTCTTTTCCTCACATGGCAGAAGAGCCAAGAAAGAGCAAGAGGGGGCCGAAATTGCCCTTTCATAACACCACCAATCCCACCGATGAAGGGGTAACCCTTATGGCCTAACCGCCTCTTAAAGCTTCCAGCTCTTAATATCATCACAATGGCAATTAAGTTTCGACATGAGTTTTGGAGGGGACAGACATTCAAACCACAGTGCCATTTGTGTTCATTCTGCTTTTTAGTTTTCTCCAGAAACTACTGGCCTTCAAATTAGTAATTTACTGGCATGAATATAATTACAAATTATATACCTCTAAATAATTATTGATCTGTTACTCATGATTTCAGTATAAAGTATGCAATATACAACTCATTTGACCAACCAGTACATGCTAAGTCCAATGATTGAGCATCAATCCTCATTTTCCTTGGTGTATCAGTTGCACTAAACCCAGGTGAGCCATCCTTCCTGCTTCAACACATTCTTCACCAGGCTTCCAGGAAACTAGGAAACCATGGTTTCATCCTACCTCCCATGGGCTCTTCTCCATCTCCTGTCATCTCCCTGACCATGTGACACTGCAGAGCCCCAGGGTTCATCCCTTGGTCCTCCCTCTGTACTCATTGCCTGCTTATCTCTACCAAGCCCACAGCACTGTATGCGATCTCTTCAGACAACTCCCATTTTTAGCCTCCCCAACTGCCTACTCAACAACTTCACTTGAATGTCTAGTTGACTTCTCAAACTTGATGTATACAAATCAGAATGTCTGGGTTTCTGTCTACAGCATACCCCCATCTCAGCTAAAATAACTCCATTCCAGTTGCTCAGACCACACATTTGATATCAATTTGGTTCCTCCCATTCATACCTACATCTGAGCTGTTAGCAAATCCTATTGGCCAGATTAATCAGAGTGGTTAATGGAATGGTATAGATACAAGGGGTGAATACTATTGGAATACAACTCTTCATGGGTCACTCACATTTCTGCATTTCTTGAGAGCAGAAGTACTCTCTCTTCAAGGCTGTTTGTATAGCAAACAGTCTTAGAAGATAGAGATGCTATCTCCTAGATCAAAGGGCAGATTTGCTATGTGGTAAAATAAGAGAGAAAAGGGCAGGTTTGCTTGTCCATCATAAAAGATTTGAATTCCCTAAGTTCAAGGTTCCTCAGCTGTGACACAGAGCTCCCACCTGGACTCTTCATCATCCCTGTAGGACTTAGGGGACAAAGGATGCTGACAAAAACATGAAGCACACACTTCTTGCTGTCCTGTAAGAAAATTCTCTGTCTCTAACCCAGAAATGGGTGAAATCTGTCAGTCAGTTTGCAAGTAAGGCACAACCCCAGACCCTTCAGTTCTATGACTTTCGGAGCACAGAGTGGGCTTATAATTAGATACAAAGAAAGCTCACAATGTTTTTAAGGGTATTGTATTTCAGGCTTTCTTCTTTCTATGGATAAGAAAGCTCCTCAGGTGGCAACAAAGGCCATTTCTTTGGAAGCAGGCATGGCATGTGACGAAAAAAAGACATCTCAGAAAAGAGCCAAGAATAAGACTGGAGAGCCACTGTCAGAGAACAGAAACTGGGCTTAATCAAGGAACATCTCTTGTTCCCAGAGTAGGAGGCTGGCAATATTTTCTCACTGAAATTTCAGAATTGTTATGGACCAGTGACTGCTCTATGTGTTCAATTTGTTCCCTTTTCAAATGGAAGCATTTATTGCAGACGACCTGCCTCTGTCCCACCATTGTGTATTAGGTTTGTAGAGTGTAGACAACTTGCCTTTTTAGTTTGTAGGTTTCTGTATCAAGAGAAGATGTGTGTGGGCCTAACCTAGATTACAGGATCCTGGACTTCAAGTCTGATATAATGACTGGATGAGACTTTGACTGTCCTAGAATTGGGATGAACATATTTTGCCGGTGGGAGGGCGTGAGTAATTGCGGTTAGAGGGCAGACTGTCCCTCACACCTATTCCTTTTCATGGTGCCTTCCCAAACTGCCTCTGGAGGTGGCCACACAAATGGCTTTGGCCATTGTGACCATGGGAAACTTGATGCAGAGGCTGGAAAAAGCACTTGCATGTTTCTGTCTCCTCTCTTGTTCCTCTACAATCACAAGAAATGTCTAGGCAGGTCTGAGCAGGCCCAGGCTCATCTGCCATGGAAGAAGAATGGCACATGGAAGAGGGTCACATTGTCCCAACCAAGACGATCCTAGACCAGCCAGGCCCCAGTTCATGGTTCAAGACACATGAACATAGTTGCACGAACCAAGATTAGTTGTGTATGGCCCAGACTAGCAGCAGCACCCATCCAACCTACAGACTCTGAGAAATAAATACTAGTTGTCTTAAGCTTCCAAGTTTCAGTGTGAGCATTAGGTAGTAACAGTTAATGAATAAGACAGATAATCATTTTATCTGTCTGGATACTTATACAATGATTTCTATTTTTTATTGATACATAATATTTTACATATTGCTGGGGTACATGTGACATTTTGCTACATACATAGAATGTGTAATGATCCAGTCAGGATATCTGAGGTGTCCATCACTTTGAGAATTTCTCACTTCTGTGTGTTGGGAACAATTCAAGTCGTCTCTTCTAGTTATTTTAAAATATACAATACATTGTTAACTGTAGTCTTTTTTATTGAATGACAGGACTTGTACCTTTTATCTAACTGTATGTTTGTATCTATTAAGCTAGTTCTCTTTATCCCTGCCCCCTCCTACCCACTCACTCTTCCCAACCTCTAACATGTATCATCCTATTCTATATCTCCATGAGATCAACTTCTTTAGCTCCCACATATGAGCAAAAACATATGATGTTTGTCTTTCTGTGCCCGGTTTATTTCACTTATGACCTCCATTTCCATCCATGTTACTATAAATGACAGGATTTCATTCTTTTTGTGGCCAAACAGTATTTCATTGTGTATATATACTACATTTTCTTTATCCATTCATCCATTGATGAACACTTACGTTGATTCCATATCTTTGCTATTGTGAATGGTGCTGCAATAAACATGCACGTGCAGTTATCCCTTTGATACACTGATTTATTTTCCTTTGGATAAATACCCAGTAGTGAGATTGCTGGATCATACGGTAGTTCTACTTTTAGTTTTTGAGACATTTCCATACTTTTCCAGTGTTTGTATTAATTTACATTCCCATCAACAATGTATAAGATTTCCCTTTCCTCCACATCCTCACCAGCATCTGCTATTTTTTGTCTTTTTAATAATAGTCATTCTAACTGGGGTGAGAGGATATCTCGCTATGGTTTTGATTTGCATTTCCCTGATATTTAATGATATTGAGCATTTCTTCATATAACCTATTGGCCATTTGTGTGTCTTTTTTTTTTTTTTTTTTTTTTTTGAGAATTGTCTACTCATTTTTGGCTTTTTAAAAGATTTATTTTTTGTTGTTGTTGAGTTTAGTGCATATCCTGGATATTAGTCTCTTATCTGATGAAGAGTTTGCCAATATTTTCTCCCATTCAACAGGTTGTCTCTTCATTCTGTTGACTGTTTCCTTTGCTGTGCAGAAGCACTTTATATACAGTCCCATTTGTCTATTTTTTAGTAGTCTATGCATTTAAGGTCTCAGCCACAAAATCTTTGCCTAGACCAGTCCTAAAGTGTTTCCCCTATATTTTCTTCTAGTAGTTTTATTGTTTCATGTCTTATATTTAAGTCTATAATCCATTGTGAGTTGATTTTTGTATATGGTGAGATAGGGGCCTTGTTTCATTCCTCTGCATATAGATATTTAATTTTCTCAGCACCATTTATTGAAGGTGTCCTTCCCTATTGTATGTTCTTGGTGCCTTTGTCAAAATTCAGTTGGCTATAAATATGTGAATTTATTTCTGGGTTCTCTATGTGGTTCCATTAGTCTATGTGTCTATTTTTATACCAATATCATGCTGTTTTGATTACCATAGCCTTGTAATATATTTTGAAGTCAGGTAGTGTGATGCCTCCAGCTTTGTTCTTTTTGCTCAGGATTGCTGTGCATACTCTGGCTTTTTGGTTACATACAAATTTCAGGATTTTTGTATTTCTGTGAAAAATGGCATTAGTATTTTGATAGGAATTGCACTGGATCTGTATATTGTCCTGGACAACATGGTCATTTTAACAATATTAATTCTTCTAATCTATGAGTATGAGACGTCTTCCCACTTGTTTGTGTCCTCTTCAATTTCTTTCATTGGTGTTTCATAATCTCCCTTCTACAGGCCTTTCACCTCCTTGGTTAAATTAATTCCTAGGTATTTTTTTGTAGCTACTGTAAATGGGACTGCCTTCTTTCTCAGCTAGTTCATTTTTGGTGCATAGAAACCCTATTTTTGTATGTTCATTTTCTATCCTGCAACATTACCAAATTTGCTTATCAGCTTTAAGTGTGTATTTTGCTTTGCTTGTAGAGTCTTCTGGTTTCTCTAAATGTAAGACGATGTCATCTGCAAACGGGGACAATTTGACTTCCTCTTAAAAATCTGTATGCCTTTTATTCCTTTCTCTTGCCTGATTGCTCTGGCTCTACCTCCAGTACTATACTGAATAAAAGTGGTAAAAGTGAGCATCCTTCCTTGTCTTGCTCTAGTTCTTAGAGGAAATACTTTCAGTTTTTCCCCACTCAGTATGATGTTAGCTGTGGGTCATATATAGCCTTTATTATGTTAAGATATGTTTCTTCTGTACCTGGTTTGTTGACAGCTTTTTATCATAAAAGGATGTAGAATTTTATCAAATGTTTTTTCTGCATCTGTTGAGATAATCATATGGTTTTTGTCATTCCTTCTACTGTTGTGATGTATCATGTTTATTGATTTGTGTATGTTAAACCATCCTTGTGTCCTTGGTATAAATTATACTTGGTCATGGTGTATTATCTTTTTGGCATCCTGTCGAATTGTTTGCTAGCTTTTTGTTTTGTTCTTTTTGAGAATTTTTATGTCTAGGTTCCTTAGAAACACTGGCCTGTAGTTCTCTTTTTGTGTGTGTGTCCTTGTCTAGTTTGGTGTCAGGGAAATGGTGGTCTTGTAGAATGAGTTGTTTTTTCTTTGATTTTTTTGCAAGAGTTTGAGGAGAATGGGTATTAGTTCTTCTTTATGTGGTTGGTCAAATTGGCAGTGAATTCATTCAGTCATGAGCTTTTCTTTTTTTGGGAGGGTTCTCATTACTGAGTTAATCACACTGCTCATTACTGATCTGTTCAGATTTTCTATTTCTTCTGGAATCTCAGTAGTTGTATGTTTCCAGCAATTTATCCATTTCCTCTAGGTTTTCTAGTTTGGTAGTATATAGCTATTCATAATAGTCTCTGATGATCTTTTGTATTTCTGTGATATCAGTTGTAATGTCTTTTTCATTTCCTATTTTATTTGGGTCTTTTCTTGTTTAGTCTAGCAAGGGGTTTATCTATTTTATCTTTTTGAAGAACCAACTTTTTGTTTCATTGACCCTTTCTACGTCTTTAGTCTTTATTTCATTTAGATTTGCTCTGAACTTTACTATGTCTTTCCTTCTAATTTTGGGTTTGGTTTGTTCTTTTCTAGTTCCTTGAGGTGCATCATTGAATTGTTTCTTTGATATCTATCTACTCATTTGATGTAGGTGTTTATTGCTATACACTCTCCCCTCCTAGAGCTCCTTTTGTTGTGTCCCATAGGTCTTGGTATGTTGTTTCTATTTTCATTTGTTTCAAACATTTTATTTCCATATTAATTTTTATCATTCAGGAGGAGCATATTATTTAATTCCCATGTATTTGTATAGTTTCCAAAGTTCCTCTTATTTCTATTTTTACTCCATTGTGGTCTGAGAAGATACTTCATATGATTTCAATTTTTAAAAATTTGTCAAGACTTGTTTTTTGTCCTAACATATGGTCTATCCTGGAGAATGTTCCATGTGCTGATGAGAAAAATGTGTACTCAGCAGTTGTTGAGTAACATGTTCTACAAATATCTGTTAGATCCATTTGGTCTAAAGTCTAGTTTAAATCCAATGAGTTTTTGTTAATTTTGTCTAGATGATCATGATCTGAGACTGAGGTGAAGTCCCCAACAATTATCGTGTTGGAGTCTACCTCTCTTTTTAAATCTAGAAATATTTGCTTTATAAATCCGGGTGGTCTAGTGTTGGGTGCATATATTTAGTTGTTATTTCCTCATTAGATTGATCTCTTTACTATTATATAATAACTGTTTACTGCTTCTGGCATAAAGTCTGTTTTATGTAAGTACAGCCATTCCTGCTTGAGTTTAGTACCATGTTGACAAAGGGATGCATAGAGAGTTGGTAAAGCATGATTTCTGGGTGTCTGTGTGAAGGTGTTTTGAGAAGAGTTTAGCATGAGTCTGTGGAGTGAGTGGGAAGATTCTCCCTCAATGTCAGCAGGAACCATCCATCCACTGGGGGCCCAGGTAGAAAAAGATGAAGAAATGGTGAATTCTCTCTCTCTCCTGGAGCTGGGTCACCCTTCTTCTGCCCTTGAACAGGACATCACAACTCCAGGCTCTCCAGCCTTTGGACTCCAAGACTGACACCAGTGCCCCTCCCCAATTACCCCAGGCCCTCAGGCCTTTGGCCTAGGATTGAGACTTACACCATCAGCTTCCCTGGTTCTGAGGCTTCTGGACTTGCACTGGGCCATACTACCAGCATCCCAGGGTCTCCAGCTTGCAGAGAGCCTGTTGTGGGACTTTTCAGCCTCCATAATCAAGTAAGCCAATTTCCCTGGTATCTATATAGATATACAATCATGTTTTGCTTACCAGCCTGAAAAATGTATCGCTAGATGAGTCTGTCATTGCATAAACATCATAGTGTACTTACACAAACCTAGATTCTATAGCCTACTACACACCTAGTCTATAAACATGTACAGCATGTTACTGTACTGAATATTGTAGGCAACTGTAACACAATGGTGAATATTTGCATATTTAAACATATCTTATCATTAAAAAGATACAGTAAACATAAGGTATAAAAGACAAAAACCGGCACACCTATATAGGGCACTTACCATAAATGCAGCTTGCAGGACTAGAAGTCACTCAGGGTGAGTCAGTGAGCGAACGTGAAGGCCTAGGTTATTACTGTCCACTACGGTAGACTTTATCAACACTGTACACAGGCTACACTAAATTTATTTTTTAAAAATTTGCTCTCCAATAATAAATTAATCTTCGCATCCTTTTTTTGTTGTTCACTGTGGCATCCAGTTTCTACCCACAAAGAAAAAGCTCCAATGCACCTTTTAATTTTTTGAAAAATTCCTGATATTACAGAACTAAATTGAAATGTATTAACATCTCACTCTTACATTTTCATAATAAACAGAAAAATTCATAAGCCAAAAAACAAAAACAGGGAGTGCTGGTCACAGTGGTTCATGCCTGTAATACCGGCACTTCGAAAGGCTGAGGTAGGTGGATCGCTTCAGCTCAGGAGTTTAAGACCAGCCTGGACAACATAATGAAATCCTGTCTCTCTGAAAAATACAAAAATTAGCCGGGTGTGGTGGCATGCACCTGTGGTCCCAGCTACTTGGGGGTCTGAGGTGAGAGGACTGCTTGAGCCTGAGCGGTCAAGGCTGCAGTGAGCCATGTTTGCCCCACTGTACTCCAGCCTGGGCGACAGAGCAAGACCCTTTCTCAAAAAACAAACAACTACAAAAACAGGGGGAAACTTATATTGCTAAATACAATCTCAGCGTCAACACTGGAACAGAGAAAGGAATTAAAACACCTTAATTAAAAAAAAAAGGGTGGATGACAGGCTGGCACAGTGGCTCACGCCTGTAATCCCAACACTTTGGGAGGCCGAAGTGGGAGGATCATTTGAGCTCAGGAGTTCAAGACCAGCCTGGGCAATGAAGTGAGATTCCATCTCATTTTTTTAAAAAATAAAAAATAAAGGAATGGATGAGTGTTAAAAACCAAAAATTTAAAACTATTTAAAACCTGACATGGCTGCTTGTTCAGAAACTACAGATGGATGATGGGTGGTGGTGAACAGCAGAAAGGGGTTATAGTACGTGAATCTGCATTGTTCTAGCTGTTCCCCATGCCACTCATCCTAAGGTGAGCCGGACATTGATTAGCCATTGAGCCAGGCTAATGCTGGCAGCAGATCCAGTGATGGTAACCTGCCTATCAATAGATCCTTCCACTGGGTTCACAATTTTGATCTACGCTGCAGACATCTGATAGATCTCATTTATTCTGGTGCCTTGACACCTGATTATGCAGCCAGTATCATTTGGAATGGTGTTTATGAGAAGTGGTCTGAGCAGATGCATCCAAACCTGCACTGAACCCCAGCGTTGCTATCTACTGTAGGAAAACTAGATTGTTGCATTGTCAACTGGTGCAGCTTGGTCAACTCTAGAAGTGGTCCCTCCAGGTCACAGTTGAGGCACATGGACGAAGTGGTGTGGAGAAAGCAAGCTCACACTGTCGCTGCCTGTGCTGTACCTGTCCTGATCACCTGCAAAGATCACCGGAGAATTGGACAGCTTGGACCAGTATGGGATGGCCATGCGTTTGGGGGAAGACTCCAACACCACACAGACCTGTCCAACACACTCAATGATGGACTGCGGAATCCCAGCGATAGTGATGGCTCAGTCAGCAGCGTTGGGGAGCATATCCCCTGCCACCTGGACCTGAGCCCTGTACTCTCTCGTATTGCCTTGATCTTGCAACCACCTTTTCCAATGAGCCACAGTGACTAGCAGGGACCACCAGCATCAGGGTGACCAGGGGGTCCACTGGCAGCTGTGCTAGTGGTCACAGAGCTACTGATATCCTCTTCCAATCTTGCTTTGAAGATGGCGCTAGTGGGTCCAGCCAAGATGATAATTCTCTCAGAACAACTCCCTTCTGAGATGCTGATACATGCACCACTCTCCTCATGCATCTTAACTGATTCTCCTCTTTCTGATGATACTGCCAACTTCCTTTCCATGCATAAGTAGCCAGGTGGTGAGAATGACATTTAATCCAATTTCAATCATACCAGTGTCCATATCAAGCAGGGCTATGGGGAGCTGGACTTGGAGTGGTCAAGTCTTTGGCCAGTGGGGATGAAAACCAAGAACTCCAGGCAGGAGGCAACTCAGGGAAAAAGGAGAGCAGGCAGGGTGGGGCAGGGGTGGAACAACAGGGGTGGGCAGAAAGGCAACGAGAAGGAGGAGAAAAGGTGGTGGAGGAAGAGAAAGAAGGGAGAGACCTCAGGGCAGGTGGGAGAGAGCACAGCCTGTAGCTGCTCAGGCTGCTGCCTCTGCTGGTGTCAATCTCAGCTTCCTGTAACTTTTCTGCTTTCTAAACTTTTATTTTTTTAACTTTTTGACTCTTTTCTAATAACTTAGCTTAAAACACAAATACACTGTACAGCTGTACAGAAATATTTTTTCTTTATATCCTTATTCCATAAGCTTTTTTCCATTCAAAAGTTTTGTTTTTTGCTTTTTGTTAAAAACTGAGACACAGCACACACATTAGCCTAGGCCTACACAGGGTCAGAATCATCAATATCTCACTGTCTTCCGCCTCCATATCTTGTCCCGCTAGAAGGTCTTCAGGGACAGTAACACACATGGAACTGTCATCTCCTGTGATGACAATGTCTGCTTCTGGATACCTCTGGAAGGGCCTGCCTGAGACTGTTTTACAGTTCGCTTTTTTGTTACGAGTAGAAGGAATACACTCTAAAATAGCAAAAAATAGGATGTACATAAACCAGTAGCATAGTCATTTATTGTAAGTATTATGTACTGTTCATAGTTGTATGTGCTGGACCTTTAAACTGGCAGCACAGTAGGCGTGTTTTCACCAGCAACACCACAAACACAAGTAACACATGAGGTCTGACCTTAGGATGGCTACCACAGCCTAGGCGATAGGAATTTTTCAGTTCCATACGATCTTATGGACCCCTGTCTACATGCGGTCCGCCAGTGGTATGTCCTTATGTGGTGCATGACTATACACATCCTACTGGTTCTCTCTGGACTGCTCTAATATACTGGGCATATACTGTCTTGTCTGTGTCATCTGTTACTTCTCTATTTCTGTCCTGCATCTTAGGACACCAACTCAAGTTAGTCCTCCACATAATGGCTTTGTATTATACCCTATTTTATATATATGTAATATATATACAACTTAGATCACATACTATTTGTTGTTATTTTATATAATACAGATTTTAAAGTTGAAGTTTTGCTTCTGTTAAAATCTTTTCCATGAAATTTTTTAAATTTCCTTTCAGCTAGCTGCTGCTTCTCATACATCTCATTATTTGCTTTTGGAAAAAGCAGGGGTTCCTGACTTTTAAAAAATAGCTGTTTCCTACAGTCATGTTTTTCAACAGAATGCTCTTCTTCTGCATTTTTAATGCTGTTTCTATCCTTCGTATTGCTTGTTTTCTTCAGCTACTCTCCTTTGAATGGGAAACCTACCCAGGCCTGATGTCTGCTCCGGCTAGACTCGAACTCCTGGGCTCAAGCGATCCTCCTGCCCCAGCATCCCAGGTAGCTGGGACTACGGATAAGCACCGCTGTGCCTGGCTTGGTATCTGGCCCTAACGTGGCTCTGCTGCACTGACAGCCAACCTCCTGCACCTGCTGCCTGCTTCTTATCACAAGAAGAGGTTTACTCCTGGACAGTCTGAAGCAATTATGATTCTTTCCTTACCAAAATTATTAAAAACTACAATGCCCAGAGTTATCTGCTTCTAGGGTTCTCCCAGGATTACTGCCGATGCAAAACTTGTCCCCCAACTACTTCCACTCTTAGCCATTTGACACTGCCAAGCTCTGTGGTTCTCAAGTTAGCAAGAGGAAGTACAAGAAGGAATGAAGACTGACAGCTCCAGCTGCCCCCAGAGCAGCTCCCCACTCCTTTCTTACCACATCACCGTCAGCATCTTTGAGGTGGGGCACACAAAGGTGTGTCAACATGGAAATACCACCTTACAGTTCTTCAAAAGCATTCTTATATCATTATTCTCACAATTCAGCAAAGCAAGCAGAGAATTTCCTTCATTAAGCAGATGAAAACCTGGACCCCAAGGGAAGTAGATAACCACCCAGGGAGTACTGTCACCAGTATTATCTGTAGTTTACAGCTGAGAAAACTGTTGCTCAGGAAGCTTCAAGGCATCTGCCCAAAGTCACCTGGCCTGTAAGGGCTGGCCTGGGATTGAACATAGTCTGCTTTTCCAAGATCACTCTTCCTTACTTACCACACTGACCCTCAGCACAAGAAGAGGATTAGCTCCAGCTAGGACCAGATTCCAGGTCATATGATGTTACCTCAGGGCTCTGCAGGCACATTTCTGAATGAATGAAAACTTTTTTTGCAACAAGGGAAATGCTTAGATTTCTGCCTTCGGGATATATTCATAAGCATACTATGCACAAGACTTCCAATTCTTGATTATGTAAAGGAAACCAAGTTTACTCAAGAAGGAGTTAGAACACAGTATCTCCTTACCATACTTCTAATCATTACCAAAAACAGTAAATGAACTGGAACTAGAAAATATAAATGGGTAAGTACTCTAAATCTATAGTATGTAAATGATTCAATAACTAAAAAGGTGAAAAAGAAAGCAGAAGAGATAAGAAGCATTTAACTCCACCATTTTAAAATTTATTTTCATGAATGCAGTTCAGTTTGTGGTCCTGTGAAGTTGTGTGGCTACTCCGGGTTCATGATTCCATTCACACTCCTAATGATAACACATGACTGTAAGAGAACTGCTGACACGCGCAGAGCCAGCCTTGAAAGAGAGCCCTGGGAAAGTCTGGGTGAAGAGGCTATCTGTCAGATATTACTAAAAAGTGAGGACATACACATTTCTGTTTCATTTTTAGTAAATATATAATTTTGTTACTTTGTCATCAATTTTTACCCACAAGATAAAAAAAACTGCAGGACTCCTAAAATATCCAGAAACTTTCCACATATTAAGAATCACCAACAGGTCAATGAATAGTTACACCTAATTAACTACACTTTGCCACATGAATACCATCTGCTGATATCTGTAGCTTTGAAAAATTTAACTAAAGTTGGGCACAGTGGCTCACACCTGTAATCCCAGCATTTTGGGAGGCCGAGGCGGGGGAAATGCTTGAGCCCAGGAGGTCGAGGATGCAGTGAACCATGATAGCACACTGCACTTCAGCCTGGGCAACAGAGCAAGACCCAGCCTCAAAAAATAAATAAATAAATAAATAAGATAAAAATTTAACTATAGTACCTTAAAATATTCAAATACAACAATACTCCCACCTAGTGGATAAAAGGAAAATGCTTGGCTTATTTTGGTTGTGAATAATACCACCATAAATAAGGAATTAAAACTACAATTAATTTTTTACAATTTTATTCCGTTTCATCATTCTCAAAATATATCCCCCAAAAGTAATCTACAAAAGAGTGCAGGCTGCTCCCCTTAAAGGAATGGACAAGTAATATACACTACAAAACAATGTTTAAGATCATGTATAAATGTTACTCTGAATCTCATTTGTTGTCATCAATTTCTTTAGTATCTCAGTGCTTTGGGGAATATTCTGAAAGGAGAGAAAAAAGTGAATACAGTGAGACCCCAGGGATTCAGGCAGAGGCAACACCCCTCCCTCCACGACCAACAATCTCCACACTCGAGACTTAAAAACAGCCATGGGACAGGCGTGGCCTTTACTCTCCTTCTCAACGAAAAGGCAAGTGGGAAAGTCAGTTCAACAGGCCCTTTCCCTGCCACACTCGCCGATGATCTCCTGGCCTCCGATGGTCTCCTGGCCTCTGGAGGAAGTCTATGCTCTAACCCGCCCGACCTTCCCCACAAGATGTCTTCCTCCCCTCTCCACCAACACCACACTCCTCACGGCTCTCCTCACACTTTCCCACTCTGCTCACACTGCTTCCCTCTGCACACTTCTACCCAAGATTCATCCATCTTTCAAATCCAACTAAACTGCCACACAGGAAGAACTCAAAATAATTCCACCTTATTGAAAATACCACTTTTAAAAGGTCAGAAACAACGAACTGACTCAGGCTGATGTAATTGGTCATTAAGAAAACAGCACCCTGCAGAACCACCATCTTACCCTCCTGCTAATCATTATCTCCAAAGCAAAAATGAAAATGCTGAGTTAAATTTCCCCTTGAAAGTATATTCATAAAAGCTGAGTTTCCTTAAGCCCCATATGACAGATGATTTCCAAGTCTCTGAACAAGTCCAAGCGTTTATGACACACCTGTGTGCTACACACAGTCCTACAGCAGTAAACAAAACAGCCCAGCCCCTGCCCATGGGAACTCATCTCTGAGTTAAGTGGGATGAGGCAATTGGCTATTTAAACAAACAAGACGATCAGCATATACTTTGAAAGAGATGCTAAAAATAAATTAACTCCATGTGTCAGAAAGATTACCCTGGATTCTAGCTAATTTGCAAGATAAGCTTGCAGTATACTAAATCAGAGTTTTACAGCTGTACTCTTCAACAAATGGTTATTGATGGCTTTATTCAACATGCCAGGTATGTGGTAAACTTGGGATACCAAAATTAAAAATCGTGGTCCATTACCACAAGGAGCTGACAATCTAGTAACAAACTAATTTATGAGACCTGGGAAATGAGCTACTTCCAACAACTTACCACAAAAGTCTTAAAACTAATGGCCATTCCAGAATAAAACCGGGCTGAGGGACAATGTTGTTACAACCTCTTTCCTTTAAAGAAACCATGCTTAAACCAGAGGCTGTGGACTTCCAAAAAAGTCTCTTAAGAGAAAACAATGGAATCCCTAAACTACCTGAGATTACAGGCAAACATTTTCATGTACGTGTTCCAATTTTTTTAGAAAATGAGACCAAAGGTATAAACCAAGGGTAAGGAAGAGGTTCATTATGTAATTCTCTCATCTTCACATATACAGTTCTCTGTAAAATTGGGTAAATAAATATTATAATAATTTGATCCACACTATACTCAAAAATAACCGTCTCAAAAATTAAATAAAAATTTTTTAAAAAACCTTGCAAAGTAGTTATAGAAGCTTATTGAACAGTAAAACCATCTGTCCACATAGACATTTGGGATTTAATTGCACTGCATTAATCTATCATACAAGAACAAAGCATTCGTCAAGTTACAGACGTATACAGAAGAGATGATGACAATCAAATTCAAACTGCCAGACTAGAAAGCTTCGCTTTGAGAAGAATGGATCTCCAAGCATTGCTTAGGGTTTAAAATGACAGTATACATTTATGTTTGTTACTAAGCTGATTATAACAATGCAGCTATTAATTTAAATGAGTTAAAACCTTACCTTAACCAAACCCTTCAAGCTTCTGGTAGAAAGTATAGGCTTAAAAGCTTCCACTGTGATTAGGTCTAATTTCATCACATCAGTATAACACAAGTACAGAATTGCTGGGATTTTCCATACTTGACAGTAGCTTAGAACTATGAATACACAAGAAAAAAAAACGATGTAAGTTTTCTATTATGTTACTTTTAAATTAAACACCTTTAAATAATAAAGGCTGTTGTTAAAAGTAGTTATCTCAGCTGCCTCTTTCAATCAAGGTATTTACTGCAATTTTGAACCAATTATAATGAAGATTTTCTTTCAAAGTCAATTTATTTTCCTAATAATCTCTTCTTTTGCAAATATTAATTTTATATTTCCTGAAAATACAGCTGAGATGATTTAAGTAGCTGAAAGATTAAAATTCTACTGACTATAATAAAGCATATAAATAACAAATAAGTACAAAATGCATAAAGTGAAATATTTAGCCACTTCTCATTCTAGTAAACATTGAAAGCAAAAAGAAACCCCAACCAAACCCTATTTTAATACAGTTCATATAATAAATAACAATTATGTAATATATTACCCACTGAAAAGTAAATGGCAGTCTCTTTGTCATATGATGGCAGATGTGTGTGATGGTAATAAAAAAATTAAAGCAACTATCAAGATTCAATATTCAAAACTTCTGTTTTGATAATTAAAATGTACTTTATCAACTTTTGATGCACCAATAATTTATATTTAACACTGGCTTGCATTCTGAATAATCAAAGACCAAAAAGAAACACAGCATGTCTGAAGCCCAACAGTTAAGAAACATGAGCTCCTCAAATAACTGTGTCTGGAAAATCTGAAAACTCAAACTAAATATACTGCACTTGTAACTACAGATATTGAGGACTAACAGCAATATATTGGTATCAATCATCATTAATAAACTACCTCAAAAAGACCTCTAATGGTGAAAAGTAGTATCAATAAAGCAATAAGATAGAATGTAAATGTTACAAATTTTAATACCACCTGCTGCAGGAAGGTCGTGTACTATATTCGGTTGTTCTAGCAATGGACAACACGCCGAGTCTTTGAAATTCTGTGTTTTTAGGGCTCTCAGGAAAGGAGAAGGAAGGCTGCCGGTGGATTCTGAGGTTTTATAATCGGTAACATGTCGACATGTGAGAATAGTTATCTGCATGTTCTTCCTTGGACAAGAGCCAAAAACCTAACATAAAATTTATTTCAAATTAAAAAAAACATATAATTTTGTTACAGAATGGAAACATTCCTCTAGGTATTCACCTAACACCACAGACAATAATAGCATGCCTAGCAGGGGTGGGAGTGTGCCTTGGAGAAACAGAACACACCTGCTGTCACAACCTGGGTTTGATCTTGGTTCTGCTTTCTAGGTGGGCAATTTTTCCAAGTCACTCTCCTCATTAGTGAACTAAGGTGATATAGTTTAGATGCCTGTCCCCTCCAAATCTCATGTTAAAATGTGATTCCCAATGTTGGAGGCCGGACTTGGTGGGAGGTGACTGGATATGGGGGTAGATCCCTCATGAATGGCCTAGCACCACCCTGTTGGTGATACGTGACTTCTCACTTCTCGCTCAGTTCATGCTAGAGCTGGTAGTTCAAAAGAGGCTGGCTCCTCCCCTCTCTCATGCTCTCGCCATGTGATCTGCCTGCTCCCCCTTCACCTTCCACCATGATTGGAGGCTCCTGAGGCCTCAGCAGAAGCCAAGCAGATGCCAGCACCATGCTTCCTATACAGCCTGCAGAACTGTCAATCACTTAAACCTCTGTTCTTTATAAATTACCCAGCCTCAGGTATTCTTTATAGCAACACAAGAATAGATGAACACGTAATGCCAGCACTACCTACTTAAGGGGCCTGCGATGTGGAGTAAATGAAGTCAGAGTGCCAGAATAGCGACTACAGGTCTGCCGTCCAGAGAAAAAAAGTCACAGGTACACACCTGACATTCATTCCCTCTCCCACCTACCACTGACACCTTAAAAATAACTCTCATGAAATTCATTTTTGGAATTACTACACTTATAGGTAAGCTTCAATCACTGTGGTTCTAAATGTCCTCTTCTATAAGTAGAAGAGTCTGGATTTGATAGATTTCTAAGAACCCTTTTACCTTTTAATAAGATCTAAAGTGATGTAAACAAAGAAAGATGGGCGGGAGGAATCCAATTGTGTTTTATACTTCTGTGACCTACCATCCTCAATGCTGAGGACCAACTGTGTTTTATACTTCTGTACCTCAGCATTGAGGACGGGAGGACACAGAAGTATAAAACACAACTGGTTGGTCACGTTAAATAAGCAAGTTCTTTTATTCTTTATATTCCAAAAGAAATTCCCACAATATTTTAAAGAAATAAATATCTGACTGCATAAGTTTAAGTTAAAAGACATCGAACCCTTAAAAAATGAAAACTCCTGTAGACTAACCATTCACAGGTTTTCATTTCTCTCTTACCTTTTCCAGCCACTGATACTGTTGATCTTCTGCAACATAGCAACTGCACTGACAGAGAAAAACCTGAAAAGTCAAGTTCCACGCTTTTTGTCAAGTAAGTTTTATACACACCACAAACTATCACCATATATGTAACATGTGAATGACAACACTTAGGTAATACTTATTTTCCTGGCTCCACTATTGACCTACTTATTTCTCTTTAAAATTTAACAGTCAAACCACTACTGGTGATTAGTATCAGAAAAAGTGCACACTGACAGAGCAACTGAAAGATTTGCCATACTAAAGTATACTACCAGTAAATAACATGTAAGTGATACTTAAATAACTGCTTTTCAAACATACAAGTCCCACCTACCGAGGGATTGGATTTTAGATGATAAAACACACAAAAAGCCTCTGTGGAGGACAGATGTGTAGTGTCTGTTGTTCTACACCATTCATTCCAGAGTTTAGCACAACCAACTTCCTCCCAGACTCCTGAATTCATAACAAATGATGACAGAAATGCTGTAAAAAACAATTCACATAAGTTAGTGTTTGGCTCTGCAAGCTATATTTTCTATTCAATAAAAAGTAAGCTCAAGTTACTGTAGAATTTGAGAGCTGAAAGAGCCATTCAAGACCGTCTACCTAATACCACCATTATACAGAAAAAGAAACTGAGGCCCCCAAGAAGTAAAAGGCCACACACCCTGAGTAAGACAATCCTAGAGCTAGGGATCAAGAAGGCAGGTTTGTTGACAGACTTTCTACCACATGCTCACGGGGTAATACTCTTCTGAAAAACTTTAGGCCAGCAGAACTTTATATAAATGAGTCCATAGTTACTTGCCATCATGTACTTACTATGTTCTACAACCACTAGGGGTACCTTACAGAGGAAGGGATCTTAACTGGGTTTCCTGAATGTTCTCATCACAACCTGTGAACACCCTAAAAATATAAAGGTCTATGTGTGTATTTGTAAATGTACATTGTCCTAGCTGCACTCTACACTGTTTTTACTTTAATCCACCAAGAGAATTAATACATGCAAGGACCTTAAAACTTAAGTACTTAAACATGTTGATAATTATTACTGTCTTTAGAGTTTTGTGTTCTCAAAGGAGTCTATTAACTCAAAAACATTAACATAAACCCGGATACCTCAACACACTAGAAACAGCTCCTTGAGTTTTAAGTTCCTGAAGCTAAAAACATTTTCTTTAAAGCTTTTCTCTGAGTTGGGGTCTTGCTTTGTTACCCAAGCTGGAGCACGATCAGTGGGAGGATCGTGGCTCACTGCAGCCTCAAAATCCTGGGCTCAAGCAATCCTCCCATCTCAGGCTCCTGAGTAGCCAGGACTACAGGCAAGCACCACCATGCCTGGCTTCATTTTTTTATTTTTTGTAGAGATACGGTCTCACTATGTTGCCCAGGCTGGTCTCAAATCCTGGCCTCAAGTGATCCTCCCGCCTCGGCCTCCCAAAGAGCTGGGGTTACAGATGTGAGCCACTGCACCCAGCCTAAATCTGATTTTTTCAGTTTATTAAAAAGATAGTGCAGACCAGGTGCTGTGGCTCACACCTGTAATCCCAGCTCTTTGGGAAGCTGAGGCAGGAGGATCACTTGAGGACAGGAGTGCAAGACCAGCCTGGGCAACACAGCAAGAAACCATCTCTACCAAAAACAAAACAAAAAAAAATGATGCAACAGGAACAGGAGAGAGATTTTACTCAGAAATACAATCACTCTACTGTGGCTTTTTAAAGTACTAAACATTTTAAATCTTTTATGATGGAAGAAAATAAGTATATTTCATTCTTTCAACAAAATGACTAAGTCTTCTGCATTTTCACTTACCTACTGCATTATTTCCTATAGCAATTATAAACTTGGAGCACGGATATTTTTCTAGCAAAGAAACTTCCAAAGATGTTTTTGTTTGTCTTCGAAGGAGCCGCACTTCCCTAACACAAGAAACAAGATGAAACTAAAGCAACTTCAATATAAACAGTATCATGGCAAAAGGGCACTATATGTATGATTTACAATAAATAAAATGCACGTTAGTTTTATAAAGAATATAACTAATATCCTCAGAAAACGATGGACTCGGACAATGATAACCAACAGATAAAACTATTGCATACGTGTTTACGGAGAACTCTAAAATAGTGATCAGGCTGTCCACCTGACCCAAGAACCAATCTTAGCATCCCTAAAAGTGAGACAGCTGGGGATAGCCTGCAATAAGAAACAGAAAGCACCACTTAGTAGAAGCATTCTTGCCGACAAAACTTTGAATGAGAATCTGACCAAGCCTCCAAATGAACATTCATTTTACAGGACATGCAGGTGATACAAACGTTAAGTGACACCACAACGAAGCTATCAGACAAATTCAGAGTGTGGGGGCACTGGACAAGACAATCAGTCCTGTCTCTTAGGAGGGGTAAGAGGAGGTTGCTCTAAATGAAGTGACACGTCTAAATGTAACCTGTGGACCCTGTTAGGATTCTCATTCACGCAGACCACTGTAAAATGTCATGTTTGAAAAAACTAGGTAAACGTGAGTGAGCATGGACTACAAAATGATACTGGAAAATTAGTATTAGTGTTGTTAGGGGTGATAATAGCATATGTAAGAAAATCCCTAAAACGTTTGAGATGTATTCTGAAAAATGTAGAGGTGAAAGGCCATGATGACTGGAATTCGCTTAGGAGTGGCGGGAGAGAAAATAAACGTGGCAAAATCTTCCTGTTGAATTTACCCGGTTGTGTAGGGGTCAGGGCTCACTTGACTATTTTCTCCCACTTTTTTGTGTTTGGAAACAATTTTTTTAAAGCGTGTTCATCGGCTACTGACACATCATGCTAATTGAAGTGTTGGGTGCAGGTTTAAAAAGTTTCGAGGGAATTGGTGTGTCCGTGAACAATCCACGACAAACGTGGTGGGGCCCGCGGGAGCGCTGCGGCCCAAGACAGTGTGACAAGCGGGAAGATCACGAGTCCGCAAGACACCAAGCCTCCAGAAATGCTCCAGAAACGCTCCAGAAAGCCTTTAAAGAACGGATTTGAACCCAGCCCTCCCACAGCGGCTTCACCCTGGACTCCACGAAACGCCAGCAGATCCACGCGAGAACCACACACACCTGGGGCTGGCGCCGCTGGACGCCGCGGCTTCACGGAGACCCAGGGCCCAAGCAGAGCCAAGGAGCGGCGGCAACCGCGGGGGCCACTCGGAAGACCGCGGAGCCCCGGCCTTAGGCGCCGTCGCGGCTGCCAGGCCCGCGCACCTTCCAGCTGCGGTGAGCGCGCTGCCCTTATCCCGGTGCCTCACCTCTTCCGCGCCAGCTGCAGACGCACCTCCCTGTCCTCGGGCGTCTCCCTCCGCCCCTCCTCCTCCTCCTCTTCGTCCTCAGTCCCAGCTCGGCACGGCGCCTTCACCACCTCTCCGAAGAACGTGGCCGCCATAGCCGCCCCGTGACCGGCTGGACACAACTGCAGCGCCGCGGGACCGCACGCCGGCTTGCGCGAGACCACGCTCCCTCACCGCGCGGGCAATAAGTCCCGCCCCGCACAGGCCACGCCCTCCGCGCACAGCCCAAGCTCGCGGCCACACCCCCACCGCGCGGGCGCTACGTCCCGCCCCGCACAGGGCTCGCTCCCAGGCACACCCTGAGCTCGCGGCCACGCCCTCTACACCGCCCGCCCGCGCTGTCATGCCCTGGGCCAGCAGTCCCCGCAGCTTTTTTGTTTTTAAATTACAGATTGGGGGAGGGGGTCTCGCTATGTTGCCCAGACTGGTCTCGAACTCCAGGACTCTAGCGATCGTCCTCCTTAGACCTCCCAAAGTGCTTGGATTACAGGCCTCAGCCACCGCGTCCGGCCCCCAAAGGCTTTCATTCGCAGCTTGAGCCCTGCGGGCGCCAGGAGGTGGGAGGACTGCGGGCTAGAGGGGCAGGGGGCGAGAGGAGGGCGGGGCCTCCGTTCGTGGCGGTAGCGGAACCAGGGGTGCAGGGGCGGAGCCAGCGCCGCTGGCCGTGGCGTCCGGGAGCTGTGGGGCCGTCCCCTCATCGTCCGTTTCCATTTTCCTTCTGCGTTAGGAGAGACTGGGGTAGCATTAGTGTACTGAGCACCCGCTCCAAATTTCGACTGCCCAGGTAGGTGGCGGCGCGGTGGTACTGAGGGCCCCCGTAGCCAGGCGCGCCCTCAGACAGCGGGCACGGGCGGACGCAAGGGCAGCAAGAAATACAGCGCTTCGTGGTGGTATAAAAACGAGACCTTTACTCTGGCAATAGGAATTCACATTTCAAAAGCTGATGATTGTCAAGGCGATTTAAAAAACATTTTTATGAGTGTAAAAAATAGTGTTTTAAAGTTGGCCATTTTCTAATACAAAATGTTTCTTTTTAAATAGCCTTTAATAAGCAGAATGTGTGATTGTTCTTTAATTGGTTCTCTTTAAAATGTGCTGGAAGACAAAGTTCGAGGAGCACTGTTTCAAGCAAGAGAAAAAGGGGACATAATTTAAATGAAAATGAAAATATGCAGTAATGCAATGAAAAAACCGTTTCCTAGATTTAGTTGTACCGAAATACATGACATCGCCTGCATTTTGTGACTTTGTCAGTAGTCACGAAGGTAAGTACTACTTTGGGGTCAGAGAGAGCCTGTTGAGATAAAATCTCAAAGCTGTTAGAAACATTTTAAGATGTGGAAAGATAATCAACAAAATCATTTACATAAAATTAGTACTTAGCAGATGTACACATCTGCAAAAATAAAGTGAGTTTGGAAGCAAAATTTGAACATTTAGCAATAAAATTAAGACGAAATTGCTAGCCAGTAAGAGCTTAGGAAACTGGATATCCTTAGTGAGATAGAATAAACAAGATCACCACAATGATGTTTTAAAACATTAGGACTCCTGGGTTAACTGGTCTATTATGATGATGGAACTGCAGAATAAAAAGGTTGTTTGGGCACCACTTGTCTTAGTCCTTTTGTTAATTTGTCATTTTTACCAGTAAGATCTTCAATTTGATTTCACAGTTCCATGATGAAGAAATATTTTCTGCAAAGCAAATTACTGTAAATAGGGTAATAGTAATACATTTGGCCATGATTTAAATTCTGCACACATTTCAGAGAGAACAATTTTACAATGTTAAGTTTTAAGCAAATGCTTATTTCATGCAGTTACAATAAGTTTAGGCCAAGCACTTTTTAAAAAGGCAAATATGTTCGAATTAAATACTTAGCCAAAAAAGGATTTCATTATGCAAGACTGATAATACAATCTCAAATACTGACAGAAATTAACCCCACCACAGCAAATTATAAATTCAAAGCTTAAATTCTTTCATTACACTGAAATTGCTAAAAAAAAAAAAAAAAAAAAAAAAAAACTTTGCATAAAATAGTCTTCACCGAGTTAAGTATTTCATTTTATAGTTACTTGTTGAGGACATAATATACTCAATAAATATTATAAATTAAGTGTAAAATTTGAACTGGAAAGAAGTTTAAGCATTTCATTAGAGCTCAAAAATCAAACCCCATGCACCTAAAAGTAATAGCAGTTTATTAGGAATTCTTCCCTTTCTCACCTGTGTATCAACATATTGGGGATCAGTAATTTAGATGAAAGTATACTACAAAAGGAGCAAAGGACACAGACTTAGTAGGTTAGAATATTCTGGCTTATGCTAAAAAACAAAAAGCCTTTTTTTTAAAACAGACATGCAACCACAAATTTCTCAAGTATTTTAGACACTTGGTTCATCTGTATAACAAAAAAAAAAAAATGCATTTGACTTAAAAAAGAAATAGAAAACCCTAGGTTTCTGTAGTTTAGTTTTTCAGATTTACACATGCAAATCATATATTCAGATATTTTTAAATGGGAAAACAACTTACTTTCAACAACTTAATTTTTCCAGTAACACGTTACTATGTTAAAAAGATGCGACAGTATATTCATTTAATCTGGCAATTTTAATTTCAACAAATACATATTAACAACAAATTAAATCCTATTGTAAATACACTTCTTTGTTATACCACGACCAAATTTTCTAATCCTAGTACAGGCCACAATGAAATAGGCCAAACATGCTACCATTAAAGTTTGTTGGGATGAGATTGTAGTAAGTTTACTCAAAGTATTCAAGTTCTAATTTTTAAGGTGCTGTAGAGAAACATAAAAGATTTCACTGTATCTAAAAATATGACTGTTTTGATCTTAAGCTATACATTTTATTTTTATCTAACTGATTAAGACCTGCCTCTTAATGAGGCACATTTTTGGCATTTCTGTAAATGCTGCTACATACAAGTAAAAATAAGGAAAAGCCGTGATAGTAACATTCATAGCTTTCATAGAAAAATATATATTCCCTGAATTAGTCATATCAAGTGGTCATTCAGTATGAACTGCAATATTATAAACAAAATGACATCAATGGACTTTCTCTAATTGCCTATTTCCAACACTCTACTTCAGAACTCAATAATCAGTATCTCCAGCTGAAATTCCCAGGTCCTCCTAGTTTGTTTTTGACCTTTGGGGATGTGAATTGTAGGGAATGGATCTGGGTAGTTTTTGCTTCACTCAGAAGTCAAATAGGCCCATTAGCACTTCCTTTGGAAAAATGCCTGATTTTTTTTCCTCATGACACCATAGTTGTCGTGGTCTGAATTTTTACACTGTAATGGAGAACCCTGAAAATTAGCATCAGGTTAAGATTTTGAAATTTGTTCACTTCAAGTTCTTCCTAGCCTGTACACTTCCCATTATATTCTTCCTCTAAGGAATCATGTCTTCAAGGCCTTGCATTCTGGAAAGGAATAGTAGTCTTATAGCAGGCCATTTGTCTTTTCTTTCCACCTCTCCACCTACAGACTCTGCAATTTATTTCCTCCTCAGAATTCCCCAGAGCACATGTCTGTACAAGAGCTGACTGGGAGGAACCCACTGGATTATGGCTTTTAGAAAATTCCTCCAAAGATGCCAATAAGGGAGTAATTTTAGAGCTGGGAGCAGAATGTAACTGCCAGTTTACTTGTGTACCAATTGTTTTCAGATGCCACTTCTACATTCTCATAGTCACTATTGTGCATTTTCTTTCCAGGATCTGAACCCCCTTAAAAAAAGCATTTTTCTATTAATATCTTCTAGCTCTTTTTCACTTTCAGAATTTATGGTTGTATCATCCTCTTTATAAACATTCAGTAATTTTTTCTTAGCCGCAGCAGAAGCATTTCGATGGGGCAGTTTTCTGCTACTCTTCCTAATCCAGACATTTTCTGGTCCTGAGATCGTTTCTTTTAGATTACTCATTATCTTTATTTTATTTGCAGCAACAGTAGCACATCTGCGGGGAACTTTCTCAGGTACCATTTTTGCTTTCAGAGTTTCACTAGGCATCTGCACTGCATCCTTCTGATTATGCATACATGTTCTCACTTTTGTATTGGGTTCTCTGTCTCTAGGAACAAATTCTGAAAAATGAGTGAAAGTTCATGTAAATGCAAAAATCTTGTAACACAAGATTTTACTACTGCTAACATTCCTCAACAACACTCATTCGGAAACAATAAATTTAAAAGTCATATTGCTAAATGATAAATTTTAAAATGTGATACTAAGGGCTTCTTCACATTGATATAACCTTACATTTGCTTATCTACAACTATAAGGATGTCACTTAAAACAGTAGCAGACTTGTAAGAATGGGGTGAAAAGTTCCTTCAGCATCGGCATCATAAAGCTGCTAATCTAAAAACATATATATGAGCATTTTACATAATTTGAATTACTAAATCTTAACTTCATTGTTCCAGTATTTTCTGACCTAGGTATGTGACACACGAGATTCAGATTAAAATTCTAAAAAATAACACAGAGTTGCTTTAAGGAACCAAAAAGTGCAGAGTGCTATGAGAACACAGACTGGAAACCTAACCTAGCCTAAGGGATCAAGGAAGGCTTCCTTTAAGGAAGCTTTTAGACGAGAGGTGAAAATTGTGAAGGGATTTGCCAGACAAAAAGCACTTTGGAGAGTTAACTACTTCATGCAGACTAAGGCAGTTTTTAGAGGGGGCTTGAAATCACACTGGAGCTCTACACAGCCACATGATGCCAGAGCTACTACTCCGTGCTGACCAAACTTAGGAGGGCTCAGATATGTTTGTTACCAGTGTCTCAAAGCCAAATTTTCAAATTTCACAAACAAGTCTAATTAGTACTCTTCTAGAACAGAAGTGATATTCCTTTTACGTATCTGAAGTTCACGGGCCCTTGAATTTTAGGTCTTTCTTGCAGCCATGAACAGTCAAACTATCTAAAACTGCCTTCATGGTACACACCAATCTTGATGGCAGTTTGTTTTGTAGGACCCTGCCTGAAGTTTCCAGACATTTAGCATTCAAAAGGTAAGGCTGTAGATCACTGAAATAACCAGTTGATATCCTCCACCCACACTAGACATCTGGAGGACTCCACCACATTCTTTTTACTACTAAGTACTAGAAAATGAGAGCTCTTTTAGTCAGATACTATCAAGTAACACTATTATTCTGTAGCAATGAAACCACCAATGCCAACCTTCTGAACTTTTTCTTCTGTGAAGATGTTTGCCCTTCTGTCACAAAGCTGACTGAAGGGCAGATGAGTACAGGTAAAAACTGCTTCTGTGGACTGACATGTTCATACAGCTAGACTAATGAGGCAGGCCTCTGCCCTCACAGTGCAAGCACTTCAGATTTTTCCCTAAGTCTATGAAACTGATTTCACACTTCTCTAAGATCAGTTGAGCGTTCTCCCCAGAATAGGTTAGGAAATACTTTATTCAAAGCAACCCCACCACATACACATCAGTTCCTTTTGCCAACTAACTTATGTGATTCACATGTTTTTCCAGTGAAATTCTAAGGGCACTATGTTTTGTTCAGTGTTCAGTCTCCAGGCATTGTAAATGGCATTTTACCAGAGTAAGACACTCATCACGGCATTACTCTCATGCAGCATGCCCTTACCTCCTTCAGCTGGACTCTGTGGGAAGAGAAGTGGCTTAAAGTGCACTGTGTTTACCACTTCAAAGACACTTCTCTTGGGAATTTTAAAATTATGAACTAGTATCTCCAACAAGTCAACCCTATATCCAAAATGAATCTTTAACACATTAAATCAATGTTAGCAAATGCTAAAATGTAAATATGCTACAAAGGGTAAACAAAAATTTTAAAATATGCAAAATTAAGGTGAAATTTGCACTTTATAGTAGGATGAGAATATACTATTATCAACTAGCTGCACCATTTGCATTTGGAAGAAAAGAACAGATAACTGGTTCATTCCCAACAACCTATTCATCCAGACAAATAGATAAAATTCTATTTCAACTACAATTTGTAACAAAATGCTTTAAGTTGCAGAAATTCCATTTTGATGTGTGATCAAAGTACCTATACTGACAATTTAGGAACCTAGTAAATACTAATTCTAACACATTTTAATAAATGTTTATTTGTCATCCAGAATAATGGAAAAGTTAAGATTCTGCAGGAAAAAAAAAACTAAAATCAGGTTTTTAAAAAATACTTAAGGAAATTTGAACTTCAGTAACTATGCCCAAGGGAGGGAGAATTTGAATTACACTGTACTCTAACTTGATAAAGCTGAATCTCTTAAGTCTTAGACAATAAAACAGGAATTTCAGAGAATAAGGATAAAAACAATCTGAGGAAGACAAAACTGTGGAGAATTTTTTTAAATACATTCAAGTCAGTGTTAATTTTATTACTGAAAACTGAGTAAATTATAAAGTGCTTTTTCTCAAGAAAACTACAAACAGTTTTAGAAATATATATAGGATATTTCAGGGTTAGAAGTCAAATTTGTGTGTTAGGGTACAAGCTTAAGAACTCTGGATGTTGCTGCTCTAACAATGCATTTGTGATGGTGCCATGTGATACTAAGAAGTCAGTAGAATCCCACCAGTCCTACTGCCTCAGATGAGTCTTGTTTCAGTCATGGGTTTACAAAGTCATTGAGTGCTTGAGGACTTGTTTTCCTGGAAGTGATTCCCTACTTGGGTATGGCAAGAACACATCAGTAGTGTAAAACTGTACATCTGTAGTAGCACTCCATGATCATTTCCCTGGATGACCACTTTAAATTATAACTCACAGATATGTGTGTATTCTAAGATGGTATATGTGGTGAATAGAAACCTGGATACAAACATAACAGTTCTGACTCAACACAATCTCTAGTTTCTACATTTCAAGGATTAATCATATTCTAATTAGACTTTTTTTTAATTTTTAAGCTACCTTATTTACAGATTCTGCACAATATTTCATCATACAAAACTGTTTTCCTAAATTCAAAGTAAACTGCATATGGTTACTACAGAAGCATTATAAAATTTTCATTGGCATTTTTAAAATTGGAGCATTTAAAACAGATTTGAGAATGAGAAAAGAATGTCTGACTCAAAATGAAAACATACTAGCCTCTTTCATAAACTCCTAGAATCTTGACATTATTGGTTGCTGTGGTTGGTGGATAAATCAAATCCACAAAGTGGGTAAACCCTCTAGGTGCAAGTTATAAGCTCCCTCAAGCAAGCCTTTTATCAGAAAAGACTTGAGATATTCTCTCCTCTGTCTGCCCTTCATTGATAAGCAATGAAATGACCCCAAAACTCAGAAAGCAAATAACATTTATCAATGATCTTCATCCCTCCCAAAGCAGAAGTTTCCAAAAACATCCCATAAACTGAAGTACCCCAATGGCTGTAGAATAAAATGGTTTCTGTAACTTGCTGTGTTTTTAAACAGTTCCGTTTTCTAGGGGGAGCTGGTAACACTGCAGTATGGCAGCATCAGGTCAAAAGACCATCAGAAATAATTCCATGAACTAGTTCATTAGCTTATTCATTTTTAGGGTTCATTTACTCAATGATGGGCACCACACAACTCTGAATTTTTGTTCTTATTCTGGAACTACAACTAATCTAGCTCATCACAATACAGTTTTCTCTCACCCCTAGAAAAACTCAGATTTGTGATGGCTATTGCAATTTTTAATAAAAATCTCATAAAAGCCTTATTTTGAAATATGAATTCAGGGACTTTATACTTAACTGCTTAATTTGCTTTTTAGAAGCAATACCTTAAGAGCATTTCACACTAAATGCAGGCAGAATCAGAAGTAAATACTTGTTTTCAATCTACCCTATTACTGTACTACTGGAAAGAAACCAGGCCACAGACAATCCAATGGCAAACCCCTTTTCCAGCAGGGCTCCTGACTCGCTTCAGTTCCCCTATCCAAGCTCATATGTAAAACTCACAGCGCTCGCACCCCTATATTCTGCCTGCATGAAAAGAAATTACCAGTGGAAAAGAGGTTGGGGAACCACTTGGGACAAGTCTGGAATTAACCAGCTAGAATGTATTTGGCTTGGAGTAGTGTTTTGTTTTGTTTTTTAACTCTTTTGCTTGTTAAGATGAAAATGCTAAATTTATTATATCCCATTTAAGAACTGACAAAAATCATCTAAATGAATAGATTAATTTAGAACATTAACGATCTTATGTGAAGTGGAAAACTAAAGATCTGCTTGACAGGCTCATGTAATTTTTTGATTGGGATTTTGTAGGTGAATATATAGTTGCAGTCCAAGGACTGATTCACATTTAGAAAATTAACTTGAATATATCAAAAATTAAAGATCCCTTTAACTTTTACCCACTGATCAAAAAAGGTAATTTTTAAAATGATTTACCTTGTAAAACAAAGGGGTAGAGCTGCTACAGTCCATCTAGGCTCTATATACTGGTCATCTCATTTCAGTTAGGTCAATTGGACTGCCTCTTCTCTTTGGCAGTCTAAAATCTCATTTAAGGGCTTTAATAAATGAAAAAACTTACCTTAAAACTGACATAACTAAAATATGACCAGAAAGTATACCATAGCATTGATAATTAAATTCAAACTATTGGTCTTGCCATACTTGAGAAACAGATGTATAGTCTAATTATTTACATGTTGCCAAAGATAGAGCCTGCAGATTGGTAGAATCCAAATGATGTGACTCTCCCCCTCCCTCCATCAAATCTAGAAAAGCAATTCTTGAGCAGACACCAATTTAAAGATATTTTTCTACCAATTTAACAATATATTAGGAACCAGCTTGGCAGATTATGAAAAAGGTAAAAATCTCTTACTTTTGAGAATCCCCATGTATCCTTGGGCAACATCTCTGTAATTTAACAGCCTTTAAAACTTAAAATCGTAAGAAAAGACAACACAGCCCTTAGCATTACATACTTTACTTTTCAATCCTTACTATTCACAGTTTGAGCTAGGAATTAACATTTGCTAATCTAGTTGGACTCAGTTTTTCCCACAATGCTCTATTTTCTCACCTAGTTTTGACAAATTTATTCCTTCTCTTCCCAAATACTAGGATAAGAGACAGTCTCAAACTGTTAAGTTGCAAATTTCTTGGGGTTTCTGCTTTATTATTTCCTTGATATCCACAGCAGAAATTCAGAGGTATAACTTCAACATTAACAGGTGAAAAGTTCTACAATGACTTGTTGCACTCTATCACATTAAAATAATTGAACTATAATTTCCATACAACATAAGAAAACTACAGTATTTGGTGACAACTGCAAGATACCTGATAAATAAATATATCAACTTACTATTCATGAAAAGAATGGAGCTGGTTATTTCAGCTTTAAAAGGGCAAAGCAAAAAGACCATTTTCTAGCCATTTAAAAGTTACTCAAAAAATTGATACAATGGAGTGGAAAGGAAAACAAAAAAGATCGTAAGCACCTTTAACAATGTTCTTGCATTCTACTGATATACAAACCTCTGGGGTTTCAGTTGGCACAATCAAGTTCAACTTGTACTAACAGAAAATATTAAAATTCTTCCTATTTTTAATATCAAACAGGGAGGTTAGTAAATTGTTTTCTGATTCTTCTACAAAAAAAAAAGTCTAGAAGACAGAGGGAATGTAGTGTGCACCCCTTATTCTAAGTGATAATTTTTACTTACGAGGTCATAACGAGTGCAAAGGGCTTAGTGATGCATCTTATTCTTTACTTTTGGACAGTAACACCCTCAGATGGTATTTTTATTGGTTTGTTTTATATTCCCCTTTTCCATTTGCCCTTCTGTTTTGAAGTGCTTTTTCTTAAAACTTAAGTTCTTTGCCTCCATTTTCTTATAAACCCAATTTCCTCTTTAGGTGCAGCTCTACTATTTGAAAGGAACCTTTCTGTTGTAATTTACAAGCTGTGAGTAACTGCTATATCATTGTTTCCAAGGATTAATAAACTGAGAAATGATTTAATCAGATATTTGCCACTTACAAAAAGGGAGGCTGACCTTAGGAATTATTTGAATATGGGATAAACTTTTCCTTTTATTCATAAGTTACTTCACATTGTAAGTATACCTTTTTAAATAAGGAGGACACGAAAAAAGAAAGCTTTGTTAACACTCATCTATCTTGTCAATGTTTGAAATCATTTTTCCTTTATATGCTTGGTAAAGTGAGTCTTTCCAAGAAAGCAAAAATCAAATCTGAGTACTTCAAAGCCTGTAAAACCATAAATGAATAAAACCATAGGACTTTGGACATACACAACCAAAGTAGTTTTTGTTTTTCACATACACCATTAAGTTGAACTTCAAGTGCAGTGGAAAGGTACAGCACTTATTTCTGGATCAGTTCACATTCAAATTATAACCCTTTATCTTTTTCTCAAGAATACTACAAACTGACCCTAAACATTAAAGTACACCTGTGCATTAAATCCCTGGGCATTTTGCATAACGTAGAAAAAAAAGGCCAAACATGTTCTAGTGCTCAATGTAAACATTTTAACTATTAATGATTTATTAATTTTCCTTAAAGGTACTTAGGAGTGTGTGTGTCACATATTCAAAGTTAACCTTAGGAATAGCACCATAACCAAAAAAACCCATAAAAATTATTTTCTCCATTATCTCTCAGTTTTATTTCATAACTTGAGAAGCTACCATTGTCGGCTATGCTTTTAAAGACATCAGGTCCATTCTTGCTGCTTCTGATGAAACCAAATCTGATTAAAAACCAAAATACCACTTCTGTATGCAAGGGTCTAACTATTTTGGACTGAAAGAAAAAATGGTAATTGGATGGCCAGTCAATGACCAATTAATGCAGTCCAAATAATCAGAATAGTTCTATTAATGAAGCCTAAACTGTCAAAATATTGTTTTATACCAAAAGAATGTATGTACTTATGAATGTATTCCATATTTATTTATGGATTTTTTTGGTACCTTTTTGCAAATGATGGTAAACATGGAGTTAAAACCTGAGAACAGATTATAAAAGAGAAGGTTAAGAAGAGTTTAAATAAATTAATGGATTTGACATCTATCACCAGTTTTTAAAATTAGCAAAGTAAAAGGCATCCCATTAGTCTTTTCAGTCTTAGTCAAGGACAATTATCATGAATCAATCTGTTTACTATCTACTTAACACAAGTTCTGAGAAGAAAAGCATCATAGTTCTGAAATGGTGATAGCTCTCTAAGCCACAAATGAGAGGAGGTTTCCCACCTATCTCAGTTGATAATGTCCAAAAACATCCTTCCCCATGCATCAGAGTAGAAAGAAAATGTACCTTCTACTATGTCAAATGGAATAGATAACTACAAAATAGGAACACTTCAGAACATTCTCTAACATTAATACCAGTCTGATGCTTCGCCTTGTCTGCCACTTCAAAGATACACAGGAGAAAAGGTTTTGTCTGAAACCAAACACAATTAGGGCTAATAAATAACATTGTCTAATATTGATACCAGTCTGATGCTTCACCTTATCTGCCACTTCAAAGATACACAGGAGAAAAGGGTTAATTTTGTCTGAAATCAAACACAATTAGGGCTAATAAATAACTTACAGGTGGGGTACTGTAACATATCCCTTACCCACTAAATATGTAAACCATTTGAATCAAGTCCATCTTCAGGCACAAACAAGTTAGGAATGGCCATCTACACTGGAGTAGCATAACCTATCAAGTATTTGGTTAGAAAATAAGTGTACTATTTGTGTGATAAACTTTCACTTTAAATGGATTATAAAATTATTTTCCCACAAAACATGACAGTTTCTTATATTTGGACTAGAAGTCACTAATAAAGATACATTTAGTTGCCCCAGCAAAGAATGCTTAGGATTGCACATGGAAGCAGTAAACTAAAACAAAGAGATGGAGAATGACATTTAGCTATTTTCCTATATAGATAAGATTTGCAATTGTACTCTTAACAAAACTCACCTCTACAATTGGAATACAGATGGGGGAAACCTACATATTAACTTAAATACTCTTTTAGCCCTGTACACTCTATTAAAGAACACACTTCTAAATCTAAGGCACACGAATTCCTCTATTTCACAGAGTAAGATTATGGAAGAGCAAGATTTTGGTTAAATCCCTTACAATGGAAACCAGGAGATCTTGGACAGAAGACAGATTATATAGCATTTTGTTAGTGCACAATTTAAAAGAAAATGCTCTGACTATGCTCTGGTCCTAGAGGTTTAAAACATGCACTCAAATCATTAAAAATAATTTACCAGCACTTTATAAATTCAAGTTTATAACATAAAAGTGACAACGTTTTCCTTAAGAAGAAAAAAACCCAACAGCACTTGGGAAGAAAATTAGAAACCATTTCAATGAAAGTGACCAGATCTGGTATAATGCATTCTACTCAAGTAGCCAGGGGAAGAAAAAAAAAAAAGTGGTAGGTACCTCGCCTACTAATCATGGTTACACCTCCCATGATTATAGTGTCAGTATGCATGTATTTATGAAGAATCTGTAAACATAGGTTGTGAAATTGTTGTAACTACTATAGAACAGGGGTTAGAAACTACTGCCTCTTTGACAAATTCAGAAAATAACTGCATGACACTTGCTGCCATGAAAGTAATGCTCATTGGTTTTGATAACCAGGATGTCTAGTGTTTAACATATTTCAAACTCTTGCTATATGTAGTCAAATACTGTCAAAATAGATCTGCCCCCAAAATGAAGCATATTTTGGCACCTGTGCTGAATGCTGCTACAAAGACCAGCAAGTGCAAATAAAAATAACAGTCATGATTTAGTCACATTCATAACTTTTCATAGAAAAATATAAATATATTCCCTGAATTGTAAGACAAAAAAATAATTTTAACAGCCAGCTTTCACCATAAATGCCAGTCCATTTCCTCTTAAATGAACTGGCTTTCCCTCAAGGTCATAAGGTGCAACCATTGAAATCTAACACATTTTCTAAACTTCTGTCATCATCCCCATCATGGTATCTCACAGTCCTTCTACCCTGATTTCTCGTTTTTATTTTTGAACGTCGAAGAACTCTTTTAGATTTTGCATAGTCCAAATCCTCCCAGTCATTATCATCCACACTTAACCTAGGGCGTTTGCTTTGTCTTTGACGTCTCACAGTTTTAGATATGTTAGCTGTAAAAGTTTTACCTTTTCTAACTACTTTTGCTTTTCCTTTCGTTTTCCTCCTTTTGGTTTTTGTATTATCAGTACAGTCAATATCTGATTCAGTTACAGATCCCAAATCTGATGATTTGGAACTAGTATCAGGTCTAAACTTTGAATTCCCAGTTGTTTCAGAGATTTTCACATTTTCCAATTCAGGATGCGATCTCTTCCTTTTTACTTCCTTCTCTGCTGTTTCCTGTGAATCATGAATCACTTTTGTCTTACTAAAAGGAGCCTTTCCATAGGTCCTGAGTCTTCTGCCATTCCACCTGCGCAGCCCATAATTCAGTTCCACTTCAAAATTATTCTCTGCAGTAGCTTTTTGTGCCAAGGTTGACTCTGAAGAAAATGTCCTATCAGTCTCACTCCCTGGAATATGACTTTTTGAATCTTCTCCTGAAGATGTAACAGAGGAACTTTTTCTTTTAGAAGGTGCATCTATTTTGTGAATATTGGTATGCCTGTGCTTGTGTTCTGAATTCAACATATCTTCAGAGTCTGAGTCTCCATTTAGAGCCTGACTAAGCACTTTTGTACTACCTTCGGAGTCAGGATCAGGTGGCTTGCCTTCACAGGCATACTGTTCACTTGGTACTTCACAATGTACACTTCCTTCACAATCACTCAATTTCTTCTTAGCTGTAGTACAAGCAAGATGGAGAGGTTTTTTCCTTCCATTTTTGCTTCTAGTGTGCACATTTTCTAAACTGACATCTTCTACATCACTCATGAGCTTGATCTTATTGGCAGCCGTAGCTGCACATCTTCGAGTAATCCTCAGGAGACCTGTTCTGGCTTTTGATGATTTCTTAACCACCTGTAAACTACTGTCTGAGTCACTGGAACAGACCCTTTTCCTGGAAATTTTTCTGCTTAGTCCATTGTCTTGTGATGCAGAATCTAAAAGTTAAAGAGCAGATTTCTATTAATCTTTTGTAAGTCTAAAGGAATTATATGTTCAATATTAAAAACAAGTTCAGAATTCGTATTAATTTGAAGGGGGTATTGCAGTGAATGGAATGGTACACACCTATTAGTATAGTCATATGTTGCTCAACAGCAAGGATACGTTCTGAGAAATGCATCGTTAGGCTATTTCGTCTTAAGCAAACATCACAGAGTGTGCTTACACAAACCTTACAGTACACCCTACTACACATCTAGGTTATATGGTATAGCCTATTACTCCTAGGCTACAAACCTGTATGACATGCTACTGTTCTGAATCCTGCAGGCAGTTGTCACACAATGGTAAGTCTGTGTCTGTGTATCCAAACAGAAAAGGTAATGCACTGCACTAGGACTTGAGGACAGCTATGATTACTTCACTAAGCAATGGAAATTTTTAACCTTCATTATAATCTTATGAGACCACCACTGTTATGCAGCACATGACTGTACTTTAAAGCAGTAACTTTTTCATCCTCAGCACCATTCACAAATTCAACACATTCTCAATAACATCCCATGATCTTGACACTATAATATTAACATGAATACAACTAAACTGTTTACCATAGCACTAGCATATGCAAAGTAATCACTTAACACTCAGCCTCTCTGAAACTCCCCGTAACTCCCCAAGCTCCAATCACACAATTACTTTTCATCTTAGTTTTAGCTGTCTTCTGCTCTACAGTATTTTATCAATCCCCATGTACCAGGGGTACAATCTTAATTCAACAAGTTATTTCACCACTTTGTGCTCCAGTTATTACCTGTAAAATGAACAATAATGCTAGTACCTACTTCATAAAAGAAATGAAGACTAAACTGCTTATTAATGGAAAACATTTAGAAAAACTTCCTAATAGAAACAGCTCAGTAACTGTTTTATTTGCTATTACTAACATCTCTTTTTATTAAACAGTCCTACCCTTTTTGTCTACTACTTAAGCTATCAACATCACAGCTTATAAATGTGCCCCTCTCTGCTTTATTCAAGCCCATCTCTAATATAATATATCCCCATCATCAATACAAGAAGTGAAATCTTCAATAGGCATAGTTCTTAAGGCCAAGATTGCCTGTTAGGTGAATAAAATTATACTCAATAAAAAGTTACGCATGCACATAAGAATATAAAGGATGAACAGAGAAGGCTAACACAGAATGCATGGGAGGGAGAGAAACAGCAAAGAGAAAAAAGTTTCAAGGGAAACTTTTTCGGGGGGAAAAAACCAATGTGTGTAAGAGAAAAGGATGGTGAGAGTCAATCAGTGAACAAAGATAAATGTTTTGAATTACCTTTCATAAAATTGTTTGGTTTTTCTATTTTGTCATCATCTGAATCTAAATCAGTTTCACATCCATGATCTGAGGAACACTGGGACATAGCAATAGGGTCACAGTTCAGATTTCCTGAAATTGGGTTCATTTCCATTTTATGACATTTCCCATCTTCTCTATCTTGCTCTTCAGATTCAGAGTCTTCTGAGTCACTCAGAATCTTGGTTTTTTTAAAGAAACTCGCATTCTTGTGAAATGTATTGTATTTCCTACCACCAGATCTTCCTGGTTCAGAATCTGCTTCCTCTGAGATGCTCTCTGCCTTAAGTTTCTGCACAGACGTTGATGGGCCAGCAGTTCTGTTACATGCATGATCTGAATCATGACTTTTAGAGTCTTCCTCAGAAGACTCTATTTTAAGAAATTTTGTCTTTGAAGGTGCTGGAGTATGGGACTTGTAACCATTAGCATGCCAATTTTTCCGGGCTACCCGCAAATCACTTTCTGACTCTGAGTCTCTGTTTTCAGATTCATCAACATTGCTCTGGGCAGTGTGAGAACTGGACACTGGTAATAGTTGATTTTCATCTTTTAGCTCCTCTTCTTCAATTTCTGACTTTAAGCTCTGTTCATCTTCAGAATTATGTAATAACTTTTTTCTAGCTACAGCAGAAGCATTGCGGTGAGGCAGCTTCCGACCAGAACAGACACTTTCAGAGCTAGAATTCTCTTCTACATCACTCATTAGCTTTATTTTATTGGCAGCCACAGCAGCACACTTCCTTAAGACTTTTCGGTTATTTCCAGCTCTGGCTTTTAGAATTTCACCAGTCTCCAATGAATTGTTATCAGAATCACTTAAATAGACTCTCTTTCGAGTGGCTTTTCTGCCACATCCATTTGCTAATGAAACGGGACCTAGAAATAAGGTTAACAATAAGATTAAAAAGATTTTCCTTATTTCAACATTTTTAAATGACTATTATTTTAATGATTTTCTTCACTTTTTTGGGGGGCGGGGAGGAGACGGAGTTTCGCTCTTGTTGCCCAGGCTGGAGTGCAATGGTGCAATTTTGGCTCACTGCAACCTCTGCCTCCTGGGTGCAAGCGATTCTCCTACCTCAGCCTCCTGAGTAGCTGGGATTACAAGCACCAGTCACCATGCCTGGCTAATTTTTTGTATTTTTAGTAGAGACAAGGCTTCGCCATGGTGGCCAGGCTGGTCTCGAAACTCCTGACCTCAGGTGATCCGCCCACCTCAGCCTCCCAAAGTGCTGGGATTATAGGCGTGAGCCACCGCACCCAGCCTTTTCTTCACTTTTTAATGCCAAAATTCATTTCCTTCCTAAATCTAAGGAACCTAAAGGACATTAACTTAATCTTACGTAGATGCATTAAATCGAGAATCTATTCAATTTATAACTTTTGGATTCTTTTGATATACATTCCATAAAAGTACTACTGAGTCTCTTACCAGTTTTTCTTTGAGCAGCTCTAGTTCTGGTTACCCTGAGATTGCTGCTTCTGGATAGCCCACTGCGTGAGGAGGATTCACGAGCTCTGGAACTCTCTTTGCTTTCCTCAGAACTACTGGAAGCTGACGATGACAAAGAGGTAGCTAAAGAATCTTCCACTTCACTTTCTAGGAAAAATAAAGTGTAAATAGTTACATATATTCTCCTGTCTTTACACACATAAGCAAGCAGTTCATAACATTACTCTGAACATTACATAACATTACTACAAAAGCAGATTCCTAAAATGCTTAGAATATATTTTTTAAAAACCATTCCCAAAAAAAGCTGATGAAATTTGGAGTATTAAAAGGTACATAATCAGCATTCCAAATAGTTTTTAATTATATTTCTAAAAATAACAGATTAATCCTAGTGTAGATTTACAAAATATAGTTTATGTATTTTATAAACAGACTTCCAATTAAAAATTTAATTAGCTGCAGGCCGGGCACGGTGACTCACTCCAGTAATCCTAGCATTTTGGGAGGCTGAGGTGGGTGGATCACTTGAGGCCAGGAGTTCAAAACTAGCCTGGCCAAATAGTGAAACCCCATCTCTACTGAAAATACAAAATTAGCCAGGCGTGGTGGCAGGACCCTGAAATCCCAGCTACTGGGGAGGCTGAGGCAGAAGAATCACTTGAACCCAGGAGGGGAAGGTAGCAGTGAGCCAAGATCGTGCCACTGCACTCCAGCCTGGGCGACAGAAAGAGACTCTGTCTCAAAAATAAATTAGTTAAATTAATTGGATCCATGTCTACTCCCTTCTGTGATATCAGATAGGTATTTCATATAAAAAAGACACCATCATTTCAATTCCAGCATTTCAGAAGACATAGTTTGCATGTCTCACCATCCTTTTACCCATTCCTAACAGCACAGTAAGGTCATTTCTTACATAACAGCTACACGAGAGAAAGAGTGTGAGAGGGAAGAAAAGAAAACTGGCTGTGATACCAAAATACTAGACACCAAATTGTGGTTCATCCTTTGAACTTGTTCTACTGTTTGCCCACCTCAGCTACTCCTGTCAACTCTACCATCCATCACCTTGACTCCCTGTTTTTCCAGGCTCTTCCCCTCCCTCTGCACATCACTGCCAAACTTAATCTTCCTGAAACATAATGTGACTCTGTCACTCAATAAGGAACCCAGTTCAGTAATCCAAACTCTTCTGCAAGGCTCGAAAGTTGCTAAACTTTGACTGTACTCTATCTGTTTGATCCCATTGTTTGTAACATTCCCCAAAACGGTCTTTTCATTTGCACAAAATGCATCCTTCTTTCCTTCAGTGCATTTTCTCATAGTTGCTACTAGGCTGTAATGTGTCCACTTATCACTAGTGCCATTTTCAATTACTCCAGCATACTCTGATTGGACATTCCATGCTATGAATGTATCCCTTAAAACACTGTACAGTTCTAATGTGATACACATGAACTTGCTTGTCTTTCTCCACGTTTTATCACAGTCCACTTCCATTCCAAACTTTTATCTGTATGTATATTTTTCAATGCTGTCAATACTATTTATTGAAATACTAGGTAAAAGATATGTATAAATGATTCAATTATAACAGTAAATAGTATGCTATTGTCATAATTCAGCAAAACCACTCAGAGCAGTACAGAAATAGATACACACCACAGCCTCATTTGTACAATGTTAACAAAGTTAGCATCAGCTACAGTTATGCTACCAGATGGCAACAACATGAACAGTTTAGAATTTACTACGTCATCAGCTTTGAACTTCATTGATTCTTAGTACTTCTTAATTTTTAAATTAAAAAGATACAAAAACTTCAAATGCTGCACACCAAGTGTGAAGAATCTATGTATCATGTAATTGACAATTCAATATAAATGTACCATTCACAAAGCATGGCACTTACAGAAGATAACCGAATTGTTCCATGTTTATTATGTTTATCTCTTCCATTAAACTGTAAGTTCTTTCAGTGTCAAGGCCACATCTTTATATTTTCCTCTAAATCTCTAGTAACGGCCAGTGTTACACATTTGGGTGCTCAGCAAAGAAATAACATAGTATTTCACTTCTCACCAGATAATGTAGAACCATTTGTTATAGGTCTATTTCTTTTCCTCCTTTCTGATGATTCTGCTGAATCTGAAGAGTCACCAGAAGTAACACCTGAAGAGATACCAGCACTTGTCTTGTGGGTTCCAAGATAAGCTGTCCTACTTGAGGTAGACTGGGTAGGAGAACCTACCAACTCAGGAATTATTTTTGTCTGAGATTTTAACCTCTTCGGCTTGAGGTTTCTGGCCAAACATATGAACAAAGGAAACAGTATTTAACAAAATACAAAGATAATTGGTTCACAGAGAATGACTAAATAGAAGTATATCATATTTCTTAAACTGAGAGTAATTTTATCATCAAAACATTAAAATATTCACTATTAACATTTTATTCTGGCACTGATTAGTAGTAGTATTTCCTAACTCTAAATTTAACGTACTGTTATTCAAATTTGGAGTAATGAATCAATGTTCCAAGTAAGAGTTACAGAAAATTATTTGAATACCTTACATTCTTTGGATTAAATGCTAAGAGGAACCAACATTTACGTAATATAGGTATTCATTCATACTACCAATGTAAGCCTCAATAGGACCCAACTTTCTCCTCTCTTATTTCTATGTCCCTAAAGACAGAATATGGTTAAGAGGAGAAATCAACAAAACCTAAACAGGAAAAGTTAAAAAAAGGCATCAGAACAAAATGATTTTTGTCCCAAGACCAGACTATTTACATCTAACTGCACCCATTCACCATGGTTGGCCACTAGGCCAGGAATTATGAGAAAGGAGAATGGAAGTTTAAGGCATGTGAGAAATATGGGTGAATGAATATTGAGATAATCCTATTTTCCTTTAAAACAGCTAAGAAATGGCCGAACATGCCTGTAATCCCAGCACTTTAGGAGGCCAAGGCAGGTGGATAAATTGAAGCCAGGAGTTCAAACACTAGCCTGGGCAACATAGCATGACCCCATGCCTACAAAAAATTTAAAAATTAGCTGGGCATAGTTGTGCACATCTATGATCGCAGCTACTCAGGAGACTTGTTTTAGCCCAGGAGCTTGACATTACGATGACATTATGATCACACCATGCACTCCAGCCTGGGCAACAGAGCAAGACCCTGGTTCTTTTTTTTTTTTTTTTTTTTTTTTGAGACAGAGTCTCTGCTCACTGCAAGCTCCGCCTCCCGAGTTCACGCCATTCTCCTGCCTCAGCCTCCTGAGTAGCTGGGACTACAGGCGCCCACCACCACGCCCGGCTAATTTTTTGTAATTTTTAGTAGAGACAAGGTTTCACCATGTTAGCCAGGATGGTCTCGATCTCCTGACCTCGTGATCCACCCACCTCGGCCTCCCAAAGTGCTGGGATTACAAGCGTGAGCCACCGCGCCCAGCCGACCCTGCTTCTTAAAACAAAAGCAAAACAGCCTTTTAAGTGGTATCTAGACATTGAAGCTTAAAGTTAATCACAATTCTTTAAAGCAATAATTGTCAAGGCTGTAATATCAAAAATTTTAAATGCCGTTAATAATCAAGGGAGAGAACAAAAGTAAATATAAGGCTGGGCACAGTGGCTTATGCATGTAATCCCAGCACTTTGGAAGCCCGAGGCAGGTGGGTTATTTGAGGTCAGGAGTTTGAGACAAGCCGCCAAAATGGGGAAAAACCCCGTCTACAAAAAAAACAAAAAAAAACATCGGCGCGGGGGCGCGGGCCCCTAAAACCACAGACACGCGAGACGCAGACACAAAAAAAGCGCGAAAACCGGAGATGGAGAGGGCACAGAAAACAGATAGCACAACAACACACTCCAGCCTGGACAACAAGAGCAAAACTCCATCTCAAAAAAAAAAAAAAAAAAGTGATCTGATACCACCACCACCTAGGAAGGGGATGGAAGGAAGCTATACTAGAGCCAAGTTCCTATATGTACTGTAATAAAAATAGTATTAATATAAAATCGATTGTTTGCAATAGATTGAGATGCATAGTGTAGTCCCCAGAGCAACCACAAGGAAATCCCATCAAGGGATATACTGCACAGTTGAAAATATAAATGGAAACAAACTAAACATTGCACAACTCAATTTTTATACTGTAACAACATAAAGTACCTATAAATGTGATATTAATCTAAACTACATAGTCAAAGAATATAGAATGTAAATTAATATACAATTACTGAGAAAGTTAATAAATCCTTCATTTTACATTTCTTTACAAATAATCCTCAGTAATACTGAGGTACATTGTATCAAGGGTACATTTTCCCTTACACAATCAAATGCTCAAAAGACCATACATAAAAATCACATTATTCTCTACATAGCAGTCCCCAAGCTTTCTGGCACCAGGGACCGGTTTTGTGGAAGACAGTTTTTCCATGGACTGGGACTGGGGCCAGTGAGTGGGCAGAGTTCAAGACAAAACTGTTCCACCTCAGATCATCAGGCATTAGATCCTCATAAGGAGCACACAACCTGGATCCCTCGCATGCAGTTACAAAAAGGTTCCTGCTCCTATGAAAATCGAATGCCCCCACGGATCTGACAGCAGACAGAACTCAGGTGGTAATGCTTGTTTGCCAGCCAATCACATCCTACTGTGTGGCCCAGTCTACACAGGGAGCAGGTGCTGGGGACTCCGACTCTATATTAAAGAGCCAATTCTTATGCAAAATACAAATGACACTTTAAATAATCCTTAATAAGATTTGAAAAAATCTATAATTTTACATATTTATAGAATTACAAACCAATACAACAGCTCTATATTCACAGAAATGCTTTCAAGCTATAAAACCCATGACTAGTCTTTTCAGAATGTACAGTACTCTAAAGATTAAATAACACAGTCTTAAATTTTTAAAAAAATGCATACAGGCTGGGCGCAGTGGCTCACGCCTGTAATCCCAACATATTGGGAGGCCAAGGTGGAAGGATCTTGATCCCAGGAGTTCAAGACCAGCGTGGGCACCATAGCAAGACCCCATCTATACAAAAAATAATTTTTAAAAATTAGCCAGGCTTGGTGACACACCCCTGTTATCCCAACTACTCGGGAAGCTGAGGTGAGAGGGACTGCTTGAGACCAGAAAGTTGCAGCTGCAGTGGTCATGATCATATCACTAGACCCCAGCCTGGGCAACATAGTGAAACCCTGTCTTAAAAAATAAATAGGGCTGAGCGCGGTGGCTCACACCTGCAATCCTAGCACTTTAGGAGGCTGAGGCAGGCGGATTGCCTGAGCTCAGGAGTTCGAGACCAGCCTGGGCAACACGGTGAAACCCTGTCTCTACTAAAATACAAAAAATTAGCCAGGCATGGCAGCATGTACCTGTAGTCCCAACTACTCAGGAGGCTGAGGCAGGAGAACTGCTTGACCCGGGAGGCAGAGGTTGCAGTCAGCCAAGATCATGCCACTGCACTCCAACCTAGGTAACAGAGAGAGACTCCGTCTCCAAAAATAAATAAAAAATAAATAAATAGGCTGGGCGTGGTGGCTCACACCTGTAATCCCAACATTGTGGGAGGCCAAGGTGGGTGGATCACCTGCGGTCAGGAGTTCGAGACCAGCGTGGCCAACATGGTGAAACCCTGTCTCTTCTAAACATACAAAAATTAGCCAGATGTGATGGTGTGCGCCTGTAGTCCCAGCTACTTGGGAGGCTGAGGCAGGAAAATCACTTGAACCCGGGAGGCAGAGATCATGCCACTGCACTCCAGCCTGGGTGACACAGTGAGACTCTCTCCAAAATTAAATAAATAAATAAAGCAAGCTTGCCATAACCAGTTTACCTGATACTTTTGTTAGGCTGACTGTCACCTTTACAATTTTGCCGTTGCTTGAACCTCTGGCTTCTTCGAAGTTTTTCATTGAATTTTTGACCAATTTTAAAATCAGAAGAGATTTTCTTCATTTTTTCTTCAAATAAGGCAGATAATCTCAAGGTCATACTATAAATCTGCAAGGATATAAAAACAAAGTAGAATTACAAAATAGCCTTAAAAGTACTTAAGAAATAATTGTAATCATTGAGATCCCTTGCAATGTATTATATCACTGCTTATAGGTAATGGCTGTCACCCACTTCTTCTGTTTCCAACCCCCTTCCCTTAATGACATCTGGAAGTAAGAAGTATCAAATACATACCTCTCAGATGATAAGAAAGTAGTTTGAAGTCAAGCATCTATATTCAGGACTTGTGTCTATATGTCAGTGAATCTCAACTGTTTTTGCCTATTCTAACATCTGTATGTACAAACCCCAAAATATACCCTTCTCCCAAAGTTAGATGGGAAGTTGAATGGTTTTAAGGCTGCTATTTAGGCTACAAAAGCGCTGTCTTTCTTTGGGGCAAGGGAACAAAAGCACTTTTATATACCCATCTCTGTCTGCAATCTGTTTTCAATGCCACCTAATTCTAAAAATGAAACAAAAATACCTTGCATCCAGTAGCAGAAAGTATAACCTAGAACGTTAATGCATATGAAAGATTTGTTTTAACAATGTTTACAATTAAATAACATCAAATCTTAAATACTTTTGGATACAGCTATGTATGTACAGAACTACTCTATCCTCCTCCACGACTTTTCCTGAAAATAAGTGCAAAAGTCTAATGCTCAAAACTTAAATATAATTCTTGTGCATGGCAGTGGATGGCGAAGACACTCCAATACCAGAAAACTTTTTTAAAAAGTATGTGAGATATACGAATTTCTTACATGCTTCTCATATACATATATATATGCTCACAAATGAATGTGAAATTTGTTATACTTAATCTGAAATGATCTTTGACAGTTATTTTCAGTATTTCATATATATAAATTTTATTCTGCCAGGCACAGTGGCTCATGCCTATAATCCCAGTACTTTGGGAGGCCGAGGCAGGCAGATCACTTGAGGTCAAGGGTTCAAGACTAGCTTGGCCAATATGGTGAAACCCCATCTCTACTAAAAATACAATAATTAGCCGGGCATGGTGGCGCAAGCCTGTAGTCCCAGCTACCCGGGAGGCTGAAGCAGGCAAATTGCTCAGGAGTTGGAGGTTGCAGTGAGCCAAGATCTCACCACTGCTCTCCAGCCTGGGCAACAGAGTGAGACAGGCTCAAAAAAAAAAAAGAAAAAAAAGAAAACACACACACACACACACACACACACACACACAAACAAAACTCCAAAAACAACAAGTGTTGGCAAGGATGTGAACAAACTGTGGCTTTTATACACTGCCAGCGGGAATGTAAAAAGGTGCAGCCAATATGGAAAACAGTGTAGTGGTTCCTGGAAAAGGTAAACATGAATTATCCCATGACCCAGCAATTCTACTCTTAGGTCTATACCCAAGGGAATTGAGCAGGGTTTCTGAGAGATACGTGTATTCCAAAATTTGCTGCAGCATTACTCGTAATGGTCAAGAAATAGAAACAGCCGAGCTGGCCATCGATAGATGAATGAATAAGATATGGTATAACCACACACTTTAATATTATTCAGCCATAAAATGGAATAAAGTTCTGATACATGCTACAACATGCATAAGCCTTTAAGGCATTACACTAAGTGAAATAAATAAGCTGGACACAAAGGACAAATATGGTAAGATCTCAATTTTTATATGAAATTATCTAGGACAGGCAAATTCAGACACCGAAAGTTAGAGGTTTCCAAGGACTGGGGGTGAGGGGAAATTACTGCTTGATGGTTACAGAGCTTCTGTGTGGAATGATGAAAAGGTTTTAGAAAGATTATAAACGATGCCACTGAATTGTACTCATAAAAATGGCTAAAATGGCAAATGTTATGTTATATATAGTTAACCATAGTTTTGAACAACTGACAATGTACTATACCAAAAACCACTGAACTATAAGCTTTCAATGGTGAACTGTATGGTATGTGTCCTCAAACATGTATTTGAGGGGCGCAGGGAAGACTTGAATGAAATTTATTTTGTCGCTGAAAAAAAACAGTCTTACAAATGGTGACTTTGACAAAAATCCAAGCTTGGAAACGTTAGCCTTGAACGTTAAACTGATCCAGCAAGCAGTGTGGATCCTGAATCCAAGAAAGAGTTCTCAAATTGAGACCAGAGGCAGTAATGCAGGAGGAGTCTAATATTAAGTAATGACAGGGAAATGCAGTTAAAGCAAAACAGTTAAATGTCACTGATTGTAGACACCAAAAAATGTTGTAAGATCAAACAAGTATTTTACTTTAAATATGACTTTTTACAATTATTCAACACATGAGCTACCTGGAGTCTTGCTCTGTTGCCCAGGCTAGAGTGCAGTGGCATGATCTCAGCTCACTGCAACCTCTGCCTCCCAGGTTCAAGTGGCTCTCATGCCTCATTTCAAGCGGTTCTCATGCCTCGTGCCTATAGGTGGGATTACAGGCAAGCGCCAACACGGGCTAATTTTTTTATCTCTAGTAGAGAAGGGGGCTCACCATGTTGACCAGGCTGGTCTCGAACTCCTGACCTCAAGTGATCTGCCTACCTTGGCCTCCCAAATTCCAGGGATTACAGGCCTCATCAAGTTTTGAAAAGTTACCCAATGTGTAACATGTTAACAAAACTTTAGTAACCTTCTACTGAAACTGCATGCCCCAAAGAGTTAAAGAAGTCAATTAACAAAAATTCTTAAGTTTACAAAATGACAAAAAAAAAAAAAGAAAGAAAGAAACCCAACCTACTATAAAACACTAAAACTCCCTCTGCTTATGAGATAAGAAGAACTGGCTGAAACTGGTTAAAACCAGTATGGCCAAGTGGAGTCTGCAAAGAATGAGCCTGCTGACATCAGAGCCTGAATTTCCAGCATGCTTCACACTAACTTCCCCCAAATTTGCACACGCAACCCATCAGATAACATAAAGAAATAACTATACATGCCCAAAGACTTTCCAGACCTCTCCTTTCCTTCCATTAATCACCTGCTAATCTCAGAATCCATGCCCTGAACCTTTTCTTTAAAAAAAAATAAAAAATAAAAATACTGCTTTAAAGCCAGCACCGGAGTCAGATTTGAAATTCACTCCTGTCTCCTTAGGAGTCAACTTTCAATATAAAGCTTATTCTCAAAAACCCAGTGTCACCACTTCACTTGAGTAGGCTAGAAAAAAAAAAAAAAGAAAAAGAAAAACCCTGTGTCATAATATTAGCTTCTAACACATCAAGCAAAGAGCCTCCACTGGCTCTGTAACATTATTTGTGGTCTTAATCTGATAGCTCATGTGTTCCTTCTTCAAATCCAAATGTTCTTATGCTGTCAGCAGTCTCACAATCAGATTTTCCTTTTTACTTTTAATATTCTTACAGTCTCGATCTATGTTTCCAATCCACTTAAGATCCTTATACATACAAAACACAGAGACTCTTACTCTGTGTATCAAATTTGTTCACTTTCTATTGATGCCTACTCCCATTAATCCCCACTTGCTTATAAAATTTGAGGAGATTATGATAAACATCAACTGATGAAAGGCAAAAACTGAAGCTATATGAGCAGTAGCAGAAGCTCTTTTCTTTATAATAGTCTTAATTTATTCACTTATCTTTAATGTTCTAACCTCTATTACACAGTGGAAAATTACACTGGAAAAAATTACTATTACATTGGAAAATTATCTACACAGATCAGGCAGTTTTTTTCAATAAACCACATAAAAAATTACCTTTGATCTTTTGTTTGGTGTATACGCTTTTGCATTGCTAAATATCAGCCGGATGTCTTTGCAAAACTCCAAAGGGCTGTCATAATTTCCCGCATCTAGAGTTTCCCTTACTGTTCCAAAATCCATTGGGGTATCTATAATATCTCTGTAGTCCTAGGTTTTAAACACAATATTTAATTCATAGATTCATTTCTTGCTTTTAGAAATGTAAATGCATCAGATCTCTAAAAAATGTGAAATGATGGAAGAGAGGAAAAGGTTAGAGGACTCTTAAAATTCATTAGTAATGTTTAAAAAGAGGTATAAAAACAAAGAAAAGATAGAAATATACCAAAATGTTAATGTCTATTTATTGTTAGTGACACATGGGATGGTTTTATTTCCTGCTGTATGTACTCCAAGCATCCTACAGTCACTCTGTGCTGTTATAATCCAACTTTTTTTATAAAGTCATCTTTCAATTTCCCTTTTTAAAGAGTGCAAACAGACACGTTTATCCAATTCACAGTTCTCCTAGTGCTGGGCCTACTTAGATAGAAATCTAAGTAGATCCATCCCACTGTTATGTAATACTGATTATCTAAGTCTAAATTCTTAAATGAGCTCACAAGGGTGTCTATAAATTGAAGAAAACTATGTAAAAACAATACTTCTACCACTAACTTAGTGATAGGAGCAAAAAAGTTAACATAAAGCCTGGGTATCTTTCTCTTTAAAGTTTAATAACTCTACCCCAGTTTCCTCACTGCAAAACAAGAAAAGCCCCAAACATTTAAACAATGGAAACTTACTGGATATTCAACCAAATCAACAGGTTGTCTAAATGGTTCAGAATCTTCACACTGAAAAATTAAGTTCACTAGTTCCTTACACTGTTTCTTCCAGTTGCTTTCAACATAGTTCGTAGCTCTGATGCTTTTTTTCCCATCATGGACCTAAAAATACATTCACAGTCTTAAGAAAAATCACACTATTGGTGTAAGACTGTGGTAAAAATGTAACTGATCTACTGTCTTCTATAAAAATACAATAATGTCATATATGTTGCTCTCAACACATTTTTCCAGAAATGAAATTTTTAAACTATGCATGAAACGTAAGTTATTTTCATATAACTTAACCAATTTCAGAAATATTACAAAGTTAGCTATGAAAAGCATACTCTAACAAGAGCACATTATCTAGTGAAAGGCTATTCCATGACCTCTCACCTCCCAGGTTTATAATATTTGTTTTCGCAGAATATGAAGCACATCTGATAATATGATAGGCAGAATAATGGCCCCACCAAAGATGTCCACATCATAATCCTCATAACCTATGACTATGTTGCCTTACATGAGAAAAGGTATTTTGCATTAAGGGTATAGACCTTGAGATGAAAGATTATCTTGAATTGATTGCTTGGACCCAGTATAGCCACAAAAGTTATTATAAGAGGGAGGCAGAAAGGTCAGAGTCAGAGAGAGACTGAAAAATGCTACATTGTTGGCTTGAAAGATGGAACAAGGTGACCTGGAGCCAAGGTGAGGACACCCACTAGAAGCTGGAAAATGCACATAACTCTCCCTGGAGCTTCTGGCCACACCAAGACCATGATTCTGACCTAGAGACCCATGAAAACTTCTAATCTACAGAACTATCAGGTAATACATTTTTATTATTTAAGCAACTAAATTTGTCATTTGCTGCAGCAGACATAGCAAATAAATACAAATACTAAACACTTGGGAGTCTAGAAATAAAATTAAACGAAAATGACTAATCAAATTAGAGTATTTTAGGTATAACTTTTCAGTGTTCTGGAAGGCAAGCACATGGTATAAATTAATATTTCATAAAAAGCTTAAATTTAAGGAGCATTTGGAGGAAATTTAAAATGATCTGGGCTAAAATGTCTTAAGCATTTTCATATTAATAACCTTTAATTTTAATTACTCTATATTTGAACTTCAAAGCCTGCCGATACTCCATTATGATTACCCACTTTCATAAACTTAGTTCCATAGACCCTTCTCCTTACCCCTCAACCTCATCATCCCAACATATCTCCATTGTTAAAAAAAGTTCAGTCACCAAATCCTAGTTAGTTTTCCCTAAAAAGGTGTCATAATTTTCCTTTCCTCTCCATTCCAAGCAAATATCCTTGACTAGGTACCCGTCCTTCACCCTATATTCTTGGAATAAACTCCTAATTCATCTCCTTTAATACACATCTTCTTATCCTTCAAATTGTATTATCTATTTTGGCTGTTCAATTGATTCTCTACTTTAAATGAAATCCTTGGATTTCAATATCACCATAATCTACCCCAATCATAACAGCCAGACACAGCCACTTTGATCACTTCAACATCCAACCTCTACACCAGTCAGGTGTAGTTCCCTTAACAGTCTATGGACATGCCATGCCATATTTCTCTACTTTTTTTGTCTTTCCTGTGGTAGCCTCTATTTTTTGAATGGCCTCTTCTTACTCCATCTCACTCTGATAATACAGTACAAATTCCAACTCTCCCACTAAATCTTTCCAGTAATTTCTCCCATTTTGCTAATAAAATATTCAGTATCTACACTGATATAACTTTTCAAAGACAAAAACTAAAATCCTGAATTGATTTTAAAACAAAGAAAAAGAAACTACAAAAGTCAACCATGCAGAGTAACTTACTCTCCTCCTTCCAGAAGATGTTTTAGGAAGATCACTATCATCCTAGGAATAAAATCAGAGCACCTTAAGTATTTAGAGTCTCATTAGAAAATAATAACATAATCTTAATAAATAACATATCAAAGACATTTGGTATTACCAGAGTTATAACATGTTATTATCAAAATCTCCAAAGAAAGACTACCAGATGATCTTTGTGGCACCCAGGCTTGAAAAAAAAAAATCATTCTTAATAATCCTTTTTCATTCCCTAAGAACATGAACTAATTCTAAAATTTGAAATTACAGCTATAAAAAGACGCTTCATGCATTTCCTAAATAGAAAACTTGTGTTTTACCTCTATCCACAAATCCCCAGAAACATACAGATTCCTATAGTTTCTGCATTTTGTGTTCTATAGTACAGGCATGCACTACCACCCCCATCTAACTTTTTTATTTATTGTAGAGACAGGGTCTCAAACTCCTGGCTCAAGCAATCTTCCCATCTCAGCCTGCTAAAGCACTGGAATTACAGGTGTGAGCCACTGTGCCCAGCCTCCAAGGTACTTTATATAATACACCTTTCACTAGCTAAAATATAGAAAGAGAATATATTCCACACCTAAAGTTATTCACTTAGATATATTTTGATATTAGCTAAAACAAATTACCTCATAAATCATCTAGAAAATTCAAAAATATAATTTTATCAAATGCCCTATTTGTTCATTGGACTACTACAAGAGTTGGTACTACAAAGCCAACATTTTCTTCACTTTAAAAATACCATTTGAAATTAACAAAAACCATTATAAAATCAACAAACTTCATACCAAATCCTCAGCATTTTGCTCATCATTTTCAGATGTGTTAGAAAGTTCTGAGATATTTGTACAGTGTTGATTCCTAAAAAACAAATTTTCACTTTAATAGTATGCAGATGTAGTGACTTGTTGGCAAGGATTCAAATTATACATTAAAATATAAACAGTTCACCAACCTATACGTGCCTAATTTCAAACAGAGGAATATCAGGTTTTCCCCCAACCCTTTGTAAACGTAACTAGCCATCTTAAATCCTAATTTAGAATCTTGAAGGTTTTTCTTGTTTTCCGTTAAGTATGTATCCAAATTAAGCAGGTAATCCAAAAATAATATATGTATGGCCTCAATTGGATGAATACATGGATGAGTTTTTCTAAGTATCATCAATAGCAGTATTCACACAATAAGTACCAGGAAAACAGTTGATTTAAGGTAAAAAAAATATATATATATACATATATATATAAGGGAAAAAGGAATTGAAATTAAAGCAAATAGTATCTTACTGTACACACAGGAGAAAAAAAGAATGCTGAAATATGGATATCTAAGCATAAAGGAGACAAAAATGGGTAGATAATTTTCCTGAAGTAAGAACAAGAAGGTGATTCTGGGGAGGAGGTAACTTACGTATGAGTCTCCAAGACTTAGGACAGAATCAAACCAAGAAAGCTGACAAGAATCAGTTACTCCCCAGTTTTCAGCTAGATGCTGAAAACGATGGCACTGTTTCTAAATTAAGAATGCTCACTAGAATAGAGCAGACTAGAACCTGGGTCTGAATTTCCAAGTCAGTTTACATTCTTTGATTCTGAATACTTCTGAATTTAAGAAAATCTACAGAATATTCACACGTATACAAACATTTTCACAGGACATAATCTGAAACATTAAAACAACATAATCATGGGAAAATACCAAACAAAATCCAATTAAATATACTCTATAAAATAAGTAACATAACTATACTCTATAAAATAAGTAACATTCATAAAAATGATGAGGTGATAAAGACAAGAAAAAACTGAAGGAGACTAAGAAAACAAAACGCTAAATTTGATGGGGATTCTGGATTAGATTCTGAAACATAAAAGGGTGTAAAAACTAGTGAAATCCAAATAAATTCTACACTTTCTGTCAATAGCATGGTACCAAGATTTTTTTTTTAACATTTCATAAGTATACCGTAGTTATATAAAATGTTAACCTAAGGGGAGACTAGATGAAAGGCAAATGGCAACTTTCTGGAGTATAAAATTATTTCAAAATTTTAAAAAGTTGAAAAACTGAATTATTCAGTTTCTCAGACTTTTACTTAAATTATGTATGTAAAGAAATGTCATCTAAAGTAAAGCATTAAAAAAGTATAGTTCTGAGTAAAAAACAAAACTAGATGATTTTTTTTTCCTTTTTTTTTTTTTTTCTGGAGACAGAGTTTTGCTCTTGTTACTCAGGCTGGAGTGCAATGGCACGATCCACACACGATTGGGCTCACTGTAACCACCACCTCCTGGGTTCAAGCAATTCTCCCACCTCAGCCACCCGCCACCACGCCCGGCTAATTTTTGTATTTTTTTTAGTAGAGCCGGGGTTTCACCATGTTGGTACGCTGGTCTCAAATGCCTGACCGCAAGTGATCTGACGGCCTTCACTTCCCAAAGTGCTGGGATTAACAGGCATGAGCCACCACGCCCGGCAAAACTAGATGATTGTTAATAGCACAATATGCAGTCACTTTTACACAACATCTATGAAATTACTTACTTGATAAATTTTAAAAGTTGGTCAGTTATCTTTTTAGCTGATCTTGCAATTACACTCTCAGGTTCGTTAAATGTTCTGGCATTATGTTCTATATATCTGACTTCCCAAACTAACGCAGACAGCCTCCTTCAAAATAAAGTAGACAATTTAGGGCTTAGAAAATGAGAAGATAGAAACCAAGTGAAAAAATGCAGCATGTGAATTAAACAACTGTGAAATAATAATTAAACCATAAGTGCAAAGTTATAATGAATAACCTTCTAATGCTCTCAACTTGATCATAGTCATAGGCAATACATTGGACACCGAAGCAATTATATTGAACTGAAGAGGACAAAAATCTTAACAAATTACTTAATCACATACAGAAAACCAACAAAACTACCCTCCCTTTTCATACTGCATATAGGTACCTTTTAAAATTGTTGAATCTCAATAAAGAAAATATGTTAAATATCATCAACCCTAAAAGCTGGCCCAGCAAGCTGGGATTACACCTGTAATCCCAGCACTTTGGGAGGACAGGGCAGGAGGACAGCATGAGCCCAGGGGTTCAAGATCAGCCTGGACAACATGGCAAAACCCCAAATTTACCAAAAATTAAAATTAAAAAATTAGCCAGGCGTACTGGTGCGCACCTGTAGCCCCAGCTATTCAAGAGGCTGAGGTGGGAGGATTGCTTGAGCCTGGCAGGTCGAGGCTACAGTGAGCTATCATCATGCCACTGCACTCCAGCCTGGGTGACAGAGCAAGACTCTCTCAAAAACAAACAAAAAAACAAACAAAAACTAAGAGCTTCAGTTTCACTGTAAACAATCAAGTGGTTTCTGATGGGAATGCACATTCCAGTGTTAAATTACAGAGATAAATTACGTCGATAATGTGGACTCAAGATGACTTTTTATAATTTCTTAAAGTAGTTGAATTATAAAAGTTAAAATACAATCAACTGCTGTAAAAATCATTAAGAATAGGAAATTTTATACTTACCAGTGCTCTAGAAGCCAAAGATAAAAAGTCAGTGCCTCTGGGAAATTAATCTTCCAAAGGCCAAAAAGACCAAGTATTAACTATATAAATATTATTTTTAAATGTAGTTAAATAGAAATTTAAACATACAAAGAAAAAAAATAAAGTTATCTAACAACTTAACAAAATTTCTAAGAAAAACAGATTACTAAAGATTGAGGGTTGAGGCCCTGACTCGGACCTCCCTTCTCCAGCCAGGCCTGACCATCCCTGCAACTCTCAGCCTCCTACTCATGTCGGCTGTGAGAGCCTGTGCTTAAATAAGATATCAGGCCTTACTGGAGACACTCAAGGATAGGTTGAACAACTATTTTTCCAGAGCAGAAAGGAAACTCATGCATCAGAAAGGCCAGAAGTATATGACTGTATAAATAACAGAATCTACTCAGAACAGTTTAAGGAATTTCTTGGGACCTACAATAAACTTAGAGAAACCTGCTTTTTGGACTGTGTTAAAGACTTCACAACAAAAGTAAAGCCTGAAGAGACCACCTGTTCAGACCATTGCTTACAGAAATATATTTTTTTTAACTTTTAAGTTCAAGGGTACAAGTACAGGATTGTTACACAGGGAAACTTGTGCCACAGGGGTTGGCTATACAGATTATTTCATCACCCACGTATTAAGCCTAGTACCCATTAGTTGTTTTTCTTGATTCTCTCCTTCCTGTCACCCTCCAAAAGGCCCTAGTGTGTGTTGTTCCCCTCTGTGTGTCCATGTGGTCTTATCATTTAGCTCCCACAAATATATATATATATATATATATATAAATATATATATATATTTATATATATATATATATATATATATATATATATTTTTTTTTTTTTTTTTTTTTTTAATTGCTTAGACAGGGTCTCACTCCACCACCCAGGATGGAGTGTAGTGGCGTGATCTCAGCTCACTGCAACCTCCACCTCCCAGGTTCAAGCAATTCTCCTGCCTCAGCCTCCCAAGTACCTGCGATTACAGGCACGTGCCACCGTGCCTGGCTAATTTTTGTATTTTCAGTAGAGAAGGGGTTTCACCATGTTGGCCAGGCTGGTCTCAAACTCCTGACCTCAGGTGATCTACCCGCCTGGGCCTCATGAAAGTGCTGGGATTACAGGCATAAGCCAATGCGCCTGGCCTCCCACAAAAATTATTTTTAAATGACACAAAGAATATCCAAGAGATTTCAGGAATATCATATTCAACAGAACGAAGCCCTGGTAGCCAAAGCAAAACTACTTGGCCAATCACAATAGGTAACTCCAGATGGATGGACTTTTGATGAAAGACTGCCAACAGCTGCTGCACTGGAAATGAGGATTTATCTGACAGTTCCCTGGGAGCAGTAGCCCCCCTGTTAAACCATCTGTCATGAGTTTGGCAAATGAAAACCACTGGAGAAACAAAACCACTATTTACCAAGAATAATTAAAATAGAAGGTCTTATTGTTCAAATAATAAAACACAACATTTACTGAGGCCTTAAGATTCTGCACCTTGGTTACCTGATTAGAAAAACAAACAACTGTTTCTTCAATTATGGCTATTAATTTTAAAACAAATTATGTCTTCAATCATGTATGAGGATAGAAAAATTCTCATTACTAAAGTACCAGTGAAAGTTTACTGAAATAAGTGGAATAAAAGTAAAATTTCAGTGATATGGAAATAATCACTGAAAAAAAAACGAGGGTGAAATATGGTAGTCAATCTTCTGCCTGGCCCTACCCACACCTACCCATAGGCATCTAACACCATCTGACAATGAAAGAGAATAATGAAACAGAAAATGCTAATCAGCCCCCAATTCTACCACTATCTCTTTCTTTGTTTACCCTAGTCAATATTGCCAAATATAGCTTTTTAAACATTTTGAAAGCAGGTTTCTACTAACCTGTAAAATCGATTAACAAGTCTCATTCGAATTGTGTAAAGATCGGTTGGATAAGCTACTACAGTACAGTACTTCGGGTATGTACACAAATCAACAGGGCCTGCAAAAGCTGCTGCTATATCTGTTAGGGAAGACAGGAGAGTTTTTAATCAATAAATCCATTGCCTCTAAGTGGTACTTCTCTAGAAATCATTCATAAGATATGGCTACATTTAACATTACAGGCTAAATTAAAAGATAACCAATACAAAGTGTAGAAAAGAACAGAAACCTCAATTATGCTAGTATTTTTAAATACCTTTATGAAAAAAATTGAAAAAAAAACTTTTCATCCTAAAAAATAAAAAACTTACCAAGATTCAAAAGTTGATCTATACCACTGATAATTCTATCACATTCTTCATCTCTTGATTTCTGACCCCATTCACCAGCTTGTGGTTTATAGAGCAATTTCTCTAGCTCATCTGTTGTGACAGAAATACTAGCTCCTAATTCTTCAGGTGGATCAACTATGAATACCATAAAAAACAATGAGAGGAAGAAAAAAACACAAAAAATAAATATATACGGTATTAAAATTCAATTTTCATAGCTTATAAAACTAGGTTATCTCCACAGTCAAAAATAGAGTTCAAATGTGCAACTCTTTTAAAATTACTCATTGAGATTAACAAATTGCTTAAATTCAGGTAAAAACACAATCTACCTACCCTAACAAATTAAAAATTAAAAATAAGAGTGCCAGTATTGCAGTTTTCAGTCTATTTCTTCAAGGAGGCAAACTTAACCCTGAGGCCTCTGAAAACACAAATTGAACCTGACAATATTCAAAATTTTAAGCTTACATACAGTTAAAATTTTTAAATTAAAATTTTTAAAAAGTCAAGTCAAAATGGATAAATAATCCCACATGACAAATGGCTAATTTTCTTAAATTTTAAGGGAGCGCAAATGAAACAGACTGGTATTTCTTGAAAAAATAAGGAGAAGCAGGCAGGGTGGCTGACGCCTGTAATCCTAGCACTTTCAGAGGCCGAGGTGGGTGGATCGCCTGAGGTCAGGAGTTTGAGACCAGCCTGGCCAACGTGGCAAAACCCCATCTCTACTAAAAATACAAAACTTAGCCAGCTGTGGTGGGGCACACCTGTAATCCCAGCTACTAAGGAGACTGAGGCAGGAGAATAGCTTGAACCCGGAGGTGGAGGTTGCAGTGAGCCGAGATTGTGCCATTGCACTCCAGCCTGGGCAACAGGGCAAGACTCTGTCTCAAAAAAAAAAAAAGGAGAAAATCTGAGGAAGCTCAAAATATTTTAGCTTATTGAATAGTAGTTCTAACATACAGATAAGAAATGTCATTTACTGTGTACTGTGTACTGGCTACCAGGTTAACTCAGAGCACGTTTACAATGAGGGAACAAGGGCATTGGGAAGAGCATCATTTTAACAGCTGCTAAATGATGGAGAGAATGCTCATGGGAGCATTTCCTCTAGAAACATATCCATTAAGATTCCTGCAAACATACACACAAGTTTTATATAGAGCATTCTTTGGGAATGCTCTTAACTTCAGTAGAGTTGACCTATTAGAATTAAGTCATATGATGTAGTCTTTTAGCTGAGAGATGGGAATTTTTTAAACATGGATGATAAATGATTCCTATAAGCTTATAATTCATGTTCTTGCAAAAAGAAAAAGGATTTCCATTTTATTTTCTGCATGAACATAAAAGAAATGTGGGGGAAGAGGGCAGAGACATCCCACTGCCCTAATAAGCCAAAATGTGTATTTTTATACTGTAATTCAGAGTTATGCTTTCAGTATTTTATCTCATCAAAAGGAAGAGGAAAGACGCTGTACAGGCAGGCAACATAAAGTGCTTTAAAAAACACTGGTTTATCAAAGCCGGGATCTAAGTTCAAATCACATCTATACCACCTAAAAACTATGACTTTGGGCAAGGGGTGTGGGTGGGTGGGTGTGTGGGTGTGTCTGTTTTAATGGGGAGAAAGGGGGTCTCACTATGTTGCCTGGGCTGGTCTCCTCAGGTATTCTGGTGAATACTGATCAACCCACACGTGTGAAGAAATGACAGGAAGCCAGGAAAAGAACCAAATGAAAGTTCTGTGATAACAAAGGCCTGATGCACAAAAAGGCCAGCACCCACGCCTGTTCCCTCAGCCAGACTGAAAAAGCTGCATGATACATAGAGCAGTGGATACACTGCATAAAAGGGCCTTGCCTTAGAAGTCAAAAGTAAATCAGTTCTAGGCTGAGCACTGCTCCAAACCCATCTACCATATCTTAAAAAGATAAAATTGTTTCCGACTAGCTTAATTGTGTGACAGAACAAAGTGTAACACTTACAGGAATACAAAAATATACAGCACCCAACAAGGTAAAAATTCACAATGTCTGACATAAAATGTAAAATTATAACACAGGTAATATATTAGGAAATACCCATAATGAAGAGATTTATTAATCAACCAACCAGAATTGGCACATATGTTAGAATTAGCAAAGACATGAATGCAGTTATTATATTACGCATGTTCATTAAAAACATATATAAATGGAAGACATGAAACACACACCCAAATCCAACTTTTAGAGATGAAAACAACAAGCAGTAAGGTGAATACTATAAACACATTGGCTGGTGATACATAAGATATTCCGAAAGAAAATATAAATATATAAGATAAAAATATAAAAAGACTCAACACCAGGAATGGTGGCTCATGCCTGTAATCCTAGCACTTTGGGATGCCGAGGCAGGGGGATCACTTGAGGTCAGGAATTCAAGACCAGCCTGGCCATGGCAAAAGCCTATCTCTACTAAAAATACAAAAACTAGCCAGGCATGGTGGCACACACCTGTAGTCCCAGCTACTAAACAGGCTGAGGCAAGAGAATCACTTGAACCTGGGAGGTGGAGGTTGCAATGAGTGGAGATTGCGCCACTGCACTCCAGCCTGGGCAACAAAGCAAAACTACATCTTAAAAAAAAAAAAAAAAAAAAAAATTCAAAAGAGCACAATATGTGTTATTCATTTCTGAATGTATATCATCATTGAGGGGAAAAAACTAAATCTTTTCTCATAATGTCTATTTAGTGCCTAACTTGATGCCCCCCAAACGGTAGGCATTCAAGAAATGTGTATGAAACAAATATGTGATGTAGTTATATGATTTACTCTATAAGCATAGCTAATATTTCATAAAACAAAGCAATAATAACTAATATTTTCCAAACATAAAACTAAAAAGATGCATATGTAACAAATTTTACACTAACATAGTGTAGACACAGCAATAAAAACTGAAGACACAGCAATAAAAATTATCCTAATGAAACAGTAAAAGAAAATAAAGCAAAAAAACAAAAAAAATCCAGAAAAGCCCCGAAATACAGAGACCATTTAAGGGAACAGAAGAAATTATGATATCCCAAACTAATGGATAACAGTTAAAAATGAGGAAAGAATCTGAATATTTCTCAGCCAGGCTCCGTGGCTCACGCCTGTAATCCCACCACTTTGGGAGGCCAACGCAGGCATATCACTTGAGGCCAGGAGTTCAAGTCTAGTATGGCCAACATGGCAAAATAGCTGGGTGGCACATGCCTATAGTTCCAGCTACTCAGCAGGCTGAGGCACAAGAACCACTTGACCCTGGCAGGTGGAGGTTGCAGTGAGTCGCGATTGCACCACTGCACTTCAACCTGGGCAAAGAGGGAGACTGTCTCAAAAAAAAAAAGAAAGAAAGAAAAAAGAAATTGAACATTTCTACAAAGATATAAAAATGACCAATAAACAAAGGAAAAAATGTTCAGTATCATTAGGCATCAGAGAAAGGCAAATCGAAATCACAATAATACTTCCTATAAGTTAAAAAAAACAAAAGTATCCAGGATGTGAAAAAATTGGAACCCACATACACTGTTGCTGGAAATGTAAAATGGTATACCTGCTCCAAAAAAACCATTTGTCAGCCCTCAAAAGGTTAAACAGAGTTACCACGTAACCCAGCAATGCCACTCCTACATATGTACCCAAAAGAAAAAAAAACTTGCACATGATATTCACAGGAGGACTATTCACCGCCAAATAATGGAAGCAATCCAAATGCCCATCAACTGATGAATGGATAAAAATGTGTTATATCCATACAATGGAATATGATTCATCAATAACAAGAAATATCTTGGTTTCTAAATGCCATTCTCCAATCAAACAGGCCATGGCCCCTGAAAAACTGCCTGATTCCACAGCTGAGGTAAGGAAAGTACAAGGTGAGCCTTGAACACTGCATATTGCCAGAAGCTATGAAAACACTCAAAGGCGATTCAAAAGAAAATGTCAAATGGACATAGGAGCCAACATGAAGGGGTTCCCAGTGGCCAAATCTGCAATAAGGTAGCAACAAAATAATGACAACAATTGAACACTGATTTTATTTCACAAAAATCTGAGTACATACTAATATAAATAAATGGGAAAGGAGAAGATGTATCTTATAGTAGAATTCCAACTAACACATGTAAGACAATGAAAACAAAAAATCATTATTTGAGGCAAGAATTATCAACGGATGCTACAATTAGTGAGTGGAAACAGCATAAGAAACAAGATTTTTGCAGCACATAAATATATCCCCATGGGACACTAATTATAATGGAAAAAGTATTTACTTTACACTGGAGAAACCTGACACATACCCCCTAAATCAAATTATTAAAATCCTAAAATAATTGCACTGAGAAAGACACATTACCTTTCTGACATTTTTGCCAAAAATGCAAAACCTAAATTTAATCCAGAAAAACATCAAACCCAAACTAATGGAAATTCTATAAAATAACTGCCCAGTAATCTTCAAAAGCCTTAAAGTCATGAAAGACAGTGAAAAACGGAGGGATCCTGGATTAAAGACTAAGATGACATGACAAATCCAAAATGTGAAAGGATATTAGTGAAACAGACAAAATCTGAATAAAGTCTATAGACAATAGTATCGTATTAATAATTTCCTGATTTTGATCACTGCAATGTGCTAGCTGTATAAGAAGGGAAATATAGGTATTCAGAAAATCCTTGTACTATTTTTTTTAACTTTTTTTAAGTCTGAAATTATCTTGAAATCAAGTTTTTTAAAGTGCTATAAAAAATGGAGAGTACATATTGAAGAGAAATATCAAAATGCAGATATTCAGAGATTTTCTTGAAAATTATAAAAAGAGAAAAACATCAAAGGATGTTACAAATCAGTAAAAACACATAAAGAAAGCTTGGTGGTGAAAACAATGGACACAAGAGATATAGAGTACCCTTTCAAAAAGTTTCGCAAAAGGGAAATAATTCAGTAACAAAAATGCTTCATGAAGTCAAATGTAAGGTCTAAGAGACATATTCAAACCTGACTGGAGAAAGGTAGGAGGAAATTAAAATTGTTGGAGGGGATGAGCTAAGTGTAGGTACCAGGCCCTTGGAAGGCCAACAGCAGTGGGATGCTAGCACTGGAGGACAGGCTGGCTTTAAATAGTTGTCTATTTCAGTAGAAAATCCATAATAAGACAACTTGAGGTAAAGCAGAAGACAGATGGAAGTCAAGTTCAATCTTTTCCTTGAAGGAAGACCAAGGGTAAAAGATTAAGAATGAGGTAGGAAAAGTAGAGGCTACATGAAGGATGTAAATTTTTTGTTTTGTTTTTCTGAGATGGAGTCTCGCTGTCGCCTAGGCTGGAGTGCAGTAGCCGCAATCTTGGCTCAGTGAAACCTCTGCCTCCCGGGTTCAAACAATTCTCCTGCCTCAGCCTCCCAAGTAGCTGGGATTACAGGCACACGCCACCATGCCCGCCTAATTTTTTGTATTTTTAGTAGACACAGGGTTTCACCATGTTGGCCAGGCTGGTCTCGAACTCCTGATCTCAGGTGATCCATCTGCTTTGGCCTCCCAAAGTGCTGAGATTACAGGCGTGAGCCATGGCGCCCAGCCAGGAGTTAAGTTTAATGCAGGGTTACATGAGAAACGACAGCAAGCTATTAAGGTACAGCCAAAATCAAGCTGGAATCTAAGGTCAAGAATTAACAAAACAGATAAACACGATGCTGTTGTCTTCTTTCAGTAAAGTTCAGTTACTGTAATAATTTGAATATATTGATCATAGAATACAAATATGTTTGTTCCATGTGCACTGGCAAATGTACATATTATAAAAATAAAATGTTTTCATTATTTAACAAATATATATACCATTATCAGGAATTGGTTCCATGTCCCATGGGCTAAGTTTTTCAATTTCAGTATTATCCCACCTGTTAAAAAACAACAAATCTCTGGTTAGCCTTTCATAAAAACAAAATGTGGATAATAGGTATCCATTATAAAAATACAAAATGTGAAAATTAACCTCACTGCAGCAGTACAATTTTAAATATTAACAGTAAATTTTTTTAAGAAGGATATATTATTAAAATAACAGGTTTAAGAACAAAACCAGAAATCCTATGTGGCCTGCACCCAAAGTGAACAATAACTGAAAGACAAGGCATGAAGCCCTTGAATTCCACTACAGCCACAGTCAATGGTTTTTATCCCATTGCCAATGAAGAGGCGTCAAAGGTTTCTTTGAAGAAGATTAATGATATAGTATCTGCTTCTGAACTAGGACACTGACAATACGAGGTAAAGGAAATATTAGGTGGCTACAGAAATAGTTCCAGGAAAGCAAGCAGAACCTGAACCAAGGGGAGTACTGGTGAATAGGAAACAAAGAGTAGGTGCATGTCTGAGAGACATTTCGGGTCAGCCTGACATGACTTAATGACAGATAAAAACCATGTTTTTTTAAAAACCAGAAATGTATTATTTATACAGCAACCTGCCACACTGAATTACTGGGAAATGATTAGTTTTCATCTGTATACAAACCTAACAATATAACACTGGAAATGACTATCAGGATACTGTGGTTGATATGGCTCTTGACTTAACACTGTTCCAAACCACCAAGCATCATCAATAATAGAGCGGAATCTGTCACCTAGGAGAGAAATGATCAAGTCTGAGGCATTTCTCTGCTAACATTCATTAACATTTTTTTAATCTACAAAATACCATATGATACAGATAAAAAAGCCAAAAGCACAATACAAAAACAGGCAAGCAGCGCTCCTAAACAAACCAAGAAAAATATGGCATAAAAAATTTAACTTTTAGATTAAATGCATTTCTAGATGTATTTTACAACTCTAACACTTCAACCAGTGAAATAAACTGCACTAGATCTGTGTTTAACATTCATTACAATAGAAACATGAACTGCTGCAGTAACCATATCTCTTCCTTCTTACCCTTCCCACCATTTACAAAACAAAACCAATGAAACAATAAAAGTCACCTATCCAGCACTGATGATTCTTCGGGATATAGATCAACAGTTCTTTTCTCAAGGAAAGTTTTATAGAAATAATCAAAATTAAAGCTACAATTTATCCCCAAGAAAGAATATAATATACCTGGCAAACAGTCTTGAATAATTAAAGTATGCTTACAGTGAATTCTTCAAAGGTTTGAAAAAAAATAATGCCATAACTACTAGACCTACATGTTTTAGTCTTTAGCATATTTTCAAACTTATGTAAACATGAGTTTTACATATATTTTACTTCAAAATCACTTGAAACCATAGCCCCTGAAAGAAATCTAAGGAGACTAGTATAGCTTTAAACTTACAATTTAAGACAAACCACACCATGATTTTATCCAAATCTCTAATACCCTAATTTAACATAAACATTAATTACAACTGAATGTAATAATAATAAATTATTGTCATAAAATCAGCTGCCTCAATTTTGAGAGGCCAAACATAAAAACATGTTAGAAGAGAGTCTTTGATATAAAAAATTAAGTGTATATTTTTCTTGCTATTTACCTAATACTAGAAGATAATTTCAGTTTAGATAAAAATATTTCTTCATACAAAAACAACCCTTTAAATAAAAAGGAGCCTGAAAAAATTAAGTTTTCTCATAATAAAAGTGTCTTTTCTATGTTTTTGCTAGCTGATCACCCTGGTAATCTTATGTTAAGGCTTTTCAAATAAACCTACTTTGGCCTTTCAAGAGAAGGATAAAAATCCACTGTAAAAATGAAAACAAGCAACTTCTTCTTGCCATACTACTCAAATTCCACGCAAAAATGGGGAAGCAAAATGAATTAAAGTGTAGTATAACAGGTCTGGTCCAATAATTTCTCAACCACAAAAATAAAACAAAAACCACTAAATTACAGGAGGCATCTGGGACTCCATCTCTAGAGTTTAACTGTAGATAATTCAGTTTTAAAAAAATTAATGGACATGTTGGCAAAAATGAGAGCCTCTTACACCTCATGGGAGCTGAAAAATCATAATAGCTGGGAAGCTTTAAAGTTATTTGGAACACAACTATACAACCTGCTAATGTTGCTTCATGTTATTTTTGTGGCTGTATGTTTTTCTTCAAGAAAAATTTTCTCTGCATCTACTCCCAAAATAATCTTGATTACTTGTGTAGATGTTACCAGGAGAATAATCTATAAAGAGGAGCCACACGCCCTGACAATCTTTCACGTCAGATGAGGATGATTAGGGACTTTATCTAAAATTTACCTTCTTGTAGTACCACACAAAAAGGCAGCAGTGGCCAGATATGGTGGCTCACACCTGTAATTCCTACACTTTAGGCAGGCTGAGGCAAGAGGATTGCTTGAGCCCAGGAATTCAAAACCAGCCTGGGCAATACAGCAAGACCCTGTCTCCACAAAAAAAATTAAAAATTAGCTGCACATGGTGCAGCTTCCAGAATTTACATGTTTGTATGCACTATAATTAAGAGTCCCACAGCCAAAAAGGAGGCTGAGGTGGGAGGATCGCTTGAGCCCAGGAAGTTGAGGCTGCAGTGAGCTCTGATTGCACCACTGCCCTTCAGCCCGGGCAACAGAGCAAGACCTTGTGTCCAAAAAAAGAAGGAAAGAAAGAAAGAAACTGCAGTAACTAGAAAGATCAATGTCTTAACATCATTTATGAATGTGTACACCAGATGACACAGCCTGGGTAAAACTTAGTATTTCTAACAAAAATCCAAGAACTGATAAAAGAACGAACCATCCTACTTCTAACTCAATACACAAGCTCCCTGGATAGCATTACACACTGAACATATATTTGTACACCTGTGAAAACAGGTACTACAGTTACTATTAACAGTTGCTATTACTACCCAGCCTAATGACAGTCATTCAATCATCAATTATATCCTGAGATTAATAATCTACACAACTCTGAATAAGTGAGCCCTCCTTAAATGATCATCACAAAAATCACATTCGAGTAATTTAGTACCTACATTGAGGTACTAAAATTACTCCAATGTGTAATTTTACTCGAATGTGTAAAATTACATTGAGGTAATTTTAATTTTTTAATTTTTCTGCCCACCTATACATTACATGGTTATAAAGCAAAGTGTATATGAATTTTTTATTTCTTAACAAAACAGTGTCAAGTCTTCCCATTTAAGTCTACGTTGTTATGATATCAAGGGTAAAATAATTGGGTATACCAGAACATTTTCAGTGTGAAATCTGAAATTACTCTTCAACCTTCTGATCATTTTAGATCCTAGTATAATTGTGTAAATTATGCCAATGTTACATCAAAGATAATTATATACAATATAGTACAGGGAAGTCTAAAAGGAAGTAAGTCTACCCTAGCCTATAGTCAAGGAGTGAAAATAATCTTTTCCAAACGTCATGAACCAAAAGAACAGAAGAAAAGTTGCTCGTCTAAAAAAGTCTACATAATAGGGCTGGGCACGGTGGCTCACACCTCTAATCCCAGCAGTTTGGGAGGCAGAGGTGAGTGGATCATGAGGTCAGGAGTTCGAGTCCAGCCTGACCAACATGGTGAAACTCTGTCTCTACTAAAAATACAAAAATTAGCCGGGCGTAGTGGCGCACACCTGTAATCCTAGCTACTCAGGAGGCTGAGGCAAGAGAATCGCTTGAACTTTGGAGGCAGAGGTTGCAGTGAGCTGAGATCACACCATTGCACTCCAGCCTGGGTGACCTAGGGAGAAAATGCGTGCCATGCCCACCGTCCCCCGGCCCCTACCAAGAAAGTCTGCATAATCAGTAAGTACCAAGCCGTAAGCAAAATATATTTATAGGTCACTTATATCTCTTCTGGAATTTACATGTTTGTATATACTATAATTAAGAGTCCCACAGCCAAAAAGGTAGACCAATAAAACAGATTAATTTTTAAGGGTATATAAAACTTAGTAAGGATAGACTTACAAGACTGCCAATTCCTCTGTCTTGCTTCATCATAAAATTGACGCAATACAAGAAAGTCAATAACATCTGGCATATCATGATATCTAGACAAAAATTTAAAAAATTGTTAAACTCTCTACATAGCAGGTTATATAGTCTAAAAGCAGCACTGTCCAAAAGAAACATGAGATCTACGAATGTAATTTTTAATTTTCAACCAGCTATATTTTAAAAGGTAAAACAGTAAACTTCATAGCATATTTTAAATATATCCAAAATATTATTTCAATATGTTATCAAAACAAAATAGAGATCTGACATATTTTTTCTTCATAACTACTCTTCAAAATGCAGTGTGTACATTCACAACACATTCATTTCTTTAAAAAAAAATGTTTATGCCTCATACTCTGCCAAGTCACATATTAAGACATTCAATCAAACCATCCATATTTCAAGTGAGCAGTAGCCACATGTGACTAGTGGTAACCTTATTAGACAGCACAGGTGTAGGAAATTATTTATTCTGAATTTTTTCAAAAACAAAGGGCAGAAAAAATTTGGCCCGTATGTCAGAATTCCCCACCCACATAAGCAGCATGAAAACCATATAAAACAGACTGCCCACACTTAACTATAACTGTGACATGCCTACTATGACTTCAGGGTCAGGGATGGGTTTCCTAGCCATCAGAAGCTCGAGCCACATCTTAGGCTATCCACAGTGCTCTACCAGTTACCCTGGAGTTAAATGGGAAGGGCATGCTAATCATTCAATCAGCAAAATGGCAAATTTAAATTTAAGTAATTCCATTTTAAAAAATAATACATACCTAATAGAGAAAGATTTGTCCATAAGTTTTCCAGTTGCTGGATCTATAAATGCTAGTTTTAGGCAACAGAGTGTAGGGGGCCCAACTTCATATCGTATTCCAACTATTTTAACCAATTCTTGATCCTTTAACAGACATATTTTTTAATGGTTAAAATAAAAGCAATTCCTTAATACTATAATTCTCCACATACTGTTATATTAAGTAAACTCATAATTTAGGCTTCCAAACCCGCAGACAAGTTTAATTAATACCATTAATTACATTCAATTTTGCTAAAGTTAATCTCCACATATTTAATACAGTTTCTAATACAAAGAACATCCTTTAGAAAATACATTACAAAAGTGTAAGATTGAAAACACAAATCTCGGATTAGCGCAATATCTAACGACAATCACTGTTAAAAATCTAACATATTTCCTTCTGGCTTTGTTTTGGAAACAGGATCTCACCATGTTGCCTAGGCTGGAGGGCAGTAGCACAATCATGGCTCACTGCAATCTCAAACTCCTGAGCTCAATCAATCCTCCCACATCAGCTTCCCGAGTACCTGGGACTGACTACAGGTACAACATGCCACCACACCAAGCTAATTTTTTATTATTTGTAGAGACAGGTCTCCCTATGTTGTCCAGACTAGTCTCGAACTCCTGGGCTCAAGTGATGCTCCCACAACAGCTTCCCAAAGTGCTGGGATTATAGGTGTGGCCTGCCACACCCAGTCAATGCACATTTTTATTTATATAGCTTTATATTATACAGTGAAAATGTGTAAGCATTCTACTTATTCATAAGTGTTCTTCAAAATCTTGATATTAAGTTTCTGCCTAATACATTCAGTAAGTAATATTTGTTGAGAATCTACCATATGCTATGACCTCTTCTAGGCAGTAGGGACAGGACGGTAAACAAGTGAAAGTCCCTACCTGGATGGAGTATCCATCAAATGGATTTGCCATAGTCAACCTTCCCCCCAGTGTCTGCTTCTCTGATACTAGGAATACAACAGATCATTCATCCACTTATTCACTGAACAAATGTTATTATTATAATGTACCAAACAAAGTGCTAAGCATAGTTTTCATTATTCACAGCAGTTATGTTCTATAGTCACCTAGAACACTGAAATAAAATACTAAATCAGTGCTATAGAGAATATATAGGGATAGGTTCCTGCAAAATTCTGGTCACAACACTGTAGTAAACCAGTGCATACGTAACTTGGTTTTATGCGTGTTTCCGTTTAAAGGTACCTTATTTAATATGTTGTTGATTTGCAAACATTTAACTGATACCTGAATGAAGCTTATCTAACATACCTTCTCCATAAGGCACATCTCAGCCTTCTAGCACTTAAGAACACTAGAGAGCATGTCAGCACTACGCTTAGGGGCCATTTTAAACAGCAAAGTCACCAGAAAAAGCACAAAAATGGAAAACATGTGGCACTGAATAGACCATGAAAAGGACACTTGTTTGCAGTGCGAGAGCTTAAAAAAAAAAAAAGGCAGAGCAACACCTTGTTCAACCTCAACTAGAAACATGCTCGTCAGGCAAGTCAAATTTTTCACCACCCTGAGCATGTCCAGAAATGACCAAAAGGCTCTGAGAGTACTGTTTGGGGGATTACAAATAAAGCAAGTACGCAGTTCACAAATACAGAATCCAAGAATAATGAGGATGGACTGTACTTAGGTACACAGTCCTAAGTTAAACAGACATAAATAAAACCGCCAATGTATATAAAGCCTAACTTATACAAGCAGAGCCATTAAGTTGAATATAAGTGTTAAAAACAGCTATATTTGTTAAAATAACTAGCATTTTCTTCATTTTCTAAGTTTTTAAAAGTATCAAAATCTGTAGAATAAAAATATAAAAAATAAAAAAACACGTGTACTACTACCCCACAGATCATCACCATTGACATTTTGATGTTGTTCTTTTGATTGGCTGCAAATGTTTTCAAAATTTTGCTACCATAACCAGAAATACCACTTCACACCCCATTTTTCCTATTAGTAATACACTGTGAAAATGTATCCATCATTCATTCAACAAATATTTTTCAACCTTCAAGTACAAGATGGGCTGTACATAGTAAGTGACTGTGTGAATGCACCATGATTTGGTTCATTCACTATTGTGGAATATCTGAATTTTTTTTTTCCAGCTTTGTTTCTGTCAACAGTGAGTGAACTACAATACTCATATATTTACAAGCATTTCTGCTTGTTTTCCAAATTACCAGAAGAGTAAAATCACAGAATTAAAAGTTCCAAATATTTTTCAGTTTCAACTACTATTAACAAAATATCCCCTAGAAAGCCTGGACCACTTCACACACCCCACCAGCAATCTGAATAACTGTTAACAAACCAACATCTTTGCCACTTGCTAAAATGTGGAATTCTTTCTTGAGCTAAAAACAAACGAAATCACAAAATTGGCTAAGTATTGAAAAGGAAAAATTATTATTTCCTTATTTTATTATCCATGAGGTTAAACCCTTCTTCCAGTTTTTATTTCTTCTTTTGAAAACTTGCATTTCTTCCTCTGAAAATCTGTCTTGGATACATAAACATTTTTAAGAGTGATAATATATATATTGCCAAGCTGCCTTTCTGAAACTCTAGGTTGTTGCATTTAACATTTTACACACCAATCAGCAACATACAAATTTTGCCCACTGACAAACAAGCCATTCCCACAGGATCTTAAGGTTTGGTTACAGCAGAAATGTTATCAAGTAGGAAAGAAAGTAATAAAATATGTTTCCAACAGGTTTTTAAATAGATTTGTAAGTAATTTAACTATGTATGTGCTAAAATGTTTAATGATTTAATAATGCCATCATCCTACCCTAAGATCCATTTTTCTCCATGGCTCCTTATTAGGGTTCAGTTCATAAATATTATTTCTTCTTACAGCCTCAATATAAGCTTCATGACCCTGTCGAAAATATATTACCTACAAAAGGGAAATATGCATTTAAAAATTAAGAGCAATATAAACTTTATGTTCCATATTCGTGTTTTTAAATTTGTATTACTCTCACCTCATCACCCATTTGAGGAACAAAAGGAGATTTTCTAAGTGTGGTGTCAGTAATCCAAACTGGAGGGTGAAATTCATATAAATGCTCCATATTTGCAAGCTCTGCTGGAGTCATCCTCCGCAAATTCTACCAAGGGGAAGAGAACAAAGTTTCTTAGATTAGAAAGGGGCAGCATGCACTGTCTGAATGAAAAATAAAAGAAACTTTCACCATTCAGAATGACTATTTTTGCCATGTCCATCTAATGATTAGTTTTCACACAGCATATATATTTAGTTCCTTTACACAGGAATATATCACTTAAAAAAGCATTGTAAATCTACCTAACATTTTCCTAGCATCATCTCCTAAATTTCTGATAGATTCTTCATGCTATTTTACATCCCATTTTAGGGGGCTAATACCCAGCCTAAATCCTCTTTTACCCATAGCCTGTTCTGCCAAGACTCCACTCTGAGTTTGGCCACAGGCTAATCATCACAAGGAGTCTCCTCTTGATTTTAGGTTGTAAGACCGGTGATTTCAAAATATGCCTACAAATTCCCCAATAGTTCTCTCCTTTTCAAGAAGTGGAAGTCTCCTCCTCTTAAGTGTGGACTACACTTAATGACTCACTTCTACCAAATATAATAAAGCCGATGAGACTATGTGCAACTTCTAAGACTAGGTCATAAATGGGGGCTTATCCCTGGCTACTGTTAAATCATTCACTCTGAGGAAAATCATAACTCAAGCAGCCAGCTTGAGTTGAAAATCAACACTCAAGCAGCCAGCTAAGGAGAGACCTGTGTGGCAAGGAACTGAGGCCAAAAGCCATATGAATAAGCTCGGAAAGAATATCATCCAACCCTCATCAAGTCCTCAGATGACTGCAGCCCCAGTCAACATGTTGTAACCTCATGAGCCAAAATCACCCAGTCAAATCAGCTCCCAGTTCCTGATCAACCAATACATGAAATATGCAACGTTTGCCATGTAAACACCTAAATTTTAGGGTGGTTTGTTATATACAGCAATAGATAAATACAAAGACTTAACATCTTTAAACAATGACTACCTGCTTGAAATCAGCACAGTGTACACAAATAAATAGGGATGTTATTAAATGAAGAGACAAGTATGAAGACAGACATGTAAAATGAAAATGGTAAACGTAGCAATAACACACACACACAAAAAAAAAGCACCTTAAAATTCCTTGAAGTCTACTACTAGTGTTGAAATTGACAGGAGAAAATAAGTGTTGCCGTGAGATTCTGAGCAAAATAGAGCTTTCTCTTTAAGTTTCAGATTTGGAAAGGTTTAACTGTCAAGCCCACTACTCAGAACAGTGGAGATGGAGAAGTGTTAATAATAAAGTAGCTTGGCCGGGCGCCATGGCTCACGCCTGTAATCCCAGCACTCTGGGAGGCTGAGGCAGGTGGATCACTTGAGGTCAGAAGTTCGAGACCACCCTGGTCAACATGGTGAAACCCCGTCTCTATGAAAAATACAAAAACTAACCGAGCGTGGTGGTGTGTGCCTGTAGTCCCAGCTACTTGGGAGGCTGAGGCAGAAGAACTGCTTGAACACGGGAGGTGGAGGTTGCAGTGAGCCGAGATTGCCCCACTGCGCTCCAGCCTGGGTGACAGAGTAAGACTCTGTCTCTAAATAAATAAATAAATAAAAATAATTTTTAAAAAGTTTATGTGTGACTTCATGAAGTGTATCAAAGTCAATCATAAAACAATATAACAATCATTTAAACCAACAATCAAAAGCCTCTAACTGGAATGTATCTTTTTCATTATTTGGTTATGATATATTAATACCAGATCCTGGGGAAGCAACAATGAGAGATGCAGAAGCATTCCTGGCCCTGAAGAAGCTTACAGTCTACTGGGTAATACAGACGCTGAATGAACAATTACAAGTACAATACAGAAGGAGCTTATGTTTGGGAAGCTAACCTCTTAATGGAGGGATGGGATTTAGAATCTTTTTTACTGTTATCCTATATATTATTAAGAAGGCATGGAAAGCTTAAGAAACAATTACATTAAAGCAACATTTGAGACAAGGTAAAGCTGAGGGGGAAAACCACAGCTTTTGCTTTGATAAAGATAACCTATATTCGAGTCCAAGACTTAAGGTACTCTCAAAAAGTAACTAAAACTTTATTTTTACTTAACCCTTTGTTTAGATACTTAAACCTGAAATTAAGCCAAAAAGCATAATATGAGACCCCAGAAAACTCACACCCCACTCAACCAACCCAGAGTTTTTACAATTTAAATGGGGCAAAAGATTTCAATAGCACCAACAGCTCAGGGAACATGTTAAACCTCTTGTCTTATATCCAGAAAATCAGAAAACTGGGCTAAACACGATGTATTTCAGAAGGTGTTTAAAATTATTTGCATGATTTAACCTCGCCAAAACAAGCTTGCTAGTTTAAAGACACCTTTATACCAATGCTTCACATCATCAGTGAAAACTGTTTATCAAGAGGGAGCAGTATGGAGTACAGAAACAGCATGAACCAAAATCTCACACTTAATCTTTTAACATTAATGGAATTTCAGAGTAAGTAAATATGACTAAAAATTACAGCAATGGCCAGGCACAGTGGGTCACCTGTAATCCCAGCACTTTGGGAGGCTAAGGTGGGCAGATCACCTGAGGTCAGAAGTTCGAGACCAGCCTGGCCAACATGACAAAACCATGTCTCTACTAAAAATACGAAACTTAGCCAGGCGTGGTTGCGTGGGCCTGTAGTCCCAGCTACTTGGGAAGCTGAGGCAGGATAATCACTTGAACCCAGGAGGCAGAGGCTGCAGTGAGCCAAGATTGCACCACTGCACTCCAGGCTAGGCAACAGAGACTCCTCTCAAAAAATAAAAAATAAATAAATAAATAAATCACAGCGATGGCATAAAGCACTGCTTTGTTTTAAAACTGCATGTGTGTTTTGTCTCCAAGACCTTAATCAACACCCTCAATGACAGCATTCTTATAAATGATAGCCAACTGTAGGTCCTTGCTGTGGCTTCTCTTCTGTGTAAGTATGTACGTCTTTCTCAGTATCATAGTGAACCCTACAGTAAACTGCCTCTCCAGCATTGCTCAAAAGTTACTCCGTTCATAGTGAATTAAGCAAGGTAAAAGAATCATGGAGTGATTGCTACAGAGATGGTCCAGTGTTTGGAGAAGATCTGTGAATGTTTCTTCTAAATATATGATATCGGCTCCAAGTATCAGGTCAAAATCTCTAGGAGAAAAACTCCCCAAATTCTTTCCCCAAGTCGGCTCCTTAACAAAAGCTCTGGGTTGGATACAAGGAGGTAAATTGCCTTGAACATTTGATTTACAAAACTCTAATGCTACTTTTCGATCTATGACAGTCACATGAGCACCCAGCAGGGCAGCCACTATGCCCATCAGCCCTATGCCAGCACCCAGTTTCACTGCGGGGCAGCCCAAGAGCTCCACAGCTCCCATCTCCAGATGTGTGGAGAGAACCATGGCCACATCCCAAACCACTGTGGCAATTCCCAGTTGTCTCCGGTCCTGCCAGATCTGTGTCATGTGGTTCACAAAGGTGGCAAGAGGCTTATGGAATTTCTGCAACCCCAATCCCACGGTCTCCTCATAGGGCAACAGGGCCAATCTGCCTGCACCCAGCCCTCTGACCAGACCTGCACTTAGACTGGATGTTAACGGTTTGAGATTATCCTGCCTTTTGACACAGCCAGAAACATGCAGTCATGGCAGTTCCATCTCCTCAAGACTGAAGTGAACGACACTGGTGGACTTCAAGTCTCTCGCGGGGAGACCAGGGCCCCAGTCCTGCAAAGGACTCCGCATCTGTGAAGCAAAGGCCTCCCCCATAAGTCCCACTATATCTGCCCCCACCCATCCCTCCAAAGGACTGACAGATGCTCCCTTCCTTCCCACAGGCCCCAGAGCTCCTGCTATCCACAGGGGTTGAAAGTAGGAGACAGAGGAGTCCACAGTGCCCTTCAGAATCCCCAAGACACACAGGGTACCTGCTGCACCCTGGGAGTGCAGTGAGCTTCCCCAAGGAGGGCTGACAGCTCGCCCAGACCAGCCCCAGAGCAGGGCCCAAGACACCCAAGGCACCACTATGCCAGTATCACGAGAAATGTTAAAACAACATTTGAAATGGGGTAAAGCTGGGGTATCATGATACATGCTATTTTTAAAGATACGTTTTTCTTACCTCCTTCTTAGGCTTATTTTCTTTCTTTCTCTTTCGTCTTCTTTTTGGAGGAGATAAATTCTCAGTAGATATTTCATCTTCTGAACTACTACAAAATCGAGTAATTCGTCGACGACATGATGTTCTTAAAGGAGGCTGCAAATTGATGCCCGCATCAGCTGTCCAATCGGAATATCTAGATGAAGAGTCACTAGAAAAGGGGAGTGCTTTCAGTTGAATGGAGCCAGAATATAAGCACTGATAGCAAGTCAATCATATAAAATTGAGGGAACAGAGAGAGGAGAAAAAGGGAAGGGAAGATACCAGAAAGACTTAACTTGAGCATTCTCCCCTCACTACCAGCAAGTACTGAAGTGACTAAAGATCATGACAAACATAAGAGAAAAAGAGAAATCTTCACTAACACTAGAAATTAGGAAAGGATGTAAACCCGAAAAAAAAAATTTAGGTATATTGTAGATAAAATATGATGGAAGACAACTAGCAATTACCCCTTCAAGGAAACAAAACACAGACTTATAGAAACATAAGAATCATACAAAACCCCAAAAATAGGCCCCACCACTACCCCCATGTTGGAGGAAGCTGAGGTATAGACCAGGAATTTCAACTGGAATCACAAGCCATCAATGAACACACTGAGAAGCCCAAGGGAAGCATAGCTACACCAAACTGAAAGCCTTAAGTAGTCAGTTTCTTGCCAAGAGGAGTCTCCCTGATAGAAAGAGACTAGTCCTAGTCCTTAGCAAAATCAGAGTCAAAGAGGAAACTAGTTATAGAAAACTAGTCCCTGGTCCACTACTAGCTTCACCAAACAGAAATAATAATAAAAATAAAGGACTCTACTTGGGCCATCCTTGGCCCAACTTCAACCAACCACACACCTTTTCGTCTCTATCAAATACACAGGTAAACACATTACAAAAAGGTATTTATTAGAAAAAGAGCTTATTTATGAAAATTATAAAAGCATCTGTTTTAGATAAATAAAATTCAAGAAAAGTTGAATTAGAAGACAATGAATGAAAACACGGAAGGTAGAATAGTGGTTGCCAGGGACATGAGGAAGGGTAAAGAAAAGAATCATTCTTTAATTGGTATAGAATTTCCGTTTTGCAAGATAAACAAGGTTCTGGAGACTGGCTGCACAACTATGTCAATGTACGTAACAGTACTGAACTGCATGCTTTAAATGGTTATATTTCTGTTATGTGTATTTTACCACAATTAAATTTGTTTAAAAAAAGATAATACATTATGTTCTTAAAAAAATCATTCTAGCTCCTTATCATAATGAAGTAAAACAAGACAAGAAAGGAAGCAGAGAGTATGTGATAATGGTTTGAACCAAACAGTACCAATTAAAAAAAAAAGAAAGATGATCTGAGTGATAGGAAGGAGAATTTTCTAGCCATGTTACGGATAGGTGGACAAGAGAGATTAAGGTCCAGTTTTCTGGATTGAGGATCTGTTGAGATGAAGGTGACGTGCACCAAGAACCAGAGGCTGACATTTTGGACCCAGGAAATCTGGATCTCAAAACTAACAAAAATTCAACACATGCAATAATAATGAATATACTGTGGTTTTACCACACATACTTTAGATACTAGTCTTTTTAAGTGCAACCAAGATTAAATTTATATTTTCAGTATGCATGTTCAACAGTGCTGGGTCAACTGCTTAAAGTCAAAAAAAAAAAAAAAAAAACTCCTGAAATACTCCTATAGGAACAGCTGTTGGATCTAGTTTTTGTCTCCTTTTAAGTGTATTAAAAACTGTTCCACAGTTGCAAATTCTTGCCTCTTGAATAAAATTCAAGTATGATTCCATCCAAGACTATGACTAAAATGCTTAAAAGACCACAACAATAAAAACAGATACCTTGAACTTTCGCTGTAACTCTCACTTTTTCTGTCACTTCTCCATTCATCCTCTTCTGAAGAACCAGAACCTTCACTCTGATCACAGGAAGTCTCCTAATTTGTGAAGGGGGGAAAAAAATCTTGATCCCTGAAGTTAAACAACACATGTCCAGAAAAAAGCTGTACACAATCCTCCCCAGTAAGATTAAATCATCTAAGAAAAATGAACAGTAATCAGTAAATATATAATCAGATAAACTTAAAAAGCAAACTTCTTCACTACATCCCTTTCTTATCAAAGCATAAGACAAAAAGAGAACATCCGTAAGATTTAACACTACCACCATTAGCAAAGAAAGTGATACAACAGGCCATTCTGAGTAAAGTTAATAAAAAGTCAATGTAAATGTTTTCCATTTTGGACTTTAGCTATTCTAATAGATGTATCTAATTGTTGTTCTAGTTTTCAATTCCCTGTGACATATTTTGGTAGCTTTTCATATGGTTATTTGTCATCTGTTTATCTTCTTTGGTGAGGTGTCTGTTAGATCTTCTGCCCATTTTTAAATTAGGCTGCCTTCTTATTGCTTGGTTTTAAGAGTTCTTTGTATATTGTGAATATAAGTCATTTATCAGATATAAGTTTTACTAATATTTTATCCTGGTTTGTGGCTTATCTTTTCATTCTTTTAATAGTGTCTTTCCCAAAGCAGTTTTCATTTCAGTGTAGTCCAAATTTTTTATATTTTTTCTTTCATGATTGTGCTTTTGATATTGTATCTAAAAAGGTCAATGCCACACTCATGGACACATAGATTTTGCCCTTTGTTATCTTCTAGAAGTTTTATGGTTTTTTTGTTTTACATTTACATTAAGCTTATGATTCATTTTGAGTTAATTTTTGTGAAAGACTGGTGTCTAGGATTTATTTTGTATGTGAATGTCCAGTTATTCTACCACTGGCTGAAAATGATAAATTTGTCCACCAAGTTCTCTTTGCTCCTTTGCCAAAGATCGTTTGAATATATTTGTGTCAGTCTGTTTCTGGGCTCTTTATGTTGTTCCATTGATCTGTTCTTTCACCAGCATCACTGTCTTGAAAACTGCAGATTTACAGTAAGTCTTAATGCCAAGTAGAGTGTCAGTCTTTCAGTTTTATTCTTCTTCAGTGTTGTGCTGGCTATACTGGATCTTCTTCCTCTCTATATAAACTCGAAAAATCAGTTTGTCAGTAAAATTAATTTGCTGGGATTTTGTTTGGGATTGTGAATCTACAGATGATGCTGGAAAGAATTTTTTAACAAGGGTGTGGATCAGCAGGAACTCTCATTCATTACTGATAGGAATGCAAAATGGTACAGCTACTTTGGAAGACAGTTTAGCAGTTTCTTATAAAACTAAACATAATAAGATCCAGCAATCACACTTGATGTTTACCCAAATGAGGTGAAAAATTATGTCCGCACAAAAACCTACACCCAGATGTTTATACCAACTTTATAATGGCCAAATCTTGGAAGCAACCAACACATCCTTCAGTAGGTAAACTGATAAAACTATGGTATATCCAGACAATGAAATATTATTCTGTGCTAAAAAAAACAAACAAACAAACAAAAAAATCAAGCCATGAGAAGGCATGTAGGAAATGTAAATGCATATTAATAAATGAACGAAGCCAATCTGCAAAGGCTACTAGCTATATGATTCCAATTACATGGCATTCTACAAAGATAAAACTATGAAGACAAAAAATCAGTGATTGTCAGGGGCTGTTGGGAAGAGAAAGATGAACAGATGGAGCACAGAGGATTTTTAGGGCAGTAAAATCATTCTGTGTGATATTATAATGGTGGATACATGTCATTATAAATTTGTTAAAAAATTAACTGGGCATGGTAGCACATGCCTGTAGTCCTAGCTACTCAAGAGTCAGAAGCTGGGAAATCACTTGAGCCTAGGAGTTCGAGGTTGCAGTGAGCTATGATTGCACCACTGCACTCCAGCCTGGGCCATAGGGCAAGACCCTGTCCCTAAGAAAAAGAAAAAATCAAATAAATATATCCCCAAATGACACTTCTAGCAGTACAAAAATACGTATACAAAATATTATTCACTGTAGCATTATTTATAATGTAAACATTGGAAACAACCTAACTGCCCATAACCAGGAGAACGATTCAATAAACTGTTTCAATCATGCCATAAAGTACTACATAACTCTTAAAACAAATAAGGATCATATGGAGTGATCTCAAAGATATTTTAAGTGAAAAATGTCAAGTGTGGGACTATCTGTAGTATGCTGTATTTTGTATAAGAAGGATAAATAACTTTTGAAATATTTGTACTAAATACAATTTGGTTAACGACAAAAAAAGAACAGTAAGTAAATAACTAAACTCTACATACTAGGGTTTTTACCACAGGGTAAGTAAATCTTTTTTTTTTTGTTTTTTGAGACAGAGTTTCACTCTGTCACCCAGGCTGGAGGGCAGTGGCACTGTCTCGGCTCACTGCAACCTCCACTTCGTGGGTTCAAACGATTCTCCTGTCTCAGCCTCCCAAGTAGCTGGGATTACAGGCACCCGCCACCACGCCCAGCTAATTTTTTTTTTTTTTTGTATTTTTTGTAGAGACAGCCTTCAGCCACCCAGCCTAGTAAATCTTAAACTACTTTCTGTGTATGTAGAATTAAACAAATAAGTTTATGATAAATAACAGGGCTGGGCATGGTGGCTCACGCCTGTAATCCCAGCATTTTGGGAGACCAAGTCGGGCAGATCACTTGAGGTCAGGAGTTCAAGACCAGCATGGCCAACATGGTGAAACCCTGTCTCTACCAAAAACATAAAAAAATTAGCCGGGTGTGGTGATGCATGCCTGTAATCCCTGCTACTTGGGAGGCTGAGGCAGGAGAATCGCTTGAACCCAGGAGGTGAAGGTAGCAGTGAGCCAAGACTGTGCCACTGCACTCCAGCCTGGGCAACAGAGCAAGATTCCATCTCCAAAGTAAAAAAAAAAAAAAAAAAAAAAAAAAAAAAAAAAAAAAAAAAGATTTAAAAATCTAAATAAATAACAGGAGCCAGGTTTCTCTGTACAGAAGGGAAGTACAAACGGGTATCATTAAAATCAGAATAATGTGAAGTCGTGCATAACAATGACAGATATACAGACAAAAAAATACATGTGTCTGCATATAATATGTATACACAGGCATACTTTTTATCGTGCTTTACTTTATTGTGCTTCACAGTTGTGTTTTTTACAAATTGAAGTTTTGTGACAACCCTGAACCCAGTAAATTTATTGGTGCCATTTTTAAACAGCATGAGCTCATTCTTGTCTCTATGTCACATTTTAGTAATTACCATATTTCAAACTTTTTCATTTTTATTGTATCTGTTACTGTGATTTGTGATTAATGATCTTTGATGTTACTATTCTAATTGTTTTGGGGGCACTAGGAACAATACTCATATAAGATAGCACACTTAATGAATACCATGTGTGTTCTGACTGCTCCAGTCTATTCCCTGAGATACAATATTGCAATTAGACCTACTAATAACCATACAATAGCTTCTAAGTATTCAAAAATGAAAGAGTCACACATATCTTACTTTAACTCGCAATGTAGAAATGATTAAGCTTAGTAAGGAAAGCATGGTGAAAGCCAACACAGGCTAAAAGCTAGGCCTCTTGCACCAAGTAGCCAAGTTGTGAATGCAAAGGAAAAGTTCTTCCAAGAAATATAAAATGCTATTCCAGTGAACACACAAATGGTAAGAAAGCAAAATAGCCATACGGCTAATATAGAGAAAGTTTTGGTGTCTGGATAGAGGGTCAAACCAGCAATAACATTCCCTTAAGCCAAAGCTTAACCCAGAGCAAGGCCCTAACTCTCTTTAATTCTATGAAGGCTGAGAGGTGACAAAGCTGCAGAAGAAAAGATGGAAACTTGCAGAGGTTGGTTCATGAGGTTTAGGGAAAGAAGGCATGTCCATAACATAAAAGTGTAAGGTGAAGCAGCAAGTGCTTTAATGGAGAACCTGCAGCAAGTGATCCAGAAGATCTAGCTAAGATAATCAAGGAAAGTGGCTACAATAACAGATTTTAAATGCAGATGAAATAAATAGCCTTCTATTGGAAGAGGATGACATCTAAGACTTTCACAGCTAGAGGGACTTATGGCTTCAAAGCTTCTAGGACAGGCTCACTCTCTTGTTAGGGCTAATGCAGCTGGTAACTTTCAACTGAAGCCACTGTTCATTTTTACCTTTTCAAAAATCTCAGGCCCCTTAAGAATTATGTTAAATCTGCTCTGCCTGAGCATAAGAAATGGAACAACAAAGCCTAGGTGACAGCACATCTATTTACAGCATCATTTACAGCATGGTTTACCAGATATTGTAAGCCCACTGTTCAGACCTACTGAGCAGAAAAAGAAGACTCCTTTCCAAATATTACTGCTTGTGGACAATAGACCTAGCCATCCAAGACCTCTGATGGGCACATCAAAGGAGATTAATGTTGTTTTCATGCCTGCTAACACCACATCCATTCTGCAGCCCATGGATCAAGGAGTAAATCCAACAATCAAGACTGTAATTTTACCATAGAGAAACCTGCAAACACCACCACCTTAGGAAGTGATCAAAGCACGTATCACCAGTAGTGGGACAAAACAAATCATGTGCTTTCTGATGTGATGCACTGAGAAGAACAGTATATTTTCTGTCATATTACTGCCAAAAATGCATGACCCTAATCATCAAAATTACCAGTCATAAATCATCAAAAAATATCAACATTAAAACAAAAATCAAGGAACTAGACTAGATTCAGGTTACTAAACAGACACAACAAAATGTAACACGTGATCCAGGATTTTATTTTGCTATGAAAATTATCAGGACCATTGACTGGTAAAATTTGAGTAAGATCTGCAGATCTGATAATGACATTATATTGTTGTTTATTGCCTCATTTTTTGTTTTTTTGACACAGTGTCTCACTGTGTCACCCAGGCTAGAGTTACACTGGCGCAACCAAGGCTCATTGCAGCCTCAACCTCCTAGGCTCAAGTGATTATCCTGCCTCAGATTCCAGAGAAGCTGGGACTACAGGTGTGTCACCACACCCAGCTAATTTTTTTTTTCTCATTTTTTTGTGGAGGAGGGCTTGCCCCGTATTGCCCAGGCTGGTCTCGAACTCCTGGGCTCAAGCCATCCTCCCACCTCAGTCTCCCAAAGTGCTGAGAATTACAGGCATGAGACACTGCACCCAGCCTGATTTTGATAATTATATCACTTGTTTTTGAAAATACACAAGGAAATATGTAGATATCAAGAGGCATATGTACAACTCACTCTCAAAAGGATTAAAACATATTCATACATACAGGAGAGTGATAACAGTCAGGGTGGTAAACACAAAGGAATTTTTATTATTCTTAGAACTTTCAAGTCTGAAATTACATCAAAATAAAAAATTTACACCTGACAGATAGGAGGCATTCAATAAATTTTTTTTTAAGTTTAATTTCCCCAAATCCTCAAGTGAACTGATGCTTCGGTAAGGCAGGGTTTCTGCTCTGAGATCATGCTGCTAACTTTTTTTTTTCTTTTTTTGAGATCTGTCGCCCAGGCTGGAGTGCAGTGGCGCGATCTCGGCTCACTGCAAGTTCTGCCTCCTGGGTTCAATGCCATTCTCCTGCCTCAGCCTCCCTAGCAGCTGGGACTACAGGTGCCCACCACCATGCCTGGCTAATTTTTTGTATTTTTAGTAGAGATGGGGTTTCACCGTGTTACCCAGGATGGTCTTGATCTCCTGCCCTTGTGATCCACCCACCTCGGCCTCCCAGAGTGCTGGGATTACAGGCATGAGCCACTGCACCCGGCCCATGCTGCTAACTTTTTATATAAATGTGGGAAAGTTACTGAACCTCCATATCTGTACCTCAGTTTCCTCATTTTTAAAAGAGATTATAAGAGTGCCTGAATTCCTACTTGTTGGAATGATGAAATTAGATAACGTGTAAACCATTTAGAATAGTGCCTCCCAGGCATAATAAAATGCATTAATGTTTAGCCCTTTTATAGCACTTTTTACATATTGATTGTATGATTTTGTATATCCTTGACAGTAATTAATGTATTTCCACATCAATAATGATAATGGCACTACATACCACCCTAGCCTTTCTAGAATGACCTTACGTAACAGTTTTCCCAAAGGAAACCATCCCATGTCTACTGTGTTGGGCAAATTCAAGGTACTTGAGGCGGAGAGGTTGGAACAGAGCTGCATGGTAAAATAGTTATTTCCAGACTAGGATACTACACCTTCCTCCCAAAGGCAAAGTCTATATATAACCCTTTATTCCAAACCATGATACAACCTGACTATCCAATTGCTTAAGTCATACAATGTAAGTTACATATAGAAACTTTGGAAGAAATATATATATATATATATATATATGCAGAAAAAGAAAAGAGAAAAAGGTCAACCAGCATAAAAATGACAGATAATAAAATAATTATTTCCTATTATATCCTGGGGGACAGAGCAAGACCCCATCTCAAAAAAAAAAGAATGTAAAAACATTCTCATTACATAATATAATAGTTTAGCCAGGCAGGGTGGCTGGTGCCTGTTAATCCCAGCTACTTGGGAGGCTGAAGGAGGAGGACAGCTTGAGCCCAGGAGTTTGAGGCTACAGTGAGCCATGACTGCACCATGCACTACAGCCTACGCAACAGAGCAAGACCCTGTCTCAAAAAAATAAAAACAGTTTAAACAGATGGTTTTAATCATAATCGTAGCTAACATTATTGTGTATTAGGCACTATTTAAACACATTGCATTACTGATTAAATTAATTCTCACCACACCTCTGAGGTACATGTTACCACGCCTCTGAAGTACATATTACATAGGCAGAGGCACAGAAAAGCTAAGCAACATGACAAAGTAAAAGAATTTGGATTTAAACTCAAACCCCATGCTTAATTATTAACCTACTGCATCATAAGACAATTAAATGAACTTTTCAGTCATATCTAATACTTCATTCCTCAAAACATTACTCAGTCAGGAAATTTTAACACTGTAGTATTAAATACTTTTTTTTTTGGTTTTTTTTTTTTTTTGAAACAAGAGTCTCGCTCTGATGCTCAGGCTGGAGTGCCGTGGCGCAGTCTCGGCTCACTGCAACATCCACCTCCCGGGTTCAAGCTATTCTCCTGCCTCAGCCTCCCAAATAGCTGGGATCACATGCACCTACCACCACGTCAAACTAAATTTTGTCTTTTTAGTAGAGACAGGGTTTCACCATGTTGGCCAAGCTGGTCTTGAAGTCCTGACCTCAGGAGTCATCTGCCCACCTTGGCCTCGCAAAGTCCTGGGATTACAGGCATGAGCCACCGTGCCCGGCCTATTAAATACTCTTTACCAAAAAAGTTGGTTTCTCCCTCAAACAAATCAAAATGAAGACAAATAGCTTACATATGATTATTAAAAATCAATCAAAGATATTAAACAAAGACTTAGACACAACAGTAAAAGAAGCTACTAAGGAAAAAATAAAATGAATGTCATCAATATTTAAAACTTTCATCCTCAAAAGACACCACCAAAGAAGTGAAAAGACAACCCACAGAATGGGAGAAAAATTCTACAAGTAATATATCTACAAGTCATAAAGGACTGTATCCAGAACATATAAAGAATTCTTACAACAATAAAAAGACCCCCCAAAAAAAGTGAAAAATAAGCAAAAGATCTGAAGAAGCATCAAACATGTTCAACATTACTGGTCATTAGGGAAATGCAAACTGAAACCAAGAGATACCACTTCACGCCCATTAAGATAGCATAAATAAAATGGAATAATAACAATCATTGGTGAGGATGTAGAGAAACTGGAACTCTCATATTTCTGGTGGGAATATAAAATGGTAGAGCCAATCTGAAGGAGTCTGGAGGGTCCTCAAAAAGTTAAAACATAAAACTTGCCATACGACCCAGCATACCATCTCCTAGCGTGACCCAAAAGAAATGAAAACATATGTCTAAACAAAAACCTGTCATGAATGTTGATAAGCAGCACTATTCATAACAGCCAAAAAGTGGAAACAATACAAATGTCCATCAACTGATAAATGGATAAACAAAATGTGGTACATCCAATGGGAGAATTACTAGGCAATAAAAAGTAAAAAAAGAATGAAGTATTGATACATGCTACACAAATGCTCAACATACTAATCATTAGAGAAAACATTATGCAATGTCAAAGAAGCCAGTCACAAAATCATATTTTAAGAGCCCGTCCGGCTGGGCGTGGTGGCTCACGCCTGTAATCCCAGCACTCTGGGAGGCCGAGGCAGGTGGATCACAAGGTCAAGAGATCCAGACCATCCTAGCCAACATGGTGAAAACCCCTTCTCTACTAAAAATACAAAAATTAGCTGGGCCACCACTCACCTGTAGCCCCAGCTACTCGGGAGGCTGAGGCAGAAGAATCGCTTGAACCCGGGAGGCAGAGGTTGCAGTGAGCCGAGATCGCGCCACTGCACTGCAGCCAGGCAAGACAACGAGACTCCGTCTCAAAAAAAAAAAAAGGGCCCATTCATATAAAATGTCCAGAACAGGCAAATGCAGAAAAAGAAAATGTATCAGTGATTGTGAGGGGCTGGGGGAGAGGGAGGGACTGGCAAGTGACTGTAAATGGGAATAGGGTTTCTTTTAGGGATGATGAAATGTATTAAAATTTAATAGAGGTGACGATGGCCCAACTCTGTCAATATACTACAGGTTATATACCCCTTATCCAGAACGCTGGGGAATAGAATTGTTTCAGATTTCGTATTTTTCCAGATTTTGGAAAATTTGCATTTGCACTTACAGGTTGAGCATGCCAAATCCAAAAATCCAAAATCTGAAATGCACACTAGAACATCATGTTTATATACAGAAAGTTTCAGATTTTGGTGCATTTCAAAATTCTGAGTTGGGATGCTCAACATGTAAAACCACTGGATTGCACAAGTATACAGTATGTGACTATCTTAGCCATTAAAAGTTTTTGTTAACATTCAAAATGTGAAATTTCATATTAATCTCTGCAGAATGCTGTGTTTTCATATAAATTTGGGGTATATTCATTCAAAGTAAAGAATTAAGCCAAATTCATTTAAGATTATCTTATAACATTTTAAAGTTTTCCACTCACATGTCTTACAGAGCTTGAAGACTCATTTCCAGAAGATAACTCACGCCAGCTACGATTTCTTCTACCATAATTTGGATATTTACGCCTACATGTCCTTTGTCTAGACTGTGATACCAAAACCACTGAATCCGACTGAAACACAGAAAAACATGCGAATGAAAATCAACACCTAAATAAGGACAATATCAACAAAATGGGCATTCCGTCAAGTTTCCAGAAGGATTTAAAGCAAAAAGAAAAAAAGGCTTAAAAAGAAGGTAGCATTTTTGCCATACAGTTTTAACTCAAGCTTAGTAGTTTTACTTTTAAGGTCCTTAGAAAACATGAGAAAATGCACATTAGATGGGCATTTTCCAAACTATGCTGTAAGTTAACTGGTTTACCACGAATGAGGGAAAATAACAATAATCTGAAAAGGATGTCACCTTAAAAGTATACATCTCAGAAATGAAAAATACATATTCGTACATTATGATGCAGTAAGCAACTTCTCAAGGAATTTCTCACTATCTCTATACATAGGTGTAAAGAAAAAATGTTCAACATACTAATCATTAGAGAAATGCAAATCAAAACCACAATGAGATACCATCTCACACTAGTCAGAATGGCTATTATTAAAAAGTCAAGGCCAGACGCGGGGGCTTACACCTGTAATTCCAGCACTTTGGGAGGACAAGGCAGGCAGATCACTTGAGCCCAGGAGTTCGAGACCAACCCAGGCAACATGGAGAAACCTGCCCCTAAAAAACAACAAAAACAAGAACAAACAAACAAAAAACGAAAAATTAGCTGGGCATGGTGGTACACAGCTACAGTCCCAGCTACTAGGGAGGCTGAGGGGGGAGGATCACTCAAGCCCAGGAGGTTGACGCTGCAGTGAGTGAGCCATGATTGCACCACAACACTCCAGCCTGGGCAAGAGTGAGACCCTATCTCCCAAAAAAAAAAAAAAAAAAAAAAAAAAAAAAAAAAAAAAAACACTGGGGGGTGGAGGGCATCAAAAAATAGCAGATGCTGGTGAAGTTGCAGAGAAAAGAGAATGGTTATACACTGCTAGTGAAACTGTAACTTAATTCAACCACTGTGGAAAGCAGTTTGATGATCCCTCAAAGAACTTAAAACAGAATTACCATTCCACCGAATAATCCCATTACTGGGTATATACCCAAAGGAAAAGAACTCATTCTACCATAACGACATATATACACCTATGTTCACTGCAGCACTATTCACAATAGTATAAGACATGGAATCAGCCTAAATGCCCATCAATGGTAGACTGGATAAAGAAAATATGGTATATATAAACTATGGAATACTACCCAGCCATAAAAAAAAAACGAGATCATGTCCTTTGCAGCAACATGGGTGAAGCTGGAGGCCACTATCCCAAGTGAACTAACATCAGAATAGAAAACCAAGTACCACATATTCTAACTTACAAGTGAGAGCCAAGCATTGAGTACAGAAGGGAACAACAGACATCAGAACCTACCTGAGGGCACAACGTGGAAAAAGGGTGAGGACCGGGAAACTACCTATCAAGTACAATGCTTATTATCTGGGTAACAAAATAATCCATACACCAAAACCCTATGACTCGCAATTTACCTATATAACAAACTTGCACATATACCCCTGAAGCTAAAAGTTTTCTTTTTAATGTTCAAATATTAACTGTAAGTATGTGTATTTTCAGGTTTTTAATGTTTACATAATTTGTTGTCTGTGCTTTTCAGTTCTGAATGTTTTAAATATATTTTTATCAAAACAGAATAATCATTCAAAATCAGCCAAATAAAGTAACTATATTGGTTTTAGTTTTTTTAAAAGGCATGCCATTCCCCAACCACAAAAGCAGATGAGATTACCCAATGAGAGCACATATTCCTTACATTTATGCACAAATCAATTTTCACATGAGTGGCCATCTGTCTAATGAGCACTGGTCAGTTTTAGAATTTCAACATTATCACTGGATGATCTTAAAATGAACTGAATGTTCCTTAATTTGTCAGTACTGATTTTGGCAAAAACTCGTATTAATGAGTTTCACGAGTGATAATAGGTTAACATGTAGGTGGGCCAAACTTTCACTAAGAAAAACTAGAAAATCTGGTAAAACATATTTTTTAACAAATCTGTTTAAAGGCACTTTATGCCTTAAAAGGTTATGAAGAATCACAGAACCAAGATCAAAAAAAGAAGGGGGGTGTGTGTGTGTGTGTGTGTGTGTGTGTGTGTGTGTGTGTGTATACACACACACATAGATATATATATATTTTAACCCTAGAATTTCATTCTGGAAGAGGAAGCTGGAAGGTTTAGCAAGTAAGCAAAATCACAGACTAACTCATGAGTTAGGCTAATAAACTTGCAATTCATGGCCTCCTATATGTAGGGGACTCCCTCGGGCTTTGGCTGTTAGCCCAAAAGGCTACAGCCTAGACCTGTAGGTAAACTACAGATAGAACAGTAATCCCAAGGAACTAAGGCCCATTCTTGTTCGGATAAGGCAATAAGGCTTGAGAGTGGCCCCAGAAGGCTGCCAGAAGTCAATGTAAATCGTCTCTGGGAATAAAGCCATCCTGTGCTTCAAATCTTTTCTAACATTTAACAATCAAAAAAGAAACAAAAATATGATGATAAAAAAGGAGAAAAATCAACAGGCAATAGAAAATGGTCCACAGGGAAGCAAGACATTGAAAAAAATGAAATTACCAGACCTGTTTTTAAAATAGCTATGGCTGCTTTCCAAGTAATTAAAACAATGAGAATTTTAGTAGAAAACTGAGAGCCCTTAAAAAAAAAAAAGAAGAACCAAATGACAATTCAGAATCAAATAATTTAGTAACTAAAATTAAGAACTCAATACCATTGTTAGGCACTAGGCAATTTTTCTCAAGTTTTCAAACTACTCCTTTCTAACAGCTATATAACCTTAAGTCTACTATTTTAAATCTCAAACAGAAAACCTTAAGCAAGAAATACTCCACTTCAGATGAAAGTTACTGATAGTTTTATAAATCAAAAAGAAAACTCTATATTTCAATGTAATTTCTAATTTGCTAAGAAAACAGAATTTAGGTTACCTTATGTGAGAGCTGAAGAGTCTTTCTTTTTCTTCCTATTATATAAAGATTTCTTTCCTCTTCACCTTTCTCTAATCGGAAGTCTTCCAGCTTCCTACAAATTTAAATACCCAGTTATATTAACTACTGAACTGATGGATAACTAAAGGATATAAAGAATAAAAACCAGTGTGATTCTATAAATCATAAGTTTATGTACTTTAAAAATACACAAAATCTCTGAAGTTAAAACATGTTAAAAATTTATATGAATATAAATAAAATCTCAGAGGCAGTTAAACCTATTTTTCATATCAGAGGCAAAAATATTCATTCGTTTTCTGATTGGTACTATCAGGACCAATTCAAACAGAATCTCCCATAATAGCTTTTCAAAACGTCTTCATGATTTTCCAAGATTGCAATTCCTTTCTCTAAAGAAAAAATAAGCAGAGTCTGCCTTCTCCACATTTATTCAAGCTATGTTTGATAATTTATAGAAAACAAGAATAGCAATGTTACTGGTTTTTCTAATCACCTATATTTCACTCACATGATACAACAAAAAGATTATGTTATTGTGACCAATTTCAAAGCAAAGGACCTGCCACCAAGAAGAAGGTACTAAAAATCATTTTTCTTCTCTGGAAAAGACTGACTGTCCCTTTTCTCCAACTGGAACATTATTAAAAACACGTGGCTTTTATGTTTTTGTTTACTTTAACATCTCAAAGGAAAAAGATTTATACTGAAATCTTGGCCATGTTCCAAGGTATAACTAGACACTCAACAGAGTGTAAGAGTAAATGCTGTAAGGATAAAAACTGATTTTTAAGAACACTGCATTTTTCTCTAAGTACGCCAGACAGCCCACACTCAAGATTACAGTAGAACATTATTTTATCCAGCGGGGATTTCTAAAGCAGACTCAACCTTTCACAGGTTGTCAATTTCACTGCTTTATGTGTGTTTAAGGAACCATATAACGAGATTTTCAGCTTGCAGCCAAATGAAAGTCCCACCTGATATCTGTATGTTTCCCTTTGACAATAAAGCAATACATACAATTGATTCTCAATCAATAAAACAAAGGAACACTTGACATAGGTATCATTTTCAGCTGCATGCAATTTTACTCCTAATGAGATGGTCAGCTAAGAAAAGTGGTATTAGCAAAGATCATAGAGTGTATATAAAAGAATTTTTATACGGCCGGGCGCAGTGGCCCACACCTGTAATCCCAGCACTTTAGGAGGCCAAGGTACATGGATCACCTGAGGTCAGGAGTTCACGACCAGCCTGGCCAACATGATGAAACCCCGTCTCTACTAAAAATACAAAAAATTAGCTGGGCTTGCCAGCTACTCTGGAGGCTGAGGCAGGAGAATCGCTTGAACCAGGGAGGTGGAGGCTGAAGTGAGCCAAGATCACACCATTACACTCCAGCCTGGGCAACAAAAGCAGAACTCCGTCTCAAAAAAAAAAAAAAAAATTTATAATGAATAGAATTTCTACCGTTATTGGATCAAGACAAACTACGTGCCTGAATCCTAGGCACAAAAAGAATTACTTATACTGGCAAGCAACATTATATGCTCATAGCTCTGCACAGCTGTCATTTACCTTTATGCTTTTATATCTATTACTCCAATTTTTCACATTGGACACAAACTTTTATAGTCAGAAAACAAATTTTTAAATACTCTTCATCCTTATCAAATGATATCCTAACATACAGTTATGAAAAATTCACCCTTGTTTCCACTATTGGAACTGTTGTCATGGGCAATGATCACCACATCTCAATCAATTATCGCCTTTATAAAATTTCACATGAGCTTTCTTTTAGAATAAAATGCTAGAAAGAGCTATGTTCTTTTTTGTGAAAATTATATTATGGCAGATAGCTAGCTGCCGTTCTCCTTTTCTTCCTTAGAAACACAATACCAATTTTTATCCAGGTTCTTTGCTGCTCTAAATAGATACTGTGTTACCTACTCTCCTCCTTAGCTTATTATGGTCAAATGACAACATTCTGGTCAATGAGTTATAAGCAGAAATGCCACATGGCTACTTAAAGTAAGTTCCTTTGACTAGAAATGCCCTTTTTGACATCTGAACATCTTTCTTCTTTTCTTCTAAATTTCAACCTACATCACAAATACAGATATGTAATAGCTACAGCTTCAGCAGCTATCTTGGACTATGCGGTGACCTTAAGACTAGAAGCCAAGGCTGGATGCGGTGGCTCACGCCTGTAATCCCAGCACTTTGGCAGGCCGAGGCAGGTGGATCACCTGAGGACAGGAGTTTGAGACCAGCCTGGCCAACATGGTGAAACCCCATCTCTACTGAAAATACAAAATTAGCCGGGTGTGGTGACCCATGACTGTAATCCCAGCTACTCTGGAGGCTGAGGCAAGAGAATCGCTTGAGCCCAGGAGGAGAGGCTGCAGTGAGCTGAGATCATGCCACTGCACTCCAGCCTGGGTGACAAAAGCGAAACTGTCTCAAAAAAAAAAAAAAAAAAAAAAAAAGGACTAGAAGCCAAGCTCCACGATGGGGATGAGAAACACAGGAGTCTAAGTTCCTGATTAACTGTGGAACCACTATTCCAGCCTTAGATTATTTCTAGTCTTCCTTCGGATAAGAAAATAAATGCTTGTGTTTTAAGAAACTAATTTTTCAGGTCTTTCTCTCTTGACACCTGTTTGCTTCCCTTGGTTTTGAAAAAGCATCCCAAAATGACACTTTTGGTTCTGATGACCATAAGACTTAGACGCCAATTTAAAACTTAATTACAGCATACTATATACATATTGATTTTCTGTATTTCTCATCACAATTCCACATTTTGCTTTTCACTATTTTCTAGTCCTTCCCAAATTCACAGAACAATATATAAGTACTATCTAATAACACTCCAGCATTCACTGAAACTCTTCTGGTTAAACATATAAAAACACAAAGATAAATTTACAAAATTATCTTCAAGCTATTAAGTTATTATGACATACAAACATGAGAAAATACTGAAACATTTTAGATATCATTCTAAAAAGTATTTCCTGTTTCCATTTCAATAACTCAAATCAGTACATTACAACTCAGCACCAAGGACACTACTGCCCATATTATAATTACAAAATATCATTTCTACACTTGATCTTAGCCAAAAGGCCAAGAAGCAATATAAAATATCATTTCTTAGGCTGGGCGTAGTGGCTCACACCTGTAATCCCAGCACTTTGGGAGGCCGAGGCAGGCAGATCACCTGAGGTCGGGAGTTCAAGACAAGCCTGACCAACATGGAGAAACCCCGTCTCTACTAAAAATACAAAATTAGCCAGGCGTGGTGGCGCATGCCTGTAGTCCCAGCTACTCGGGAGGCTGAGGCAGGAGAATCACTTGAACCCGGAGGCAGAGGTTGCAGTGAGCCAAGATCGTGCCATTGCACTCCAGCCTGGACGAGAGCAAAACTCTGTCTCAAAAAAATAAAAGAAATAACATTTCTTACTAAAAGAAAATAGGGCTGCTTAATTTCAGATATAGGTCAAAAATTTACAAGATGAACTATAATATCTTCCCCTGTCTCATAGTAAGGATGCTATGGAAAACTACTAGTCATTTTGAAAGGACAGGGAGCCTTAGAAAAGAGGCTCCTCATGGCTAGAAAAGAGATGATTTAAACATCAATAAAGAATATCAGAAATAAGTTAAACCCCAGCTATTTGATTTATACATTAAAACACACACACATACAAATTGGTCGCTGTTGAATAATGAAAAGGAATAAATCTTTATTTTGAGGGGAAATAAAGCAAAATAATCAAGCCATCTACTCTGCCTTTCCTACACAAACTTTGCTACTTGAAAACTAAGTATACTTGGGTTTCTTTTTTAGATTTCTTTTTCAGAAGTGTCCAAGATAATAAATGAAGAAGTTTTCATAGAGTTAAAAATCATGATTATACAACAGCTAATAAATTAATGAATCTACACATTAAGCACTGATAGCTGCTAACATCACAAAAACCGAGGAGGCTATTTATGTGTGCCTTCTGATAGAATTATCACTTATGAAGCAGTCTTGCAAAAAACTGAAAACATTTATGACACCTGAAACAACTGGAAATTTAAACACAGCCTGGATATTTGGTTATACTGAGAAACCAAGGTACGGTTTTTTTAAGGTGTGATAACAGCATTATTTTATATATTTTAAAATTTCTTATCTTTAGAAATACACACTTATACGCTTATGGACAAAAATAATATTACATCTAGAATTTCTTTCAAAATAATACTGAAAGGACAAAAGTGGGTGTGTGTGTGCATGGACAAAAAAAGACGGAGCCGGGCGTGGTGGCTCATGCCTGTAATCCCAGCACACTGGGAGGCTGAGGCAGGTGGAGCGCCTGAGGTCAGGAGTTCGAGACCAGCCTGGCCAACATGGTGAAACCCTGTCTCTACTAAAAATATAAAAAATTAGCTGGGTGTGGTGGCGGGCGCCTGTAAGCCCAGCTACTCAGGAGGCTGAGGCAGGAGAATCGCTTGATCCCGGGAGGTGGAGGTTGCAGTGAGCCGAGATCATGCCACCGCACTCCAGCCTGCGCAACGAGAGCGAAACTCCGTCTCGAAAAAAAAAAAGAAAAGAAGCAAGACTGGCTCTGAAAACCTTTAATGTAGTAAAAACATTAGAGAATAATTCTGACATTTTCCTACCACAATTAAGATAGTAAGATTCCCACTCATTACTAATATATTTATACAATTATTTACACAATTAATGGAATACAGAATGTGTAAATAACCATATAAATATATTTTCACAGATAGAAACATTATAAATAGATATCCTAAAACAAACCTAAATATGCCTAGTGGTACCTCTGGTACAACCACTCTTCGTTTCCAAGCCTGCAGGTCACGTTCTGTAGCAATCTGACTGCGTGGAGCGTTTTGATGCATCTGACGAACACCTTCAACTTGTCCACTACGACGCAGACCAATATTTGGAGGGGACTGAATGTCTAAGCTCAGCCTTCTAAAACCTAGGAAAATATGATGGGGAAGTGATTCCAATACACTTTTAAACTAATATACATTTAGCATGTAACAAGCACACGTTCACCTAAGATGCGCACCAAAAATAAAGAACTAAGAGAAGATAGTATCTACTGAAAAAACTTTGTGAGAAAAATCTTTTTAAAATTTATTTTCTGTACAGACAAGGTCTTGCTATGTTGCCCGGGCTAGTCGCAAATGCCTGGCCTCAAGCAATCCTCTTAACCACGGCTTCCCAAAGTGCTGGGATTATAGGCATGAGCCACTGCACCCAGCCTGACAGAATCTTAACATGACTAAGATCAAAATGTAGAATACGGAACAAACATTAACTATTAAACCTCAATTTCAATTTTTACTAGACTTTCTGAAATTATAAAATGTACATTTCACATTACATTATATATGCATTCCTAAAAACTGTGCCTTCTTAAAAATTGCACACTAAAAAAAGTCTTTTTGAAAAATTTGCACTGAAGACAGATACCTGAAATCAAAGTGGTTTTACAAGAGCTCTTGCAACAGTAATCATGATTCTCATGATTCTCAAGAGATAATCTGAGCCACCAAGGCAAGTAGCTGTCAAGATGGTTATTAAAAAGTCAAACAAATAAAATGTTGTGGGTAAATGCCAGTCGTGCTTAAACTAAAGCTGGGCAGGTGGGTGATGAGGCAATGAAGACAACACTGACGCTCTGAGCCTGAGGGGCTGCTGTTAAGGTGGGTATAGGAGGCTGCGCAACCTCCCATGAGCTGGAAGCCACAGAGGCTGTTAAGGTGGGTATAGGAGGCTGCGCAACCTCCCATGAGCTGGAAGCCACAGAGAGACTAGCCTCTGAGGAGGAAGTCCTAGACAAAGTGCTCATTTTCTTACAACAGAAGGTGAAGGGGCTCCTGCTACTAACACAACAGAAAAACTGAGGGTGATATTGATTCTTGTGGGAGGCTATGGAGCTGTACTCCAGCTGTGCCAGCTCTTCTTGCCTAGGGAAAAATCCACGAGTGAATGCAACTTCTGCACTCTTCTATGTACCACACTCTATTTACCAATCACATGTGTACCAATGTGCATTAGAGAACACACTATGCTTCACCAACTTCAAATGGCATTAAATGCCCCGCTAGTAAACCAAGCATTTATATTAAAATACTATATATTGAAGAAACATTTTTGAACTGAGAAATATAAATTCTAAATTTAACTGCCCAAGTCATAGCATTATTCTCCAACAATCTGAAAACATGCATAAAGTTATTTATCACATCACTTATAACAGCAAAGCATAAGAAACAACCTAAATGCCCATAAAGAGATTAGAAAGGTTAATTACTCCACACAGAGGAGTAGTATGAAGCTATTTAAAAAAAAAAAAAAAAAAATAGGATGAAGAATTCTGTGAACTGATACGATTTCTAGAATATATTGTTAAGGCAATACAGTAGGTGCCAGAAGAATGCGTTTATGTATCTTGTGCCTCTTGCCATGACAGACTGAGGACATAGCATCAACTATTCAGTATTCCTGTCTAAATGCTTAACCTGAACCCAATTATGAGGAAATAATTAGACAAATCTAAATTGAGAGAAATCTTGTGAAAACAACAGGCCTGAAGCTTTCCAAAGTACCAGTGCTCTGAGGAAACTTTTCTGGATTAAAAGACATAATCCTAAAATGTAATGAGCAGGGCTAATTAAATCCTAAATTTTTTTTTTTTAAAAAAGGCCATGAGGAAGGACAGTTAGTTATTGGGACAACTGGGGAAGAGTAAGTAAGGACTCAAAATTAGATAGCAGTGCTATATCAACAATTATCATATTCAGCTTGTTGAATGTGATCACTGTATTATGGTTATGTAAGAGAATATCTCTGGTTCTTGGATGATACAGGATGAAGCATTAAGATATAAAGTGTCACAAGTCTTACTTTCAAATGCTTCTGAAAAAAAACACATAGGAATGTGTGTGTGCACACATACACAAAAAAAAGCAAAAGCAAGTATAGTAATATAAGGAATCTAGGTAAAGAATATATGGCTGTTCATTGTATCCTTCTTCCAACCTTTCTTTCCAAAATAAAAAAACAAAGTCTTATGCTGTAAGTTTAAGAGAAAAAAAGTACTATTTTAAATGAATAATGAAACTTGTTAATCATATTGGACTAGAAACAAAGTAAATAGTGGAACTAACTGAGGGGAGACTGGTGATTGTTATGTATTTACTTCTACACTGTACTTTTAAGGACTCAACACTGAAAACTCACTAAGTTTTCAAACTTTCTGATTCAATAAGAAAAATCATACTCTACCCAATACAGTTTTTCAAAAATTACCAATGTTAAAGCAAAGAAAAGCTAGAACTATGGTTTTATTTTAAAAACCAATCTGTTATTCGCTCCTATTTAATACAATTTTGTAAATACTGTATTTTTAGAGTACAAAAGGCTTCAGCAGTACTTGAAATTCAAAGACCCATTTGTTACTACATTATCTCACACCTCATAAAGCTACCTTCAGACTACTAATTAAGTTGTAAAAATACATTGTTTACTTAAGTTTCTCACATTACATGTACCTGACAAAGACTTCGTTTACTCTTTAATTTCAATGCAGCCATATTCAGGTAAAACATTTATCACTATTTATTACCTCTCCGGGGTGTTTCTTCACCATTTGAAAGTCCTCTTGGAATAGTATCCTGATCTGCTCCCATTCTCTGATCTTGCTGCTGCTGCAACTGTCTTATCATTCCATCAAGAATACTCGATTCTGGGCTGCGTTCATCATTATCATTGGTTTGCAGGCTTATAATTTGTTCAATCACCTCTCCATCACCTACAAATTCAATTATTTAATATATAATCATATAAAAGCAGAAAACAAAAAAAAATTTCGTTAGGGTACAAATTAAAATACATTAACAATGGTCAGAATTTCCCATTTTTGAAAAATAACCAGTTTAAAAAGATACTCTACATATTCACCAAGAAGTCAGAGAAAAGATTCAAAGCCAACAAAAGTCTTCCTGTAGAGGACTAAATACCACAAAAACCTGAAAGCAGCCTCTGAAATTCCTGCAAGTGGAAGCATGGAAACATATTTCTGTAAAACTTTATTACGCTGTTTCACACTAATGCCCCTCACCATACTCGATATATTTCACTAAAATCTTATTCCCCAGAGTCTCTAACTGGAACAGAGCAACTATGGGTCATTTCCAATGTGGAGAAAAATCCCTGAGATTTAATTTCTTCTCTATGTCTTAAGAAAGGGGAAAAAAGGGAGGTAAGACCTTTTTTAAGCCTTCAACAAGACTTTAGCTCTCCCTCTGCCCCAAGAGTCCTCGGAGAACAGTGCAATTGATGGTGGTAATTACACAAGCCTCTCCGACTAATCTCAAATTACTCTCTTAGATATGTTTTTAACATAGCTACTACCCATAATTCTTACTTCAAGTACAGAGTTTTTCTGAGACGGAGTCTCACTTTTGTTGCCCAGGCTGGAGTGCAGTGGCGTGATCTTGGCTTACTGCAAGCTCTGCCTCCTGGGTTCAGGCCATTCTCCTGCCTCGGCCTCCCGACTAGCTGGGACTACAGGTGCCCACCACCATGCCCGGCTAATTTTTTGTATTTCTTTTTTTTCAGTAGAGACAGGGTTTCACCGTGTTAGCCAGGATGGTCTCAATCTCCTGACCTCATGATCCACCCACCTCGACCTCCCAAAGTGCTGGGATTACAGCCGGGGCGTGGTGGCTCACATCTGTAATCCCAGCACTTTTGGAGGCCAAGGCAGGTGGATCACTTGAGGTCAAGAGTTCAAGACCAGTCTCTACTGAAAATACAAAAAAAAATTAGCCGGGCCTGGTGGCGCACGCCTGTAGTCACAGCTACTCAGGAGGCTGAGTCTAGAGAATTGCCTGAACCCAGGAGGCGAAGGTTGCAGTGAGCCAAGATTATGCCACTGCACTCTAGCCTGGGTGACAAGAGTCAAACTGTGTCTCAAAAAAATAAATAAATAAAATTAAAAATAAAGGAGATTAATAAGGTGATAATCAAAAGGAATGCAAAGATATAACTTGCCACCATAAAGACAGATAGAGAAACTGTAAAACCTCATATAGTATTATGGGATGGGCAAGGGAGGACATTTCCATCCTGCTACCTGAGTAAGACTCCCTTGCATATCACTGATAATGTCTTTGTTTTGCTATGGAAACCAAAGAAGAACTTAAAAGAGCTAAATGTTATATCTCATATTAACTTTGTCTTTAAAAATTTTATCAGTCTCAAAAAATGAGTTGAAAAGGCAGTACATAGAGGCTTAATCTAAAAAGATAAGAAGATTTTAATTAGAATTGCTTATAACACAAAATTCCTAAGATTACAACATGATACCAAAGGGAAAACGGCAAAGAAGATTTCTAATCGGCATAAGCCAAAATAACCTAAGGCTATATAACTTTTCTTTTTTTTCTTTTTGGTAGACACAAAGTCTTGCTATATTGCCCAGGCTGGTCTTGAACTCCTGAGCTCAAGCAATCCGCCTGCCTGCCTCAGCCTCCCAAAGTGCTAAGATTACAAGCGTGAGCCACTGCACTCAGCCTAACTTTTCTTTCATAGCACAGAACACTTAACTGTTAATTTCTCAAATATCAGAATGTTAACTGTCTCTATGGAATAATACAATCGATACTGAAATATTGAAGGAGGGTTCTACCCATGAAAACTTAACTGCCGCAGGAAGTGTCCTTCTGCCATAAACAACTACAATACTGGAAAAAATATATGTAAAACAAAAGCTTTCAGACACTGGACAACAGGCAGCACAAAACTGTGATCCCTGAGAGAAGGGGAACAATGGAGACAAACCCTCTGATTGCTCCAGATTACTGTCTGGAGGTAGTCTCCAGGTTACAGAACAAAAGAGAGAACCCAAACAGCATCCACAGATCTAACTGAGTTGAGGAGACAGAGGTGAGAGTTTGCTGGAAGAAGAATGTTAAAATACGCAGGACTGAATATCAGAGGAGAGTGAACTGCACACAAAGCTCCAAAGATCTGTAATGAGGTCTCATCAATTATTTGACTAAATACTGATACGTGGCCGGGCATGGTGGCTCACGCCTGTCTGTAATCCCTGCACTTTGGGAGGCTGAGGTGGGCGGATCACCTGAGGTCAGGAGTTCGAGACCAGACTGGCCAGCATGGTGAAACTTCATCTGTACTAAAAATACAAAAATTAGCCTGGTGTGGTGGTGCACACCTGTACTCCCAGCTACGTGGGAAGCTGAGGCAGGGAAACTGCTTGAACCCCAGAGGCAAAGGTTGCAATAAGCCGAGATCACACCAATGAACTCCAGCCTGGGCAACAGAGCAAGACTCTGTCTCAAAAAAAATTTTTTTAATTAAATACTGTTATGTGTGCACATGGGGTAGAACTCCACTACTGAGGGGAAAATATAAAAAAGCAGTTGCACAAAAATTTGCAGAGCTCTCACAGGACAGAAAATAGTTCAAGTTCGCAGGAGCCAGAATACACAGCAGAAGTGCTTTACGTACACTTCCAGTTTTAATACCTAGAATAGTAAAAAGACATGTATTCATGTGCAGAGCAGTAAAGAATATAATAACTCCTACTATTTTGGTGCCACAACCAAGATTTGTGCTACAGTGCCAGAAGTTTATTTCTACCCACCCATGATCCATCAGTACAAATGTCAACACTGTAAAAAAATAAATATCTCAGTATTGTTATGAAGATGGCTGTGACCTTGCAGACTCCATGAAAGGTTGCAGATACACCTATGGGTCTGCAAACCACACATTGACAATTTCTGCCCTAAAGCAACCATTACATACAAATAAACAGGTATTGCTAGTAAGACATTAGTGGAGGTCATATGGAACACAAAAAAAAATCATCAATCCCAAAGAAGAAAAAAAAAAGAAAAAGGAAAAAGGCACAAAGAATGAAAAGAATATAGAGGAAACAAATAGGAATACTCTTATGTTCAAACCCATACCATATGAACATTTAAGTGTAAATACTCTACACTTAATAGAGTACTTAATACTTAAATCCCAATTAAAAGTTATCAGATTAGATATATAAAGACACAGATCAGCTGGAAGAACTGACAAAGATATACCATGACAATCCTAATCCAAAACAAGTTGAATTGGCTATATTAATATGAAATAAGACTCTTCAAAACAAAAAATATTTTCAGAGATACAGAGAAACATTTCATGAGAAAAGAATTATTTCATCCAGAAGACAAGCAATTCAAAATGTGTATGCACCTAATGAATGAACTTTAAAATACATAAAGTAAAAACTGAGTAAACTGAAGAGAGAAATGACAAATTCCACGTGACAGTTGGATATTTCAATCTGGATGATAGCCCCAAACTGGAAACAAGCCTTTAACCATTAGTGAATGCAAAAACAAATGATAATATACCCATCTATTCCATGGGGTATTATCAGCCCCAGTGAATAAACAGGAACAAACTACTGATACATGCAACAACACTAATGAATCTCAAAAGCACCACACTAAGTCAAAGAAGCCAGACACAAAAGATTACACTTTGTGGCCAAGCGCGGAGCCTCATGCCTGTAATCCCACCACTTTGGGAGGCCGAGGCAGGCGGATCATGAGGTCAAGAGATCGAGACCATCCTGGCCAACATGGTGAAACCCCATCTCTCCTAAAAATACAAAAATTAGCTGGGTGTGGTGGCACACACCTGTAGTCCCAGCTACTCAGGAGGCTGAGGCAGGAAAACCACTTGAACCCGGGTGGCGGAGGTTGCAGTGAGCCAAGATCATGCCACTGCACTCCAGTCTGCCGACGGAGCAAGACTCCGTCTCAAAAAGATTACACTTTGTATATAAAACCCTCTTAAAGGACAAAATTAAAGTGACAGAAAATGTAACACTGATTACAAGGGACTGGGAGAAAGGAGAGGACTGACTCCAAACAGGTCCTGGGGACTTTTGGGGGCAGTATAAATGGTTTGTATCTTGATTGTGGTGGTAGTTACTTATTATTTAACATCTGTCAAAACATACTTGACAGCCTGGGCAACATGGCAAAACCCCATCTCTACTAAAAATACAAAAATTAGCCAGGTGTGTTAGCACACGCCTACAGTCCCAGCTACTCAGGAGGCTGAGGTAGGAGGATCACTTGACCCTCCTGCAGTCAGCCAAGATCGCACCACTGCACTCCAGCCTGGGGAAACGAGTAAGACCCTGTCTCAAAAAATAAACACACATACACTTGAATTGTACACTTAAAATTGGTGAATTTTGTATATAAAGTACACTTCAATAAAAGTAATAAAAAATAACATTTGAAATAGCAACCATATAGTAATCTACATTAGGTTTTTACTTTATATATAGCTGGTGATTTAGTTTCAGTAAATCCTCATCCAAACAAACAAAATAGCATTTTTTCTTTAACATCTGTAGAGAAACACTGCCCTGCTATTAACACAAAAAAGAACTTTGCACTTGGCTACGACAGAGAAAAGTACAAGACAAACCTGGAACATCCTACATCCAGAAAAGGAAAAAAGTGACTGAAAAAGTGTAAGGACTTGGGGAAGGACAGCTTCAAAAGGCTCTGAGAGTCAAACCTAAGGATTATGTGAGTAATACAACCCATTAGCCACACCCAGAAGCCCATACTAAAACTTAATAAGCCTCATCAATAAATAAAGGGGTGAGCAATAGACAGTCATATGCAATGATACATATGACGCAATGAGGGAGCAATGATACATATGATGCAATGACAGAACAATGATGAAGTTAGAAAATAACCACTTTGGAGTATTCACAGTAACAACCGATTCAGGCAAAACTCATCAATGGGTCCTAAAACTTGAGGGTAAACTTTGACAATGAACAGGTTATTGACATATCTCCCCACAAATTACTATTAATTACAAAGAGAAAAATACTAAGTTTATAGTGTTCAAAAACAACATTACCAGTAATTAGACAAACCACAATCATAAGCATCCTGACAGTATGCTCTATTAAGACTAGAACATCATTTATGTTGTATTCTGTCAAAAATGCATAACCGGAACCTAATCAAGAAGTAGACAAACCCAGATTGAGGCCTTCTACAAAATTCCTGACCTGTAATCTTCAAATACATCAACATCATGAAAGTCAAAAACTGACAACCTGCTCCAGATTACAGGAAATTAAGGAACTATGACAACTAACTTTCGTATTTCGTATGTGGTCCCAAATAAAAATTGGGAGAATTTTAGAAGCTATAAACGAACATTACTAGAATAACTGGAAATTTTTGGTTACACACTATAGATTTGATAATAGTATTATCTGAGTGTAAAACGTCCTAATTGTCATAAGTGTCTATAGTTATGTAAGAGAATGTCGTTCTTATTTAGAGGTAAATGGTACATGAGGTCCAGAAGTTAAATGGTTCAAAACAATACACAGAAAAAAAATAATAAAACAAATATTGCAAAATATTAATAATTGGGGATCTAAAGGTAAGGAAATTATTTATATTATACTTTAAAATATTCAAGTACAACTTTAAAAAAAAAAAAAAAAAAAGACTGCACTTACTTGTTGCCACATAGCCCAGCTGTGGAATCAAATGTTCATCTGCAGAATTTTCTCGGCCTGGTACTAATCTCTGATACTTGGTTGGATGAGGATTTCCATCTACATCTACCAAGAATGGTGGAGGCATAAGATGAGGAGCCTGCTGAGTTTGCTCATCTAAGACATAATTATTAGAATCTCTAATAAGTGGTCGATAGTCAGTATGGAAGAACATCTGATCAGGAATCTAGAAAAATGAAGTTCACAGGATGACATTTTAAGGTTCACACATTTTAAAGGAAACAAATATTAAACAGTTAATTAAAACTAGAAAAACAAGGAAATCAAATCACTCAGCTAAACTGTTTCCAAAACATAGCTCATAACTACTTATTTCCAAAACACAGCTGATAACTATTACTTGCATGCTACAACAAAGTATTAAAAATGACCTTTTCATATGGTTTGCTGCATCCAAAACCAAATATCAGAAGGTGCCCATGAGAATCTGTACAGGCAAAATGCTGTCCATCCTGTGAAAACTTACAGTCAAACACAGCTCCATGTCCTTGTCCTTCAATCTAGGAAACACAAAAGGAAAAAAGTTAGGACCAATTCTATGCAAGTGATTTGCTATGTAAACTTTTTTAATGTGGATAACCTGTGACAATATATCCCTTCTGAAAAAAAAAAAAAAAGTTTCAGCCAGGCATGGTGGCTCATACCTGTAATCCTAGCACTTTATGAGGTGGAAGCAGGTGGACTGCCTGAGCACAGGAGTTCAAGACCACCCTGGGCAACATGGTGAAACCCTGTCTCTACTAAAAATACAAAAAATTAGCCGGGCGTGGCAGTGTGCGTCTGTAGTCCCAGCTACTCAGGAAGCTGAGACACGAGAATCGTTTGAACCGGGGAGGCAGGGGTTGCAGTGAGCCAAGACTGCACCACTGTACTCCACTGCACTCAAGCCTGGGTGACAGAGTGAGACTCTGTAAAATAAAAATAAAAACAAATGTTTCATTAAGCATATACATCAATCACTATTCCAAAAAAATAAAATTGATTTTGGATACAACTAGCCTAGAAAAAAGTCTTCAAAGTTCTTCTAAGCATTAGTTCTCCAAGTGCTCCAATGAAGGCTAACAACCCAATCCAAAGTGAAGGCTTCTTTTACTTCTTATAAACAATTTCATAAATTTTTGTCTTAGTATATAATAAAAGGATAATAAGCTACAAGATAAATGATTAAAGATTAACCAAATTTGGTATTCATGAACTAAAACGAACACTTTTCTAGATTTTAAGGTGGGCTCTACTTCAGCTCATTACTAAGATGACTAAGCACCATGCAAAATTTGGCAATGCTGCCGGGTCTCAAGCATATATATGAAAAAGTCTGCAGCCACAACTACCCTAACAGAGATTTCAGAAAGGATGCTCTAAGTCTATCATGAGTGTAACCTTAAATAGATTACTTTTATACTGTTTTATTCTTCCTTTTAAACTGTAAACTATATTAGTTTAATATCATCAATTTATAGTTAAGTTAGTTATTTGGTTAACTCTACAGTGTAGAGCTATGCATATTTGTTGTCTGCACCTTTAACTTTCCAGTAACTAAATGTTACGCGTTCGGTGTTGGAGAAATGAGACATCTACTCAGTAACTGCCAGAACAAACTCACGTCCACGCCCAAGTAAGTCACTGCTTGAATAGTGATACTTCACTATTGTTGCACATGAAAAGGATGACAATTAGCAAACGTGGAAAAAATAAAGTTACTCGGATATTCAGAGGATTGCTGAATAAGATGTGCATATTAATTCATATTCTCTTAACATAAAAAGGAAAAAAATTGTGTGTGTATATATATTATATATTTTTTTTCCTCCAACTGATCATTAAAACATAAGAACATGGTTTCACCCACATGGTCCTTCTAGGAGCCACCTGTGCCACAGCACAACCTGCATATATGTACCATTTTGCATCCCTGGCCTGGGACCTTCAGTCATGGTTAAAGCAGATGCCAGTGGGGAGGGAGTGGCAAAATCTCAAAGCTGGAAAGCTGAAGATGGTGGCAGCAACTCTGCCCATCATACATGTGGACTTAACAGCACCAAAAGCTTTTCTATAAATACTTGCTGAGATGAAAGTTTTCTCAAGTGGGCAGACCTATCTAAGCAGAGCAAGGAGGACTTGGGGTTTCACTTGTAACTGGAAGCGTCCTATACAATGATTCCTGACAAAACGCAACCTGCAACTGTGTCTGGAGAAAAATGTCACATTAAAGTTTATTACGTATTCATGAAATATTGTTGCTATTAATAACTGACAACCCTATTTAGTCTATCTAGAATTAGGAATTATGAGCCTCTTAGCTGAGCAGTAAGGAAATGTCAGTAAACAAGGCCAATTTTGGCTATGCAACTGGAAATAAGATCATTGTTGCCCACGTGAAATGTTTTTTCAGATTATTCTTTGGCATAGAGTTTTTCCGCTTATATTCTGCTTAAAGCCTAAATTAATGTAGTTTTTTGTTTTGAGGAGTTAAATTCAGGATGTAATATTATTACTGAGTATGAAAGGATAGTTAAGGTAATGGATGTATCCCACGGATTTTAAAACGACAGAAAAATTGTCCAAGAATGTTTAGTTCTTTTTCCAATAATTTGAATACACAGAAACGCAGCTTTCAGAGATGCCTAATTGTCTATTTGTACTTTGATCATACTATTTAAAATGTTTTAGAATGCATTTAATCAAAGGTCTAAGAACCTGAGAATCAAAGGTCTAAGAACCTGAGAATCAAAGGTCTAAGAATGCATCAGCATCAATAGGATGCTACTACACTGCCTCTAAAATACATCACACAGGCCAGGTACAGTGGCTCAAGCCTGTAATCCCAGCACTTTGGGAGGCCGAGGCGGGCGGATCACAAGGTCAGGAGATCGAGACCATCCTGGCTAACATGGTGAAACCCCATCTCTACTAAAAACACAAAAATAAAATTAGCCGGGCGTGGTGGCAGGCGCGTGTAATCCCAGCTACTTGAGAGGCTGAGGCGGGAGAATGGCGTGAACCCGGGAGGCGGAGCTTGCAGTGAGCCGAGACCACACCACTGCACTCCAGCCTGGGCGACAGAGAGAGACTCTGTCTCAAACAAAACAATAAAAAATTGCACTTTGAATTGTAACAGTATAAACTGAAGAGTAAATTCACAAAATGTCTCAAACATATAAAGCCTTAACAGTGCTAAAACCCTTTTACACAATAATTCCTTCAGAATTTATCTTAGGGAAATAATCATGTACAAGGCTATTCAAAGTGTTATTGTCATACGTATTTTAGAAACCACTTAAGTACTCAACAATAGAAATTAATTGTGTAAAAGTTAACTTTCTTCTCAGACAGGCTGAATTTATACTCAAAAATACATCTGTAAATTCTTTAAAAATAAAAATTTCAAAAAAAAAGGTTTTACATGAAATAAGATTACAAAACTATGTGCAAGCACATTTACCCACGTAACCAACCTGCACATCCTGCACACAGCAGGTAGCCCCTGAACTTAGAAGTTGGAGGAGGAAAAAAAAATACCACTGTGTGCAAAGACACCAACTAATAAATATGGAAGGAATAATGCCATTGGAAAATCTTCAATGGATCCAATACTTGTGGGTAAAAATTTAATGAGAAACAGGATATTCAGATTAGTCTCAAAAGCGCTACTAAAAAAATTAGTTTAATAATTATATTGGGAGGCCGAGGCGGGTGATCACTTGAAGTCAGGAGTTCAAGACCAGCCTGGCCAAGATGGTGAAACCCCATCTCTACTAAAAATACAAAAAATTAGCTGGATGTGATGGCAGGTGCCTGTAAATCCCAGCTATTCGGGAGGCTGAGGCAGCAGAATCACTTGAACCCAGGAGGCGGAGGTCGCAGCGACCCCAGATTGTGCCATTGAACTCCAGCCTGGGCAACAAGAGAGAAACTCCATCTCCAAAAAAAAAAAAAAAAAATTATCACCATAGTAAGGGGACAAATAAATATCATGTGCCTCCTAATATGATTCATGAAGGACACAATATCACTTATGTTTTATTTCATTTAAAAAACTATAACAATCTAATCATGAAAAAATATCAGACAAAACTGAGGACACTCTGTAACAATACTTGCTAATATTCAACAAAAGTTAAAGGCCAAGAAAGAGGAAAAAGAAAAAAGGCTGAGAGGGGCTGGTGACAATTAAAGAAAAATAGAGGCCAGGCACAGTGGCTCACGCCTGTAATCCCAACACTTTGGGAGGCCAAGGCAGATGGATCATGAGGTCAAGAGATGGAGACCATCCTGGCTAACACGGTGAAACCCCGTCTCTACTAAAAAATACAAAAAAATTAGCCAGGTTTGGTGGCGGGTGCCTGTAGTTCCAATTACTTGGGAGGCTGAGGCAGGAGAATAGCGTGAACCCGGGAGGCGGAGCTTGCAGTGAGTTGAGATTGCGCCACTGCACTCCAGCCTGGGCGACAGAGCGAGACTCTGTCTCAAAAAGAAAAGAAAAAGAAAAGAAAAAAAAGAAACCTAGAAAGATACAACCACTTAAACACAACGCATGAGCCTGAACTGGATTCTGGTCTACGGAGCAAAATATATCTAAAAAGATGTTACTATAGACCTGACTAGACAATGCTATCTTATAAATGTTAAATTTGCTGATTAGTAACTATAATTATGATTATGTGGAGAAATTCTAAAAAGATACAGTAGGATCCTCATTTGGTTCTAGAATATACATATGCAAAAAAAAAAATTTTTTTTTTTTAAGAATACACCTGTACATAAAGAAAAAAGGCCGGGAAAACCTAATGATGTTTGATCTCTATTTCAACCATCTTGGGATTTTTTTTTTTAAGAGAGTGTCTCACTACATTGCCCAGGCTGGACTTGAATTCCTGGGCTCAAGCAATCCTCCTGTCTCAGCCTCCCAAAGTGTTAGGAGTTCAGAGCCACCACACCCAGCCCAAGGTTACTGAAATTGGAGTAATCAAATATTGTAATATTTGGTTAATATTGAATATTAATAATGTCATTTTATTTTATTACTATTTTTATATTTCTATTTATCAAATATTTCAATTTGTTATAGAATATTTCAATAAATTCAAGTAGTGAAAAAGTTTTTACAATTGCCATACTTTTACCAGTTTAAACACACAGGCACATAAAATGCTCAACAGGTAACTTAAAAATGTCTCCCTCATATAAATCAGTCATACAGAGAATTTCATGTATGTACGTATATACATGTAGCTGTCTAATATTTAGCAGGCTTTGAATATGCTGATTTGTAAAAACAAACTGCCAAAACAAGCAGATCAATTTCTGGCTAAGCCGCATAACCCAAATACTCTAAACAAATTATCAAGCATGTATCAAGGTACATCTCACTTCACTTACCATATTAAAATAATGTTTCATCTTGGTACCTTTTGTAATATCCCATATAAATATGCTGCCATCATGTCCTGCAGATAACATAATTCTGGAATCAAAGGGATGTGTCTCCAGAACAAATACTTCATCAGCATGTCCCTTTATTTAACAAAGTCATAACATTAAGGAGGGTTTACAAGTTACAAATTGAAAATTTAAAAATACATACTGTTACAGCATATACTTTTAGAAATGTATTCGACAATAATTTATAATTATAAAAATTTCTAATCATTTCATAGTTTACATGAGAGAAACAACTTGTTCAATATATTATTTTTATAGCTTCAAAATTACAATCATATTTCAAAAAATCTCATTTGTTACACTGTACCAGAAATTACCTACCATTAAGTTATGAAGCAGTTGTCCAGTGTAAGAATTCCACACTTTGAGGACATGATCATTCACAGCTGTGACAACAATGCTATCATTTTGATTCCAAGCTATCATTGTTACTTTAGGTTTCATAAACCTTTCCTCTTCGGAAGATAAGTCCCTAACAAAAAAATACACAACATGTAAACTTATTTAGATGGCTGGCTATACAATGTATACAATCTCTCATCAATACAAAAATAAAGAAATCCAACCCATGTGCCTATCTTATCAACCCTACAGTGAGTTCATCACAGCTGACCCAGAACAGACTGTCTAGAAACAGGTGAGGGCAAAACCTGAAGAAGGGAGGGATAATTTAGAAACAGTACAGAGACTGAATAAGGGCAGATTTTAGGACACCATTACTGCTTATGAAAGCAATGCTTTTTCTCCCTACTTCTTTCCTATTATTTCCTTCTTCTGAATACAAACCTATTGCTAACACTTACTTTCAACTGTTTCTCTCCATAGAAGACAAAAAAATTTTAGGAACACAAAAATAAGGTAATTCATATTCATATCCCCAATGTTTAGAAAAATAACTGACACACAGATGTTCAATCTGAACTGTAAATGGGACTATTCTCATCTCTTCATACAACTTTCCTACAGTCTACTCCTACAGGCCCCTTGGCAAGAACGGTCTTGGATACACATGCCTAGAATGTTTTTCATCCTTTATAAAAGTGTTATGGAGGGCCAGACACGGTGGCTCACGCCTGTAATCCCAGCATCTTGGGAGACCGAGGCAGGCAGATCACGAGGTCAGCGGTTTGAGACTAGCCTGGCCAACATGGTGAAACCCCGTCTCTACTAAAAATACAACATTAGCCAGGTGTGGTGGCACACACCTGTATTCCCAGCTACTCAGAAGGCTGAGGCAGGAGAATCATTGGAACCTGGGAGACAGAGTCTGCAGTGAACCAAGACCGCACCATTGCACTCCAGCCTGGGTGACAGAGCAAGACTACGTTCTCAAAAAATAAAAAAGTGATATGCAAAGGGTCTCTGCATTACAGTAGTCAACAGTGGGGTAGGGAAGGCCTAATGGTTCTGAAATAATAGAATACGTTTTAAGAAATTACAAGCATCGGCCGGGCACGGTGGCTCATGCCTGTAATCCCAGCATTTTGAGAGGCCGAGGCAGGCGGATAACGAGGTCAGGAGATTGAGACCATCCTGGCTAACACGGTGAAACCTCGTCTCTACTAAAAATACAAAAAAAAGCAAAATTAGCCAGGCGTGGTGGTGGGCACCTGTAGTCCCTACTACTCGGGAGGCTGAGGTGGGAGGATAGCATGAACCCAGGAGGCGGAACTTACAGTGAGCCAAGATCGCACCACTGCACTCCAGCCTGGGCAACAGAGCAAGACTCCGTCTCAAAAAAAAAAAAAAAAAAAAAAAGATATTACAAGCATCTAACATGTTTTAATTAACAAAGGCTGGGCATGGTAGCTCACACCTATAATCCCAGCACTTTTGAGAGGCCAAGGTGGGCGGATCACTTGAGGTCAGGAGTTCCAGACCAACCTGGCCAACAGGATGAAATCATGCCTCTATAAAAAATACAAAAATTAGCTGGGCGTAGTGACAGGCTCCTGTAATCCCAGCTACTTGGGAGGCTGAGGAAGGAGAATCACTTGAACCCAGGAGGCGAAGGTTGCAATGAGCTGAGACCGTGCCACTCCATTTCAAAAAAAAAAAAAAAAAGAATATAGAATGAGTGTTATAAAACAGCTATCTATGTAATTACAAAAAAAAAACACACAGAAGAGAGAATAATTCTAACTAGATTGATTGGTGTTGAGGGTAGAATAATATTAAGAAGTAAAATGGAGGCCGGGCGCGGTGGCTCACGCCTGTAATCCCAGATCTTTGGGAGGGCGACGCGGGTGGATCACGAGGTCAGGAGATCAAGACCATCCTGGTTGCACATGTATACATATGTAACTAACCTGCACATTGTGCACATGTACCCTAAAACTTAAATAAATAAAAAAAAAAAAAAAGACCATCCTGGCTAACATGGTGAAACCCCGTCTCTACTAAAAATACAAAAAAAATTAGCCGGGCATGTGGCGGGCGCCTGTAGTCTCAGCTACTCGTGAGGCTGAGGCAGGAGAACGGCATGAACCCAGGAGGCAGGGCTTGCAGTGAGCAGAGATCGCACCACTGCACTCCAGCCTGGGCGACAGAGCAAGACTCTGTCTCCAAAAAAAAAAGTAAAATGGAATAAAGGCAAAGACTCCATTCTTCACTTTAAACTAAAAGGCTTTTGAAGTAATAACATTGCTTTTTTTTTTTTTTTTTGAGGTGGAGTCTAGCTCTGTCGCCCAGGCTGGGGTGTAGTGGCTCCATCTAGGCTCACTGAAACCTCTATCTCCTGGGTTCAACTGATTCTCCTGCTTTAGCCTCCCGAGTAGCTGGGATTACAGGCGCATGCCACCATATCCGGCTAATTTTTCTATTTTTTTTTAGTAGAGGCAGGGTTTCACCATGTTGGCCAGGCTAGTCTCGATATCCTGACCTCAGGTGATCCACCTGCCTTGGCCTCCCAAAGTGCTGGGAATACAGGCATGAGCCACTATGCCCAGCCACAAATTAATAACTTTGAATTTACTAACAGATATGTTCCATTTCATCAAGTTGATTCGCCAATATTAGAACACTAAAATAAACAGATCAATCAATTCTTACATACAGAAGACTCTGTTTTTCAAGATTTGAAAGCAAGAAAACTTAAAATGAGAAGATATTTTCTCATGAAGAAAATTATAGGAAAAGTCCCCTTCATGGATCGAGTGCGTCAGCAAGAAAACTAAACAGTTTTCAGTCTCATTTAAAAATTTTCATTCAAGTTTTGACAGTTTCTATTTTCCTTAATAAAACAATAATAGGTGAAACTGACTTTAAATTATCTTCACCCCCATTCCCTTTATTTCAACTAATCAAGGATTGACAGTATTCACTTTCATACTGAGATGTAACATTTTTATATATAATAAAGATTTTTTAATTTGTTTATGAGCAAGGGTTATCAAATTTCCAGTATATATACTTTTCATTCTCTATCACAGATAATTCCACAAAAAAACAAGATCAAATTTATTTTGAAAATGCAATACAATTCTTTGAGCTACAGCAGAGAATATAAGTCAATTTCTGTTGTTAAAAACAAAGCATTTGGGAGGCAGAGGCAAGAGGATCACTTGAGCCCAAGAGTTCAAGATGAGCCTGAACAAAAGTCTTTACAAAAAATAAACATAAAAATTAGCCAGGCATGGTGGCTCATGCTCATAGTCCCAGCTACTTGGAAGGCTGAGATGGGGGGACAGGCTGAGATGGGGGGACTGCCTGAGGCCGGAATGTCAAGGCTGAAGTGAGTCACGATCATACCACTGGCGCTCCAGCCTGGGCGATGGAGTGAGACCCTAAACCATTTTTTTTAAATAAAAATAAAGCAGACATGATTTCCAGAAGACAAAATGTGGAAACGTTTCTCAGAAAAACTGATATGAAAAAGTGCAAAGTTAAAATCAGGAAACAAACTCTAAAGTAAAATCTATGACTTTTATTTTTAGAGAGTCTCGCTCTGTCACCCAGGCTGGAGCTCAATTTTCTTTTTTAACCTTAATAATAAAGTATGTTTGCTTACCCTATTTCCCAGCCTTGGCTCTAAGCTACTTTTAAATTTTTTCAAAAATCCTATCCACAGAAAAGTATAATTTCCACTCTTAACGTACTTGAGTTAATTTTATCTTTTTTACTTGTAGAAGCTTTTAAATGCAACATCTAAGAAGGAGGTCAATGCTTTGAACCATAGAAAAAGTACATGTTATTCTTTGCTATACAACGTAAGGATAAATTTACCTGGATGTCTCTGTTCACCTGATATGCAGTACGCAGCTATTCACTTATACCACAGCTCTTCGTAATAGAAGGTAGCTATAATCCCCTCAACAAAATAACCACTGAGAGACACAGAGAGCGAGAGAGAGAGAGAGAGAGAGACAGATCGAACACCTATGATGCACCTACTTCTAACAATCTCAACTTACCCTGAGATTCTGGTAGCCATATCCAATAAAATGCTCCTCCATTCTAACTGCTCAAATCTCCAAATCCGTGCTGTTCCATCTCTGCTACCACTTAGGAACCTTAAAACATTCAGAACAGGATCTTACTATATTCACACACTTTCCAACAAGGGCTACAATTAAAATCACATGCAAAAAAAGAATGTAATGAAGCTGTCCTAACAACAGGACAATCCACAGGTGTTAATTCAAAAGACAAGGTATTTAGAGCGTATCTGGATGGGAAAAAAAATTTGGTTTGCTATGATTTGCCCGGCCCTATGAAATAAAACACACCTCAAACTCAATCAATAGCTTTTCAAACAGATTAAGTTTTGAAAATACAATGTATAAGAATGCTGAGAAGAGGCAACCTGCAGTGGCTCATGTCTGTAATCCCAGCACTTTGGGAGGCCAAGGTGGGTGGATCACAAGGTCAGGAGTTCGAGATCAGTCTGACCAACATGGTGAAACCCCGTCTCTACTAAAAATACAAAAATTAGCCAGGCGTGGTGGCACATGCCTGTAATCGCAGCTACTCAGGAGGCTAAGACAGGAGAATCGCTTGAACCCAGGAGGGGGAGGTTGCAGTGCAGTGAGCCGAGGCTGCACCACTGCACTCCAGCCTAGGCAACAGAGCTAGACTCCGTCTCAAAAAAAAATAATTAAATAAGAATGCCAAGAAGAAAAAAAAAACAGAAAAAAGTTTTGAAGTATAGGAAAATAAGAGCAATAGCTCCATTTTAAACATCTTACTTGTTAATTCAAATTAATTCATGTTGGACACTGTGTAAAAATAAATCAATCTATTAACAAATTAAGTTCTCAACAATTAGTTTAGCAAAGGGACCTGACACACAATGGAGGCAAAGAAGGAGTATATGATTTAAGTAATAATTTCTTTGCAGGATATATCACGGTGGTTTCTTAGAAAAGTTTTTTTTAACTACCCAAACAAGAAATTTAATGATCCTTACACATAATTTTTTCAGTAAATCAGACATCTAGCCAAAGAAAAACTACTTTTGGTCGCTAGAAGCTGGCAGAAACTACAATTCTAAAAACTTACATTTCATGTGTTCTTCCCCCAACCCCTGCCCTAGACACTTTTCATTCAATTAATACATTTACTAATAAATACCTGCAATATACAAAGTGACAGTTAATTATATATTATTTCAAAATTTCTGAGTAGATTTCAGATGTTCTGACTACAGAAAAATGCTCAGTATGTGAAGTGGCAGAGATGTTTATTGGCTTGATTTAATCATCCCACAATGTAAATATATATTAAAACACCACAGTGTACTTACTCCATAAACATAGACAATTATTAGTCAACTAAAAATAAAAAATAATGGCTGAGCAAGGTGGCTCACGCCTGTAATCCCAGCACTTTAGGAGGGCGAGGCAGGCAGATCACCTGAAGTCGGGAGTTCGAGACCAGACTGACCAACATGGAGGAACCCCGTCTCTACTAAAAATACAAAGTTAGCCGGGCACAGTGGCAGGCGCCTGTAATCCCAGCTACTCAGGAGGCTGAGGTAGAAGATTAACTTGAACCCAAGAGGTGGAGGTTGCAGTGAGCCGAGATTGTGCCACTGCACTCCAGCCTGGGCAACGAGAGCGAAACTCCATCTCAAAAAATAAATAAATAAATAAATAATCATAATAATATAAAGGGAAAAAATACATACAAAATGACAGGTTAGCTATACTAACATGTAGCACATTATATTTGCCTAATAACACACACACACACATACAAAACACACACTTACCGATCACCATTGTTACAAAATTGGATACTATCTACTTTATCCTAAAGGGGGGAAAAGGACAAATACAAAAATGATCATCTACATGGTCTGTGAATTTGAAAAAATGAAGTTTTAATGCTAGAAGCCTATTTGCTTTAACAAGCAAAATTTGCACTTGTGTTGCTTAGCCCTGTCATTCAACATGTTTTATAATTTTAAGTGAAGACTAACTACAAACCTAAGACTACTAAAATACAGCTTTCATTTCAAAGAAAGGCACATCTAACAGGAAAAAAAGCCTTGCTTCTAAACTTAAAGCAGTATTTATAATTACATCTGTTTAAGATGACTTATATGGAAGTGAAATGTGTGGAAAGTGCTCAAAATATAGGCTTTAAAGTAGCTAAAAATAAGGCATTTTCAATTGTTGTTTTAAGTTATTTAAATCTGTATCTATCAAATAACCTCTGGATGTGGACTGCCTTCCCAAAAGCTTCAAATAAAAGAAAAGATGGCCCAACCCTGACCAGTACTTCAGAACACTGACAGTTTTCTATCTTACTATGCATTATTAAAATCACATTCTTATTTCATGGGCTTGGTTAGATAAACAGGCTCACTTAAAGTTAACCCACCCAGATCAACTGTCATAATCAAGATTTTGAACATAAAGCTAAAATAACCACTGTAAAATATTAGGCCTCTCAAGTGCTAATCTGAGTTGCCAGTGACATACCTCCCCTTTAAATATAATTGCTTGTATGCTTAAATTAAAATTAGAATAGAATTAACAAAAACTATATTGTACCTAGACATTTTCATTTTTATAAATATACAAACATCTCTAACAATATTTTAACTGTCAAATAGAATTCAGCAAAAATTTAAGATAACATTCACAAGCAATGACTTATCTCAGAAATGCAACTATGATTTAATATTTTAAAACTTAATACCATCAAAAAGTTATAAATGACAGTTCATTTGTTCAACAGAAAAAAAATTAAAAATAAAAGTAGAGCCAATAACAATGCCCCTTAGCAATAACAGGAATAGTATTAACAATTAATCTAAAGGATTTTAAAACGTGGATGCTTACAGTGTGGCTTTCAAGTTCTGCGATTTTTTCGGGTGCTTCAAAACCCAAAAAATACATTCTGATTACATGATCAGTACTACCTGTGGCTAAAAACATACCACCTGAAATAAAAATGGTAAGGTTTAAACATCCAGTTTATAACAAATACCTGAACAAATCAAATTTCCATATTAAAATATAAAAAAGAAAGATCATTTACCCTAAAACTAAGTTTATCTCAACAGTTACATTTTCTGACTCACTATATAGAGGTTATAAAGCTGAACTTGTAGCTTTAAAAAACAAAATTAATTCAATCTGGAAACATTCACAATCTCCTCCTGTTTTTTTTGAGACAGAATCTCACTCTGTCGCCCAGTCTGGAGCCCAATGGTGTGATCTCGGCTCACTGCAACTTCTACCTCCCAGGTTCAAGTAATTCTACTGCCTCAGCCTGCTGAGTAGCTGGGATTACAGGAGCACACCAGCATGCCCAGCTAATTTTTTGTATTTTTAGTAGAGATGGGGGTCTCACCATGTTGGTCAGGATGGTCTCGAACTCCTGACCTCAGGTGATCCACCCGCCTCAGCCTCCTAAAGTGTTGGGATTACAGGCGTGAGCCAGCTGGTGGGGCGGGGAACATGGTCTCAGTCTGTCGCCCAGGCTGGAGTGCAGTGGTGTGACCATGGCTCACTGCAGCCTCAACCTCCTGGACACAAGCAATACTCCCACCTAGTCTCCTGAGTAGCTGGGACTACAGGTGTGCACCATGCCCAGATAATTTTTGTTTTGTTTTTTTTTAGAGATGGGTTCTCCCTATGTTGCCAGGGCTGGGCTCGAATTCCTGGGCTGAAGCAATCCTCCCATCTCGGCCTCCCAAAGGACTGGGATTACAGGCATTGAGTCACTGTGCCTGGCCTCCCCATCTGTATTATTAAGGGTGGCAATATAATGCCAATTAAGCACCAGCGCTCTAAAAATATTTTTAAGAAAAGAAGTTCTGCTTTCTAAACAATTCTACATACCTAACCCTAGCTTGTTCAAGTTTTCAGATTTTATGAGGGAAAAGTCTTTGACCTATCCGAAAAAAGAGAAAGGTTACCACACAAGTTCACTGTACAAAAACTGAAAAAGAATAATTTCATCAAGATATTATGTGTGGGAAATAAATTTAAACTATCAAACATACACAGTTTAGCCTATTCAAAGAAAATCACAAATTTAGATTATCATACACATAGTACTGGCATAGGAATCACTTGTGTGGACACCTCAAGCCTCCCTTTTACCAGCCATCTCTTATATCACTGATTACTACCAGAAATCAGAGAAAGGCAGACTGGAGGACTGGAAGAACAAGGCTAACAAAATAAACATCATAAATTGAACCTAATGAAATAAACACCAGAAGTCATTTACCATGTAGCTAATAAAAGTTCTTAGCAACCAAGTGGTCATTTAATAGATGTTTAAAAAAAAAAAACTAAGAAAAAAATGTGAAGAAGTTCTTACCAACACTAAAAGAAGAACAAAGCATTTGAACGCCTGGCCTAGGCTTTTCAGTGAACTTCAGGGGACGTGGGCTTTAAAAGAAGAAGATGCTGCTTTAAAATAGATTATTTTACCACATTAACACAGCTTAAAATATTAGTTTTAATCTAGCATATTTAAATATTATAATTTTTTAAGAGACAGGGTCTCGCCATGTTGCCCACACTAGACACAAACTCTTGGGCTCAAGGGACCCTCCAGCCTCAGCCTCCCTAGTGGCTGGGGACCACAGGCACACAACACCCAGCTATAATCTTATTTCTATAATACCTTATTGTATATCAAATATTTCCACAGATTTCCATGTATTTTTACAAAATATAAAAAGATCAAATTAATCATATTTCCTTTAACCCAATACACCCAAAATATCAACATGTAATCCAAATCAATAAAATTATAAGATACTTTCATATTAAGTCTTTGAAATTTTCCAGTGTGTATTTGAGACTCAAAATACATCTCAATTTGACAACTCAATTTTTAACAAAAATATTTTATCTATATTTGGATTTCCCAAAACTCATTGAAAATTTCACATACTCGTTATTCAAGATATGCTTAATTTTCTAACAGGCCAGGCGTGGTGGCTCACGCCTGTGATCCCAGTACTTTGGGAGGCCAAGGCGGGTGGATCACCTGAGATCAGGAGTTTGAGACTAGCCTGGCCAACCTGGTGAAACTCCATCTCTACTAAAAATACAAAAATTAGCTGGACGTGGTGGCGGGCACCTGTAATCCCAGCTACTCAGGAGGCTGAGGCAGGAGAATCACTTGAACCCAGGAGGCAGAGGCTGCAGTGAGCCGAGATCACGCCATCACACTCCAGCCTGGGCAACAGAGTGAGACTCCATCTCAAAAAAAAAAAAAAAAAAGAAAAAAAAAAAGAAAACGAAAACAAAAGGAAAAAAAATGTTTTAATACATTAATCAATTGTAAGTTTTAAATTTAAATTATCAATTCAGTTCCTCAATTGCACTAGCCACATTTAAAGTGCTCAACGATCATATATGGCTAGTGACTACTGTATTAGACAGCACAGGTATACAATACAGGTCTTATGACTCTCAAATGTTCCTGCCTGAATTTCCAATTATATACCTATTATTTTAAATGCCTTACTTTGTCTTTGCAAAAATGTGCTAAGATAGAAAAGCTATGCTTCTTTTACAAATCCTGCTATCTACATAATTATAAATAGGAAATAGTCAATATGGCACATATGCTGTATATAATAAAAATTAAGTTCAAAGGTTAAAAAAAAGCAACAATACACAATTTCTCATAACAATAAAACTTCATTTCATTAGATTAAACTGTAACTACATTAAAAAACAAAACCTGTTACATAATTAAAGCCACTTACCTAAATTTTAAGGATTCTAAATCCCATTGCCAAAAGCAAACTGTCCCATCAGCACCAGTGGAAACCATGTATCTTTGAGAGCCTTTGGCCATCGGGCTAAACTAAAAAGTAAAACATATACAATTCAGTTTCCAGAACTTCTACTTAAGTTACAGTTTAATAGTCTTGCAAACTTAACTTCAATTGACAGTTTCAGGAAATAAACACATGAAATCCAAAATATAGGTAATACTACCGTAGTGAAAAAATCATAACCTCTCCACATTCATTTATATGTAATATGATCTCAATAAGCCTATTTTCAGAATGAACAAGACTGGCCAGAAAAACTTTAACAAGGTGGAGATCTAGTCCTACTAGATATTAAAGCATATCACAGAGTGTTAATAATTAAAATGATCAGACAAAACAGGGTACACTGATAGAATGACCAATGGAAAAAATACAATCCAAAACTAGACCCTATTCAACCTGGGAAAGCTGACTGAAAAACTGGAAGGAAAAATGGGAGAAAACATGAATCCTAATCTAAGACTTAAGTACAATTAAGGTATTATCTCAAATCTGTTGGGCGAACAATGGATCACTGCATAAATGGTATTACAATTGTGCAGTAATCTGGAAAAAAACTAAGTCCATTCTTCAGACTACATCAGGATACATTCGAAATGGGTCAATGATTTAAATATTTTGAAAACAAAGCCATAAAATAAGGAAACACAGGAACTATACTGCAGCGCAACTTCAGAATAAGGCTAACATCTGTACTTAATAAAATACCAAAAGTGCTAAACAAGCAAGCTACAGAAAGGAAGATGAACTAGCTAGAGACATCTAGGAAGGATTAAATAGTAGGAAAATGCAAGGAAAACAAACACACACTAAGCAAAGGAATAATATCAGCACAAGTTCAAAAGCGAGGGGGAATATGGTATATGATAGAAACAAAGATCTATATGAACAAAGTGTTCATTTCTCAAAGTCATGCGGCAATGGGGTAAATGAATAGAGAATCTGGATGTAATCAAAGCAGCTTAAAGGGTAACTGTACTTTTCAAGTAAAAACACCAGAAGCAGCCAAACGATTTGTCTTACAGCAATATACAGTATTGATTGAAAAAGAAGAGGCAAGATGTAATAAAAAGCCAAGAGGGAACCCAGTTAATCTAAGAAGCAAGAAGCTTAACTGGAATACAGCTCCACCCTTCTCCCCCTAGAATGGGGAGGAAAGACCAAAAGAGAGGAGCATCAAAACTTGCTGACTCGCCCGAGTGCTGTGGCTCATGCCTGTAATCCCAGCGCTTTGTGGGGCCGAGGAGTGAGAATTGCTTGAGTCCAAGAGTTCAAGACCAGCCTAGGTGACATGGCGAAACCCTGTCTCTACAAAAAAATACAAAATTGTCCAGGCGTGATGACACACGGCTGTGATCCCAGTACTATGGGAGGCCAAGGCAGGCAGATCACTTGAGGTCAGAAGTTTGAGGCCAGCCTGGCCAACATGGTGAAACACCACCTCTACTAAAAATACAAAAATTAGCCGGGCATGATGTTGGATGCCTGTAACATAAAAAGTAGGCAGGAGTGGTGGCGGATGCCCATAATCCCAGCTACTCAGGAGGCTGAGGCAGGAGAATCGCTTGAATCCGGGAGGCAAAGGTTGCAGCAGGCTGAGATGGCGCCACTGCACTCCAGCCGGGACAACACAGCAAGACTCCTTCACCTACCAAAAAAAATATATATATATATGTATGTATGTATACATGTATATATATACGTATACATACATATACATGTGTATATATGTAGACATATATGTATACATATAAATACATGTATATAAATATGTATATATACACATATGTCAACATATACGTCTATGTATAAGTATATGTATGTACATATGTATATATACACGTATACGTATATATGGACATATACACATACGTATATAAACATATATATAAAATAAAATAAAAAATTAGCCAGGCATGGTGGCGCATGCTTGTAGTCCCAGCTACCCAGGAGGCTGAGGTTGCAAAGAGCCAAGATCACACCACTGCATTTCAGCCTGGGCAACAGAGTGAGACTCTGTCTCAAAAAGCAAACAAACTTGCTGACTCAAGAAACATTCAAGACAAAGAAGGAGCTTAGAAAAGAAAGACTAATAGTGCCATTAACAGAAAGCAAAGTAAGGAAGAAATTATGGATTTTTTTTAATGTTGAAAGTGATTGTTTATATCTAAGTAGATATGTTCCAGAATGTGGCCTAACATTGAGCTTTGCAGGCTATCTCATTAAAAGTAATGAGAAAAAGTAGTATAATTAAAGTTATATTAGTAGTTGGATATTTTTGTTAATTAAAATTGAAGATTCTTTTATTCCTTTGCTTTCTTAATAAACTTGCTTTCACTTTAAAAAAAATTTAAACACCTTCCACACTGAATTGCTAATTGGACAAAAAAATTTTTTTTTAATTAAAACATCAGAGTAAAACTCGCAACCTTGCAGAGTACTTTGAGAATTCTAGAGGCCAAGCACAGTTGCTCATGCCTGTAATCCCAGCACTTTGGAAGGCCAAGGCAGGTGGATCACCTGAGGTCAGGAGTTCAAGACCAGCCTGATCAACATGGTGAAACCCTGTCTCTACTAAAAATACAAAAAATTAGCCATGCATGGTGGTGGGCGCCTGTAATCCCAACTACTCGGGAGGCTGAGGCAGGAGAATCGCTTGAACCTGGAAGGCAGAGATTTCAGTGAGCTGAGATCGCACCACTGTACTCCAGCCTGGGCAACAAGAGCGGAACTCCGTCACAAAAAAAAAAAAAAAAAGGAATTCTAAACCTAACTGTCCATGAAAGAATATGTTTAAGTCACCTGTTCTAAATCAAATTTCCAGACAGATAAGCAATTTGTAGCTATTTCTGTCCCACTTATATCTTCATCTATTCATGGACTGATATATACTGTTTTCTTTATAACAGCTCTAAAACATTTTTATATCTCCAGCATGGCTAAACAATTCTTTGCTCTTCTTTCGCTGTCCGTGCTTATATAATTCTCTTTTAAATGAGCTTGATTGGCTGGCACAGTTCCATAAAAACAAAATCATTGGAATTTCAAATGTAAATACGCTGATTTTATAGCATAATCAGGAAAGATCTGACATATTTACAATACTGAATCTTCTGATTCAGGAACATGGTAGAGGTATTTTCACTTACTTAGACTATTTCCTTCCCCAACCCAAGACTCCGGTCAGTATTTTTAAGACCTTTCTTCATAAACATATTTCACATTTCCTGTTAAATTCATTCCTATGTGTTTGAGGGGTTTTGTTGCTATTACAAATTATACTCTTCTTCCATTGTATTTATTACTTCTTTATTGCTGGTGTACAATAAAGTTCTGGTTTTAAGACATGGGTCCTATATATATTTAACCATCGTATTAAGCTCTCAGCAGTTCTAACAAGTTTTAACAGAATTCACTAATGAAGCCTCTAAGCTTGAAGTTTTAAGAGTTGCGATTTGTTTTTGTTTTTTTAGTGTCCAACAGGTATTTTTAACTTCTGGGGGCTTCCTTTTACTGTTTCTAAATAGCAACATTTCATCAATTGCAGTATCACTGACATACAACCATGTTTTGTTATGCCCCCTCAAGGCCAGTCGCCAATGACTATAATATGTATTTCTGGATATTAAAAATAGTCTTGCTTTTTTTTTCTAAGATGGATTAGCTAAATCCTGCATAAAAGAAACAGTATGAACTATGATTTCTAAAAGTCTTCTTTGGCCTAGGATTTTAGGATTCCGTGCTACAATCTCATGTGTCTACTTCCAAAGTCCAAAGTATGCTTGAAATCTACACATTTTGAGTGACTACCTAGTATTTACCACAGGCTCATGAGCTTAAGAACGTCTACTTTTACAACTTGTTCAGTGGTAAAATAAGCACTCTTTAATATATGCTGATCCTCTCTTTTGCTATGAAAGAATGTATTATTTATTTTCTTTGGATATATAGCCAATCTTTTTTTGTGAAGAACCTCCAGCTGGGTAGGGTGGCTCATGCTTATAAAGCCCAGTGCTTTGGGAGGCCAATGGAGGAGGATTGCTTGAGGCCAGAAGTTCAAGACCAGCTTGTGAAACATAGCAAGACACTGTCTCTACAAAAAATTAAGAACTAACTAGATGACGTGGCACACACCTATAGTCCCAGCTACTCAGAAGGCTGAGGCAGGAGGATGACTTGAGCTCATAAGTTTGAGGCCAAGCGAGCTATGATTACACCACTGCACTCCAGCCTGGGCAACAGAGAGAGAACCTGCCTCTGGGGGAGGCGGGAGAACCTCCATACTGTTTCCCATAATAGTTGTACTAATTTACATTCTCACCAAAAGTGCATAAGAGTTCCCCTTTCTCCACATCCTTCCCAACATTTGTTATCCTTTGTCTTTTTGAGAACAGCCATTCTGACTGGGGTGAGGTAGTATCTCACTGTGGTTTTGATTTGCATTTTCCTGATAATTAGTGATGTTAAGCATATTTTCATATATCTGTCAGCCATTTGTATGTGTTCTTTTTAGAAATGTCTACGCAGGTCTTTTGCCCATTTTTTAACTGAATTTTTTTTCTATTGAGTTGAGTTCCTTATATGTTCTGGATATTAACTCTTTGTCAGATGCATAAAGTTTACAAGTACTTTCTCCTATTCTTCAGGTTGTCTCTTCGATCTATATTGTTTGTTTCCTTTGCTGTGCAGAAGCTTTGTAGTTTGATGTAATCCCATTTGTCTGTTTTTGCTTTTGTTCCCTATGCTTTTGGGTGTATATCCAAAGGGAAATGAAATCAGTATATTGAAGAGATAATTGCACTCCCATGTTTACTGCAGTGCCATTCACAATAGTCAAGACATGAATCAACCTAAACACCCATCTACAGATGAATGAACAAAGAAAATGCCGTGTGTCCGTGTATACACACACACAAAATGGAACATTATAAACAGAATATTCTTCCGTCGTTTGTGGTAATATGGATGAACCTAAAGGCCATTATGTTAAGTGAAATAGCAAGGCACAGAAAGGCAAACACTGTGTAATTTCACCCTTGAATTTTAAAAGTTGATTTCACAGAAGCAGAGAATAGAACAGTGGTTACCTATGGCTGGGGAGTATGGGGGAAGGGGGGGACCATGAGAAGTTGTTTCAATGGGTATTAAGTTACAATCAGACAGGAAGAATAAGTTCTGGTGTTCCATTACACAGTAAGGTGAGTACAGCAAATAACAATGTGATAGACATTTCAAGACAGCTAGAAGAGAAGATTTTGAATATTACCACAACAAATAAATGATAAATGCTTAGTGATGGATATAATTACCCTCATTTGATCCTTATACAATGCATATATGCACTGAAACATCACACTGTATTCTTTGTCTTTCTACAAGTATTATAGGTCAACTAAAAACAAAAAATTTAAAAAGAATGTAGGCTAGGTGTGGTGGCTCACACACATAATCCCAGCACTTTGGGAGGCCAAGGCAGGAGGACTGCTCGAGCCTAGGAGTGTGACCAGTTCAGGCAACATGGCAAAACCCCATCTCTACTCAAAAAACACACACAAAAAAACTTAGCCAGGTGTGGTGACACACACCTGTAGTCCCAGCTACTCCCAGCTACTCAGGAGGGTGAGGGGGGAGCATCACTTGAGCCCAGTCAACAAAAAAAAAAAAAAAAAAAAAAGAATGTATTCGTCAAAGGTAGTTAGCTGTCCTGAACTGTTAAAATGAAATCTCTTCCTGTATGCTCACTCATGCATCCTAGGGGAGATAAAAATTCACATAACATAAAACTCACCATATGAACTTTTTTTTTTTTTTTGAGTCAAGAGTCTCGCTCTGTCGCCCAGGCTAGAGTGCAGTGGTGCGATCTCGGCTCACTGCAAGCTCCGTCTCCCAGGTTCACGCCATTCTCCTGCCTCGGTCTCCCGAGTAGCTGGGACTACAGGCGCTGGCCACCATGCTCGGCTAATGTTGTTTTTATATTATTAGTAGAGATGGGGTTTCACCATGTTAGCCAGGATGGTCTCCATCTGCTGACCTCGTGATCTGCCCGCCTCGGCCTCCCAAAGTGCTGGGATTACAGGCGTAAGCCACCGCGCCCGGCCCATATGAACCATTTTAAAGTCAACAATTCAGTGGCATTTAGTACATGCACAATGCTGTGCAGCCATCGCCACTACCTAAGGTCAATAGCTACTATTTCACAAGATAAACTGCAACCTGTCAAGGCATTTTTCAATTCTCTTGGATTTTAAGTAGGCAACCAAACTTCTGGAAAATAAAAGTTTTTTATTTCCAGTATTTGTACTTTTTTTTTTTTGAGACAGAGTCTCACACTGTCACCTGGTGGGAAGTGCAGTGGCGCAATCTCTGCTCACTGCAACCTCCACCTCCCGGCTTCAAGCGATTCTCCTGCCTCAGCCTCCCAAGTAGCTGGGATTACAGGTGCCCGCCACCATGCCCGGCTAATTTTTTGTATTTTTAATACAGACAGGGTTTCATTATGTTGGTCAGGCTGGTCTGAAACTCCTGACCTCGTGATCCGCCCACCTCGGCCTCCCAAAGTGCTAGGATTGCAGACGTGAGCCACTGCGCCCGGCCCATTTTTGTTCTTGCCTAGCAATACTAAAAATGAACAGTTGTAGTAATAGTATAGTGTTCATTTTCTGCAAATACTTAATTTTGTAATATTTTTAATCTAGATAAAAGTCGTAATAGTACCATGAGCACCCATACACTGGTCATCAAGATTCACCAATGGTTAATAGTTTGCAACACTTGCTTCCTGATGTAGATATCACACTGACATGAACCATCCAAATCTACCTTGCTGACATCATCACTTCAACCCTAAAATCCTTAGTGTGTATCTCCTAACAATGACATTCTCCTACATAACTATGATTATCAATACTTCGAAAACTTACTATTGATAAAACATTATTATATAATCCATATTCAAATTTTCCAAATTTCTCAAGCATCCTTTACAGCTTTTTTCTCTCCTAAATCTAGAACCCAAATCAAGGCTCACACATTACACTAACGTTTGTCCCTTTTCCTGAGGTTCCTTATTGAAAAGCTCTCCACCTTTCTATCTTTCTTGAAACCAAACTTTTGAGGAATAAGAGATTTGTTTCACAGACTGTTTCTCAATTTGGATTTGTCTGATTGCTTCCTTGGGAGATTAGCGCCAAACATTTTTTACCTAAATAATAAGTAGGTAGAGAAAATGTTTAACTACAGATACAATGCATTTCATAGTTACAAGTCAATTCAGATTTTCTTTTTGTGTCTTGTTTTTCTCTGTATTAACCTTCAATTTTCCTTTATAAAGCTGCTTAAAATATCCTCTTTTTATTATCTGAAGGATATGTAGTGATACCCCTTTTTCAAATCTGATAATGGTTATTTGTCACGTTTCTTTTTTGTTCCCTGAACAATGTGTTTTTTACCAGTATTTTTAGTCTTTCAAAGAACTTCTGGCTTTGTTGATCCTCACTACCGTTATGCACATTTTTTCTATCCTTAATTTCTGTACTTATCTTCATAATTTCTTTCTTCTTGTTTGTTCTTCTCCTAACTTCTTGAGAAATACACTTGTGATCACTGAATTTCAGCTTCTTTCTAATACATGAATTGGGTGTAAATTTCCCCTTCAGCACAACTTCAGAAGAGAATTATATACTGCTATGAAACAACTTACCCCAAAATTTTTAGCTGCACTGGACAACAATAAATATTCATTATCTCATAGTCTCTATGGTCCAAGAATTCAACAGCAGCTTAGCTAGATAGGTCTGGCTCAGTGTCTCAAGGCTGAGAGATGCAGTCAAGATGTCGACCTGAGCCACAGTCACATAAAGGCTTAACTGGGAATAGGGGGATCTGCTTCCAAAATGGCTTATTCACATGGCTATAGCAGAAGACATCAGTTATTACCATGAAGACCTTTCCATAGGGCAGTTTGAGTGTGCAATCTACCTAACAACTGGCTTCCCCCAAGACCAGTGATTAAAGAGAATAAGACAAAAGATATTTCATTATGTTGTAGTGTAACTTCAGAAACACTGAAAGTCACATTATACCATTTTCTCAATATCTTCAAGTTCACAGGTCAACCCTATTCAGCAAGGAGACTACAGTGGCCTAAGTGCCAGAAGGCAAGAATCACTGGGCACTGCCTTGAAGGCTGGCTCCCAAAGAGTACCTCCCCCAAGTTTTAATATGTAATGTTTTCATTATTAATCAGTTTGAAATATTCTTAAATGTCTATTGTGATTTTTCTTCTTTGATGTATGGATTATTTAGAAGTACAGTTAGTTGACCCTTGAACAACGCAGGGGTTAGGGTACCAAACCCCCCCAGGCAGTTGAAAATCCACACGTAACTTCTGACTCCCAAAAAACTTAACTATTGATAAAGCCTCACCAATTGCATGAACAGTCAATTAACACATATTTTTGTATATGTTTTATATAATGTATTCTTATAATAAAGCTAGAGAAAAGAAAATGTTATCAAGAAAATCGTAAGGAAGAGAAAATATATTTACTATTAAGTAGAAGTGATCATCTTAAAGGTCTTCATCCTCATTGTCTTCATGTTGAATAGGCTGAAGAGGAGGAGGAGGAATAAGAGGAGTTGGTCTTGCTATCTCAGGGGTGACAGAGGTGGAAGAAAATCTATATATAAGTCGACCCATGCAATTCAAACCCATATTGTTCAAGGGTCAACTATACATAAAATTTACAAAAAGTGAGGATTATCTGTTATTAATTCTGGCTGTTAGTAATTTCTGGCTTAATTACACTGTTGTCAGAGAATATACTTAGAATTATTTCAGTTGAGACTTGCTTTAGACCATTTAATGTACTTGCAAGTAATATAATTATGTTTACATTGACATTTACTATCCCAGTATCATCTTAGTACTGTTTTTTTCTCCTTTCTTGTTTTACTTTCTTTATTAGTACATATTTCCCCACCTCTATTAAGCCTAGTAGTTATGCAATCTCTTGCTATACTTTTGGCTGTTATTCTAGAGATTTCAAAATGCATCTTCATCTTAAAGTCTAATGTAAATTTGTATTATTTTCCACTTCTTGAACAATGCAAAGATCTCAGAATACTGAAGTTACCGCCTCCTGATACACACACTATTCATTCTTTAATTCCATATGTATTTTGAAGCCCAGAATTTACTTATCTTATACAGCCAATGTTTATTTCCATTTACCCACACATTCATTTTTTTTTTTGTCTTAAGTCTTCATTCCTTCTTGCATCTCCAAGTTTCCACCTGGGATCACATCCCCACCTAAAGAATATTATTTAGAATTCCCTTTAATGTTGTTCCATTGCTAAGAAGTTCTCAGCTTGTCTAAATATGCATTTAATATACTTTCATTCTTCAATGATATATTTTAATAGGTTCAGAATTATTGACTGGCATTTTCTATTAGCAATTTAAAAATATTACTTCTTTGTCTATCAACTTCCGTTACTTCTATTAAGAAGCTAGCAATCAGGCCGGGCACGGTGGCTCACGCCTGTAATCCCAGCACTTTGCGAGGCCGAGGCGGGCGGATCATGAGGTCAGGAGATCGAGACCATCTTGGCTAACACGGTGAAACCTCGTCTCTACTAAAAAATACAAAAAATTAGCCGGACGTGGTGGCAGCCGCCTGTAGTCCCAGCTACTTGGGAGGCTGAGGCAGGAGAATGGCGTGAACCCGGGAGCCAGAGCTTGCAGTGAGCCGAGATCGCGCCACTGCACTCCAGCCTGGGTGACAGAGTGAGACTCCATCTCAAAAAAAAAAAAAAAGAAGCTAGCAATCAGTCTTCTTATTAGTCCTCTAATTTTTCCCTAGGGCTGCAATGATTACTCATTGTACTCCATTCTATCTATTTTCTTCTGGCCTCAATTCCACTTCACTAATTCTCTCTTCAGTTTCATCAGTTGTGTTCAGATGCTGTTAAAATCACCCACTGAGGTTGGGCGAGGTGGCTCACACCTGTAATCCCAGCACTTTGGGAGGCCAAGGCAGGTGGATCACGAGGTCAGGAGATCGAGACAATCCTGGCTAACACAGTGAAACCCCATCTCTACTAAAAATACAAAAAATTAGCCGGGCGTGGTGGCACGTGCCTGTAGCCCCAGCTACTCGGGAGGCTGAGGCGCAGAAGAACCACTTGAACCCATGAGGCAGAGATTGCAGTGAGCTGAGATTGCGCCACTGCACTCCAGCCTGGGCAACAGAGCAAGACTCCGTCTCAAAAAAAAAAAAAAAAAATGTACTACTACCCAATTAGATTGTTCAGATATATTCAGTAGGTGATAAACGCATGTGAGCCCCCGTTACAAGAAGAATCATTTCAGGGAAGACTAGAACTCCACTTTCAAAGAATTCCAAGATGATTTTAAAACAGGCACTCTCTCAAAGTATAAATTTTCTTATTTGCTGCTATATTGTCAACACATTCATATCAAACTATAAAATGTTAACTGTGAAACCTAGCAAGAATTTGAATTAATTTTCAAACTATAAAATCTTCCAGAGAACAATATACTTAACTAAAAGTAAGTACACAAACCAAAAATCTTGCTTAAACTTCCAAAATAAAACACTATCTCAGCAAGGCACGGTGGCTCAGGCTTATAATTCCAGCACTTTGGGAGGTGGAGGAAGAAGGACTGCTTGATCCTAGGAATTCAAGAACAGCCTGGACAACATGGCTAGATTCCATCCCTATAAAGAATTTAAAAAGCCGGGGTTGGTAAGCACACACCTGTGGCCCTAGCTACTCGAGAGGTTGAGATGGGCAGACCTTGACCCCAGGCTGAGGTTACAGTGAGCCATGACTGCACCACAGCACTCCGCCTGGGCCAAAAACAAAAAACAAAAACAAAAACCGCTATCTCAGTTATAACTATCTTCATCCCAAAATAGCTACTCACTCTCTTTTCTTTGAGAATACTGACTAGAACAAAAGTCACCTTTTATCATAAAATTTCACACCAAATCTATTTAAGTGACCAGTAATACACAGCCTAGGTGAATGTGCATAAAAAAATTGAACCACCACCAGTTTTCACCAAATTCTAATGAGAGATACCAATGTACCTTTAAAAGCCTTATAAATCAAACATAAAATAAAAGCCTTACAAATCATCTAACAATTTACTTCAGTCTAACCAAACGTTAAGTTTCAAAACATGATAGAAAAGCACTGAAACAGGGTAGTAGGGACAGCACTTGGCCCAACCCCACCAACATGTTTTTCCATATGTGACCACTGACCACCAGACATTTTGGTACCACCCCCACTGGCCTATACTCGCTGACCAGACCTTGTAAGTTGTCTAAAAAAACTAAAACAAGCAGCATTCCACCATGAATCCTACTAAGGAGAGTTAACTCTATCCGCCCATATGTGCACAAGGCCAGGAGAAGGACCAATCCTAACCCTGAGCCTCATTGTAATACTAAAACCTTCGCCCAGAGGGGCTTATCTGCCCCTCTCATCACGTGACATATGTGTCAGCATGATTCCTTAGTGCATCTGCACACCCTGTGCTCCATCCCACACATGTAATAACGTTCACCTACCTGATGAGTTATGCACATTACCCTCCTTAAGACACGGCAAGGCATTCCCCTGGGGAGCCAGCCAGAGAACCCTTCTTCCTTCACTGTCTCACTTATTCCCAATGTTTCAGGCATAAGTCTCTTTTTTTATTTTTATTTTTTGAGGCAGTCTCACTTTGTCACCCAGGCTGGAATGCACTGGTGCGATAACGGCTCACTGCAGCCTCAACCTCCTGGCTCAAGCAATCCTCCCTCAACCTCAGGAGTACCGAGACTACAGGCGTGTGCTACCTTGCCAAACTATTTTTTGTGGGGGGTGGGTGGGGGTGGGGGGGGGGGTCTCACTAAGTTGCCCAGGCCGGGTCTCAAACCTGTGAGCTCAAGTGATCCTCCCACCTCAGCCTCCCTAAAGTGCTGGGATTATAGGCATGAGCCATCGCTAGGCACAAGTCTTAATAAATCTCAGCATAAGTCTTAATAAATCTTGTCTGGGAAGTCTGCCTAGCCTCCTATTAATTTCTGTTACACTGACAGCCAAGAACCGTGCACTAGTAAGAGTAACATTTTCTGTCCCTAATAACTAACGGATGTAAGGCAATGATCATCAGTGAGTAATACAAAAAACACTAGACATTTTGTGCCTTCTGATGGAAGAACTTACATCCCAAGATGATCAATTCTCTATCAGTGATGAAATACTCATACCCTCGCCCCAGACGTTTTGAAATCAGAAACTTTGGGAGTAGTGCCTAACAATGTTTTAATCAAGCCCTCCAGGTGATTCTCATGCACATTAAAGAGAACCACTGCTCTACATCCAATAACCAACTTAACAGAAATACAGAGGAACATATTAAACTACTCCAACAGGATACAATGGGCAACATCCAAACTGTGGGGAAACTATAGATAACCTAGGTCCTTCAACGAAGAAACTGCAAGCGAATTTTTTTTAAACTGCATAGATAGGTGAAATTTATATTTTAAGTTTCTTTTATTCTACAGCAACCAATTGTAACATGCAGGCTTCGTTTTGCTCCTGATTCAAACAACCTAAATAAAATACCATTATGAGACAACTGGAAACTTGAACATCAATAAATAGTGTGATAATGGTGTTGCAGTTTTTTTAAAAAGGAATCTTTTCCTTCCATCATAACCGTCACTATGAAAAAAAGTGGGGAGGGGAATCCTTATCTTTTAGAAATACAGAATGAAATATTTGCAGAAGAAATTATATAAAACCTAGGATTCGCTTTAGGTACAAGATGAAGCAGTTAGGAAAGAATTGGCCATGGGTTGACAGATACATAGGGGTTTATACAATTCTGTCTACTCTGTATAGGTTCAAAATTATCCTCTGCTTATTGTGAAAAAAACTTTAAATATTTTGGTAAATTAAATCAACTAAGCGGCACGGTGGCTCACGCCTGTAATCCCAGCACTTTGGGAGGCTGAGCCGGGCAGGTTACTTGGTCAGGAGTTCGAGACCAGCCTGCCCAACATGGTGAAACCCTGTCTCTACTAAAAATACAAAAATTAGCCGGGTGTGGTGGTGGACACCTGTAATTCTAGCTACTCGGGAGGCTGAGGCACAAGAATCGCTTGAACCCAGGAGGCAGAGGTTGCAGCGAGCTGAGATCACACCACTGCACTCCAGCCTGGGCAACAGAACAAGACTCAGTCTCAAAAAAAAAAAAAAATCAACTTAGCAAAATCCACAAGTTTTAAAGTTGAAAAATAATTAATCTATCACCAGTTTCTAATTGACACTCATCCAGTTCAACCATAAACCCCAAAATATCAATAAGCCTTCATGTAAATATGCATTAGATCTTCATTTCATCAGCCTTCCATGATTTGTATGATTTGTATGAATGATTATCACTTCTCTTACTTAAAACATAACTAATACACATCTTACTATTTCTCAATTCCAAAGAAACTGTTTTAAAGAAAAAGGTGAAAATACATATAGGAATGTGCCCACTAAGCTACAAGTTTACCTGTAAAGATGTAATTGATCCTGTGTGTCCTTGGAGCACAGCAACTGGGGCACAAGTTCTCAAGCACCACACTCTAATAATTTTATCACAGCTCCCCGCAGCAATCATTGTATTCTCATAGTTTACTGCCATATCTGAAATTTCTGCAGAATGACCTCTTAATGTAGATAACAAGCGGCCATTATGTGTTGACCAAATCTTTACCAAACAGTCATCTGAACCCTAAGAAAAAATATATCCAAAAATTAATGTTAGTACAGCAAATCTTTTAAATATTAAAAGAATACCTTTTATATGCCATCCAAATTAACTTTAACTCTTTCCAACTATAGAATACTCTCTTATTTATGTAATAAATTATGACTATGGTCAGAACACCTATGGAATAATAGTATTTTTCTTTAAGGCAAAGACAGTCTACATAAAGATACTGCCGAGTTATCATTTCTACGGGTCAGACTCCATTACCAATACTATTTTCCCCCAAGTTCTCTGCAAAGTAGTAAGTCCAACTCAAAGTTCACGGCTCTCTTATATCAACTAACAATGGTTAAATGTTAGTCTAGGCCAGGCACAGTGGCTCACGCCTGTAATCCCAACACTTTGGGAGGCCCAGGTGGGCGGATCACAAGGTCAGGAGATCGAGACCATCCTGGCTAAGGCAGTGAAACCTTTCTACTAAAAAATACAAAAAATTAGCCGGGCGTGGTGGCTGGCACCTGTAGTCCCAACTACTGAAGAGGCTGAGGCAGGAGAATTGTGTGAACCCAGGAGACAGAGCTTGCAGTGAGCGGAGATTGCGCCACTGCACTCCAGCCTAGGTGACAGAGTGAGACTCCGTCTCAAAAAAAAAAAAAAAAAGTCTATTCACATCAAGCTATATAATGTGATGAATGTGATGAATGTTGGAACAGATCTATACTTCATAGTGTGAGAAACAGGACTAAGTGGCAATCCCAAAAACAAACAAAAGTGGTGGGAATAGCCTCCTCACGAACACAGTCTCAAGTTTACAGTACTAGCCAGCACCCATTCAAGAAACATTTGATTATCTACTCTTGAATTTTACACCCACAAAATGAAAGTTAAACTTCTCACCTCTCCTAACTTACGCTTAAAACATTAAAATGATAAATTCCAAATTTTTTCAGATAGGTTTTTAATACTTACTTGAACACTAATGGGTTATTTTATAATCAACCCATTTTCCTGAACCAGTGATTAATGTGAACATGAATCACTTGTAGAGGTCTGAGGAGCTTTTTATTTTGGGGGGTTTACAGTTAATACATATATTTAATTACAATGTAATCTAATTCAGTAAGTCTAGAATGTGCTAGAGGGAAAGTGTTAGGTATGTCTATGTTTTTTTTTTTTTTTTTTTTTTTTTTTTTGAGACGGAATCTCGCTCTGTCGCCCAGGCTGGAGAGCAGTGGGGCGATTTCTGCACACTGCAAGCTCCACCTCCCAGGTTCACGCCATTCTCCTACCTCAGCCTCCCGAGTAGCTGGGACTACAGGCGCCCACCACCACACCCGGCTAATTTTTCTGTATTTTTAGTAGAGATGGGGTTTCACCGTGTTAGCCAGGATGGTCTCGATCTCCTGACCTCGTGATCCGCCTGTCTCGGCCGCCCAAAGTGCTGGGATTACAGGCGTGAGCCACCGCGCCCGGCCAGGTATGTCTATTTTTAAGCATCCTTAAATATCACATTTAAGAACGACTACTCTAAATCACTGTCTTTCAAAACAGCACAGAGTCCTATCTTCAGCTGAAGCACTTATTAAAAATACAAATTCGTGAGACCCACACCATACCTACTGAGTCAAAATCTCTGAGGATGGGAAACAGAAACTAAGATTTCCTAGATGATTCTGAAGCACACTAAAGTACTCTAGATGACATCAAATCAAGTTTAAAATTTTTACTCACTGTAAAGATTCTATGTCCTGTCCTATCAAATGCTACACAGTAAACAGCAGATAGATGTCCGAGAATCCTTCTGTGCATTTTTATATGCTGATACATAGTTCCTGGAAATGCTGTACTAAAAGTGGAACACCCTGTGAGTTGTTTTCCTCGATGTATCTCCACTAGGAAATAAAAACAATGAAAATGGTTAAGGGAGAGCCAATAAGGAAAAATCTAAGAAAAACTCAAATAACAATTTCTAGAGGGTCACAAAAATCTATGTTCAAGAAGCCCTAATGACACAATTTCTTCCCAATTCTATTCTTCTGTATTCAGTAACATAGACTTCTTACTATAAAAAGATTTTTTATTAATTTTATTTTTAGTAATTATTTTAACAATAATTTGACATTTGATACTTATTACTATTAAAACAACATTTCAACCAGTATTTCCTTTTAAATTTTAATACAGCATTTATAAAGGTTGTTGAGAAATTTAAAAACAATTATTTCAGGCATCTCAAAGGCCAACCTTACTTACCAAGATTTGGTGGGGAACCATAATTCACTGGCATTTCAGGAGGTCTTCCTCTATGAAGAGCAGCAAAGGCAGAGCCCTTCCAAACTGTGTGCCTGCAGTCTTTAAAATGAATTTTAGATACACATAAAATCTTGAAAGTTAACCCCAAGAAAGATTTTATAGAATACTTACGTATATTGTAATAAACTGTTTATTCAACATTTTACCAACTAGTATACTTTAACAGAAAAGCCCTGGAGGTTTATTAGACTATTTCTGAAGAAAAAGAAAATTAAGACATCTCAGATACAGCAGCAACAACAACTAACATTTGTGTAGCACTTTACAATTCACAAAGTGCTTTCAACATACATTAGCTCATTGAATCCTCACAACAACCCTGTGAGGTAGGTATTTTTGCCAATTTACAAGTGAGGTAACTGAGGCTCAAAGGTTCCAGGACCTTTAAAGAGATCCACAGCAAATGATTGGTAAAAGATGGACCATAAAACCAGATCTTTTGACTCCAAGTCCCATTTAATGCCAAGTGTTTATTTTTCAATGTAGAATTATATCATACAATACTAAAGATGAAAGGTCTTACAACTGATCCAACTTTTCAAAAATGGAAGCTTTTATAAGGAAAAAGTTCTTTGATTTATATGAAAATTCATGACTTGTTCAGTTTTAAAATTAATTTGGCCAATACTACCATGACTTTAGTCTCTATCTTTAGGAAGTACCAATAAATTATATAGCTTTCCCTTCATTGTAGGATCACAGAAAATCCTCTACTGAAGAGCACATACGTAGGATCTGTGACTCTGAACACTAATTCAAAGTCCATCCCTCCTTGACCTACCAGCAAATGCACTAAGAAAAAAAAGTCTGCCCTCCTCTATAGGAGATAGCAGCAGAACATAGGTTTGAAGCAGTCACACTGTGCCAGAAATTAGTTTCTTCATAACTCAAAGAAGAAAGGGAAGGCATCATACTAAACCTCTACTGAGCCTCGGGTGCCCCAAACTAACAGACATATTGCATTTTACATGAATGGATTCATTACCACTATCATGACCAAAGAGCAGTTACAAGGCATCCTCCTGGGGTACCAGTACAAAACAAACAGAGAATACGCCCCTACCCTAGGGCAGCTTGCTGAAGACTCTTCTAAGGTCTGGCCAGTTCTAAATCACTGCTCATCACAAAACAACGACATGGAGCTTGACACAAGTAAAGAAAACAAAGGAAAACAGGCTACCAATTAACTACCATATAACCAGCTAAAATAGAATAATTACAAAGTGAATAGGGACACAGAAGAGGAAGAATATAAACAGTGTCCTGATTAGTGCCACAGGGTGACATGGCTAGAGCACTAAGAAACAACTAAAGCTAACAAACCAGTCTGGCACGGAACTAAGAGGGAGGGGTGTTCTTTCTCAGTTAAGCTTTATACTGGTGGTGCAGCTAAGAGTAGCATCACATCAGCAATAGCTCGTAATAAAAAATAATCATGGGATGAACTTGATGTATACTCAGCATCAGAAGAACCAACAATCTTTGCCCATTAGCAGTTTAGCCACATGTACACATATATTATATCACATACATATACTTAGTCTAAGTCATATATACCAAGCTAACAGAAAAAGAATAGCAATTTCAAACATTTTGCTAGCACATAACTTGGCAAAAAAATTAAATTAGTAAAAAAAGAACCATGCAGTTTTACATTTGTGGTGCTTGTTTTCAAGCTGCTACCAAATTTAGAAAATCACTTCCCTTTATAACAAAGGGCTTTCAGAAGCTAAATATCAAATGAAATACCTCTAGCATTTAAAGAGTTTATTAGACACATACAATTACATTCAATGAAGTTATGAGTGAGCTACAAAATGGAAAATTAAGAACTCACATTGATAAAACCTCAAACAACATCTCAGAATAAATTCAAGCTTTTTAGCTTAACATCTATATCTTTATCAACTTTTTAATGCAGAAGGACCCATTAAACACTTATGTAATAAAATTCAATGTTCTATGCTAAATGCAGAGAATTTTATAGTCCACAGCATGATTTATAGTTACATTATCACCTTTCTTCCACAATGCTTACATTACTTCACAATTATAATAATTATTAGGCTATTAATACAAAGCAGAACACTTCTTCAAATTAAGGTACCTTTTGCTGTACGTAGCAAAGACTGCCTTCCTGCACCAAGTAAAGAAGTGACTCTTGAAATACTGGGTGGAATTTCTTTATCCAACATAGGACCGATGCGCTGGCAGATTTGCAAAAGATGATCAGGAGCCACATGCTTATTGGACAAGACCTAGTTGGAGAGCAAGTTTTAATGACAACAGCTTAATAATATCAAAAACTATTAAATACTTAGGGATAAGTCTGGCAAAATGTGAAAAACATACACTGAAAACTGTAAAACATGCTGAGAGAAATTAAAGACGACTTAAATAAACAATAAGCTGATCTACAGATTTGAGCTACAGATTCAAACCTGTAACACTCAAAACTTCAGCAACATTTTTTTTTGTAGAAATTGACAATTTTGTTCTAAAATTTATATGCAAATGACCTGGAAAAGCACCTCTGAAAAAGAAAAAAGGTTGCAGAGCTAACAAAACTTAATCTCAAGACTTGAAATCAAGACTTTACTCAAAATTGCACTAACTGGGCCAGGGATGGTGACTCACACCTGTAATCTCAGCACTTTGTAAGGCCAAGGCAGGTGGATCACTTGAGATCAGGAGTTCGAGACCAGCCTGACCAACATGGTGAAACCCCATCTTTACTAAAAATACAAAATTAGCCAGGCATGGTGGTGCACACCTGTAGTCCCAGCTACTTGGGAGGCTGAGGCAGGAGAATCACTTGAACCCAGGAGGTGGAGGTTGCAGTGAGCTGGGATCGTGCCATTGCACTCTAGCCTGGGCAACAAGAAAAAAATATATATACATATTACGCTAACTCGCCTGTCTCAAAAAAAAAAAAATATATATATATGCTAACTGGCCTGTAAGTGAAGCATACATCTTTGAGAGAGATGTTAAGATATCAAAGATCCTATAAGACATCATTTAGTATCTAAATCATGGATAACTGGTTCTCAACAACATACTAGGCAGTAAAAAACATTAATTCTTTCAGTAAGTACTGACAGCCTATTAGGTGCCAGGAGCCATAAGTGGATATACCTATGGATTACTATAGACAAATATATGTCTGTTATAATTTTAAATGAAAAATAATCATTTATTTACTCCAACGTAAGAGATAAAAGATATTGCTCTCATCTCGACAATGAGAATAGGCTGGATAAACTTTAAAAAATGTATAAACCCATCACAGCTGAAGAAACAAAGAAAAATCTACATTAACTAATCCCACAAAGTACAAGCTTTTCTGGGAACAGAAAAGGGACTCAGGCTGGGCACGGTGGCTCACGCTTGTAATCCCAACACTTTGGGAGGCCGAGGCAGGTGGATCACTAGAGGTCAAGAGCTCGAGACCAGCCTGGCGGAAATGGTGACATCCCATCTCTACTAAAAAAAAAAAAACACAAAAATTAGCTGGGTGTGGTGGTAGGCGCCTGTAATCCCAGCTACTTAGGAGGCTGAGGTATGAAATCACTTGAACCTGGGAGGCGGAGGTTGCAGTGAACCAAGATCATGCTATAGCACTCCACAGCCTGGGCGACAAGAGTGAAACTCCATCTAAAAAAAATAAAGTTAAAGAAAAGGGACTCATAGCTGCTTACACCCCTAGCAGAGAGGCAGGAAGAACTGACCTCAGAAAAGAATAAGAAAAAACCACTCAAACCTCTAACAAACTTAATGGCTACTTGTGGCCGGCATGACTGATTAGAATCCTAAGGCGCCTCAGTTACAGTGAGTCTGCACACCTACCACAATTTTTTCCCATAGGCCTTCACCAACTGCATAGGGCCCAAACACTAAAGCCAGGGCAGCCCTGGAAGAAATGCACTGTAGTGGCCCTCCTAAGGCTAGAGATAGGACAACAGGGTGGAGAATGATCTCTTCTGACATGGAAAGCCTAGAGCAGGACGGCAAGGCAGAGCGAACTCTGTAGCAACCTAAAAAGTTGGCAGTCAGGTACAAAGTAGAAAAAGATCTCACAAAGTTTGGAAAGGTGGCAACTCCAGTGTAAAAAATAAGACATCTCAGAAATTTCATGAGGGCCAAATGTCAAACTCTGCTGGAAGGGAAAGTATTGATGCCACCCTCAAAGCATGGAAAGCCAGTGATTTACTGAATGTAACAAAGCTCAGAGATGATCAATTACAAATTAGATTGACCCTGTCTCACACACTAACTGCTTGAGAAAAGAGCACATCTTTACCAGAGGTAAATACATTACTGCAGCCTCTACTCTTTACACAAAAAGTTACAGCATACCTCAAAAAAATGATGAGATACACAACAAAGCTAGATATATGACCCATGGTCAAGAGGGGAAATGGTCAATAGAAGCAGACCTAGAGATGGCCCAGATGTTCAAAAATGCTTAGCTGTTATTTCTTCAAACTACTTCTCCCCTCTATCCTTTCCACTTGGGACTTTAATTACACATTAAACTATTTGATATCATACCACTTATTCAAAAAGCTCAGAGAACCCAAGAAAAATAAATGCAAAGAAAACCCACTTTGGGAGGCCAAGGCGGGCAGATTACGAGGTCAGGAGATCGAGACCATCCTGGCTAACACGGTAAAACCCTGTCTCTACTAAAAATACAAAAAAATTAGCCAGGCGTGGTGGCAGGTGCCTGTAGTCCCAGCTGCTGGGGAGACTGAGGCAGGAGAATGGCGTGAACCCAGGAGGCAGAGCTTGCAGTGAGCCAAGATGGCGCCACTGCACTCCAGCCTGGGTGACAGAGCAAGGCTCCCACAAAAAAAAAAAAAAAAGGAAACCACCTAGGTGCACATGTGAAAGGCAGCTTCTGACATGCCCGCTAATAGTGCCCAAACCTCTTGGTAGTCAGACTTGTGAAATCCCCTCCTCATTTACTTCAGAAAACAGTAACATTGAGAGGATACTACTTCTATGATTAGGTTACAATTGTGACTTCTGTCTTGCTAAGACTCTACTGCCTCGTCAGCTTTCATCTTTTGATAACTCAAGCTATCACACTGGAAAGACCAAAAGGGCGAGGAACTGAGAGTGGCCAATAGTCAGGTAGAAACTGAGGCCCTCAGTCAAACAACCCTCCAGGAACCGAATCCTGCCAAAACTACATGAGCTTGGAAGCCTATTCCTCCCGTCAAGCCTTCAGCTAAAACCCCAGTTCTGCCAATATTTTGACTGCACCTTCAGAGAAAAGGAGACAGGGAACCCATCTGAGCTGTGTCTGGACCGCTGACTTACAGAAACTGGCAGATAACAACAAATTAGTGTAGTTTTAAGCTGCTAAATTTTGGGGTAATTTGTTATACAGCAATAGATCATGACTACAGGACAACATAGTAAAACTGCTGAAAATCAAAGACAAAATAAAAATCCTAAAAGCAACCAGACCAAAAACAACATTATTTTCAAAGGAGCAATAAGACTGCTAAATTTCCAACATTAGGAAGGCATAAGGCAGTAGAACATCTTTACTGTGCCGAAAAAAAAAAAAAAAGGACTATGAATCAGAATTCCATAGCTACTGAAGTCACTGTCAACAAACCTTTGTTAAAAAGCTTTGTGTGTTTTTTTTTTTTTTTTTTTTTTTTGAGACAGTCTTGCTCCGTGGTCCAGGCTGGAGTGTAGTGGCCCCAATGCTGGATCACTGCAACCTCCACCTCCCAGGTTGAAGTGATTCTCCTGCCTCAGCCTCCCAAGTAGCTGGGATTACAAGCACACGCCACCACACCCAGCTAATTTTTGTATTTTTAGTAGAGAAGGGGTTTCACCATGTTGGCCAGGCTGGTCTCGAACTCCTGACCTCAGGTAATCCACCCGCCTCAGCCTCCCAAAGTGCTGGGATTACAGGCGTGAGCCACCAAGCCCAGCCAAACCTTCATTAAAAGAAATAACAAAATAAGTTCTGCAGACAGAAGAAAAATTACCACAAATAGGTCCCATGGAAGTGGAGGAAAAAATTTAAAATACCAGAAAAGATGTATAGGTAGGTAAGCAAGTGATTATTGACTTTAAAACAACAGTAACAACATCTTGAAACTTTTATAATATGTGGTAAGGCCGGGCTGAGAGCAGTGGCTCAGACTTGTAATCTCAGCACTTTGGAAAGCTGAAGTGGGCAGATCACCTGAGGTCAGGAGTTCAAGACCAGCCTGGCTAACATGGTGAAACCCCACCTCTACTAAAAATACAAAAATTAGCCAGGCATGGTGGCACATGCTTGTAATCCCAGCTACTTGGGAGGCTGAGGCACAAGAATCACGAATCTGGGAGGTAAAAGTTGCAGTGAGCCAAGGTCACACCACTGCACTCACTCCTAGGTGACAGAGTGAGACTCCGTCTTAAAAAAAAAAAAAAAAAAAGTAAGGCCAGGCATGGTGGCTCATGCCTGTAATCCCAGCACTTTGGGAGGCCCAGACAGGCGGATCACTTGAGGCCAAGAGTTCAAGACCAGCCTGGGCAACATGGCAAAACCTCATCTCTACTAAAAATACAGAAAGTAGCTGGGTGTGGTGGCATGCTCCTGCAATTCCAGCTACTTGGGAGGCTGAGGCAGAGAACTGCTTGAACCCAGGAGACAAAGGTTGCAGTGAGCCGAGATCACACCACCACACTCCATCCTGCACAACAGAGACTCCGTCTCAAAAAAAAAGATTACTAGCTCAAAGCGACAGGATGGTGACAACTAACAGTTATAACTTTATTTATTTGGGAAGTGGTAAAGGAACTAATGTAAAGTAATGTATATTGGTAATGTATATTGAAACCTCTAGGGAAACCACCAAAAGAATAATAAAAGGATATATAACTAAAAAGAAATAAAGAGGCCGGGTGCAGTGACTCACACCTGTAATCCCAGCACTTTGAGAGGCCAAGACAGGTGGATCACTAATGGTCAGGAGTTCAAGACCAGCCTGGCAAATGTGGTGAAACCCCATTTGTACTAAAACTACAAAGATTAGCCGGGCATGGTAGCAGGTGACTGTAATCTCAGCTACTTGAGAGGCTGAGGCAGGAGAATCGCTTGAGCCCAGGAGGCAGAGGTTGCAGTAAGCCAAGATCACACAACTGCGCCCCAGCCTGGGCAACAGAGCGAGACTCCATCTCCAAAAAAAAAAAAAAAAAAAATTATTAAAAAAATGAAGAAAAGGAATAGTTAGGCCAGGCGAGGTCCACTTTGGGAGACTGACGGCAGATCATTTGAGCTCAGGAGTTCCAGACCAGCCTGGGCAACATGGCAAAACCCCATCTCTACAAAAAAAATAGCCAGGTGTGGTGGTGCATGCCTGTGGTTCCAGCTACTCAGGAGACTAAGGTTGGAAGACGGCTTGAGCCCAGGAGGCTGAGGCTGCAGTGAGCTGTGATCATGCCACTGTACTTCAGCCTGGGTGACAGAGTGAGACCCTGTCTCAAAAAAAAAAAGAAAAAGAAAAGAAATACAGAGTAGTTGCCAGGCGCAGTGGCTCACACCTGTAATCCCAGCACTATGGGATCCTGAGGCGGGTGGATCACCTGAGGTCAGCAGCTCTAGACCAGCCTGGCCAACGTGGTTAAACCCTGTTTCTATTAAAAATACAAAATGAGCCAGGCGTGGTGGCGGGCGCCTGTAATCCCAGCTACTCAGGAGGCTTAGGCAGGAGAATCGCTTGAACCCGGGAGGCGGAGGTTGCAGTGAGCCGAGATTTCGCCATTGCACTCCAGCCTGGGCAACCAGAGTGAAACTCTTTCTCAAAAAAAAAAAAAAAAAAAAAGAGAAATACAGAATAAGTAGAATACTTTTTACCTTTTTGAAATCCTGCTGTCATCTTAATACTTGATTAATCAAAAAAAAAAAGTGAGAGAAAGAATAAAGAAAAAATGAGATAAAGAACAGGTAGACTTAAACCCAATTATGTTTAATTATGTTAAATACAAATGAGCAAGGCACAGTGGCTCACACCTATAATCCCAGCACTTTGGGAAGCCAAGGCGGGAGGACTGCCTGAGTCCAAGAGTTCAAGATGAGCCTAGGCCATATAGTGAGACAGTCTCTAGAAAAAAAAATTTTTTTTAATTAGCCGGCCATGATGGCATACACGTATAGACTCAGCTACTCAGGAGGCTGAGGCAGGAGGATCCCTTGAACCCAGGAGGTCAAAGCTGCAGTGTGCCATGATCATGCCACTGCACTCCACCCTGGGCAACAAAGTGAGAACTTGTCTGGAAAACAAAAAAAAAATACAAATGACCAAAACATCACTAAAAGAATGCACATAAAACTACACGCTGTTTACGGGAGATAAACTTTAAACATGTGAACACAAAAAGGTTGAAAGGAAAAGGACAGAAAAAGATACACTGTGCCATTGCTAACCAAAAGAAGTTGGTGTGGCTATATTAATGTAAGGCAAAGCAGATGGGAAGACAAGAAGATTATAATGAATAAAGCATTTTCTAATATTTAAGGTCAATTCAATAGGAAAACAAAAATCCTAAATTTGAATGTACCTAATAACAGCTTCAAAAAAGGACAAAAAGAGCAACAAATCCACAGTCATATTTGGAGATTTTTTTTTTTTTTTTTTTTGAGATGGAGTCTTGCTCTGTCGCCCAGGCTGGAGTGCAGTGGCACAATCTCCGCTCACTGTAACCTCCGCCTCTTGGATTCAAGCAATTCTCCTGCCTCAACCTCCCAAGTAGCTGGGACTACAGGCATGTACCACCATGCCTGGCTAATTTTTCTATTTATAGTAGAGACGGGTTTCACAAGGTTGATCAGGCTGGTCTTGAACTCCTGACCTCAAGTGATCTGCCCGCCTTGGCCCCCTAAAGTGTTGGGATTACATGCGTGAGCCACCACATCTGGCCGTAGTTGGAGATTTTAACAAATCTTTCTCAGGAATCAATACAGTAAGCTTGCAAAAATCCATAAGGATACATATGATCTGAAAATAAACAAGTCACTCAACTTTTATCCCTTAGATACAAATAACTTCTTCTTGTTGGGTGAGCCTATGGAAACTAGTAACTACTCTCTTTTAAGGTAGCACAGCCAGCCAGGCACAGTAGTTCACACCTGTAATCCCAGCACTTTGGGAGGCCAAGGTCGGTGGATCACCTGAGGTCAGGAGTTTGAGACACCAGCCTGACCATTATGGTGAAATCCCATCTCTACTAAAAATACAAAAATTAGGCCTGGTGCAGTGGCTCACACCTGTAATTCCAGCACTTTGGGAGGCTGAGGTGGGTGGATCACAAGGTCAAGAGATAGAGACCATCCTGGCCAACACGGTGAAACCCTGTCTCTACTAAAAATTCAAGAATTAGCTGGGCATGGTGGCATGTGCCTGTAGTCCCAGCTACTCAGGAGGGCTGAGGCAGGAGAATCACTTGAACCCAGGAGGCGGAGGTTGCAGTGAGCCAAGACTGCGCCACTGCACTCCAGCCTGGCGACGGTGCAAGACTGTCTCAAAAAGAAAAAAAAAAAAAAAACCTTATCGGGGTGTGGCTGCGCCCTCCTGTAGTCCCAGCTACTTGGGACACTGAATCGGGAGGATCACCTGTGCCCAGGAGTTTGACGCTGCAGTGAGCCATTCATTATTGGGTCACTGCAGTCCAGCCTGGACAACAAGAGACCCAAACTCAAAAAACAAAGAATTGAGACTAGTTATCTTTAAGTATCTTTTTTTTTTTTTTTTGAGACCGAGTCTCACTCTGTCACCAGGCTGGAGTGCAGTGGTGCAATCTTGGCTCACTGCAACCTCTGCTTCCCGGGTTCAAGTGATTCTCCTGCCTCAGCCTCCCGAGTAGCTGGGACTACAGGCGCCCGCCACCACGTCTGGCTAATTTTTTGTATTTTTAGTAGAGATGAGGTTTCACCATGTTGGCCAGGATGGTCTCGATCTCTTGACCTTGTGATCCACCCGCCTCAGCCTCCCCAAGTGCTGGGATTACAAGTGTGAGCCACCGCACCTGGCCTAGATATCTTTAAATATCTCACCCTGCATTGGGCCTGTCAAATCCATGTTATTTAATTGTAATTTTCATGTATACGAGTGGTAAAGACAGAGGAGGAAGGAAATATAACTACAGAACTGAGCCTAAGAATTCGGAAGGACTAGGTTTGTAGAGGGGTTTATTTAAAGGGAAAGAGATTAAGAGACTTAATAATTGAATAATGTGTTACATTTTTGTGGGCCATTTTCTTTGACCGGAAAAAATACCAGAAGATCCTTATATTTAGTGTATCATTAGAAAACTCATTAAGATTTAAAGAAATATATTGGAGTAGTCCTTTTGTGTGAGGAACAGACTTAAAAGTTATTTATACTGAAATCAGAATTTGGTTTATTAGAATTGCAAGTAGTCATTTTTCTTAAACCTTCAAGTACAAATCTTATTTATAAATCCAGAAACAAATAGTTACTTTTATTCTTTGGTTACTGTTTAATTGATAATTGAAAATTTGTTTATTTATTTTGAGATGGAGTTTTGCTCTTGTTGCCTAGGCCGGAGTGCAATGGCTTGATCTCAGACCATTGCAACCTCTGCCTCCTGGGTTCAAGTGATTCTCCTGCCTCAGCCTCCCAAGTAGCTGGGATTACAGGCACCTGCCACCACGCCCGGCTAAGTTTTGTATTTTTAGTAGAGACGGGGTTTCACCCTGTTGGCCAGGCTGGTCTTGAACTCCTGACCTCAGGTGATCCACCTGCCTCAGCCTCCTAAAGTGCTGGGATGACAGGTGTGAGCCACTGAGCCTGGTTATAATTGAAAATTTAATCATAAAATATTTTATACCACTTACACATTTAATCAAATTTCCTTGGGCATTTTTCACTACACTTAGAAGCGTACAGTTATTTTAATCACCTCAGCAGGGTTAACTTAGACAAACCTAACCATGAATTTTCTAAGACTAAACTTGTAAATAGATTTCAAATTTATTTTGTAATTTTTTTTACTCTATCAAACAAATAAATGTAACTCAGTAATTACAAAACTTGTTACTACATCAGAATATGTACTTGTATGAATATCAATGTATTATATGTATATATTTTATGTATATATGTTTGTATGTATATATTGCACATATTATATGTATATATACTTGTGTGAATACATTTGTACTTTCCTTTTTCTTCATCTTCGCTTGTTAACCTTCCTGGGTTATGACTTAATTACCCAAACTGGGAGGAGACTGGTATTACCATTTTAAGTACTCTACAGGATTAAGGAATCAGGTTATGATAGAAGATTATAGGCTATGACTTGGAACTTGGGTGCACTGCCAGATACTTTAAGTCTTAGGCTGAGCCTTTTTTAATAGTAAAACCCCTTTAAAACAAAAACCTCTTTTACAATTTTGTATTTCCCACAAGTCTTGAAACTAATCCCATTATCATTTAATTTTCACAGTGGAACTCTAAAAGACCCTTCCATCCTGAGGGTAGCTAATTTCTTTCCTCTATAGATTCTGTATTGTCCTTGACTATAGAGATCTATCATTCTATAGGTATTTCATTTGTAACTTGGGGACACTTAATGATCATGGTAGTGTGATTGATGAGCTACAGTCTAGCAATATAGCAGTGCAGGTAGAGACTAGAAACTTGGGAGCTGGACACGGAGGCTCACACCTGTAAACCAAGGTTTTGTAAACTTTTTTTCTACAGATGAGGTGTTGCTTATGTTGCCCAGGCTGCTCTCAAACCCCTGGCACCAAGTGATCCTCCCACCTCAGACTCTCAAGTCTCTGTGTAGCCTTAGCCACCACACTTGGCTTCAATTCTTATAAGAAGCAAAAGTAGGCCTGGCAAGGTGACTCATGCCTGTAATCCCAGCACTTTGGGAGGCCAATGCAGGTGGATCACTGAAGGTCAGGAGTTCGAGACTAGCCGGGCCAACATGGTGAAACCCCGTCTCTACTAAAAACACAAAAAGTAGCCAGGCATAGTGGTACATGTCTGTAATCCCAGCTACTCAGGAGGCTGAGGCAGGAGAACTGCATGAACCTGTGAGGCAGAGGTTGCAGTCAGCCAAGATTATACCACTGCACTCCAGCCTGGGCAACAGAATGACACCTTGTCTCAAAAAAAAAAAAAAAAAAAAGCAAAAGTACCAAAAATACTCTTGCCCCCAAATACAGGTTGGAATAACAGCATGGTCACAAGTTTAAGATAAATTGTGGCTTTACAAACACTAATACTAGAATCATCTAAAAAGCTTTTTAAAATACTGATGTCCAGTCCCACCACAAAGATTCTGATTTAACTGGTTTGGGGCATACTCTGGGCAACCAGATTTTATAAAGCTCCCCAGATGATTCTCATCTGAAGATGAAAACCACTAAGAAAAAGGAACAAGTTACCATCATAAGGAACAATAAGACAAATACAGAATGTAAAACATTCTACAGGATAAATGATTTGGTCTCCAGTAAATCAATGGCATAGAAACAAGACTATTCAAGATAAAAAGAGATTTAAGATAATCAGGGAAGGGGCAGGATGCGGTGAGTCACACCTATAATCCCAGCACTTTGGGAGGCCGAGGCGGGCAGGTCACAAGGTCAAGAGATGGAGACCATCCTGGCCCACATGGTGAACAGCCGTCTCTACTAAAACTACGAAAATTAGCTGGGCATAGTGGTGTGCGCCTGTAGTCCCAGCTACTTGGGAGGCTGAAGCAGGCAAATCGCTTGAACCCGGGAGGCAGAGGTTGCAGTGAGCCGAGATCACACCACTGCACTCCAGCCTGGCGACAGAGTGAGACTCCATCTCAAAAAAAAACAAAACAAAAATCAGGGAAGGTGTGGTGGCTCACACCTGTAATTCCAACTTTGGGAGGAGCATTTGAGACCAGCCTGGACAACATAGCGAGTCTTTTTCTCTAGGGGAAAAAAAAAAAACTTAGCCAGGTGTGGTGGCACATGCCTGTGGTCCCAGCTACTCAGGAGGTGGAGGGCTGAGGTGGGAAGATTGCTTGAGCCTGGGAAATGGAGGCTTCAGTGAGCTGTGATCACACCACTGCACCCCAGCCTGGGTAATAGAGTGAGACCCAGGGTGGGGCGGGGAGAGAATCAATCAGTCAATGCATGTATGGACCTTTCTCAAGACCAAATCAAACTAATTGTAAAAAGACACCCAGGGAGGCCGGGCGCGGTGGCTCACGCCTGTAATCCCAGCACTTTGGGAGGCAGAGGCAGGCGGATCATGAGGTCAGGAGATCGAGACCATCCTGGCTAACACAGTGAAACCCCGCCTCTACTAAAAATACAGAAAAATTAGCCGGGCGTGGTGGCGGACGCCTGTAGTCCCAGCTACTCGGGAGGCTGAGGCTGGAGAATGGCGTGAATCCGGGAGGCGGAGCTTGCAGTGAGCCGAGATCGCACCGCTGCACTCCAGCCTGGGCGACAGAGCGAGACTCCGTCTCAAAAAAAAAAAAAAAAAAAAGACACCCAGGGAACAAAAAGAAAATCTGGATATGGACTCTGTGATATTGGCACTTGATGATATAATAAGCAGTCCTTATTTTTTAGAGATGAACTCTGACAAACTTAGAGATGAAATGTAGTGTCTGGAATCTGCCTTAAAACATTCCAACACATTAACCAGTGAAATGAATGGCTTTCTGGAATTTGCTTAAAAACAAGGGAGCAGACAATATGCAACATTCTCTGATAATCACTGAAGTTGGAAAATGGGCACCTAGTGGGTGGGTCATTTATTCTATTATTTTTGTTTGAAGATGTCCATTGATAGTTTCTTAAAACATATGTATACCTCAAACAGAAACCAAAGTAAATATAGCAAGTTAGTAACTTTCAAAATTCAAATTTGTTGGCCAGGCGCAGTGGCTCACGCCTGTAATCCCAGCACTTTGGGACACAGAGGCGGGCAGATCACCTGAAGTTAGGAGTTCAAGACCAGCCTGGCCAACATGGTGAAACCCCTTCTCCACTAAAAATATAAAAATTAGCCAGGTGCCTGTAATCCCAGCACTTTGGGACACAGAGGCAGGCAGATCACCTGAAGTCAGGAGTTCGAGACCAGCCTGGCCAACAGGGTGAAACCCCATCTCTACTAAAAATACAAAAATTAGCCAGGTGCCTGTAATCCCAGCTACTGAGGAGGCTGAGGCAGGAGGATCACTTGAACCCAGGAGGCAGAGGTTGCAGTGAGCCGAGGCTGCTCCTCAAAACAGACTGTCTCAAAAAAAAAAATTATTATTATTCAAATTTGATGATATACAGCGGTGCATTACATTATTCTCATTTGTGTACATCTGAAATACTTCTTTTTTGTTGTTGCGTTTCGAGACAGGGTCTCGCTCACCTAGGCTGGAGCACAGTGGCTTGATCAGGGCTCACTACATCCTCAACCTCACTTTAGGCAGGTCTAGAACTCCTGGCCTCAAGCGTCCTGCCAAAGTGCTGGGATTACAGGTGTTAGCACCGCAGCTGGCCTGGAATACTTCTTAATAAGGTATTTTTAAAAGACTTTGAAAGTTTAGAAACGATACATATACCATTAACAAAAGAATAATTCTCTACACATGAGGCTCATCATCACTCAGTCCTGGGGGACTGGAGGGCAGAGAGGAAGGTAAAAAAAGAAAGGACACCCACCAGACAGACCAAATCAGGGAGGCAATGATAGATGCCATATGTCATAGCCAAATCACAGCCATATTATCACAGAATTTAAGTGATTTTAAACAATAGTAAGTAGGGTTTTAAGCAATTCTACCAACAAAAGCCAAAAAATTTATATAAATTTTTTTTTTAAAAAAAAGAAACTAGGCCTTGCTCCATCTCCCAGGCTGGAATGCAGTGGCAGGAGGATAGTTCAATGCAGCCTCAAACTCCCAGAGTCAAGTGATCCTTCCGCCTCAGCCTCCGAAATAGCTGGGACTACAGGCACGCACCACCACAGCCGCCTAATTTTCTGTTACTTATTCTTTGTGGAGACAAGAGTTGGTCTGAACTCCTGGCCTCAAGTGATCCTCCCACCTCGGCCTCCTAATGTGCTGAGATTGCAGCCATGAGCCACTGCACCCAGCCCCTATAAATGTATTTTAAAAGTAACTTTTCCAGTAGTTACAGCACTACATTTGTTTCAAGTTATTTTCTCTCAGGTAGCACGACAACAGCGTCATAACCAGTAATGCTTTTCCGCTTCACCGATAAGGCTATATTATCCGTGAAGAAAACTAAAAGAGGGCATCCTTTAAATGTTTCCTCAACGTTTACAAAAATAAACTATCTCAAAATGTCAAACTCAACACATTGCCATCAGAATTTTTAGAACTCATTCCCTTGAAAACATCCACTGTTAAAGTGTTTACTTCAAAATCTAAGAAAGCAAATATTAAAATTATTTATTACTTGCACCAGGCTTCAAGTGTTAACTGTTCATGGAAATAACACATCCTCTGGTCTCTTCTGTTGTCTAATTCAAAACCAGTAATCTTCTACCACTTTTTTTTCTTCTTTTCACTTGCCACCATACTCTACCACTCAAGTGTTACAGGTCTTCCAACTGTGGTAAAAGATCACTCAGAAGCTCTTTTCTTTCTCAATTGTTTTCCTTATACAAGATGCTGAATATGGCCTGGCAATTAATGAATTCCTTTATCCTAATAACGAAACGGCAAAAATATATTCCTGAAAAATGTCTCCAGTAAAAACAAACGAATCCCTGCAACTGCTGTAACTATAGATAAAAGCAAGTTATATAGAAACATTAACCAAGTTCACAAAAGAAATGAGACTGTAATGCAAGATTAACCGAGCTCAAAAGAAAAGTGCCTATTTAAAGCACTTTATTGTGTTATCTACAAGATCAGTGTGAAACTCATCAATCAACTACTGCGTTCAACAAATATTGTACAGTAGAAAGGAGCACAAGCACTACAGTGGCATATTCATACAGCTGCAAGATTTTTATGACGCTGCTGACAAAACAAAAAATAAAAAGCTCAACACAAGAACATTTCTCCACCTTCAGAGACCAATGATTCTATTCCTAGGGAACAAGTGGGGGGACAGACCCGGGCGGGGCAAGAGCAGCGAGGCCAATCAGAGCGCGAGTTACAAGCGCGGTGGAGCGGGGAAGCGAATGAAACCGCCCAGTTGAATGGCTGGCTGCGCACGCCACACCCCCGCAGAGGCGGCCGCACCTGGAGCCCCACCCCTGCCGCAGGACCTCCGCGAGTCGCCCCCACCGCTCCGCCCCGCGCCGCCCCCAATGACTGTTTCCTGCCAAAACAAACCTGGCCGCCTCAAAAACAAAACAAAATCTTCAGCCGGGAACGCAGCTATCCCCGGGCCGCCCCCCAGTGCGGGTCACACTTTGCACCCCACGGGCCGGGGTCCCCGCGAGGGGAAGGGGCGGGGGCGGGGGGCGGTGCACGGAAAACCCGGGGAGCAAACGTGCCCAATGCTCACCAACTCCTCGTAGCTCCTGTTGTGCTCGTTGCCCTCCCAGTCCAATCTCTTCGGCAACAACTGGAAAGACACGAAACGCACACGAGTGACCACCCCTCCGGCGCGGGGGGGGCGGGGGGCGGGGGGCCGGGGGCGGGCGGCGGGCGGCGGGCGGGGGGCGCGGGCGAGCATCCCTCAGGGCAAGGTCGGCAGGAGGAACCCGAGGGAGCGCGGGGACGGGCGCGCACAGACCTGGTACTGCTCCAGCTCCTGCACCAGCACCTGCGGCCGAGAGACGCGCGGTCAGGGGTGGGGTCGGGCCCGGGGCGCTCCCGTTTCACCCCCGCCCACCACCCGCGACCCCCGGCGGCGGGGACACTGGGGACGCCAAGTCCGCAGCCGCCCGCGGGCCCGCACTCACCTGGGCCGCTCTCCGACACGGGCCCGCCGATAGGTACCGGGCGATAAGGAAGTACAGCTCTGCGGGAAGACAAGGAGTCAGGTCAAGCCCCGGCGGGGAGGGGAGGGGGACGGGGCCAGGGGAGCCGGGGGAGCCCGGGGAGCCGGGGAAGCCGAAGCAGCCGGGAGCGCCAGGGCGGGGGTGGCACGGCCTCGCGTCTTACCCGACTCGATGAGAGGCACCGGGCGTCGGGCGGACGACGGCTCCGCCATGGCCGGGCGCGGGGCGGGAGGCGGGAGCGAGCGAGCGAGCGGAGCGTGTAGGCCGCGCCGAGGCCTGACCGGGCTGGCGTCCCCTCTTCTCAGGCGCGCGCCGCCGCCGCCGCCGCCGCCGCCATACCGTGCGCGCCGCCTGGACCGACGCCTCCGCGGGGGAGGAAGTAGTTCCTCCGCGGGAGACGAAAAGTAGTCCCTCCGCGGGGGGCGGGGGTTTGCGCCAAGAGAGGACCGGAGCTCGTGTCCCGCCCGGGGAGGCGAACCTCGCTCAGCTCTCTGCCTCCGGGGACTCGATGAGGAGAAAGTGACGCGGAGGCAAAGACCTGGGCGCCGCAGCAGCGAGTGGGGGAGGGGAGGGCGCGTGGTCCGAATCCCTGCGCGCAATGAGGCGGCTGCCCGGGCTTTGTGAGGCGGCAGCGCGACGCCGGGTGGCCCAGCAGCGGGCGGGTGCCGGGGGCGGAAGCGCGGCCACAAGAGGGGGCGATTCACCGCCGCCCCCCGTGGGACCTGGGTCCTCTACGCGGGACCGCAGGGGCCCCGAGTCGCGGGTTGGGCAAGGTCGCCCGCTCCGGGTCGCTCGGAAGGGTCATTTCACGGACCGGTCGTCTGGGGCCAGTGCGTCTTGCCCCGCACGGAAGACCCCTCGCTTCGAGGACAGGAAAGCTTTTAAAGTGAGGATTGGCTCGCCGCGCCTCCCGCAGAGGGGAACGCCGCCCGGACCCGCGCTCCTGGGGCGGGGGCCTCGTATGCTGGCGTTGCCGGAGCGTCTGCGGCGCTGAAGGCTGCCGAGACCCAGCCACATCCCCCACAAGCCAGCAGCCCGGCAGAAAATTACATAAAATGCAGCGCTTCGCCGAGGGGGTGCGAGTCGGGGGAGCAGCGCGCAGCTGCGGCTGACGGCTCGGCTGGATCCATCCAAGCATGGACAGGAAAACGGGACTGTGGGGAGAGGGTGGTGCAGACGGGCCGCAGACCCTCCTTAGGAAGAGAAGCCGGAAACTAGGGAGTCATGTGCAGTTAGAATCCTCTTGGAAGACTAGTAGGATGTGAGGTTGGAGAGGTGGACGACGACCAGAAAATTCCCTTGTCTTGCCAGGCTTCTGACCTAACTATGAGTTTCCTCCGCGCATCCAGCCTGCCCTGCTCTGGCCCCTAAAGTACAGCAGTAACACTCAGTGGTGTCCCTGCCTTCCTGGAATGCGCGTTAACAATTCTGATTCTTACTCATGGCAATAACCTACACACCACATAGACGTTAAATGTGGTTCGGGTCAGACTCTAGGGCAGGACTCACTGCCTGCACCTTGTCTTGGCTCCACCAGCTTGACCTTGAGCAAGTCACAACCTGTGGGTCTCAGTGTTCCTTACTAGTAAACCGTAGGTAATTCCTCACTAGTAAACAGATAATATTTGTGCCTGTCTCAAAGTTGTGAGGATTTAATGAATTTGTGTTCCTGGTATACAGTAAGCACCGTGTACAAGTTGGCTTTTATTTACACCAAATAGCAAAAGCTTTTATTTATTTTGAGACAGGGTCTTGCTCTCAGGCTGGAGTGCAGTGGCGCGATCTCACCTCACTGCAACCTCTGCCTCCCGGGTTCCAGCGATTCTTGTGCCTCAGCCTCCCGAGTAGCTGGAATTGCAGGCAAGCGCCACCACGTCCGGCTAATTTTTATATTTTTATATTTTTAGTAGGGACGGGTTTCACCATGTTGGCCAGGCTGGTCTCGAACTCCTGGCCTCAGGTGATCCACCCGCCTTGGCCTCCCGAAGTGCTGGGGATTACATGCATGAGCCACTGCGCCTGGCCAAAAGCTTTTATATATATTTATAAATGGACATAGATATCTGTGAGGCTGTCGGGTATGGTGGCTCACGCCTGTAGTCCCAAGCACTTTGGGAGGCCGAGGCAGGCGGATCACGAGGTCAGGAAATCAAGACCATCCTGGCCAACATAGTGAAACCCCCGTCTCTACTAAAAATAAAAAAATTAGCCAGGTGTGGCAGTGCGCGCCTCTAGTCCCAGCTACTTGAGAGGCTGAGGCAGGAGAATCGCTTGAACCCCGGAGGCGGAGGCTGCAGTGAACCGAGATCGCGCCACTGCACTCCAGCCTGGGCGACAAGGCGAGACTCCGTCTCCAAAAAAAAAAAGCTATTTGTGAGGTAACAATCTAAATATGTTTGAGCTAGTGCAACAGTAAGTTAACTCCTTACATCTGTTAATTCAGCAAGCACTAACAAGTGATGGAGATTAAAAAAAAAAAAGGAATGAGCCACAGCTTTGCCATCAAAGACTTCAGCGTCTCTTAGGGGAAACAGATGTAAGCAAATAATGACACGATTTAGGGCAGAGATATATCAGAAGATCAGCTTGCCTGTGCGTGGGGGAAATGTTAGGGAAGTTTGGGTTATCCAGGCTACAATGTGTGGAAAGGGATTTCGCACATACAAACAACAGAGGGCCAAGACATGAATATGATTTCTAGTTTAAGGAACCAGAAGTTTAGTATGACTACTTGGGGTGACTTTGGAGAGGATGGGACCATGATGTCAGAAGTTGAAATTGGGAGCAATTGAAAGATTCTAAGCCAGGAAGGAATCATTTTCTATTTTAGGATGGATTTGAGAAAGTTAAGACCAAGAGGCACTTAACATACCCCTGAAATAGAAAAGAAATGATGCATGAGGGCGTTGGTCATAAGGATAGAGAAGAGACAAGATCAGAAGTATGTAGGACAGTAAATCTGCAAGATGAAGTTGGGGTGAAATAAAAACCACAAAAATCTCGTTTGGGGCTTTCCAAGGTTGTGCCAACAAATAAGGTAGGGCATACAGGCTGGTAGCTAGATTGTTAAGATGAGTAACTGCTTGCAACAACTTGATTATTTGAAGTTACAGTGCATAGATGACTGTGGGACAGTGATCTGATGCTGCAAGATTACCAGTGTTACCAAATGACAAAGACATCAAGAGGGGAGAATTTAAACTTTCAATGATTGACCAAGGAGTTGTGCATTTCATTTTGTAACAAGGGCGTAAGATTAAAAACCCCCTAAAGATATTACAAGAATTTATATCCCAAGCTCTGGTCATTGTCCAAAATTATCGTTCTGATACTGGCACCATGATAACCATTACAAGAGATCAGAAATGATGACACGAGCCCAGACACAGTGGCTCACACCTGTAATCCCAGCGCTTTGGGAGGCCAAGGCCAGAGGACTGCTTGAGCCCAGGAGTTCGAGACCAGCCTGAGTAACATAGTAAGACCCCATCTCTACAAGAAATAAAAAATAGCCAGGGGTGGTAGGTGTGTACCTGTAGCCCCAGCTACTTAAGAGGCTGAGGCATGAGAATGGCTAGAGCCGGGGGGGATTGACGCTGCAGTGACCCATGATCACAGCACTGCTCTCCAGCCTAGGCAGCAGAGCAAGACCCTGTCTCAAAAAAAAGACACGATGACATGAGTTTTCCTTTACAAGAGCCTTGGGAGTCCTTTTACAACTTACTATCACATTCATGACAAATATTCTTTCTAAATTTTGAATAGGAACAAAGATTTCTAACAAGAGAGAGAATATCTTCCCGATTCGACTCCCATATGTCAAGAGACTCAGATGTGACTCATATTTGCCTGCCAGGAGGAGGAAAAAGAAATACACTGTCCAGGAGCAACTCCTTAGTGGGTACCCACCAGAAGTGGTCTCCAAACAAGGCAAGAATCTGTGTATTCCTCACACAATTCAATCCCAGCCATTCCATATGTACACACTGAGGTTTGCTTTTGGGTAAATGGAAATAACTTTAGAGTTTCACCACAAGAAAGCTACATGGTAAGCAAGTGTTGGAAAATCTTAACAGTGGGTGACATTAAGCTATAGGGTTGCATTTTCAAGGGAACCAACATCTTATGCCGTGGCAAGCAACTCCTGACTGGATAAACAGCTCTTAGATGTCATTGATAGGCTCAAGCTGAGGCGCAGAGGAAGTATGGCCCAAGGGCATATAGCTGGTAAGTGGTGGCTGGACTGCAATCCCAAGTAGACAGTATTATCTTAGACTGAAACACAAACACTGCAAAGTCCATTCTCCCTTGGCCACGTTTCACAAAAGAGGAAATGGGACCTGAAAATTAGGAGACTTACACAGGATTGCACAGCTAGCGCATCAGAGAGCTGACATTTGGAAGCCCACGTGATAAGTACGTGTGTAATCTCATTTACCGCAGGCAACTCTTAGATTCTGTTATTCCCATTTTAAGAATGAGGAAACTAGTCTGGGCGTAGTGGCTCTCGTCTGTGCTATCAGCACTTTGGAAGACCAAGGCAGGAGGACCGCATGAGCCCAGGAGTTCAAGGCTGGTCTTAAACATAGTGAGACCCTCTCTCTACAAAAAATTAAAAACTTAGTCCATGCATGGTGTTGGGTGACTGTAGTTTGAGCTATTTGGGGAGACTGAGGCAGGAGATCACTTGAGCCCAGGAGTTTAAGGCTGTCACAAGCTATGGTGGTACCACTGTGCTCCAGCCTGGGCAACAGAGCGAGACCCTGTCTCAAAAAAGAATGAGGAACTAAGGCTAATAAAGTTTAAGAATTTGCCTAAAAATGGAAAGCTTTTTTTTTTAATCTGTCTGTGAATGAGAGGAAAATAAAATTCAGTAAGGCCTTCCAAATCACCACTTAGGAAGCCCAACAACGTTAAATATGAATGCATATCTAGAAAATGGTGACCAAAGAAGTCTGGTTCCAACAATTCACATAAGAGAGTGGTCAAAATGGAATGAATTAGTAGATTAGAGTCCATTTCAAAAGACTCTGAAAAATGAGATAAGGAAATCTGTGAGCAATGGAGAACATGCAAAACAACTCAGATACCTAATCCAAAGCCTAATATTAGTTTTAATGCAAATTTGTGTTAACTGAATTTAGGTTCATTCAGGAGGCTGTGCTGATGTTGATGTACACACAACATCAGCATACCTCTGAAGGGCAGGAAGTAGATGACGTTGGACCTCCAGAACACTATACCACAAACTGGATCAGCACCTAGAGGTGAAATTAAATGCACACAAAAACCTGGATCACTTCATTCATTCATTCAACAAAATATGTGTTAAAAGTCTTCCCTGGCTCCTGGGCTGTTTTTTGTTTTGTTTTTTTCCGCTTTAGAGACAGTATGTCATTCTGTCACACAGGCAGGAGTGCAGTGGTACAGTCAGAGCTCACTGCAGCCTCGCAGTCCTACCGCTGAGTACTTGAGACTACAGGTGTGCACCACCATGCCTGGCTAATTTTTTACTGTTTTTTAGAGATGCGGGTCTTGCTCTGTTGCCCAGGCTGGTCTCAAACTCCTGGCCTCAAGTGATCCTCCCGCCTTGATCTTCCTGGACTTCTGTTGGATAAATTCCCTAGGAAGAGGAGAGTTAACACTTCGATAGATTTTATTTATTTATTTATTTTTTAGAGACAGGGTCTCACTGCATTGCCTGGCCTTAAGTGACCCTCCTGTCTTGGCCTTCCAAAGTGCTGGGATTACAGGCGTGAGCCACCACACCTGGACTTTGATCGATTTTTGGAGGACTTTCAAAGTAAAAATGAAGAAGGTATCTGATCTTTTGATAAGCCCTTAGTCACTAGTAGATATTATATTGCATTTAATTCCTGATGCCCTTCCTCCACCTACTAGTGGTGTCATCTTTCCCACAGGACCTTTTCTTCCTTTTAAGTCTAACCCAACCAGCTGTCCCCTTAATGCTACTTGTCCCTGCCTTCCTCAGCAAATTGTTTCCACATTTATCTCTTCCCTCTCCAACTTCTGCCTCTCCCTTGCCATTGGCTTCTGTCCTATTTGTTCCCAGCTTGCAGGCGCTGGCCCATGTCTGTCTCCAAGTCTTACTCGTTCTTACTTTGAAACATTTCTCACAGCACTAGAGAAAACACAGTGTGGTTGGACAAGACCTTGGGAACATGGGAGCTGGGATCAGAATGTGTCTGTGTTTGGATGTCGGAGTTGGGCAACCTCTTGGCTCGGATATTTTTCTGTTCGTTTTGTTTAATAATCTTTAAAATAAGCATGACAACTAATAACATTTATTGGATATGTTTGTATGCTGGACACTGTCCTAAATCATTTCCATGCATTATTTAAGGATCATGAGACAGCTAGAGGTGTTTGTGAGCATTTCCAGAGAGCATGCCTGTGAAGCTCGCTGAACAATGCCCAGCTCTCAACATGACCCTGTTATATAAGAATAATTCTTTTTCTCTCCATTCCCACTTAGTTCAGGCCCTCAATCATCAACAAGCATCCTCCTTAAAGTTCTCCCTGACTCTCCACCTAATTAATCCTGTCATTTTATTTTTTTCTTTTCATTTATTTATTTTTATTTTCTTTGCCACTTCTGTATCTTCTTTGGAGATAATCCTGTCACTACTTTTAAAAACCTTAAGTGCAACTTAACATATTGCTTCCCTGTTCACGTCTTTCTCATTCGCTGTCACCTCAAACCCAAACTCCTTGGCTTGCTTTTAACACTGTGGAGGACATTCTACTCTCCTCCCTCCCTGCTCCACACCCAGGAAAGATGACTGTGCAGTAAAGCCATGGCTCGCTTGCCCTTGAGTTTCCAATGGGATTCATCTGGTAAGAGGCCTCAGCCAGAGATGGAAGGGTGGGAGGAGAGTGAGGTTGGAGTTTCCATTTTCCCAGCTCCTTTCCTGCCAAGCCACAGGTTGATAGTAACTGCTATTTGTGTGCATATAGAGACCCTCTCTTTGCACATAGAGACCCTCTCTGGGCTTTAAGACCACTGCCTCCCCTGCCCCTTAAGGAGTTGGGCTTCCCTTTTTTTTCTTGTTGAAACAGTGTCTCAGTCTGTCATCCAGGGTGGAGTGCAGTAGTGCAATCACGTCTCACTGCAGCCTCGATCTTTCAGGCACAATTGATCCTCCCACCTCTGCCTCCCAGGTAACTGGGACTACAGGCACCCACCACCACAACTGGCTAGTTTTTGCATTTTTTCTACAGACGGGGATTCACCATGTTGTCCAGGTTGGTCTCGAACTCCTGGGCTCAAGCAATCCTCTGGCTCAGCTTCCCAAAGTGCTAGGATTATAGGTGTGACTACCATACCCAAGCCGTTAATCTCTTTTCAAAAACCTTAGAGTCATATCTTTTTTTTTTTTTTTTTTTTTGAGACAGAATCTTGCTCTCTTGCCCAGGCTGGAGTGCAATGGCATGATCTCGGCTCACTACACCCTCCGCCTCCCAGGTTCAAGCAATTCTGCCTCAGCCTCCCCAGTAGCTGGGACTACAGGTGCACACCACCACATCCAGCTAATTTTTGTATTTTTAGTAAAGACAGGGTTTTACCATGTTGGCCAGGCTGGTCTCGAACTCCTGACCTCAGGTGATCCACTTGCTTTGGCCTCCCAAAGTGCTGGGATTACAGGCGTGAGCCACATGCCTGGCCAGAGTCATAACTTTTATATCATACATGCAACTCATCAGTAAACCATCCAATTAGCTTACCTTCAAAATGTATCCAGAATCTAAGCACTTCTCATCCGGAAGAGCACCACAACCTCTTATGTCTTACTGCTTCTACCTTCATCCTATTTCTGTGTATTCTCAGGCAGCTGGAGGGATCCTGTTAAAACTTAAGACAGGGCCAGGCGTAGTGGCTCATGCCTGTAATCCCAGCACTTTGGGAGGCCGGGGCAGGTGGATTACCTGAGGTCAGGAGTTTGAGACCAGCCTGACCAACACAGTGAAACCCTGTCTCTACTAAAAATACAAAAATTAGCCGGGTATGGTGGCGTGTGCTTGTAATCCCAGCTACTCAGGAGGCTGAGGCAGGAGAATTGCCTGAACCCAGGAGGTGGAGGTTGCAGTGAGCCGAGATCGAGCCATTGTACTCCAGCCTGGGCAACGAGAGCGAAACTCCATCTCAAGAAAAAAAAAAAAACAAACTAAAGACGGACTTGTCCTTCCTCTCTCAAAATCCTCCAGAGGCTCCCATCAGACCCAGAGGAAAAGGCCAAGTCCACACGATCTGGCCTCTCTCTGGTTTGTCTTACCTCTCACCTGACTGCTCCCCTTCTCATAGTGCTCCAGCCTCACTGTGGCGTGACCTGGCCCACGGCTGCCTCAGGGTATTTGTACTTGCTGTTTGTTCTGCAGGAATGCTCTTCTCCTGGAAAAACTGCATGGCTGAGTCCCTCCCCTCCTTCAAGTCTTGGCTCAAATGTCACATTTTCAGTGAGACCTTCCCTAACCACCCTAAGTACAATTTAAACTTATCCTCACTCTGTGCCCATTTCTCTTTTACTCTTCCTGTGTTCTTTTCCTCCATAGCACTGTTGATCTTCTAACCTACTGTAACATGTCCCCGTCTATTTTGTTTATTGTCTATCTCTTGACCTTCTATGAAGGCAGACAGAGATCTGTGTCTGTTTTGCTCTCTGACACATCTGCAGGGCTATGATGAGTCCTGACATACTTATGGTAGGTATGCAATAAATATTTGTTGGATGTTTAATGAAAAATTGCTCAACTAGACAGTCCCTCAAATATGAGATAGTTATGCTTTCAACATTTCCTCAAATCTTTCAGCCACTGTGGTGGTTAGATCTGAAGACAAGCCTGGGCGCGGTGGCTCACACCTGTAATCCCAGCACTTTGAGAGGCCGAGGCGGGCCGATCACTTGAGGTCAGGAGTTCAAGACCAGCCTGACCACATGGTGAAACTCCTGTCTCCACTAAAAATACAAAAAAAAATTAGCCGAGCTTGGTGACAGGCACCTGTAATCCCAGCTACTCAGGAGGATGAGGCAGGAGAATCACTTGAACTTGGGAGGCAGAGGTTGCAGTGAGCCCAGATCGCACCACTGCACTCCAGCCTGGGTGACAGAGCGAGACTCTCTCAAAAAAAAGATCAGAAGACAATCTGCAGAAACTCGTTGACCCATAACATACCTGGAGATACGGCCTCCTTGGCTCAAGGCTCCCCTCAAAGGCAGCAGGATAGTCAAAGTCTCTGGAGCGGAAGGGTGAGTGGAAGGAAACACTTTCAGGAGGAGCAATGGAGGCTGCTTTAGGAGAGGATCCCCATGCTACAGGAACGGGGCATCGTGTCCATATATTTCCCAGGTGCCCCGTGCCCTCCGTGGCCAGCCTGCTTCAACCCACTGTCAGCAGCCTGTTTCACAGGCTCCATCTCCCTGAGCCCCCGCAGAACACAGCAGTCACCCCTGGCTTCCCCCAGCCTCTCTCTCAGACTGGCTCAGTACCCTCTGGTTTCCTCAGGGTCTCGCTGATCCCAAAGATGAAGAGACAAAACCGGCCTTGCTTGCCCCCAAGGTGAGACTTCGGATCTGTGGTGAGGGAGGGAAAAATTCCAGCAGACCCAAGAGGAAGGCTACAGAAGAAAGGACAGAAGCGTGGAGAGAAATTCTAAGCAGGAGGCTGGGGAAGAAGGAAGAGCTTCAGGTCACTGGGTCACCCCACCAGGAGATAGTCCCCTTGTGGCCTTGAGACTTATGCAATGGGCAGATGCAATCTGGGTACCTAAGGCAAGGATTGCCCTTATTCTGGCCATGACATTTAACACCTAATTGCAGCAATAACCCCTCTTTTCCACCTGGAGAAAGCTTCCTGGCCCCTCTTTTTCACTTGTGGGTAAGTCTGGCCAAGAGCAGGGTGAAGAAACCCATAGTCTAACACAAAACCACATTTTTTATTTTTATTTTTTTAATTGTAGAGACAGGGTCTTACTGTGTTGCCTACACTGGTCTCAAACGCCTGGCCTCAAGCAGTCCTCCCACTTCAGCCTCCCAAAGTGCTGTGATTACAACACAAAACCACCTTATCATTAAAAAATTAGGGCAAGGAACAGTGGCTCACATCTGTAATCTCAACACTCTGGGAAGCCAGGGTGGGAGGATCACTTGAGTCCAGAAGTTCGAGACCAGCCTGGGAACACATACAAAAACCCCACCTCTACAAAAAATACAAAAATTAGCCAGGCATGGTGGTGCGTGCCTATAGTCCCACCCACTCAGGAGGCTGAGGTGGGGAGGACAGCTTGAGCCCAGGAGCTGGAGGTTGCAGTGAACCGAGCTTGTGCCGTTGCACTCCAGCCTGGGCGACTGAGAGAGACCCTGTCTCAAAAAATAAAAATTAAAAAGCTTTTAAAAAGTTAAAATATTGAAGCCACCAAAGGTTAATATATGAATATTGGTAATTAGATGAGATTAAGATGATTTTTGGCTTGAGAATCCAGATTCACAAATCTTTTTTTAATTTTTATTTTAGGTTCAGGGGTACATGTGCAGGTTTGTTACCTGAGTATATTGCATGATTCTAAGGTTTGGGGTATGAATGATCCCATCACCCAGGTACTGAGCATAGTACCCAACAGTTAGTTTTTCTTTTCTTTCTTTCTTTCTTTCATTCTTTCTTTCTTTTTTTGAGATGGAGTTTCACTCTTGTTGCCCAGGCTGTAGTGCAATGGCGCGATCTCAGCTCACTGCAACCTCCGCCTCCCGGGTTCAAGCGATTCTCCTGCCTCAGCCTCCCGAGTAGCTGGGATTACAGACATGCACCACCACGCCTGGCTAATTTTGTATTTTTAGTAGAGACGGGGTTTCACCATATTGGTCAGGCTCAGGAGTTGGTCAGCTCCTGACCTCAGGTGATCCACCTGCCTCAGCCTCCCACAGTGCTGGGATTACAGGTGTGAGCCACTGCACCCAGCCTCCCACCCAAATTTCATGTTCAGTTGTAATCCCCAGTGTTGCAGGTGGAGCCTGGTGGGAGGTAATTGGATCACAGGAGGTGGATCCTTATCTCTCTCTCTTTTTTTTTTTTTTTTTTTTTTTTTTGAGACAGAGTCTTGCTCTGTTGGCTGGGCTGGAATACAGTGGCACGATCTCGCCTCACTGCAACCTCTGCCTCCCGGGCTCAAGCGATTCTCCTGCCTCAGCCTCCCGAGTAGCTGGGATTACAAGCCTGGCTAATTTTTGTATTTTTAGTACAGACGGGGTTTCACATATACTTCACTCATACAGGTGGGCCCATATTTCCTACATGAAACAGGACCCATACATAGTTCACTTCTAAGTGGGAAAATATGAAAATACGTCTTTTAACAAAAACCTATATATGAATATTTATTTGTAAGGGTCTTAGTCATGAAATCATCAAAAATTGGAAGCAATCAAAATGTTCTTTAACTTGTGAATGGATAAATAAATTGTGGTACATCCACATAAGGCAATGCTGCTCTATAATAGAATGAACCCATGATACACACAGCAACTTGGATGACTCTCAAAAGCAGCATGCTATGTCACAGAAGCCAGGCTCAGCAGGCTACACACATAATCATTCCATATACGTGACATTTTTACAAAGGCGAAACTCTAGGGACAGAGAACGGACCAGTGCTGGCCAGGGGCTGGAGGTGGAAGGAGGGGCTGAGTACAAAGTAGTTTCAAATAATGTTTTGGGGTAATTGAAATATTCCATATCTTGACTGTGATGACATCGATGTGTTTGTCAAAACTCATCGACCTGTTTACTAAAAAGAGAGAATTTTATTGTATGTAAATTACACTTCGGTAAACCTGACTTTAAAATAGCAATGAGTTGGAAATTTCAGGAATCAAATAACCTAGAGATTTGTCAAAGGGCTTTTCTCCTGCCTCTCAGCTTTACCAAATGCTTTATTGCCTAGCATTATGCTATGAGGTTCATTTCAGTCCTGTGCTTGTGAGATTGTTTTTTTTTTTTTTTTTTTTTTTTGAGACAGAGTTTCGCTGATCTCGGCTCACTACAACCTATACCTCCTGGGTTCAAGTGATTCTCCTGCCTCAGCCTCCCGAGTAGCTGGGATTGCAGGCGCCCACCACCACGCCCGGCTAATTTTTGTAATTTTAACAGAGATGGGGTTTCACCATGTTGGCCAGGCTGGTCTCAAACTCCTGACCTCAGGTGATCCACCCATCTCGGCCTCCCAAAGTACTGGGATTATAGGCATAAGCCACCGCGCCTGGACCCCCTCATACTTTTTTAACTTTTAAAATTCATTCATATAAAAGCATATGTGTAATGTATTTTTAATTTTGTTTTTGTTTATTATTTTGTAATGTATTTTTTTACATGTATTATTTTGTAATGTATTTAGTATTTTGTAATGTATTTATTTTTTATTTGTTTGTTTGAGACGGTCTTGCTCTGTCACCTAGGCTAGAGTGCAGTGGTGTGATCACAGCTCTTTGCAGCCTCAAACTCCTGGGCTTTTGCCATCCTCCCACCTCAGCCTCCCAAGCAGCTGGGGCTACAAGTGTGTGCCACCACACCTGGTTAATTTATTAATTTTTCTTTTGAGGAGAAGGGGTCTTGCTATGTTGACCAGTCTGGTTTCAAACTCTTGGCCTCAAGTGATCCTCCAGCCTCTGCCTCCCAAAGTGCTGGGATTACAGGTGTGAGCCACCACTCCTGGCCAAAATAATATATGTAATGTAGATGTAAGGTATTACACTCAATATTAAAATAAATTGCTTTGAAGCCAGCATCTGATGTAAGAATTAAAACATCATCAACATCATTGAAGCTGCCCTTCTGCCCTTTCTTTTGTTTTTTGTTTTTTGAGACGGAGTCTCGCTCAGTCACCCAGGCTGGAGTGCAGTGGCGTGATCTTGGCTCACTGCAACCTCCGCCTCCTGGGTTCAAGCAGTTTTCATGCCTCAGCCTCCCAAGTAGCTGGGATGACAGGTGTGTGCCACCACACCCAGCTAATTTTTGTATTTTTAGTAGAGACAGGGTTTCACCATGTTGGCTAGGCTGGTCTTGAACTCCTGACCTCAGGTGATCTGCCCACCTCCGCCTCCCAAAGTGCTGGGATTACAAGCGTGAGCCACTCGCCCGACTGAAGCTGCCCTTTCTATAGCACTCCCCTGCTGGTCCCCAGAGGCATCCACTGGCCTGAACTTTATGTATATCAGAATCTCGCTTTGCTTTTTATGAGTAGTTTTACTAGATATGTAGGATTCCCTTATAACATTGTTTAGCTTCCTTGGTTTTGAGTTTGGTAAAAATGGAATCAGCTAGGTGCAGTGGCTCAAGCCTGTATTTGCAGCGCATTGGGAGAGCAAGGCAGGAGGAGGACTGCTTGAGGTCAGGATTTGGAGACCAACCTGGGCAACATAGCAAGAGCCCATCTACACAAAAAATTAAAAACAAAACAAAAAATGTATCCAGGCTGGTGACCTGCACCTGCAGTGCCAGCTACTCGGGAGGCTGAGACAGGAGGATCACTTGAGCCTGGGAGGTCGAGGCTGCGGTGAGCTATGATGGTGCCACTGTACTGGGGATCATTCATATGTAGATTGTGTCAGCTTGAAAACAAAAGTTCATTCTTATGCTTCAAAGGAAGAGATTGTATTGAAGAAACTGCAAGTTGTGGCCAAAGTTAAGGAAACCAACCAGGTGCAATTGAAGCTCCCAGGGATGAGCAGCTGTGGAAAGCCATGACCACCCTAGGCCTGATGGAGCCAGGGAGAACACCTGTGCCCTGAGAGCTGGGTCACTAGGTCACTGGCTGAGGAGGTCCACTGGGAGCCACAGCCGTGCAGCCACTGCCGGCACAGCTCTAGCAGGGGAGAGATACTCCAGGCTCTCTTTTGCCCTGCTGGTGTCTCCTGTTGGGAGAATCTGGCTGGAGCTCAGCTGCAGGAAGACCCTAGTGCAGCAGTCTGTTGGATTCAGACTGTTGGAACATAGCACAGAGCAAAGGACGGAGTGTGATCAGGGAAGGGGTTGGAAGCATCTTTTCTCAAAATTTTCTCACTCAATACAGAATTGTTTCAAACGTTCATTCCTGTTGAGCATGGCTGTGATTCATTCATTTTTAAGTAGTTTAATATGCCACTGGGTACAAAGACCACAATGTATTAATCCATTCTCTTGTGGTTGGATGTCTGGGTTGTTTCTAGCTTTTTGGGTTTTTTTTGTTTTTTTTTTTTAGTTTTTACAATTATGAAAATGAATACTGTATGAAGGTTTCTGAGATAACGGAAAGAGGCCTTTGCCCACAACCAAGAGTGCCATCAAAGGTGGGAGAGATGGGCATATGGTATATGCCTGCAACCCCAGCATTTTGGGAGGCTGAGGCAGCAGGATCATTTGAGGCCAAGAGTTTGAGGTCAGCCTAGGTAGCCTACCAAAACTCTGTTTCTACAAAAACATTTTAAAACTTAGCCGGGCATGGTAACATGCGCCTCTAATCCCAGTCTCCTTGGGAGACTGAGGCAGGAGGATGACTTGAGGCTAGGAGTTCAAGGCTGCAGTGAGCTATGATCGCGCCACTGCACTCCGGCCTTTGCTACAGAGCAAGAGCCTGTCTCTTAATAAATAAATAAATAAATGAATAAATAAATAAATAAATAAAATTAAATAAAGTGGGAGATATCTCGTGCTTTTCCTCAGTCAGAGATGACCTAGCCACCTCACCTTGCTCTAGGTAGGATTAATTGACAAGGCAACGGATCTTGTTTTTTATTATGGTTAAGTATACATAACATAGACATTTACCATTTTAACAATTTCTAGTGTATGATTCAGTGGCATTAAGTATATTCCCAGGACAGCTGTTTTTCTAGTAGTGAAACTGAACCAGTAGCAAGCTGGTATACTTTTTTTTTTTTGAGACGGAGTCTTGCTCTGTTGCCCAGGCTGGAGTGCAATGGCGTGATCTCGGCTCACTGCAACCTCTGCCTCCTAGGTTCAAGTGATTCTCCTGCCTCAGCCTCCCAAGTAGCTGGGATTACGGGTACTTGCCACCACACCTGGCTACTTTTTGTATTTTTAGTAGAGATGAGGTTTCGCCATGTTGGCCAGGCTGGTCTCAAACTCCCAACCTCGGATGATCTGCCCACCTCAGTCTCCCAAAGTGCTGGGATTATAGGCGTAAGTCACCACGCCCAGCCACTGGCATGATTTTTAAACCAAGATCGCTCCCTGGAATTTTACATACATAATATGCTCCACTTGTCACAACCTCTTGATTTATTTATAAGAAAGGCATTCACAGTTCTTGTGGAATTCACTTGAGAATGAGAGTACAAGTTTTTATTTTCATGTTTTTTTTCCAAGGAGTCCCCAAAGCATTAAAGATATAGTGAATGGAAAGGAGGTCTTGGGCCTAGGAAGCAGAAGTTGATGATGCCAATTTTATCAGTCCCCAATTGAGAGACATTTGACTATTTTCAATTTCCATCATTACAAACAATTCTGCCATTAACATCTTTGTCTGTGTCTCCTTGAACTCTTGTACTTCTTTAGGGTAAACACTGAAGAATGGCATTGCCAGGACATAGGAAATACCACATTTAATTTAATAGGTACTGCCAAATTTCCCTGTCGATTCTGAAAACTTCTGGAATGCTTAGATCAAGATCTCAATGTCTCAGTCACTGTCTAGGGCCCAGAAGATCTAAAAACATGTTTGGATAGGTGTTCCTAAAATACGTCATTTAGGTTATGTCTCTCCCAGGCCTGCTCGAGTTACTGGTACACAGATCTTTAATTCACTCAACAAGTGTTTATTGAATGTCTATTATGTGCTAGGGCTGTTCCAAGCTCTGAGGATGAAGAAGTGGGAAGAGGAGACAAGTCCCTCCAATCTAGTCGGGAAGGTGTATTCTCACTGTTTCACCTCAGGCTGTTCTCAAGTGTGTCTGATCCATAATAGGAACACAGTGTTCATGCATTCATGCTGGTCTTGCTTGGAAAAAGATCATCTTTCTTGGTTTTTTGGCTATAACAAATAGTTTGTATTAATAGTAGCCAAATTTTTAACTTTCCATCAAAATATGCCATGTCCAATTTTGTCCATAATTATGTTAACTCAGGAGCTCAAAATTGTGCCATATTTATCCAAGAGAAATAAAAACATATTCACAAAAAAACCTCTTTGTACCAGAATGTAGTGTTCATTGCAGCTTTATTTCTAATAGCCAAAAAAAAAAAAAAAAACACCCCAGCCGAGATATCCATCAATAGGAGAATGGATAAACAAGTTGTGGCATATTCACCAATGAAAAGGAATGAGCCACTGATGCAAGCAAATGGCATAAGTGAGTCTCAGAAACATTCTTCTGAGTGAAAGAAGAGTACACACTGCATCATGATTCCATCTATATGCAGACCCGACTAGAACAGGCACAACTAATCTATGGTGGGAAAACGTGAAGCCACAAGGGATGGGGGCAAGAATCGAGTGGGTAGGGGCATGGGAGACCTTCTGAGGGTGATGGCAGTTTATCTTGATGAGGTGTTGGGTACACAGGTGCATCTTTTTTTTTTTTTTTTGAGACAGAGTCTCACTCCTGCCCAGGCTGGAGTGTAGTGACACAATCACAGCTCACTGCAACCTCCGCCTCCTGGGTTCAAGTGATTCTCCTGCCTCAGCCTCCCGAGTAGCTGGTTACAGGCATGCCCCACCACACCTGGCTAATTTTTGTATTTTTAATAGAGATGGGGTTTCGCCATGTTGGCCAGGCTGGTCTGGAACTGCTGACCTCAAGTAATCTGCTCGACTTGGCCTCCCAAAGTGCTAGGATTACAGGCATGAGCTACCACGCCCGGCCACAGGTGCATCTTATCAAACAGGAAGCTTGAGATTTTACATTTTATCAAATGCAAATTTTACATCTGAAGGAAAAAAAATAGAACCATAAACAAATATCGAGCTTTAAATAATAATGTGTATGCTGAATTATTAGGGGGAAGTGTACTGATGCCTGCGATTTACTTTAAAATAAATGAAAAATAGGCCAGGCACAGTGGCTCACCCTTGTAATCCCAGCACTTTGGGATGCTGAGGTGGGTAGATCACCTGAGGTCAGGAGTTTGAGACCAGCCTGACCAATATGGTGAAAACCCCGTCTCTACTAAAAATACAAAAATTAGCTGGGCATGGTGGCGGATGCCTGTAATCCCAGCTACTTGGGAGGCTGAGGCAGGAGGATTGCTAGAACCTGGGAGGTGGAGGTTGCAGTGAGCCAAGATCTCACCATTGCACTCCAGCCTGGGTGACAGAGTGAGACTCCATGTCAAAATTAAATAGATAAATAAATGAAAAATAAGGTGGGCCGGGTGCGGTGGCTCACGCTTGTAATCCCAGCACTTTGAGAGGCCAAGGCAGGTGGATCATGAGGTCAAGAGTTCAAGACCAGCCTGGCCAAGATGGTGAAACCCTGTCTCTACTAAAAATACGAACATTAGCTGGACGTGGTGGTGGGTGCCTGTAATCCCAGCTACTCGGGAGGCTGAGGCAGGAGAATCACTTGAACCTGGGAGGCAGAGGTTGCAGTAAGCCGAGATTGCACCACTGCACTCCAGCCTGGGCAACAGAGCGAGACTCCTCAAAAAATAATAATAATAATAGGTGAATTGATGAGGAATGGGCAGATGGATAGAAATATATGGAACAAAGCCACTATAGTAAAAACAAATTGTAAAATCTAGCTGGTGTCTCTATTTAAAAAAGGATCTTTTGGCCAGGCACAGTGGCTCACACCTGTAATCCCAGCACTTTGGGAGGCCAAAGTGGATGAATCACTTAATTTCAGGAGTTTGAGACCAGCCTGGCCAACATAGTGAAACCCCATCTCTACTAAAAATGCACAAAAAATTAGCCAGGTGTGGTGGCGGATGCCTGTAATTCCAGCTACTCCAGAAGCTGAGGCAGGAGAATCACTGGAACCTGGGAGAGTGAGGTTGCAGTGAGCTGAGATTGCATCATTGTACTCCAACCTGGGTGACAAGAGCAAGACTCTATCTCAAAAAAAAAAAAAAAGAAAGAATCTTTGGAGATCAAAAGCCTCAAGTCATGTCATCCTCAGCCATGTGAAGCCAGTTCAGAGCTTTTTTTTTTTTTTTTTTTGGAGAGGAGACAGAGTCTAGCTCTGTCGCCCAGGCTGGTGTGCAGTGGCACTATCTTGGCTCACTGCAACCTTTGCCTCCCGGGTTCACGCCATTCTCCTGCCTCAGCCTCCCGAGTAGCTGGGATTACAGGTGCCCACCACCACATCCAGCTAATTTTTGTATTTTTAGTACAGACGGGGTTTCACTGTGTTGGCCAGGCTGGTCTCGAACTCCTGACCTCGTGATCTGCCCGCCTCGGCCTCCCAAAGTGCTGGTATTACAAGTGTGAGCCACCGCACCCGGCCCAGAGCTTTTTGTCGGTTAAAAAAAAGGGAATTTCTTGGAGGGATTTAGGAAAGAGTAAAGGAGAGAGAGTGAGCATATGACAGCAAGGGATTGCAACAGATTCTTGTCTAGTGGCCTCCATCTCCTTGAATGCCTCCCAATTCATCCTTTACAACATTTTTTTGGCAACTTGAAGATCTTTTCCTAGAACCTTTAATCCAAAAGGAGTTGCTACTCAGCCGACAGTGAGATGTCCATATTCAAATGCAGAGGCCACATTGCGGTTTAATTACAAACTTTTTTTGTGACATACTGTTCCCCTTGCCTGCAAAGGCATGGATTGTCAAGAGTTGACTGAAAAATGTTTTTTAGAAACCTTGCAAATTATCAGCAGATTAGTGATGTAACAGAGTACCCCCATTTTTCTGATAAAGAACATGAGTTATTTTTAAAATGTTATTTTCTTTTCTCTTTCCTCCTTTTCCCCTGTTCCCCACTTCCTACTTATGTCTTTAGGAATGCAGTTATAACCTTGACCTTCCCTTCACCAGACACTCCCTACAGGGCGAGCTTATCTAACTGTGTGCTTACTTAGAAGCTCCAGAGCAGGAACTTTCTCCCACTGGGAGATTGCCTTGAGAGACAACAGTCAATTTACAACGTAACATGTGCCTGCAACAGAACCGTCTCCCACCTGGAGAGCATCTCGAGACAATGGCTACTTTACAACCTAGCTCTGCCCAATGGCGCCAGCTAGACCACCCGGTAGATAAGACACTGAAATGAGTCACGTAGTACCCGCACCTGCTTTCTCCCTTCCCTGCCTGCCATTCATGCCAAGTACCCCACATTTGTTTTGTTTTGTTTTGTTTTTATTTGTTTTTTGAGATGAAGTCTCACTCTGTCGCCCAGGCTGGGGTGCAAAGGTGCGATCTTGGCTCACTACAGCCTCTGCCTCCCGGGTTCAAGCGATTCTCCTGCCTCAGCCTCCCCGAGCTTCTGGAGATGGATAGTGGTGATGGTTGTACAAAATGTAAATGTACTTAATGCCAATTAACTGCACACTTGAAAATGGCTAAAATGGTACTTTTAAAACTTTTTTATTTTTGAGACAGTCTCGCTCTGTCGCCTAGGCTTGAGTGCAGACATATGATCTCGGCTCACTGCAACCTCTGCCTCTTGGGTTCAAGCAATTCTTGTGTGTCAGCCTCTAGAGTAGCTAGGATTACACGCGCCTGCCACCACACCCAGCTAATTGTTGTATTTTTAGTAGAGATGGGGTTTTGCCATGTTACCCAGGGTGCTCTCAAACTCCTGGCCTTGTGTGATCCTCCCGCCTCAGCCTCCCAAAGTGCCGGGATTATAGGCGTGAGCCACCATGCCCTGCCAAAATGGTACAATTTATTTTATGTATATTTTACCACAATAGAAAAATATTTATTTAAATTTTTCAAAACATAGATATGGGGGGATCTCACCATGTTGTTCAGGCTATTCTCAAACTCTTGGGCTCAAGCAATCCTCTCGCCTTGGCCTCCAAAAATATTGGGATTTATATTTATATTTCTTTTGTGAATTATCTTTTCATATCATTTGCTAATATTTCTATTGGTTTTTTTCATATTGATGGTCATATTTCTATTGGATTTTTTCTTTTTCATATTGACGATAGGAATTCTTTTTTTTTTTTTTTTTGAGATGGAGTTTTGCTCTTCTCTGCCCAGGCTGGAGTGCAATGGTACGATCTCTGCTCACTGCAATCTCCACCTCCCAGGTTCAAGCAATTCTCCAGCCTCAGCCTCCTGAGTAGCTGGGATTACAGGCATCTGCCACCACGCCCAGCTAATTTTTGTATTTTTAGTAGAGACGGGGGTTTCTCCATGTTGGTCAGGCTGGTCTCAAACTCCTGACCTCAGGTGATCCGCCTGCCTCGGCCTCCCAAAGTGCTGGGATTACAGGCGTGAGCCACAGCGCCTGGTCGACGACAGGAATTCTTTCTATAGTTTGACATCTAGCCCTTTGTTATGTGTGTCACAAAAATTTTCTCCCAATCTAACATTTCTCAGGTATTTGTTTACATAAGATCATATCAAGCCAGGTGAGCACCATTAGTCCTAGCTACTGGGGATGAAAGAGGCTGAGGCTCCTTAAGCCCAGGAATTGGAGACTGTATTGAGCTATATGATTGCCCCACTGTACTCCAGCCTGGGTGACAGAGTAAGACCCCATTCTCTAAAATAGAAACAAACCATATAAAAGTTTAAATTGTTATGAGGTCAAATACTCCTACCTTTTCTTTATGGCTTCTGAATTTATTATCTGGCAGAGGAAAGAAGGCCTTCTTCAATTCATAATCATAAAACTATTCTCCTATACTTTCCTCTGGTGCTTTTAGAGTTTTTCTACATTTGGATTGTTAAATCTGTCTGGAATTTATTTCTATGTGTGGTGTGAAGTAGAGAACTAATTTATATTTTCCAAAATGAATATCCAATTGAACTGAAACATTTTATTTTATTTTATTTTTTCCAGACAGAGTTTCACTCTTGTTGCCCAGGCTGGAGTGCAATGGCACGATCTCGGCTCACTGCAACCTCTGCCTCCCGGGTTCAAGCAATTCTCCTGCCTCAGCCTCCCCCGTAGCTGGGATTACAGGTGGACACCACCATGCTCGGCTAATTTTTGTATTTTTAGTAGAGATAGGGTGTCACCATGTTGATCAGGCTGGTCTCGAACTCCTGACCTCAGGTGAGCCACCTGCCTCAACCTCCCAAAGTGCTGGAATTACAGGCATGAGCTGCCGTGCCCGACCTGAAACTTTTTTGAGTGGTCTCTTCCTCAACAAGCTGAAATGCTACCTTTATTGTATATTAAATTTTTGGCTAGTCTCACAATTTTTCCTATTTCCAATGGAAATTCTACTGGGATTGTGATTGGTATTGCATTACATCTTACACAGAAAAAAACGGACACCCTCAAATCGTTACTCCTTTCCCAATAGCAGAGTCATGGAATCAACCTAAGTGCCCATCAGCAGATGTCTGGATAAAGAAAATGTGGTACACATACATTGTGGAATATTGCACAGCCATAAAAAAGGATGAAATCATGTCTTTTGCAGCAACGTGGATGAAGCTGGTGTCCATTATCCTAAGTGAAATAACTCAGAAACAGAAAATCAAATAATTCGTGTTCTCACTTATAAGTGGGAGCCAAACTTGGGTACATATGGACACTGGGGACACCAAAAGAGGGGAGGGCACAACAGGTATAACATCCACTGTTCTGGTGATGGGCACACACTAGAAGCCTAAACCTCACCATTACCCAGTACATTCCTGTAACAAATCTGCACATGTACTCCCTGAATTTACAAAGATTAAAAAAATATATAGGGCCAGGCGAGGTGGCTCATGCCTGTAATTCCAGCACTTTCAGAGGCCGAGGCAGGCGAATCACGAGGTCAGGAGTTTGAGACCAGCCTGACCAACATGGCGAAACCCCGTGTCTACTAAAAATACAAAAAGTAGCCAGGTGTGGTGGCAAGTACCTGTAATCCCAGCTACTTGGGAGGCTGAGGCAGGAGAATCACTTGAACCTGGGAGACAGAGGTTGCAGTGAACCGAGATCGCGCCACTGCACTCCAGTCTGGTGACAGAGCGAGACTCCGTTGCAAAATAATAATAATACTATAAAAATAAAAATAAATATTAACTTTTCTTTAGGAACATTGTGTGTTTCTCATTTGTTCTGATCTTTTTTATGTCAAAGACTTCAGTCACATCTTATATTTTTCTTGGAAGAGAAAAATGCTCTTTTTTTTTTTTTTTTTTTTGAGACGGAGTCTCGCTCTGTCGCCCAAGCTGGAGTGCAGTGGCAGGATCTCGGCTCACTGCAAGTTCCACCTCCCGGGTTCATGCCATTCTCCTGCCTCAGCCTCCCGAGTTGTTGGGACTACAGGCGCCCGCCATCACCCCCGGCTAATTTGTTGTATTTTTAGTAGAGGTGGGGTTTCTCCGTGTTAGCCAGGATGGTCTCGATCTCCTGACCTCGTGATCCACCCACCTCGGCCTCCCAAAGTGCTGGGATTACAGGCGTGAGCCACTGCACCCGGCCCAAAAACGCTCATTTTTGATACCAACCAAGAACCACAATGAGACCTGAAAATGTGCGAGAGCAGCGCACCCGTCCACCAAAGCACCTAGGCTCTGCCCATCCCGGTATCTAGGAGACTGCTTTATTCATATTAGCTCAATTAAGTTCGTTGAATTTAATATTTCATTCATATTGTCTTTAAAAATAGATGAAATAAGGAGAACTGAAGCAGAAAGTGAGAAATCATGTGATGACCTTTAAGACTGTCTTAAATATATTTCTTTTGAAAATCTAAATGGGCACTGGTGGAAATGACAATCTTGCACGTTTTAATATGCAACCACATCCTTACATAAAAACAGCCAAGCATGCAAGACTCCCAATCTTTCTTCTCTATGAATCATGCATAACAGATTAGTGTATTTTAAAATTCTCATACATAACTTCAATGTATTATTAGTATTTGTACATTTTTTAAATTAGAATTTTCTAAGGAGTAACAACATTAAGTGCTTTTCAGAGATAACATTTGTAGTATAAAATTATATATAACTTTTTAATATAATTTGCAGTTATGGATTAAATCTAAAACACAAAAGTAATCTTTCTTTACACTTAAGGATGTAAGGAAACACTGAGGGACTTAACAAAAGCCACTCTCTAACAAGACAGCACAGCCAGATTTTATGAGTACGAGTTACCCATTATAATGCTCAGCTTAAGGTTAAATTAAGTGTAGTTTCAAAGGCTTTCCTCAACACTATATATTGCTGTGAGGTGGTGGGAGGCGGGCAGGAATCTGCCAGGAATCTAGTAATTGTAGGTTCTGAAAATCACTCAAGAAAGAAAGCAGACGTTTATGGTGCACTAACTGCCAGGCCCCGCATCATCCACTCTGACCCTCTGGGTAAAGTATTATCGTCTCTTCAGTTAAGCCCATTACCTATATCCTTAGCCCCTTCTGTTGTCAGGTTACCTTCATTTGCAACCGAGAGGTGGTGGAATGGAGCTACAGATGATGGTCCCTTGCCCTGATGCCGATCCGCGTTCACCCCAGCGAGTGTCTCGTATCTTCGTGCCGTTTCCCTTCAATTCCATCACTAACCATGGCACTATACATCTCCATGCCCTCAAAAAATCTCAAACATCTACCTACTTTTTTCCACTGGAAAAGATTTTTGTGGAATCAGCATCTGGAAGCTAATATGTAATTCTTTTTTCTTTTCTTTTCTTTTTTTTTTCTGTTTTGTTTTGAGACGGAGTCTCGCTCTATTACCCAGGCTGGAGTGCAGTGGCGCGATCTCGGCTCACTGCAAGCTCCGCCTCCCGGGTTCACGCCATTCTCCTGCCTCAGCCTCCCGAGTAGCTGGGACTACAGGCGCCCGCCACCGCGCCCGGCTAATTTTTTATATTTTTAGTAGAGACGGGCTTTCACTGTATTAGCCAGGATGGTCTCGATTTCCTGACCTCGTGATCCGCCCGCGTCGGCCTCCCAAAGTGCTGAGATTACAGGCGTGAGCCACGCTAATACGTAATTCTAAAGTGGAACTAGCCATGATGGAGATATATATATATATATAATATATATAATTTTTTTTTTCCCCTGAGACGGGGTCTAACTCTGTCGCCCATGCTGGAGTGCAGTGGTGCGGTTCAGTGCAACCTCTGCCTCCCAAGTTCCAGTGATTCTCCTGCCTCAGCCTCCGGAGTAGCTGGGATTACAGGCACCCGCCACCAGGCCCGGCTAATTTTTTTGTATTTTTAGTAGAGACAGGGTTTCACCATGTTGGCCAGGCTGGTTTCCAACTCCTGAGCCCAAGTGATCCACTTGCCTTGGCCTCCCAAAGTGCTAGGATTACAGGCATGAGCCACTGTGCCCTGCCGATTTTTTTTTTCTTAATAGCAGCTTCTTTTAAAATTGAATTTGTATCCAATCCTGAGAAAATGTCCAATACTACAAAGGTAAATGAGCTTTTACTCCTAAATATTTGTTCTTATGCATTTTGTTCCTTTTCAGTTTTGTATTTGTAGATATTATTTTAAAAATATCCACTCTTATTTGCTTCCAAAAACGTTGATGGCTACTGGGACTGGTTGCCTGGTACAGGGGCTTCGGTATACTGTACTGTTGGCATGAGCAGTATTATCCCAAATAGAGTAATTTTTTTTTTCTGACAGTCTCGCTCTGTCGCCCAAGCTGGAGTGCAATGGCGCTATCTCGGCTCACCGCAACCTCCGCCTCCTGGGTTCACGCCATTCTCCTGCCTCAGCCTCCCAAGGAGCTGGGACGGCAGGCGCCCACCAGCACGCCCGGCTAATTTCTTTTTGTATTTTTAGTAGAGACGGGGGTTTCACCGTGTTAGCCAGGATGGTCTCAATCTCCTAACCTCGTGATCCGCCCGCCTCGGCCTCCCAAAGTGCTGGGATTACAGGCGTGAGCCACTGCGCCCAGCCCTTAATAATTATAAAAAAAAGTGTAATGGCCAAATTATGGTTTTGCCACACGATGAACTATTAAGCAAGTATTAAAACATTTTACAGTTAAGGAAAAACCCAAACATATGAAGAAAATTCACCCTAAAATAATTGCTTTTAGCTTCTGGGATTAAATGGTTTTTTTGTTTGTTTTTTGAGGCAGAGTCTTGCTCTTTCGCCCAGGCTGGAGTGCAGTGGCAGATCTTGGGTCGCTGCAACCTCTGCCTCCTGGGTTCAAGTGATTCTCCAGTTTCAGCCTCCCAAGTAGCTGATACTACAGGCGCCCACCACAGACTAATTTTTGTATTTTAGTAGAGACGGGGTTTTGCCTTGTCGGCTCGGCTGGTCTCAAACTCCTGACCTCAAGCTCAAGTGATCTGCCCACCTTGGCCTCCCAAAATGCTGGGATTTCAGGCATGAGGCACCATGCAGGGCCCCTAAATGGTTTCTTACTTTATACTCTTTGAGGTTTTAAAAAATGTAATCCTAGCTTTCACGATCTTGAAATAAAAACAATTGTTACCAATTGATGAGCTGCTTCCCATCATCTTTTTAAACCTAATGTTTAGAAATTCTCAATTCTAATTCTCAAAATTACTTGGTGTTTCAACCAAGTATTTCTATTGCAAACTCATGGAACAAATGGAGATTGTGATAAGCAGATACATCTTTAGGTCTATCTGTGTGGGTTAGCAGAGATTAGTTTTTAGTTTGACAATTCTTGTTTTAATGCGAAAAAGTCTAAATGTCTGACAAATTATATATTCTTGAAATAAAATACTACACAGTGCTTACAAACGCTGTGTAAGTGTATTCACTGAAATGGGAGAAAGGTCACAGTATGATAAAGACTACAAAATAGGATGTACAAGCATAGAATAGGATCTGAGAAAAATGCATCTTTAAATAGCTACTTAAATAGCTGTTTAAGTGAATTATGGGTGATTTTAGCTTGCCTGCAGTTCCTGAGTTTTTTTTCCAATGTGTATTAATTTCTCCCCTATGATGACACACATATTTCTCATCCCTGCATCTGTCCATCTCCCCAACCTCATCCCTAACCCCACAAGACTTTTATACACATTTCCCAAACTGCTACAACAGAACAGAACTTCCCCCTGGGGCCTCCATGATTACCATGAATCCAAGTACTAAGTACCAAGATCTGTGCCTTAAATCCTGATTAACCCACATTTGACGCACGTCAAGCTCAATCTCTGAGAAGTCAAGAGAATGCAGGGTTCTTGTTCACTAGTTTTTCTAATCAACCAATTGCTGTCTGATAAGAAGTTCTCTTCCTTATACTTTTAGATGTCTGATATTGGTACAGCCAGTCAACCATTCTCATCACTCAAAAGTACTGTCGACTCTGTTTAAACGGCAAGATATTAACTTTCTGTACTGATCCCAGAAAACATGCCTCAAAGTGGCTTTTGAGACAAGATCTTTGTACCCCAGGCTGCAGTGCCATGACACAATCACAGCTCACTGCAGCCTTGAAATCCTGGGCTTGTGATCCTCCTTCTTCAGCCTCCTGAGTAGCTGGGACTACAGATATGCACCACTATGCTTGGCTAATTTTTAAAATTTTTTGTAGAGACTGGGTCTCGCTGTTGCTCAGGCTGATTCTGAACTCAGGCTCAAGCAATCCTCCCACCTTGGCCTCCCACAGCACTGGTGTGACTGCCACATCCAGCCCCCAAGGTGGCTTAGTTAAAAAAAATTTTTTTTTTCCTTTGACAGTTGAAGTCGGTTTATCATAAAAATATGTGTCCTGGCCAAGGCGTGGTGGCTCACGCCGGTAATCCCAGCACTTTGGGAGGCCGAGGCGGGCGGATCATGAGGTCAGGAGTTCGAGACCAGCCTGGCCAACATGGTGAAACCCAGTGTCTAATAAAAATACAAAAAAATTAGCCGGGTGTGGTGGCTCACGCCTGTAATCTTAGCTATTCAGGAGGCTGAGGCAAGAGAATTGCTTGAACCTAGGCGGCAAAGGTTGCAGTTAGCTGAGATCGCACCACTGCACTCCAGCCTGGGCGACAGAGTGAGACTCCGTCTCAGAAACAACAACAAAAGGTGTTCCTTCCTGTGGGTAGGATTTAAAAGAAAAAAAAAAAAGGAAAATGGGCAGCCTTAGGGCTAGCAAACACCCAAGTAATAGGTCAGATTTAACAAGGCAAGGCTCGCTCCAAAAAAACTGTAGAAAAGCCTAACGGAGTAGTTCAAGGCAGGATCTTAAAGTACTTCTGTTATGCTTTTCTACAATGTTTTTGGTATTCTATAAGCCAAAACCCTTTACCTGTTTTAATTTGTAAGAAAAACTAGTGATTTCTTTAAATATATCATTACAACGAGTATTCAACGATTAAGAAAATCTGTGATTTGAAAACATCTATTACCACCGTCCGGGGTGGGAAGGTTGGGGATGACAACTAACTAAACACTGGCAGATGGTTCTATGGTTAAAAGGCTTATCAAAAACTCATCTATTCTACCTATACTTCAGAGTTAAAGGCAAATCTGTTCATCACCGTTTCAGGCCTCCATCGTGTAATGACCAACAGCGCTCAGGTGGCTCCTAGTCCTTCCCCATCCCCCAAGGGTTATCAAAGCTTCTTTGCCGTCAGTTCATGACACATCACTATCCTCTGCATTTGCTTTTACTGTATCCTCACTATTCCCTATAAACTCTGCTCTGGCAGTCCGTGCAGAGATCTATGATCCCATAGGGCTTGTTTTTAAAGGATTCTTGCCTACTGATCAGCCCACAGGCAAAACAACACACCAAGTGTACAGAGGTTTAAATTCTGTTCCAAGGATCCCTATTTAGTGATAACCTCAACAAGGTCTGTTCTCCGGCCGTTTTCACTGTTGCCAAGTCAAGAGTTGCCCCACACCACCTCTGAAGACTATACTTAAGAGGGCAGAATGACAACAGAATGTATATGAAAGCAAATCTGGAAAATACATACCATACTAGATTTAGTTGTAGCTTCTTTTTTTGGGACAAGTTTCACTTGTCACCCAGGCTGGAATGCAATGGCGTGAACTCAGCTTACAGCAACCTCTACCACCTGGGTTCAAGCAATTCTTCTGCCTCAGCCTCCTGAGTAGCTGGGATTACAGGTGCCCACCACCAAACCCAGCTAACTGTTTTATTTTTAGTAGAGATGCGGTTTCACCATCTTGGTCTCAAACACCTGACCTCAGGTGACCTACCCACCTCGGCCTCCCTAAGTGCTGGCATTACAGGTGTGAGCCACCACACCTGGCCTATCTGTACTTTTTTTAACCTCATACGAAGAGTTAAGAATTACGTATTTGCTTTGATTCAAAGGATATTGGATTGTTTTTCCCTTAAACCAATATAGTCAAGCAACTTCAAAGGACATAGATACTCAAGCAGTTATGTCTCAGGTATCAACCAACAATGAACCACATAATGGTCCCATATTATATACTGTACCTTCTCTTTAGATACACAAGTACTTACCATTCTATTACAACTCCCTATAGTATTTACATAATAACATGCTGTACAGGTCTATTGCCTAGGAGCAATAGGTTAAACCATACAGCTTACATAGGTAATAGGCTATGCCACTGAGGTTTGTGTAAGCACTCTCTATGATGTTCACGCAAGAAAACTGCCTAACAATGTGTTTCTTAGACTGTATCCAGTCAGTGGTGACCCATGACTGTATTAAACAAAAATTCAAACATTTCACTTAAAAAAAACAACTTTGGAAGATCAAATATGGAATTTTTTTTTTTGAGACAGGGTCTCACTCTGTTGCCCAGGCTGGAGTGCAGTAGTGCGATCTGGGTGCGCTGCAACCTCCACCTCCCAGGTTCAAGCGATTCTCCTGGCTCAGCCTCCCGAGTAGCTGGGATTACAGGCACCTGCCACCACACCTGGCTAATTTTTTTTTGCATTTTTAGTAGGGACAGGGTTTCACCATGTTGGCCAGGCTCAAATGTGGAAATTCTGTAAATAAAATTTAAACCAGAATTTAATCCATGTGCTTCAAAATATTTTCATAACTGAGATTTTATTGGTTGAGGATCAGTACAGACATTTCAATTTGTACACAAATCTTAACATACGTAACGAAATTCTAAAAAGCCATGTATTGTAATTCTTTTTTAAAGTTATTCCAGTGACTTTCCAGCTTAAAATTTGGAAGCAAATTTTCCTTAAGAGGCTATCAAGTACCAGTATCTTCACGTTGGTCAGCTGTTACATACGGCCCACCAGTTCACAACTCAACAGCACGTACACTACATGTTCAAATCTGTAATCTTTCACAGCACAGTAACAAAGTTATTAGGAAAACAGGACTACCACAAAGATGTTACAGAGTGCACACAATTCTGGCAGAGAGAGCCATGATCAAAGAGTGGTTTTCTTTAGGAAACAATTCTACTAAAAAACAACATGGTAATAGAAGTAATTTAAAATGTTCAAGACATTAAATGCAGGACTGACTCCATATTGCCATTTAATATGCTTTGTATTATAGGATATAAAAACTAACCCCCCATCTGTGGAATGTTAAGCTGACACCCGAGACAGTCAGAGCCTCCCATAATTCAATATCCCACACTATTTTCTGGTTGTACCAAAAAATAAACAACCAGCAAATGATTTCACCTCTTAAAAAAAAGCATTTACACTTAAAAAATGGGATGAGGTGGGATTCCCTCCTTCTTAAAAATGTTTCTAGAGCTACTAAAAAACTTGCATTTACAAAATAGTTGATAAAAATATTCCTCTGGATTGTACAAGAAGGGAGACAGGGACCACTGATAAGACATGGTATATGGTTATTAATCAGACTTGGCTTCTTTCTCTCCTGCTTCATCAGAGGCTGGACTCTGCAAAAGAAAGGAAATTGAGATCTTTAGCATTTAACACGTTGTCGTTTTATTTATATGCAACTATCAGGTCTTTAAAAAAGTCAATAACCTTTGTTATTTGTAAAGTCACCTACCTACTCTTGTTAAAAAACTTTTGTTAACCACCCCCTCACCCCAAATCAATACTTGCAGCCCTTCCATGGTCATGTGCATGCATCTACAGAGCAGGAAAAAATGTTGAGTTGCATCACATGTACACTCCAAGCTGAGGTCACTCTGTCTTCTTGTTTCAGCTCTAATGCCGTAAACAACTGTTTTTCCGGTCTACTTAGTGCCACATATTTTACACCTTTGTGCTTTTTACTGATGATTTTGTTGTTTAAAATGGCCCCCACGCATCTTGTTCAAGTGCTATCTAATGTTGCTCAATTCAAGGCTGTGATGTGCCACACAGAGAACGTATGTGTTGGAGGGCTTTGTTCAGGTACAAATTACAGTGCTACTGGGTAGTGAGTTCGATGTGAATTTAACATACATTAAGGCATGTCTAAACAGAAATACACATGTAACAAAGTCACGTATTTTCAGTTGATGAAAATGTTGTGATCAGAGGTTTGTAGGAACCCAATCCTGTACTTCCCCTATGTGAAAACGGTTTCATACTTGTGGCAGCCTTATATTAATAGAACACAGCTATAAACAAGGGAAACCAACTGTAATTTGATAACATGTACTAGAAGGTCAAGTTCTTCCTTTAAAATCAAAACTAGATTAGCAATGTGATCTTATTATCACACAGTATTTGATGTATGGTTAGAATTAAGTAGTACAGGCCAGGAGCGGTGGCTCACACCTGTAATACCAGCACTTTGTGAGGCCAAGGCGGACAGATCACCTGAGGTCAGGAGTTTGAAACCAGCCTGGCTAACACGGCGAAACCCCGTTTCTACTAAAAATACAAAAAATTAGTTGGGTGTGGGGATGCACGCCTGTAATCCCAGCCGCTCAGGAGGCTGAGGCAGGATAATCGCTTGAACCCGGGAGGTGGAGGATGCAGTGAGCCAAGATCCCACCACTGCACTCCAGCTTGGGCAACAAGAGCGAAATTCCGTCTCAAAAAAAAAAAAAAAAAAAGGAATTAAGAAGTACAAGAAGTACAAGTTAAAAAAATAAACTGTGATTATAAATTTCTTAACTTAGGAATAAGTAGTTTATAACTTAAGAATTTGATAAATATCAAATATAAACATCAAATACTTAAGTGATATCAAAATTTAAAAATCAATATACTAAATTACTTATCTTTTCTAGCTTAGCTAATATAACAAACATAAAATAAAGGTCTGGCTTAACTGAATCTTGCAGTTCAGTTATTTTTTAAGAAACAGCTTCCAGGCTAGAGGAGTGCAGTAGTGCTCACAACAAATCAATCAAAACCTGTTACAGACTTCTTTGTTCCTTCTCTACTCCCACTGCTTCATTAATAAAAAAAAAAAGACATCTTTTCCTCACAGCTTAAAACAATAAAGATTCAGCCTGGCTAACAGACACTGTCTCTAAGAATAAAGATTAATGACACTAGTCTTTTTATTTACTTGATCTATGTTATTATTTAGACCTTTAAGAAAAATACAAACAAAAACATTTTCATTAGAAATGAAAGTGGGAAAAAAATGCCAGGAAAAATGCAAGTAAGGGGAATAAATTTTCAAAAATATATTTAAAAGCAACATCCAGAATATAAAAACAAAACAAAGATTGAATTATATCTGAAATTGAGCATATTAAAATTTCTTGCTCTTAAATAAGCCATTTACATATTTACTTTCCAATAACATAAATCATAGAAAACCATTTGTCCAATCACTTTGGGATACCGTACAAAACTTTGTTCAATATTATAATGAATACTGTTATCTGCTACAAAAAATGTACAATTTAGTATCTACTGTTCAGAGTCAAAGCAATCACACACACACACACACACACACACACACTTCTGACCTCCTCAGTCTTCGTTTCCCCGTTTTCCGCAGGTAAGTCTTCTTTAGTTTCTTGGTTAGCCACTTCGGCCTGTTTTCCCTTTGCTCCCCTTTTCCCTTTTGTTTGCACTTTTTTGTCTGAAGATTTATCCTATGATAGAATAAGAATATATTTTAAGTACATGCTTTACTCCTTATTTACATTTTGTTTTACTTTTTCCCCTTCATGTCAGACAAGTAATGTGCCCAGTGGTGCTGACTTCATAGTAAGGTTTGAGAGAGGGACATCTCACACATGAGCGTGAAACCCCAATCTTCAAGCTTATGAAAGGATCTCATTTTGTATAGACTGTATCCATAACAGCTGTCATATTAATGTCTATCACACATCAGTTGATACACCTATTACATGAGACAACTTAAGGTCCCCCCCAGTAATCAGGAAAACAATGTATGCTAAGGAGATTTTAATAGTACTTGCATGTCAAGCCTCATTAGACATATGACAAATCCTAAAGCCCGAGCTATATTTCACCACTGTCGCCATCATCCACTATTCCCTACAGTTCCACATGACAGGACAATGTCATGAAGTTGAATACCGGAGGAGTCTCGTCGACCGTATTCCCACCCATCCCCAAATTTGTTGTGAACTTCAACAATACTGTCCTCACAAGACCTTAACCCTCACATTAAGACCAATCACCTGAAAAAAAGCACCATGCCGTACGGTCAGGTTGACTATCCTGCTACAGTTAATCCCTTCATATCATATAATGAGGAACTAAAAGGATCAGTTTTGAATTTATCACTTTCATTTAGGTGTTTGAAGAATCTGAAAAGCACAGGTATTAATATGACCATACTAACTTGATACATTAAGTTCAAAATTTAAGCCATGTTAAAGAAACATAAAAATACTTTTAGATACCATCCATCAATACTGAGAAGAAAGCTTAACATTTATTCCTTGTTAGTAAGTATACAGCAGCAGCTAAATTAGTTTAGCCCCCAGCGGGTGGTATAAAAGACCCATACGGATACTGACCAATTACTTGAATTAAAGGGCCATAAAGACAAGCAAGTAGAGCTCACAACTTCAATGCTAACACGGGCGGAAAAATCACTGCAGGGTGTTCTGTACTAATAGTAGGATTCCACAGACAGCATAATGACTTTTAATACTTCAACATCCTTTGAGTAACAAATGATAAATGTATTTGAGACAAAACTGCTACTACACACATTGCTATCACAAAGTTTCACAATCACTTCTGTATTTAAGAACTACTCTTTTGTAGTCTGTTTCTAAAGATTTCTCATTAATTTCATAATCATTCCAATACAAAAAATACAAAACTGGGAAACAGTTAAAATAGAATACATAATATCTTGGACTTGAAATAATACCACGTGTAACCATTATCAGCTGAAAAGCTAGATTAAAAAAAAATCAATCAAGTTTCCCAAAGTATAATGTTTGGACCTTCAAAATATTTAGTTCTAGGGAAAGATACAAGTCAGAAGCACACACAGTGACAAGATATGCCTTGAAAACATGTCTACTGTGTAGTATGATAATCGATACACCAAGTGCTTACGTTCTGTTTAGACTTCAAAGTCTGATCAACCATGAAGTCAAAGGTGTATTACAGAAACGAGATGTAAAAATGAACAAATCCCTTCTGCCCTTTTTCCTTTTGGGAAAACTGACCTCATAGGCTCGTTCCTCAACAAACACTGACATGAAGACTTACCTGTTGGCCTCTCAATTACATCTGATGTCCCAAACCCACTGAGAGTAAAACTTGGAACTGTTTTCATTAAAAAATTCACTTTACAGTAGATCTCAAGATGGACAAAGATAAATAAGGAAAGAAACAAGAAAAATGTAAAGAGGGAAACAGGCAGATATTTCAGCCAATTAGTTTAAAACACACACACACACACACACACAATAAAAAAAGATAGGTAATAATATACTGCTCACGCCAACATTTTTAACAAGGTCAGCTAATTTTTTAGGCCTTCAAGTTTCCGTGCTGTTCTAACTGTATACAGAGAATTACCACATGGTCTTCTGGTAATGAGAAATTTAAAGTTGAAAAATACTATTCTCATACCTTCCGTGAAGCTTTATTTTTAAAAGGATCACAAAAACAGAACTTTCTGTTAAAGAAAACATAGTTAACATTTTTACACTCAGCTCTGTAAAAAATTTAAATTAAAAAAGAAAAAACATCTTTGTTTTATACCTTTATTTAACAAGGACAAATTTAGTAATTATCCAACAACTCCTCAATGTCAAGGAAATTAATCTTGCCTCTTCTGATGACTGCAGTGCTAAACTTCTACCTACACTTTTAGGAAAGAGGTGAAGGCATTAACAAAAATTTTTTTTGAGACTTCAAATAGCAAACTCTCACCTAAGTTTTGGATAAAAATTAATCACCCCGCGAAGAACATGTAGAGCTTTACAGGTTTCAATGCTATATCCAAACACAAAGCTTATACTTGTTTTACACATGTTCTGCTTTTCCACCCTGCAAGTTATCAAACACACGTACACCCAAAGCCAACTTCATTCTACAGACCTGCAATTCGAATCATGCAATCACGAATTTGTTAGGGAGCAGCCAAAATCACGGTTTTGTATAACTGCTGATGAACACTTCCAGAGTAGTGGCGGTTATTTTCTCAGAGATCACAACTTTTTACCTCCCCACCCCCACCCCGTAAAAAGGTTAAGGCTTCCCGAAGTTGGCTTGGAAACTGTATATATAAAAACTTACACGTTCCCTTTCTCCTGGCCTCGGTGCTATCTTGACTCTTTTATTGTCAAAAAAGGAAGTACAAGCACGAATTAAAAGCCAAGCACCAGCCACAATGTACGCAACGCAAAGAATAAATTTCCTTTGTAGACTTAATATTTAATATTTTTTGTCGTCCTAAGTCTCCTAACATCTGCAGCAGCATTAGTGTGATATAGTTCTATAAACCAGGATGAATATATCCATTACATTTTTGCCTCGACCACTAGAAAAATTATTTACCGTAATTATTAAAGTATAAATAAAGCTCCAATAGCTAATCAAAATGGAAGCCCCGCATTAAGAAGCAGTGTAGCCTAAGGCCCCGCTGCATCCCAATGCGCGTTTCGAGGCTTACCTTCGCTGCTGCCTTTTTCGGCTTCGCTTCCACTTTTGCAGGAGGTTTCTGAAAGGCAAAAGCAGCACTGAGCGTCCTCACCCGGGACGACCCGCGGAAAACGAACGGTTACGGGGCTCGCTTTACTTACAGCTGACAACCGCGCCGATCTCCTCTTGGGCTTGGAGAAAGAAAAAGGAGAGTCAGCGAGAAGAGAAGGCAGGCCAGCGGCTCACGGGAAACCCACCACCCCCCGCAGAAGGCCCGCACTCACCTCTTCCTTGGCGGCGCCTTCGGCGGAGCTGACCTGCGGAGACGGAGACGCACGAATAGAGGCGGGCCGCAGTCCCAGGACTCGCGGGCCCGCCCGGCCCCGAGAACAATGCCCGGCCGCGTGACGTCACGGCTTCCCGCCGCCCCGTTCGAATAGCCCCCTCAGCTCCCCCGGCCGCCAAACGTTCCAGAACGCCCGCCCCCGCGGCCGCCGAGCGCTCGCCTGCCCGCCCGCCGGTCTCCAAGCGCCTCCCGGGCCCGTCGCCACCGTGGGTGCAACGGGGCCTGGGCCTCGCGGGGCCCGGCGGGGCGCCGGCGGCGGCTCCAGGGGGCGTGTGCGGGCCGCGGCCGCCGCTCACCTTCCTCTTGGGCATCGTGGCGGCGGGGAAGGCGCGTGCCGGGTGCCTGCGGGGAAGGCGCGTGCCGGGTGCCTGCGGGCCGCGGCGCGCCGACAGCCTTCGCGAAACTGGGCTGCCTTGCCGCTGCCACTCCTCCCGCCGCCCGAGCTGCTGAGACCCACAGCGGGGGCGGTGGGAGAACCGGATGGAACCGGATTGGGAGCCCGCCTCCTCCTCCCCCCGCGTCCCCGGCCGCGGGCTCCCCCTCCCCGCCGGCCGGGCCGCCCCCCACCCCCGCCCATTGGCTACGGGACTCAGCCCGCGCCCGGAATAGGTGAGGCGGGCCCTTAATTGATCCCGGACCCCGCCCCCTTCCGGGGGCCCCCCCCCCCCCCCCGGGCGCCCCCACCCCTTTCCGCCGTCTCGCGGGGCCCCAGACCCAGGCGAAGGGGGCGGGGTCCCAGTGGCGCTCCGGCCTCACGGTAGTTTGAAGCCGAGCCGCAAAGTGCGGTCTGCGCGCTGATTGGCGGACGCACGTCACGGGACCGCGGGTCCCCACCCACAATTCTTCTGGATACCTGGGCGCCTTCAGGCCACTGGTATCTGGCCCCTCCCCTCCGGGGTGAATTGGGTTCGAACATTTATAGTTCGTATCTTAGACTGGGAAGGGAGAAGGATAAGGTATACAGGAAGTAGCAAATTTCTCCCGCCTCTGTCGGCAAGAAAGGCTATCCAGGGGCTCCAGCTTCGCAGGCCTGCGTGAAGCGGGCCCTGGTGCGCAGGCGCTGCAGGAGGGCGTGGGAAGGAGAGCCGACGCGGCCTTTCTGTGTAACTTCCTTCCTTCCTTCCTTTTATTTGAGACAGGGTCTCGTTGTGTCGTCCAGGCTGGAGTGCAGTGGTGCGATCACGGCTCATTGCAGCCTCGACCCCTTCGGCTCCAGCGAACCTCCCACTCCGGCCTCCCGAGTAGCTGGGACCACAGGGCACCATTTTGCCCAGCTAACTTTTGTATTTTTTGTAGAGAGGGGGTTTCACTATGTTGCACAGCATGGTCTCCGACTCCTGGGCTCAAGCGATCCTCCCGCCTCGGCCTCCCAAAGTGCTGGGGATCCAAGCTGTGGAACTTTCTTCAGATTTCCCTGGAGGACTGCAGGTGCACGAGGGTCGTTTCTGGGCCCAGAGTAGGGCAGCTCTCAGATTGCAGCTCCTGAGAGCCGTGCGCGACCGTCTCCAGCACTCGCGGACCCCCAGAGGGCTGTTTTTTTTTCTCCATAGCATTGATTGAATATATATCCTTATACATTCCATATATATCTCAGGAAGAATACACAAGGAAGTGGTACCAGCGGTTGCCTCTGGGGAAAAGTGGGAAGATTGAGGGTAAAATTTCCCTTTTCTCGTGTGTAATTTTTTTTCACTTTCCTATCTGCATGGATTACCTTAAAAAAATTCAACATCAGAGAGTACCCAAGTTTGTGGCACAAGCATGTACTGAGCACCTGCCCTGTGGCAGGCACCGTGAAGTCCCTGGGGTAGAGAGAATCCAGGTTTGTATCCCAAGCACTGGGTCTAGTAATTTAGTGGGGAGAGAAAGTACCCAATTGGCCTAGTAAAGAAAGGGGAAGCCATCGGCAGGGGGGGTCAGCATATTTCAAGGCATGCTGACTTGCTAGAGTGTGGCAGCCCACCAAGACCTTTAAAGTGGCAGGGATGGAGATACGAAAAATGGACGTAAAGATCAGGGAAAAGAGGCAGAAAAAAAGAAGAGCAGCCCGTCATGAAGTTCGATCATTATCCAAAGATTGAGGGATACTGCAAGGTCTTAAGCAAGCGAACTCTATGCTTTTGGACTTACCTCATAAAGAACTTTCTCCCATAAGAACCGAAGATGCGCTAGGCCAGAGGTGACAACTGATGGTCCACAGATGTTTTATTTGGCCTAGTTTTTTTTAAGTTGCCAACACAAACAAATGGAGCAGCCAGAACTCAAATGAAAAACTATTTGGCAGTAGATTCCACTACTCATCAGCATGGGGGTTTTGACCTGCTCCGTTTCTGACCTGACCCCTTCATAGGCAAACCTGTGGGTCTTTTGCTCCGTGGAAAGTCACCATAATGATGCTAACGACCTGATCAGCATAACACACTATAGCCCAGAACTGGATTCAAGCAATCCTCCTGCCTCAGGTTCCCAAGTGGTTGGAACTACAGGCATGTGCCACCATGTCCAATTGGCAGTATGTTTTAAACCTAAACAGACACTTTCAGGACTCAGTCATTCCACTCCTAGAAAGGTACACAACAAAAATGCTTATATATTTTCACCAGAAGACATGAAATAGAATATTTGTAGCCGAAAAATTTGTTATAAGCCCAAACAGAGAGCAACCTAAACGCCAGTCAACAGAAGAATAGATGAATAAATGGAAGACCGTCAGCAATGAAAATAACCCATATGCAACTACATACAACAATGTGGGTTAATTTTACTAGCATAATGTTGAGAGAAAGATACCAGATCCAAAAGTGTGTATACTGTGTGATTGTATTCATGTAACGTACAAAAGCAGGCAAAACTAATCCAGTCTGTTAGAAGTCAGGTTAGTGCTTCCTGGTTGGGGTTGAGGTGGGGAGCTAGCGACTGGAGGAGAGAGCAATGGAAAAATTTGAGGGGCTGGCTATTCATGCTCGATTTCTTGATCTGGATGTTGGTTGCACTGTGTTCACTTCATGAATACTAATTGAGCTTTTCACCTATGTATACATTTCTGGATATATATAAGTTTTTTTTTGTTTTGTTTTGTTTTTTTGAGACGGAGTTTCGCTCTGTCACCCAGGCTGGAGTGCAGTGGTGCAGTCTCAGCTCACTGCAAGCTCCGCCTCCTGGGTTCACACCATTGTCCTGCCTCAGCCTCCCAAGTAGCTGGGACTACAGGCGCCCGCCACCATGCCCAGCTAATTTTTTGTATTTTTAGTCGAAACAGGGTTTCACCGTGTTAGCCAGGATGGTCTCGATCTGCTGACCTCGTGATCTGCCCGCCTCAGCCTCCAAAAGTGCTGGGATTACAGGCGTGAGCCATCGCTCCTGTCCTATAGTGAAGTATTTTTTCAACATGTCAGAGTCAGAAATTTTCACTTACAAATTTAGCTCTTCCACTTCTCTTGGCGTCCTTTGGGCGTGCGTTCCACAGACTGCACTTGACCTTGTATCTTGTAAGGAGGTGTTCTTTCTCCAGCTGCCAAGGTTCCAGACCTGCTGATTTCACTCCTTTGTATTTCCTACTGGGCTTCTGGAGGAATTTTAGTTTGTGATGCCCGCATATATGTGTAGGTTATATATAGATATCACCTTTTACATTTTCATTTAGTTTTGGACGATGTGTTTCTGTGATTCAAATTCCAAAGATTCCATTCTGGGCAACAACACAAGACCCCGTCTCTACAAAATTAAAAAAAAAAAAATTAGCTGGGTGTGTGGCACACACGTGCATTTCCAGTTACTCAAAACGCTGTGGTGGAAGGATCACTTGAGCCCAGGAGGTCGAGGCTGCAGTGAGCTATGATTGTGCAGTCCACTGCACTCAAGCCTGGGTGGCAGAGTGAAATCCTGTCTTAAAGGAAAAAAAAATTCCAAAGGAACAAAAAAATTTCCAGAGAAGTCTGCCTTCTGCTTCTGTTCCCCCTGGCTATCTACTTCTAAGAAGAAACCAATGTTGCTGCTTCTTAGGTATCCCTCTTGAGATATTTTGTGGAAGCAAATTAATATATGTTCTTTTCTTCCTCCTTTATTTTTACACTGTTTGGTACCCATGCATTTTCACTTAACAATAGAGATTGTTTTTTATCAGTTCTTTACAAATTATTCTTTTTTTGTATTACTGCATTGTATTCCACCATATAGATGGAACAAACATTGTTAAAAATTGTGACAAAGTACATATAACATTTATCACCTCAAACATTTTCAGTGAAAAGAAGAATGAAAATGAGTGAGGAAAGTTTATGAAACTTATGGGACAACTCAATGCAGCCAATATGTGCGTTATGGGAATCCAAGAAGGAGCACAGAAAGAGAAAGGGATGGAAAACTTACACTTGAGGAAATAATGACAGAAAAATTCCCAAATCTGGAGAGGAAAACAAACATCCATCCCCATGAAGCCTATAATACTGAAAATACTTGAGCATAATGAGGTTCTTGAGACACATAATCAACTTGTCAAAAGTCAAACACAAAGGATCTTGGACTGAGCACAGTGGCTTGTGCCTGTAATCCCAGCACTTTTGGAGGCTGAGGTGGATGGATCATTTGAAGCCAGGAGTTCAAGACTAGCCTGGACAAAATGGTGAAACCCTGTCTCTACTAAAAATACAAAAATTAGCTGGGTGTGGTGGTGCATGCCTGTAATCCCAGCTACTCAGGAGGCTGAGGCACAAGAATCGCTTGAACCTAGGAGGCGAAGGTTGCAGTGAGCTGAGATTGTGCCACTGCACTCCAGCCTGGGCAACAGAATGAGACTCTGTCTCAAAAAAAAAAATAAAAAAATCTTGAAAGCAACGTAAGAAAAGTGACTCATCACATACAAGAAAGCCACTGTAAACTATAAGCAAATTTTTCAGCAGAAATCTTGCAGGCCAGGAGAAAGTGGGATTCAAAGTGCTGAAAGAACTAAGTACTCTTAGTGCCAGGAAAGAATACTATACTTGGCAAAGCTGTCAGAAATCAAGCAGAGATAGACTTCCCAGACAAACAAAAGCTGAAGGAGTTCATCACCACTAGACCTGCTTTAGAAGAAATGCTAAACAGAGTTGTTCAAGTTCAAATGAAAGGATGCTAATTAGCAACATGAAAACATATGAAGGTATAAAACTCACGGGTAAAGGTAAGTATAATCAAATTCAGAATATTCATACTGTAATGGTGGCATATAAATTTTAATTCTAGTATAAAAAAAGACAAAAGTATTATTATATAACTATAAAAATTGTTAGTGATTACACAGTATAAAAGATATACATTGTGATATCAATAAAATAAATGTGGGAGGGAAGAAGTAAAAGTGTAGAGCTTTTTTTTTTTTTTTTTTTTTGAGACGGAGTCTCACTCTGTCTCCCAGACTGAAGTGCAGTGGCGTGATCTTGGCTCACCGCAAGCTCTGCCTCCCAGGTGCACACCATTCTCCTGCCTCAGCCTCCTGAGTACCTGGGACTACCGGCACCCACCACCACGCCTGGCTAATTTTTTTTGTATTTTTTTAGTAGAGACGGGGTTTCACCATGTTAGCCAGCATGGTGTCGATCTCCTGACCTCGTGATCCACCCGCCTTGGCCTCCCAAAGTGCTGGGATTACAGGCATGAGCACTGCGCCCAGCCAGAACTTTTATATGCAATTGAAAATATCAGCTTTGACTGTTATAAGTGTAAGATGTTTTATGTAAGCCTCATGGTAATCACAAAGCAAAAACTGGTAGTAGATACACAAAAGACAAAGATAAAATAATCAAAGCATGCCACCACAAAAATCATGACATTAAAAGGAAGTAGTAAGAGAAGAAAGAAACAAAGGTGGCCAGGCGTGGTGGCTCACGCCTGTAATCCCAGCACTTTGGGAGGCTGAGGCTGACAGATGACTGGAGGTCAGGAGTTCAAGACCAGCCTGGCCAATACAGTGAAACACCGTTTCTACTAAAAATACAAAAATTAGCCAGGCATGGTGGCACATGCCTATGATCCCAGCTACTCAGGAGGCTGAGGCAGGAGAATCACTTTAACCTAGGAGGCAGAGTTTGCAGTGAGCCGAGATCGTGCCACTACCCTCCAGCCTGGGTGACAGACTGAGACTGCATCTCAAAAGAAGGAAAAAAAAAAACAAAGGAACTACCAAACAGAAAACAATGAACAAGATGGTAGTGGTAAATCCTCCTATATCACTAATTACCTTAAATGAAAATTGATTCATTTCTCCAATCAAAAGACATAGAGTGAGCCAGGCATAGTGGTGTGTGCCTGTAATCTCAGCTGTCAGCTGCTTAGAAGGCTGAGGCAGGAGAATCCCTTGAGGCCAGGAGTTTGGGGCTGTAGTATGCTGTAAGTGTTCCTGAGAATAGCCACTACACTTTAGCCTGGGCAACATAGTGAGACTTAATCTCCAAAAAACAAAGACATAGAATGACTGAATGAATAAAAATTTAAAGATAGACATAGGCTGAAAGTGAAGGGATAGAAAAAGATACTCCATGCAAATGGTAATCAAAAGAGAGCAGGAGTGGTTATACCATCAAAAAAATATACTTTAAGTCAAGATGTCACAAGAGACAAAAAAGATCATTGTGTGATGAAGGGTCAAATGATCAAGAGAATATAAGAATTGTAAATATGTATGCACCCTACATTAGAACACCTAAATGTATAAAACAAATATTAATGGAATTGAAGGATGAAATAGACAACAATACAATAATAGTGGGAAATTTGAATACTTCACTTTCAACAATGGATAGATAATCTAGACAAAAAAGAGAAACAGTGGACTTGAACAACCACTATAACCAATAGAGCGGACATACACAGAACATTCCATCTAACAGCAGCAGAACACACATCTTCTCAAATGCACATGTAACATTTCCTAGGATAGATCATATATTGGGCAGCGAAACAAAACTTTCCTTTTATAAAGTTTAAACAAATTTAAGAAAATTGAAATTATTATTATTATTTTTTGAGACGGAGTCTCGCTCTGCTGCCCATGCTGGAGTGCAGTGGCACAATCTCGGCTCACTGCAATCTCTGCCTCCCGAGTTCAAGTGATTCTCCTGTCTCAGCCTTCCAGGGAGGCTGGGATTACAGGCATGTACCACCATGCCTGGCTAATTTTTGTATTTTTTAGTAGAGACAGGATTTCACCATGTTGTCCAGGCTGGTCTCCATCTCCTGACCTCAAGTGATCTGCCCGCTTTGGCCTCTGAAAGTGCTGAGATTACAGGCATAAGCCACCACACACAGCCCTGAAGATTGAAATTATATCAAATATCTTTTTTCTCACCACAATACTATGAAACTGGAAATCAATAATAGGAGGAAAATTGAAAAACTCACAAATATGTGGAAGTTAAATAGCACACTCCTAAACAACCAATAGATCAAAGAAGAAATCAAATAAGAAAAAAAATCTTGAGACAAATTAAAATGGAAACACAACATACCAAAACTTACGGGATGCAGTAAAAGCTGTTCAAAGAGGGACATTTATTGCACTAAACGCCTACATTAAGAAAAAAAGAGGTCAGGCACGGTGGCTCACGCCTGTAATCCCAGCACTTTGGGAGGCCCAGGCAGGCAGATCACGAGGTCAGGAGATTGAGACCATCCTGGCTAACACAGTGAAACCCCGTCTCTACTAAAAAAAAAAAAAAAATTAGCCAGGCATGGTGGTGGGCGCCTGTAAGTCCCAGCTACTCGGTAGGCTGAGGCAGGAGAATGGCGTGAACCCGGGAGGCAGAGCTTGCAGTGAGCCGAGATTGCACCACTGAACTCCAGCCTGGGTGATAGAGCGAGACTTCATCTCAAAAAAAAAGAAAAAAAAGAGATCTCAAACATCTTAATATTCACCTCAAGGAACTAAAAAAGGAAAAACAAAAACTAAGGTTAGCAGAATGAAGGAAATAATAAAGATGAGAGCTGAAATAAATGAAATAGAGAATAGAAAAACAATACAGAAGATCAATGATATGGCCAGGCGCAGTGGCTCACTCCTGTAATCCCAGCACTCTGGGAGGCCGAGGCGGGTGGATGACGATATCAGGAGATTGAGACCATCCTGGCCAACATGGTGAAACGCCGTCTTTACTAAAAATACAAGAATTAGCTGGGCATGGTGGCGCGCAGCTATAGTCCCAGCTACTCGGGAGGCTGAGGCAGGAGAATCGCTTGAACCTGGGAGGCAGAGGTTGCAGTGAGCTGAGATCGTGCCACTGCACTCCAGCCTGGAGGACAGAGTGAGACTCCGTCTAAAGAAAAAACAAAATCAATGATAGTAATAGTTGGATTTTTAAAAAGATAAACAAGATTGGCAAACCTTTAGCTAGCCTAAGGATAAAAGAACACGCAAATAGATAAAATTATAAAAGAAAGAAGAGACATTACAGCAGATACCACAGAAATACAAAGGCTCATAAGATACTACTATTAATAATTACATGCCAACAATTTGCATAACCTAGAAGAAATGAATAGATTCCTAGAAACGTACATCCTACCAAGACTGAACCATGAAGAAAGAAAAAATTTAAACGGATCAATATGGGTAAGGAGATTGAATCAGTAATCAAAATCTCCCAATGAAGAAAAGCCCATGATCAGATTGCTTCACTGGTCAATTTTACCAGACATTTAATGAAGAATTAATGCCAATCCTTCTCAAAGTCTTCCAAAAAACTGAAAAAAAAGGAGCGTTTCTAAACTCATTTTATGAGCCCATCATTGCCTTAATACCAAAGCCAGCCGTGGACACTGTAAGAAAAGAACATTACAGGCCAATATCCCTGATAAACATAAATGCAAATAGAATCTAAGCTGGTGGAAAAGTAATTGCGGTTTCAGACCATGAATTTTAAATAATTATAACTAGGCTCAAACACATCTTTGTTAATCAAAATAGGAACCATTACAATCAACACATTTTTGCCAATGAGAAACAAGTTTGTCATTCCTTTGGTGTAAAAAATCCATGCTTTGGGATTCGGTGAACTCTTGGAAAGCATTTTCTGCATTTTGCTGGTTGTGGAAGTGTTTTTCATGCAAAAAGTTGTCGAGATGCTTGAAGGAGTGGTAGTCTATTGGCGGGAGGTCAGGTGAATATGGCGGATGAGGCAAAACTCTGTAGCCTAATTCATTCAACTTTTGAAGAGTTGGTTGTGCCACGTGCGGTAGGGAGTTGTATTAGTCCATTTTCACGCTGCTGATAAAGACATACCTGAGACTGGGTAGAAAAACAGGTTTAATTGGACTTACAGTTCTATGTGGCTGGGGAGGCCTCAGAATCATGGCGGGAGGCAAAAGGCACTTCTTTTTTTTGTTTGTTTTTGTTTGAGACAGAGTATCTCTCTGTTGCCCAGGCTAGAATGCAGTGGTGTGACCCCGGCTTACTGCAATCTCTGCCTCCCGGGTTCTAAGCGATTCTCCTGCCTCAGCCTCTGGAGTAGCTGGGATTACAGGCACCTGCTACCATGCCCGGCTAATTTTGTCTTTTTTTTATTTTTATTTTTATTTTTTTTTTTAGTAGAAACAGGGTTTCGCCATGTTGGCCAGGCTGGTCTTGAGCTCATGACCTCAAGTGATCTGCCCTGCTTGGCCTCCCAAAGTGCTGGGATTACAGGCATGAGCCACTGTGCCTGGCCAGCACATTTTTAATCTAATTAGGAAACAACTAAATTCCACCTCAACTTTAGATTGGACTTGGGCAGAAGACAGCTGTAATCCCAGCACTTTGGGAGGCTGAGGCTGACAGATGACTTGAGGTCAGGAGTTTCAGACCAGCCTGGCCAACACAGTGAAACACCATCTCTACTAAAAACACAAAAATTAGCCAGGCATGCTTGTGCATGCCTGTGATTCCAGCTACTTGGGAGGCTGAGGCATACAGGTATCAGGTGAAGCACCTCTATGTTTTGAAAGGCACAATAATAGTCACCACCAGACTAGAACCTGTGATATGGGATTTTTGCCACCTCAACAATGTAGTGAGACCCTTTTATTAGCAGACCAGATGTGGATGGTATGGCAACATAATTTGCCAAAAATGGATGCCTACCCTTCTCCTTGGGGATGGTTATGGGCTTGCAGAACTCATGGCTGGCCGTACTTACCTTCTAACTGGACCGGAAGGTGTATGTGTGGTCACCGTTATCTCCCGGGATGTATCCTCACCAAATTGGACTCTCTCCCATCTAACTGGGAAATTGTAAAGGCTCGCCATAGGCGACAAAAACAAGCATCTTGGTGGTTCTACCCCATGGCTATGTTTTCCTCACAGGCAGCTACCAAATTACAAGCTGAAGCCTTAGCCGAGCACACGGTTGCAGCTTTCAGTAATACATGCCATGCTGCCATGCCCTTACCATCCTGAGGAAACTTCTCAGATTAGGCAGGTACCCTTACAAAACCGTATGGCTTTGGACATTTTAACAGCCGCCCCAGGAGGAACTTGTGTTTTGATCAAAACTAAATGTTGTGTGTATGTTCCAGACTATTCACATAACGTTACTCAGGCTATGAAAGCTTTAGACACTCATATCTCTGCCATTGATGCGCTATCAGTCGACCCTATATCGGCTTAGTTCCAACAACTGCCCAGTTCTTAGAAGGCCTTTCTGTTTAGTTTACTTGGAATTATTTTACTTATTTTGCTTTGCTATTGTGGAATATATTGCGGTTATATTCTTCGTGTAGGAATGCAAGACAAGCTTACTTAAATTGGACCCTTATTAAGCTTCCAGATATGACCTTTTGTTGGAACTCAGAGTTATGAACACCCCTCATCATACTGATGCTTTCTGACTGAGCTCCTCTCTACCCTGAATGCAAGAGACCCAATAATTAGGCAGGAATATCGTCACCCCTATTCAGCCTGAAGGAGTTACAGAAGACAGATCTTTGTCCCTCTGCAAACTTTAGGGTTAAGGGTCCTCTTGTAAAGGGAGGGGAGAAATATGTCAGAGGCGTTTGAACCAGAGCGACTCCATCTTGAGGGCTGTGTAAAATGAGGCTGGGACATGCTGAGCTGCATTCCCAGAAAGTCAGGTATTTCTAGCCTCTAGATGTTTACGGTTAAAGGAACAGATTGATAATGTTTACTAAAGTGACCCAGACTTAGGAATGTCCTGATATCCCAATATCTTGAGAACAGAAGCGTTCCTAATTTTGCTTTAAAGATAATAATATCAATTCTTGCAAAATGTAGTAATTAGGAAAATTAATCATTTATCACAAATCCTTGTAGCAGAGCACATCTCCCCATGATCTTTTTTTAATCCTATCTATAAATAAGTATTGTACCTAGGATGGACACATTCCTCCTCTGGTAACTTCCTTCTTTCCTTTCTTTTTTTTGAGACAGGGTCTCTCTCTGTTGTCCAGGCTGGAGTGCAGTGACGTGATCATGGCTTACTGTAGCCTCCAACCTCCTGGGCTCAAATAATTCTCTCCTTTCAGCCTCCTGAGGAGCTGGACTATAGGTGCATATCCCTATGTCTGGCTAATTTTTAAATTTTTTTGTGGAAACAGGGCCTCACTATGTCGCCCAGCCTAGTCTCAAACTCCTGGGCTCAAGCCATCGTCCTGCCTCAGCCTCTCACGGACAAATGATTTTCCATTTTTAATAGAGGGATTCTCGCTCTGTCGCCCAGACTGGAGTGCATTGGCGCTATCTCTGCTCACTGCAACCTCTGCCTCCTGGGTTCAAGGAATTCTCCTGCCTCAGCCTCCCAAGTAGCTGGGACTACAGGCGCACGCAACCACGCCCGGCTAATTTTTGTATTTTTAGTAGAGATGGGGTTTCACCATATTGGTCAGGCTGGTCTCAAACTCCTGATCTCAGGTGATCCACCCACCTTGGCCTCTCAAAATTCTGGGATTACAGGTGTGAGCCACTGTGCCCAGCTGACAACTAATTTTTGACAAGGACACGCAATGGGGAAAGGCTGAAGCGGGGAGGATTACTTGAGTTCAAGACTTTGAGAAAACCAGCCTGGGCCACGTAAGGAAACCCCTATCTCTTTTTAAAAAAGTATTGTATACTAAAAGTTTGCTAAGAGAGTGGATCTTAATATGTTAAGTGTTTTTGTCACAAAAATAGCAGAGATCATAATAAAGGAGGTGCAGTGAAACTGCGAGGGGATGAGTATGTTTATGGCCATGATGGTGATAATGGTTTCCCAAGTGTATACTTATCCCTAATCTCATCCAGATGTTTACATTCAATATGTATGGTTTTGATATGTTAATCATACCTGAATAAAGTGGTTTAAAAAGAAGAGTTGGCAGGGTGCAGTGGCTCCTGCCTGTAATCCTAGCACTTTGGGAGGCCAAGGCAGGAGGATTGCTTGAGCCCAAGAGTTCAAGACCAATCTGAGCAACACAGGGAGACCCCTGTCTCTACAAAAAGTAGCAGAACAAAATTAGCTGGGCATAGTGGTACGTGCTTGTAATCACGGCTACTCAGGTGGCTGAGGCTGGAGAATCACTTGAACCTGAAAGGCAGAGGTTGCAGTGAGCTGAGATTGTGCCACTGCACTCCAGCCTGGGTGACAGAGAGAGATCCTGTCCCCCCTAAAAAAGAGTCAAGCTTCCTGTCCTCATAGAACTTGTGCTCTAGCTTGAGAAGACAGACAATAAACCAGTAAACAGGATACTTTGACATGCCTTGAAGGAAGAAAACGCAGAGTTTAGCCTGAGAGGTTGAGATGTAGGATCGGGTTATCTTGAGACAGAGGAGACCAGGGGTACATAGTAAATTCACTTAGGCAATGAATGACTCGGATCTTGGCTGTAGGGATGGGGATCAGTGGTGGTGGTGGTGAATTGGGGATATATTTTGGTGGGGACTGACAGGACTCTTCAGTGAATCTAATGTGAGACAGAGCACAGAGACTTTTGGCTGTGAGCAATAGAACCCAAATTAGCATCAACCACGAGAAAGGAGATCATCTCCAACAATAGAAGATGGATGTGGGATTCATAATAGGCTTGCCCTGGGTCATAGATGCAGCAGCTTAATGGGTTATCACAGTCCCAAGTTATTTTTTTTTCTTTTTTGAGACGGAGGTTCAGTTTTGTCGCCCAGGCTGGAGTGCAGTGGCGCTATCTTGGCTCACTGCAACCTCCGCCTCCTAGATTCAAGTGACTCTCCTGCCTCAGCCTCCCAAGTAGCTGGGATTACAGGCGGCCGCCACCACACTTGGCTAATTTTTGTATTTTTAGTAGAGATGGGGTTTCACCATGTTGGCCAGGCTGGTCTCAAACTCCTGACCTTAGGTGATCCACCCACCTCAGCCTCCCAAAGTGCTGGGATTACAGGTGTGAGCCACCACACCCGGTCCCAGTTTCTTTTTTTCCTCTTTTGTTGTGCCTCTTTCTGAGTTGGCTTCTTTCTCTGTCTGAAATGGAAATTCTAGGTGTCATATCCAGATTACAGCATCCAGACAAATAATGTCTCTTTTCTCAGAGTGTCAATCGATTGGCTTTTTTTACTGCTTAGAATGTAGTCACAGTCAGGGGGACTCGGATACCCTTTGGCCAAATCAGGCCCACCCCTGGAGTTGGGCCAGGAGTGGAGACAGTGGAAACCTGAACAAAATGAGGGCTGTGTCACAAAGGACAAGGAGAAGAGTTGATGTGGCCTGGTATTCAGCAGTATCCGCCAGGCTGTGTGGATGGGGAGCCATTTGCCCTGCCAGGGATGCAGAGAGTTTGAGAGGAAGCTGGTAGGTCTGGTGTTGATGCATTACATTTTGGGAAACATCCGGGTCCGGTAGGCAGTTGCAGCTACAGGCCTGGAGCTTAGGAGGAAGGAAATATTTGAAAGAAAAGAGATGTTCGGGCGAGAGCTGAAACCTCAGGCGTGTGGATGGGTCAAATGGGGAACATAAAATGCCTACACCTGGCAACTAGGGATGTCACCCATCGTCCTGATGAAGCAGTTTCAGTGAGTGGCAGGGCAGAAACGAAGCCAACGGAAGAGAGTGGAAGGGAAAGGAAGAAATGGGAAGAGCTCTGGATCCTACACTGCCGTGCTGGACCACACTGTTTCACAGGAAGCCCAGGGTCTGAGCTGGTTTGTCCACGTGATGAAGACAGAAGATAAATAGGGGTAGGTGTGACCCAAGCCTGTGAGCCAAGGAGAAGGTATGAAGGGAGGTGATGGTCAGAACATGTGAATGCTCAGCGCTCATCACTGTATTGGATATCCAGGCTGCTGCAGAAGGATGAGAAGCAAAGGATGCAAATGAGAGCAAAAACACAGGGCTTGACACAGCTTGTCTATCATCACTATGATGGATGAGCTGGCCAGTGACACCCAAACACAATATACACATATAGCTCACCGTGCAGCATATGTTTCTAGCCTGTTTCCAAACTTTATGGATACATGACTGTGTAATTAATTGTCATTAGATACGATGATTGGATTTCTGTTGTTACATGTATCCCTCTAACAGTCCACAGTGCTGATTGTTATTTTAAAAAGAACACAGAGGGGCGCGGTGGCTCATGCCTGTAATCCCAGCACTTTGGGAGCCTGAGGCGGGTGGATCACGAGGTCAGGAGATCGAGACCATCCTGGCTAGCACGGTGAAACCCCGTCTCTACTAAAAATACAAAAAATTAGTCAGGCGTGGTGGTGGGTGCCTGTAGTCCCAGCTACTCAGGAGGCTGAGGCAGGAGAATGGCGTGAACCCGGGAAGCGGAGCTTGCAGTGAGCCGAGATCGCACGACTGCACTCCAGCCTGGGCGACAGAGTGAGACTCCGTCTCAAAAAAAAAAAAAAAAAAAAAAAAAAAGAACGCTAAGCCAGCCATAAATTGGCCACATTGTTCTCTCCTAATCACAAATGAGGCCTGGTTTTCCAAATATGGAAAGGAAAGGCCCCTTGCTTCTCTCCCATATGGCTCAGCTTTTGTGGCTTCAAAGGATAATCACTCCCTCTAAGGGGCAGCCATTTAATATTCAAGACATGAGTGAAACCCCCCAAAACCTACTCAAATATTAAGGGGCACTTGTTCTGCCTGACTCTTGAAATCACATGAACAAGCTAAAGGTTTCCCTGTCTCGGGTGAGCTATAAAAGCAGAGGCAATGGTACAGACATGTGTATCTGACATAGCCTGAGGGGCGATCCCTTCTTAAGCCTGCAGGAGGAAGCTGCCTTAAGTTTGATTAGATGTTGCCCTACGTCTGTGGTTTGGAGTGTTGGCCAGGATAATAACTAAAAGCAGAAAAAAATGTCATCTAAATGCTACTTTTACATTTTTCTTTTTTTGTTTTTGAGACTTACTCTATCACTCAGGCTGAAATGCAGTGGTATGATCATAGTCACTGTAATTTCAAACTCCTGGGCTCAAGAGATCCTCCTACCTTGGCCTCCCAAAGCCCTGGGATTACAGGCATGGGCTTCCGGGCCCAGCCAAGGTCTTTATTATGACAGGATTTTGCATCATCTTCTTGTTGGTTTTATTGATCATATTTGCATGCTGCAAAATGCTTTTTCCATGGCACTCTGCCATGTGGTCAGCTCACCACCCTGAACTGTGTGTGAAGTACCATAAATTTAGGTTTGATCCAAAAAGGACTCTCTCATTATCAAAATGTGCCTGTTATGTTGCCTGGGCCAGCGAAGCTATTCTTTCCATTAATAGCTCTAAATGGAATGAGAAATCTTAGACTTGTAGGTTAGTCTATTTTACTTGTGTGTTTATTTTGAATACTTTCAAAATGTTTGGTGAAACTTAATTTGGAACATTCCAGGGTGTTCTCTCATCTCTGAGCCAACCTATAAAGAAAAGAGGAGAATTGTCTCTTCAGTGTATCACTCGTGGGGCTGTAGGGGAGGCAAGGAGATCACAGGTTGCATTTTTCTTTGGAAATTTTCTGACACAGACCTATTAATCAGTCTAGCCTATTTTTTCCATGGGAGTGAGATGAAAAGAATGAAGTATATGAAATCCCTTATTAACCCTTGCATGCTCAATCTCCACACTAGATCAGGGCCTTCTGTATTTAATAGGATTCCATACTACTTTTTTGTTTTGTTTTTGAGATGGAGTCTTGCCCTGCTGCCTAGGCTAGAGTGCAGTGGTGCAATCTCAGCTCACTGCAACAACCCCTGCCTCCTGGGTTCAAGCAATTCTCCTGCCTCAGCCTCCCGAGCAGCTGGGAGGCACATGCCACCGTGCCTGGCTAATTTTTGTATTTTTAGTAGAGACAGGGTTTCACCATGTTGTCCAAGCTGGTCTTGAACTCTTGACCTCAGGTGATCCGCCCACCTCAGCCTCCCAAAGTGCTGGGATTACAGGCGTGAGCCACCACGCCTGACTTACTTTTTTGAAAAAGTCTTAAATAATGCACACACCCCATTTTTATTTCATGCGTATCCTTCCTTTGTTTTATATTATTTACAAACAATATAATGTGCATCTGTAAACCTATCATCCAACTTGGAGCTAGGATGTGGACAGTTACCAAGATAAACTTATGTGTCCCTTCAAAATGCTTTGCATGCTTATAATTGTTTACAGTACTTACAGTTGTTTAGTTAAGCCATAAGAGAACAAGGTCTGGGCATATTTGGTTCATCATCATATTTTACTCTGCAGTGAGTGAAGTATCTGATACCTAAAAGGCTTTAATATCTTTTTTAAAATATCTTTTTTTAGAGAAAAATGTAATTCTTGTAAAAACACGTATCATAACATTTACCATCTTAACGATTTTTAATTGTCCAGTTCAGTAGTGCTAAGTACTCATATTACGGTGGAACAGATCTCCAAAACTCTACCCATTAAACAACTTCTCATGTCCACGTCCCCCCAGTCCCCGGTAACCACTATTCCACTTTCTGTTTCTCAGTTTGACTACTTTAGATACCTCATACAAGTGGAATCGTACAATATTTGTTTTTTTTTTTTTTGTGACTGGTTTATTTCACTTAGCATAATGTTGCTGGGGTTCATCCATGTTGTAGCATGTCAGAATTTCCTTCCTTTTTTTTTTTTTTTTGAGATGGGGTCTCACTCTGTTGCCCAGGCTCACTGAAACCTCTGCCTCCCGGGTTCAGTGGCACAATCATTCAGTGGTGCGATCATCACTCACTGCAGGCTGTGTCTCCGGGGCTCAAGTAATCCTCCCACTTTAGCCTTCAGAGTAGCTGGGACTACAGGTGTGCACCACCATGCCCACTAATTAGATTTTTTTTTTTTTTTTTAGAGACGCTGTCTCGCTATGTTGCCCAGGCTGATCCCAAACCCAGTCCTCTCATCTTGGCCTCCCAAAGTGCTGGGATTACAGATATAAGCCTCCAAACTTGGCCACTAAACTTATTTATTTATTATTATTTTTTGAGACAGAGTCTCACTCTATCACCCAGGCTGGAGTGCAGTGGCACAATCTCTGCTCACTGCAACCTCCACCTCCCGGGTTCAGGTGATTCTCCAGCCTCAGCCTCCCAAGTAGCTGGGATTACAGGTGCCTGCCACCACACCCAGCTAATTTTTGTATTTTTAGTGGAGACGGGGTTTCACCATGTTGGCCAAGCTGGTCTCGAACTCCTGATCTCAGATGATCCGCCTGCCTTGGCTTCCCAAAGTACTGGGATTACAGGCATGAGCCGCTGCACCCGGCCTCAGCTTATTTTATTTATTTTGTTGAGGCAGGTTCTCATTATGTTGGCCAGGCTGGTCTCAAACTCCTGACCTCAAGGAATCATCTCATGTTGGCCTCCCAAAGTGCCGGGATTACAGGTGTGAGCCATCATACTCAGCCTCATTTTTTAAAAAAATTAATTTAATTTTTTCTGAGACAGGGCCCAGGCTGGAGTGCAGTGGCACAATCTCGGCTCACTGCAACTTCCACCTCACGTGTTCAAGAGATTCTCATGCCTCAGTCTTCCAAGTAGCTGGGATTACAGGTGCACGCCACCACATCCTGCTATTTATTTTTATTTTTAGTAGAGATGGGGTCTCACCATATTGGCCAGGCTGGTCTTGAACTCCTGGTCTCAAGTAATCTGCCCACCTCGGCCTCCCAAAGTGCTGGGATTGTAGGTGTGAGCCACCACGCCCCGCCTCATTTTTAAAAATAATGTTTTTCTACCCAATTGGATATGCTGCTGGAAAGAATGATTTAATTTTTTTCTGAGAATGGAATATATTTTTCCCCCTTCCCTTCCCCCTTCTCTTCCCCCTTCCCTTCCCTTCCCTTTTTCCTTCCCTTCCCCCTTCCCTCCTCCCTTCCCTTCCCTCCTCTCTTCCCTTCCCTCTCCCTCCCCCTCCCCCTCCCCATCCCCTCCTCCTTCCCCCTTTCCCCTCCCCTCCCCTCGTCTCTTCTCTTCTTGAGGCGGGGTCTCACTCTGTTGCCCAGGCTAGAATGCAGTGGTGTGACTATAGCTCACTGCAGCCTCCACCTCCTGGACTGAAGCCTCAAGCAATCCTCTCGCTGTAGCCTCCCGAGTCAGCTGGAACTACAGGTGTATGCCATCATGCCTGGATAATTTTAAATTTCTTTGTAGAGACGGGGTTTCACCATTTACTTACCTAGACTGTCTCAAACTGCTGGGCTCAAGCGATGCACCTGCCTTGGGGGATTCTTAGTAAATCTACAGGGCTGTGCAACCATCACCACAATCCAGTTTTGGAACACTTAAATCACCTGGAAAAGATCCCGCCTGTCCATCTGCAGCCAATCCTGGCCATAACTCCCGAAGCCCCAGGTAACCACTGATCCACTTTCTTTTACCGTAGCTTAAAATCTTCTGCCTCTGACTAGCCTGGGAAACATAATGAGACCTTGTCTCTACAAAAAATTTAAAAATTAGCTGGTCATAGTGTCATGTATCTCTAGTCCCAGCTACCTGGGAGACAGAGGTGGAAGGATCGCTTGAGGCTGGGAGGCAGAGGTTGCAGTGAGTCGTGATTGAGCTACTGCACTGTAACTAGGGTGACAGAGCAAGACCCTGTCTCAGGAACACAACAAAACAACCTTCCGCTCTTCAAAGGACAGTGTTAAGAGAATGAAAAGACAAGCCACAGACTGGGATAAAATGTTTGCAAAACATATTACAGATAAAGGATTTGTATACAGAATAAACTCAACATTATAATAGATAATAAACAACTCAGTAAAGAAAGGGGCAACAAAGATCTGAACAGATATTTCATCAAAGATATAAGAATGACAAGCATATGAAAATGTGTTCAATATTAGTAGTCATTAGGGAAATGCAAATATAGCAGAAAACTATAATGAGATACCATTACCCCTTATTAGAATGGCTAGATTGAAAAGACTGACACTACCAAGTATTGGTGAGGATGTGGAGGAACTGGAACTCCTGTGGTTGGTTGGTTTGTTTGTTTGTTTTTGAGACGGAGTCTCATTCTGTCTCCCAGGCTGGAGTACAGTGGCATGATCTCTGCTCACTGCAACCTCTGCCTCCTGGGTTCAGGTGATTCTCTCACCTCAGTCTCCCCAAGTAGCTGAGATTACAGGTGCCCATCAACCAGCCCGGCTAATTTTTGTATTTTTAGTAGAGACAGGGTTTCACCATGTTGGCCAGGCTGGTCTTGAACTCCTGACCTCAGGTGATCCACCCGCCTTGGCCTCCCAAAGTGCTGGGATTACAGGTGTGAGCCACTGCGCCCGGCCGGAACTGGAACTCTTGTACGCTGTTAGTCACTGCTAGAGGGAATATAAAATGGTATAACTGGCCAGGTGCTGTGGCTCCCGCCTGTAATCCCAGCACTTTGAGGGCGAGGCGGGTAGATCACGAGGTCAAGAGATCGAGACCATCCTGGCCAACATGGTGAAACCCTGTCTCTACTAAAAATACAAAATTATCTGGGCATGGTGGCGCGCGCCTGTAGTCCCAGCTACTCGGGAAGTTGAGGCAGGAGAATCGCTTGAACCCAGGGGGCAGAGGTTGCAGTGAGCCGAGATCACGCCACTGCACTACAGCCTGGGCGACAGAGTGAGACTCCATCTCAAAAAAAAAAAAAAAAAGGTATAACTATGCTATACTACTTTGCAAAAGAGGTTAGCAGTTTCTTGAAATACATTTCTTTTTTTTTGAGACAGAGTCTTGCTGTCACCCAGGCTGGAGTGTAGTGGTGCAATCTCGGCTCACTGCAAGCTCCGCCTCCCGGGTTCAAGCAATTCTTTCACCTCAGTCTCCCCAAGTAGCTGAGATTACAGGTGCCCACTAACCTGCCGGCTAAGTTTTGTATTTTTAGTAGAGACAGGGTTTCACCATGTTGGCCAGGCTGGTCTTGAACTCCTGACCTCAGGTGATCTGCCCGACTCAGCCTCCTAAAGTGTTGGGATTACAGGCATAAGCCACTGTGCCCAGCCAGAACTGGAACTCTCGTACACTGTTAGTCACTGCTAGAAGGAATGTAAAATAGTATAACTGGCCAGGCATGGTGGCTCCTGCCTGTAATCCCAGCACTTTGAGTCCGAGGCAGGTGGATCACGAGGTCAAGAGATCAAGACCGTCCTGGCCAACATGGTGAAACCCCATCTCTACTAAAAATACAAAAATTACAAAAATACAAAAATTATCTCTCCGAGTCCCATCTACTAGAGAGGCTGAGGCTGGAGAATCACTTGAACCTGGGAGGTGGAGGTTGCAGTGAGCCGAGATCGCACCACTGCACTCCACCCTGGCGACAGAGTGAGACTCCGTCTCAAAAAAAAAGGTATAACTATGTTATACTACTTTGCAAAACAGTTTCTCAAAATACTTTTTTTTTAGGGATGGGGTCTCACTATGTTGCCGAGGCTGGTCACCAACTCCTCAGCTCTAGTAATCCTCTCACTGCAGCCTCCCAAGTACTGGGACTACAGGCACATCCACTGCTCTGGCTCATAAACCTTTTTTTTTTTCCTTTTTTTTTTTTTTTATAGGCAGGAGAACTGTATCTTCAAAAATGTCAATATAATAAAAAACAAAGAAAAGATATGGAAATGTTTCAGATTAAAGGAGGCCAAAGAGACATGTAAATTAAATAAAATACCTGACCCTGGATCTTTTTTTTGTTTTTGAGATGGAGTTTCGCTGTCGTTGTCTAGGCTGGAGTGCAATGGCTCGATATCAGCTCACTGCAACCTCCGCCTCCTGGGTTCAAGCGAGTCTCCTGCCTCAGCCTCCCATGTAGCTGGGATTACAGATGTCCACCACCATGCCCAGCTCATTTTTGTATTTGTCATAGAGACGGGGTTTCACCGTGTTGGCCAGGCTGGTCTCGAACTCCTGACCTCAGGTGATCCACACGCCTTGACCTCCCAAAGTGCTGGGATTACAGACATGAGCCACCACGCCTGGCCAACCCTAGATCTTATACTGAAGGAGAAAAATGCTACAAAGGAAATTATGCAGTCAGTTGACAAAATTGGAACACAAATAGCAGATTAAAGTATTGTATTAATGTTAACATTACAGAAGTTGACAAATTATGTAAGAGGCCGGGCGAAGTGACTCACACCTGTAATCCCAGCACTTTGGGAGGCTGAGGTGGGTGAATCACCTGAGGTCAGGAGTTTGAGACCAGCCTTGCCAACATGGTGTAACCCCGTCTCTACTAAAAATACAAAAATTAGCTGGGAGTGGTGGCGCATGCCTGTAACCCCAGCTACTCGGAGGCTGAGGCAGGAGAATCACTTGAACCTGGGAGACAGAGGTTGTAGTGAGCCAAGATTGCGCCACTGCACTCCAGCCTGGGTGACAGAGCAAGACCTTGTCTCCAAAAAAAATGTAAGAGTACATTGTTAGTGACACACACACACACACACACACACACACACACACAGAGAGAGAGAGAAAGAATGAGAGAGCGAGAAGGAGAAAAGAATGAGAGAGAGAGAGAAACAGAGAACAAGTCCCCAAAGAACCTTGGTCAACCCAGCTCTCCCCTTCTTGCTTGCGGTTCCCAGGCAGAATGTACCAAGATTGCAACATCCTGAGATAAAGAGGAACAACCCAGGCTCTCTCCACGATCCTCCTAGAACAGATGTCCTGCAACACTTGTGATCAGTTAAGTCAAGTCCTGGCCAGAGTATAAAACCCAGAGTTGGGGGGTGGTGTGCTTTCTGAGTCCCTCAGCTGCAGTGTGAAGTGGAGCTCGTGCAGATGAGACTTCCTCTGTCCTATGCACCTTTCTTGAGGCTTGGGGACCAGCTCACCGTGGATCCTAGGCTTCTGTTGGCTTTTGCCGCCTTTCTGGGAGTAATAAAGTTGCTTTGCCTTACTTGTGTAAGTGTTCTATCTCCCTGGACTTATACTCGGACAGCTGGGTTTGTGCAAAATCTCCTAGCAAATGCAGGAATCTTAGCAGAAATTAACGAGGTGTTTAGAGCCCTCCCTTGGGATTGGTAATCAGTGTGTGATGTTTCTCTCTCAGTGATTGACACTGGTGTATGGTATTCTGCTTAACAGAGGGAGAGAAAGAACATGAAGGAGCAAATGAAGTAAAATGAACTAGGTTAATCTAAATTAAGGATTTTTTTTTTTTTTTTTGAGACAAGGTCTTGCTATGTTGCCTAGGTTGGTCTTGAACTCCTGGCCTCAAGCGATCCTCTCACCTTAGCTTCCCAAAGTGCTTGGATTATAGGTGTGAACCACCAGCTCTGCCTACATTGAATGTTCTTGACACCATTTTTATTTTTTGCAACTTTTCTTTCTTTCTTTCCATTTTGGGACAGAGTCTTGCTCTGTCACCCAGGCTGGAGTGCAGTGGTGCAATCACAACTTATTGCAGCCTTGAGCTCCTGGGCTCAAGCAATCCTCCCACCTCAGCTTCCCAAGTAGCTGGGACTACAGGTGTGCACCACCATGCCTGGCTAATTAAGAAAAAAGAATATTTTTTAGAGACAGGGTCTCTCTCTCTATGCTGCTCAGTCTGATCTCAAACTCCTGGGCTCAAGTGATTCTCCTGGCTTCACCTCCCAAGGTGCTGGAATTACAGGCTTGAGCCACTGTGCCTGGCCACAACTTTTCTACAAATTTGAAACTATTTTAAAATAAAAACTTTCAATATTTTAATTATTTTTAAAACGAAGATGGCATGGCATAAAATAAAAACAAATTTAAAAAGCAAACGAAAGTTTATTTAGAGATAAATTTCTGGGCATAGTGCTAAGCCTGTGAAAATTTATGGTCTAAATAAAGTTGGCTGCACTAATAACCATAAGATTAATTTTTAACCTATTGAACTTTACCTAATCAGAAGGCCTTGGTGTAAAATACGGACTAAAATAAAAACATATTAAAGGTTATCTGGGGCCGGATGTGGTGGCTCATGCCTGTAATCCCAACACTTTGGGAGGCCGAGGTGGGTGGATGACTTGAGGTCAGGAGTTCGAGACCAGCCTGGCCAACATGGTGAAACCCCATCTCTACTAAAAATACAAAAATTAACAGGGCATGGTGGTACGTGCCTGTAATCCCAGCTACTTGGAAGGCTGAGAGGCAGGAGAATTACTTGAACCTGGGAGGCGAAAGTTGCAGTGAGCCAAGATTGTGTCACTGCACTCCAGCCTGGGCAACAGAGCGAGATTCCATCTCAAAAAATAAAAAATAAATAAAGGTTATCTGGTTTTAGCAATATTTTTCAAACTGAGGTGAAATTCATAGAAGATACAATTAGCCATTTTAAAGCATATAATTCAATGTCGCACAACACCATCTAGCAATATAAATAGTGCTGCCGTTTAGGATAATTTAATATTTGTATTTTAAAATGTTGCATAAATGCTTGTTCTTAAACTTCTTTTTTTATTTTTTTATTTTTATTTTTATTTTTGAGACAGAGTTTCACTCTTGTTGACCAAGCTGGAGTGCAGTGGCATGATCTCGGCTCACTGCAACTTCTGCCTTCCGGTTTCAAGCAATTCTCCTGTCTCAGCCTCCCAAGCAGCTGGGATAACAGGTGCCCACCACCACGCCCGGCTAATTTTTGTATTTTTAGTAGAGACGGGGTTTCACCGTGCTGGCCAGGCTGGTCTCAAACTCCCGACCTCAGGTGATCGCCCACCTCAGCCTCCCAAAACGCTGGGATTATAGGCGTGAGCCACGGTGCACAGCCTACACTTCCATTTTATAACATTTTACTTTATTTAAAGATTTAAATTCTTGTTCTTTCAAGAACCCTTCTATATGTATAATTTAATTTATTTCTTGGACTCCTTTTATTTTATTCTTTTATACTGTAGAGATGGAGGGTCTTTCTTTTTTTCTTTTTCTTTTTTTTTTTTTGAGATGGAGTCTTGCTCTGTCGCCCAGGCTGGAGTGCAGTGGCACGATCTTGGCTCACTGCAAGCTCCACCTCCCGGGCTCACTCCATTCTCCTGCCTCAGCCTCCCGGGTAGCTGGGACTACAGGCGCCCGCCACCACGCCCGGCTTTTATGTATTTTTTAGTGGAGACGGGGTTTCACTGTGTTAGCCAGGATGGTCTCGATCTCCTGACCTGTGATCCGCCCGCTTCAGCCTCCCAAAGTGCTGGGATTACAGGCGTGAGCCGCCGCGCCCGGCCAAGGTGGGGGTCTTTCTATGTTGCCCAGAGTGGTCTCCAGCTTCTGGCCTCAAGCAGTCCTCCTGCCTTGGCCTCTCAAAGTGTTTGGGCTGCAGGCCTGAGCCACCCCACCTGGCCTGGAATCTTTTGTATTGGTACATAATAGATGTACATATTTTGGGGATCCATTTGATCATTTGATACATTCATATAGTGTTAAAGATTAAAGCAGGTTTATTGAGATATCCATCACCTTAAATATTATCTTTTATACACACTTTTTAAAAACCTCATTAAAATTAGCCAGGTGTGGTGCTGCACACCTGTAGTCCTAGCTACTTGGGAGGCTGAGGTGGGAGGATTGCATGAATCCAGGAGTTCGAGGCTGCAGTGAGCTATAGTGATGCCACTGCACTACAGCCTGAGTGACAAGTCGAGACCCTGTCTCTAGCAAACAACAACAATCAAAAACTAGTTAAGCATAGCAAAATAGTTCATATTACATTCTGTTTTTCTTTCAGATTAGCTATACACACACACAAAGGCTTAAAAATTCAGCTATACTAAAATGCAGTATTCCAAAAGACACCAATTCTTCATTCTTTGTTAGCCATCCTGGATTCTCAAACAGGCTGCCAACATACAGGATGACTGTAGGTGTCTCGCAGCTACTGAGCAATACGATGGCTGTAAAACGCGTGCATGTGAGGAATTGCCTGAGCTTAGTTCCTGCCAGTCAGCTACTGAAACAAACACTGCAGATTTTACTTGATTCGCTCTGAATACTGATGCTTCCTAGTTCCTGGGGGAAAGATGGTCAGTCTGCTCTGTAATTCAACCTGTGTGTAATCATCAATATGATCATCATTATTGTCATCTAGTAAAACCAAGTGGATAATGCTAAGAATAGGGAAAGTTTCAGTTCCCACTAAATTCCTTCTCTCTTTGTCGACTCTGTTTTCATAGGTTTTAGAATGAGTTGAGGCAAGCTCATTTTCACCTTGCATTTCAGTGCTGCCTTCTGGATGTGCTCTCTTGAATCTGCCTTGCGTTTGCTGCCCTCAGTAACTGACCCTGCTTCCCTCAGTTCTGATCACACTGCTGGTCAGTGCTGATGTTCCTTTGAGTCTCTGACTGAGATGTAGTCTCCCTGAAGAGACTTCAGCTCTCCAAACTCAGTCATGATTGGTTTAAAATTGATATAAAAGCCACCGATGAAGGGCTTGTTAGCCTGGCTCTCTGAAGTCCGACGAAGAAAGATTGTTGGCCAGGTGCGGTGGCTCACACCTATAATCCCAGCACTTTGGGAAGCCGAAGCGGGCAGATCGCCTGAAGTCAGGAGTTCGAGACCAGCCTGGCCAATATGGTGAAACCCTGTCTCTACAAAAATACAAAAATGAGCTGGGTGTGTTGGTGTGTGCCTGTAATCCCAGCTACTCAGGAGGCTGAGGCAGGAGAATCGCTTGAACCCGGGAAGCAGAGGTTTCAGTGAGCCGATACCAAGCCATTGCACTCCAGCCTGGGCAACAAGAGCGAAACTCCATCTCAAAAAAAAAAAAAAAAAAGAAAAAAAGAAAAAAAAGAAAGATTATTATGACAGAAGTCCTGGTACTTGTCTGCTCTGAACAAGAAGTGGTTTGACAAAAGCCCCCGCTGCTGCTTTCATTGGTATTTGCATTTTCTGACAGTTTTGCTCTGGGCTCAGATCCATTTGTAACACTGTCCCAATCTCTATCCCCTCCCCTCCACTTCTGTCCCCTCCCCTGCCCTCCACTTCCCTTTCCCCTCCCCCCCTTTTTTTTTGACAGGGTCTTGCTCTGTCACCCAGACTGGAGTGCAGTGGCGTGATCTTGGCTCACTGCAGCCTCCGTCTCCAAAGCTGAAATGATTTTCTCTCTTCAGCCTCCTGAGTAGCTGGGACTATAGACATGTGCCACCATGTCCAGCTAATTTTTGTATGTTTTGTAGACATGGGGGTCTCACTATGTTGCCCAGGCTGGTCTAGAGCTCCTGAACTCAAGTGATCCTCCTGCCTCGGCCTCCCAAAGTGTTAGGATTACAGGTGTGAGCCACTGTGCCCGGTCCCAATTTCTATTTTCTACAGGGTGATTTTTTTTTTTTTAACTTGACAGTCTAGTGTGATAGTTGGATGGTGTTGGTAGCAGTTTGGACCTGCTGTATTCTTTTTCTTCTTCCACTGCTTTACTTGACTCAAGTCTTGAATTAAGGAATGAAACTTTTCTGTGTTCTCTGTCTCTTAAGAAGAAAGAGCTATAGCTGTTCTCCTGATAGACCTTCTAAAGTCTGTGTAAAGATCTTTTTTCCCTCTGTGAATTATATTCCTCAGAATAAGCAGTATAGTTGTTTCTGAATTGGTAAACAACTTTTATTATTTTATTTTCTTGAGACAGGGTCTTGCTCTGTTGCCCAGGCTGGAGTATAGTGGTGCAATCACAGCTCACTGCAACCTCAACCTCCTGGGCTCAAGAGATCCTCGTGTCTCAGCCACCTGAGTAGCTAGGACTACAGATTTGAGTCACTATGCTCAGCTAATTGTTTTTTTGTAGAGACAAGGTTTCGCCAGGTTGCCCAGGCTAGTCTCATACTCCTGGGCTCAGTTGATCTGCCACCTTGGCCTCCCAAAGTGCTAGGATCACAGGCATGAGCCATCATGCCTGGCCAACAACTTTGATTATTTAAGGTATAATGTAACCTTGTTGGCTCTAGTCTCTGAACTGTGTTTCTCATTGTAATAATGATTCTAGCACTATTTTCCCCAAATATGTGCTTCTCCAAATGGTTTTCCTTCTTTTGCCTGAATTCACTACTATCTGATTGGCTTGCATAACCACTAAGTAAATTAGCATGCAGAGCAATAGGTCTAGAACTTGCCTATTGATTCCAAATTTCATTTCTAATCTTTCCTATATTGTAAGTAAACATTCTTTTTTTTTTTTTTTTTTTTTTTTTGAGACTGAGTTGCACTCTGTCACCAGGCTGGAGTGCAATGGTGCCATCTCGGCTCACTGCAACCTCCGCCTCCTGGGTTCAAGTGATTCTCCTGCCTCAGCTTCCCAAGTAGCTGGGATTACAGGTGTGTGCCAACATGCCCAGCTATTTTTTGTATTTTTAGTAGAGATGGGGTTTCACCATGTTGGCCAGGCTGCTCTCAAGCTCCCAGCCTCAGGTGATCCACCCACCTCGGCCTCCCAAAGTGCTGGGATTATAGGCGTGAGCCATCGCCCCCAGCCAGCACCTGTTTTTAGGTCATCATTTCTGTTGGGGTTTAAGAGTTGAATACCCATATCACATTGACCAGGAATTAATTGATTGTAGAGACGAAGTCTTGCTATGTTGCTCAGTGTGGTTTTGAACTCCTGGGTTCAAAACCCTCTCAAACTATTGGGATTACAGGCATGAGCTACCGTGCCCAGCCTTTGACCAGGAATTTAAAATCCACTTATTTTCATGATTTATATTGATTTCTGGCTGAAGCCAACACTCTTCACTGGATTTATTCAACTCACAGATTTCAATGTTTGGTTCCCATCTTGTCCACTTTAAGGTGCATTTTATGTGCAATAAAAGGTGTTCAGACATTTTAAAAAGATTCTCTATTTGAAATTTTTTTAGGGACTCCTGAGCCTCTGACATATGTCCCAATTACCCTATTCTCAGGTCAGGCTGAGGTGGGGCATGTGCCTGGATCCATCGAACAGTGATTGATTGGAAGCAACTGATGTTATTTCTCCAGTAGTGCTTGGAAGCTTATGGTTTTCCTCTGGCAACCAACACCATGTTCATTAATAAACCAGTAATAGGCTTCTTCTCTGTGGAGTTTCTCTTGCTGCCATCTTGGTTCATTTTCACGAATGATTATGGTATTTACAGTAGGCAGAATACTGTCCCCCCACCATGTCCACAACCTAATCCCCAGCACATGTGAATATGTTACTTTTTGTGGCAAATGGACTTTGCAGATGTAATTAAGTTAACAATTTTAAATGGAGAGATTATTTTGGTTTAGCCACATGGATCCAGTATAATCACAAAGATTCTTCTAGAGTGAAAGAGGGAAGCAGGAGAGCCAGGGAAGATGTAACAATGGAAGCAGGAGTCAGAGAACTGTGCCTGCTGGATTTGACAAGGAAGAGGGATGCAAGACCAGGAACGCAGGCAGCCTCTAGAAGCTGGAAAAAGCAAAGAAATGGATTCTCCCGTGAACCACCAGAAGGAACTCAGCTTTGCTTTTATTTTTAGCCCAATAAGACTCATTTCAGGTATCTTTCTCCTGGAACTGTGAGATAATAAAGTTAAGCCACTGAGTTCATGGTAATATGTTACAGCAGCATTAAGAAATGAACAGTCTTGTTCTTGTTATGAGCTTTGTTTACTATCTTAACCTGTGCTAGATGTAGATTGACTCATGCTGAAACACCCTGGCTCTCACATTGCTTTCCATGTGTTGGAAGAGGGTCTCCGCCTTCCATTGTTGGTGCTTTTGTGAAGTGCTGCTCACAGGAAGCAACAGGAGAGGGTTGAGTTCTTCAGACTGGGTTGCCTGTGAAGCCCGGGTGCTGCTGCTTCTCTCCCACCGCTGCTGCAAAGTTGAGGACATGCTCCAGGGTTTTTTTTTTGTTAGGAGTTCTCGACTGTCCAGGAATTAGGTAATCCTTTTCCTGAAGATAGGTGGCAGTGGGGTGTGGTAGTGGACTTCTCTTTAGCCAGAGGCAGAGACTGGGGGCGGGTGAAAGGGGTCCAGTGGGGTCGGGGCTGTCATCACTTTTCCTTTTTTTTTTCTTGTTTTTTGAGATTGAGTCTCTCTGTTGCTCAGGCTGGAGTGCAACAGTGTGATCTGGGCTCACTGCAATCTCCGCCTCCTGGGTTCAAGTGATTCTACTGCCTCAGCCTCTTGAGTAGCTGGGATTACAGGCGTGTGCCATGCGCCACCACGCCCGACTAATTTTTGTATTTTTAGGAGAGATGGGTTTTCACCATGTTGATCAGGCTGGTCTCGAACTCCTGACCTCAGGTGATCTACCCACCTCGGCCTCCCAAAATACTGGGATTACAGGCATGAGCCACCATGCTTGGCCTGTCATCACTTTTCAAGAGGCAGTTTCTCCTTCTAAATCCATCTCAATCTCCAGTGAGAGAGGAGCCAGGAGCCTGGCTGCCGTGCTGCGTGGTCCATCCAGGTGGAAGGGAAGGCTATGGAGGAGAGCCAGACTCCTGCTCTTTGTTTTGGTCAGTTCAGAAGTCACTTAACCAATAAGTCCTTTCAGGGAAGGAATTCACTCTACCACTACAGAATAGTTTTGCTTCACATGTTTTCTTGACACAGAAATTTGTAGAACCACAGCCTCTTTCTTTTCTTTTCTTTTTCTTTTTCTCTTTCTTTCTCTCTTTCTTTCCTTTCCTTTCCCTTTCTTTCTTTCTTTCTTTCTTTCTTTCTTTCTTTCTTTCTTTCTTTCTTTCTTTCTTTCTTTCTTTCTGTCTCTCTCTCTCTCTTTCTTTCTTTCTTTCTTTCTTTTTCTCTTTCTCTTTCTCTCTTTCTTTCTTTCTTGACAGAGTTTCACTCTTGTCACCCAGGCTGGAGTGCAATGGTGCGATCTCAACTCACTGCAACCTCCGCCTCCCAGGTTCAAGCGATTCTCCTTCTTCTGCCTCCTGAGTAGCTGGGACTACAGGTGCCCGCCACCACACCCAGCTAATTTTTGTATTTTTAATAGAGACAGGGTTTTGCCATGTTGGTCAGGCTGGTCTCGAACTCCTGACCTTAGGTGGTCCACCTGCCTCGGCTTCCCAGAGTGCTGGGATTACAGGCTTGAGCCACTGTGCCCAGCCGCATAATTATTTTAACTGGTTCATAATAATGAGCCAGAGTTGTGCTCTGTCGCCCAGGCTGGAGTCCAGTGGTGTGATCACAGCTCACTGCAGCCTCGACCTCCCAGGCTCAGGCGATCCTCTCATCTCAGCCTCCCTAGTAGCTGAGGCCACAGGCACGTGCCACAGTGCCCGGCTAATTTTTATATTTTATTGTAGAGATGGGGATCTCACTATGTTACCCAGACTGGTTTCAAACTCCTGGGCCTGTGATCCACCTTGCTTGGATCTCCCAAAGTGCTGGGATTACAGGCGTGAGCCAGTGTACCCGCAATCTTGCATCATTTTGATTAGGAATTAGTCCTCAGAAACCAGTCATGGCAGCATGGCAGAAGAGACAGTTGAACATGTCTTGCTTTATCCACTAGGCATACTTTTTTTTTTTTTTGAGACGGAGTCTCGCTCTGTCGCCAGAGCTGGAGTGCAGTGGCGCGATCTTGGCTAACTGCAACCTCCGTCTTCCGGGTTCAAGCGATTCTCCTGCCTCAGCCTCCGGAGTAGCTGGGACTACAGGCGCGCGCCACCACGCCCGGCTAATTTTTGTATCGTAGAGACGGGGTTTCACCATGTTGGCCAGGCTGGTTTCAATCTCTTGACCTCATGACCTGCCCGCCTCGGCCTCTCAAAGTGCTGGGATTACAGGCGTGAGCCACCTCGCCCTGCTCACTTTGCATACATTTGAGTTGGGATTCTTTCGCTGCAAAACCTGATCTTCACCTAGATTCAGGTTAATTTATTAACTATTACTAATGATTGTGAACAGTGCATTCTATTAAACTTATTTTTCAGGTATGCAGTTGTGTAAATTGGTTAGACTTACTACAGTGTTTAGATCTGGAACGAAAACGTAAGGCATTTTCCATGTAACTGCTTGGAACACGACAGTTACCTGCTACTATAAAAACGGTAGTTTTCTATTTATGGAAGAGTTTTTCTTAAACTTATCTAGAATTAAAAGTTAATTTAAAGAAAGTACTAATTATGACAAAAGCAGGGAGTCGTTAGCACTTGAAACCAGAGTTTGGTACTATGAGAAGGTTTTTAATTTTAAAAAGAAGGAAAAAAAGAAACACGGACGTCAGAAAACTGGTTCAGTAGGGATGGGTGCTAGAAGGCTACGGAACCGCCGAAGGCCCAGGAGAAACCCGGAACGTGTTAACCGCTCCAACTGGAGCCGGACGAAAAAACGGCCCCGCCTCCCGCGAGGGCGACGCAGTTCGCAGGCGCGTCGGCGCGCCTGTTCTGGGGCGCTTGGCTTCACCGCGCAGGCGCGGTCGCCGCTGTTGTTGTGGTCCCCATGGAGCTGCCGTAGCGGACCCAGCACAGCCAGGAGCGTCCGGGATGAGCTCAGCCGCGGCCGACCACTGGGCGTGGTTGCTGGTGCTCAGCTTCGTGTTTGGATGCAATGTTCTTAGGATCCTCCTCCCGTCCTTCTCATCCTTCGTAAGTGGCTGCCTGGCCTCCCAAGGGCCGGTGGGGATGCCGCCCCAGTCCCCCGGCGGGTCTGGCGTAGGTACAGGGGTCTCAACTGGGCGACTGAAGGCCGTAGTAGCGTCTTGGTTGGTCCGTAAGCTTTTTTGAGATAGTTGTTAGCGTCTAAAAGGTACGACGCTTTACCCCAAAATCAGACTTTCTGGGTTCTAGGGGGTTGGGAGAAACACCGGGCAACCCTGGACTCTTCTGGCTGTGGGTGGCGGCGGCGAACCTCACACTGGGAGTTCCTAGTGCCCCGCTGTCAGCCTCGTTTCCGTTAATCCTGGTTCCTAGAGGCATTCGAGCAGCCCTCGGCCAGGGTTTCCCAGAGGCCTGGCGGGCGAAGTCAGCTGTTCCAGGTCCCGGAGAGATGGATCCTCGCGTCCAGGAGCCCACATTCTTGGGGTGGGTAGGGTGGGAGACAGGTGTAGAGAGAATCTCAGTACAGCGTGATGCCTTCAGTATCCAAGGGAGCAACCAGGTTGGGGAACACTCTCTTTCTGCCAGGTAGTGAGTACATTACCTCTGTCTCACGGCTGCTGGGAGAGGCGAGTATTATCATCCCACCCTCCTTTACCTCCCGGAGGAGTCTGGCTCAAGAGAATTTAGTGGTGGCACTAAGTCATCCACCTAGTGACTGGAGGTGGAGATTTGATTGCCTTTTGGAGCAGGGATAGGGATTTGGTGGCAAATTGGACAGGGCGTGGTGGGGTGTGGCCATGGAAGGCGGGGGTACCTTGGGAACTGTCCCCGAGAATGAGCGCCCTCCGTATGCCCACAGCAGAAATGAGGAGCTGTTGGGCAAAGGCGGAGTCCTCAAAGATTGGGCGCATTCGTTTCAGCGTTGTCTTGGAAAACAGTTCTTGCTTTTCTCTCCTAAGATAAATTGGTAGTAGTGGAGGATATTTTATTCCACCAGTATTCATTGAGTGCCTGTTTTGTGCAAAACTCTATTCTTACTCTCTCAATTGTCCTACTGTCTGCATTGTCCTGAGATATAGGGAATTCTCTTTTAACCCCTGAGTCTCCTTCAGAATCTTTCCTGATGCTATCCAGTCTTTAAGATGATGTCTCAGGCATTGCATAAAAGACTCCTGATGAGCTGGCCCATGCTCATCTTCTTGTTTTTAATTGTAAAATACACATAATATGAAGTTTATCATCTTTATCATTTTTAGGTGTACAGTTCAGTGGCATTAAGTACATTCACATTTTTGTGCAACCATTATCCCAGAACTTTATTATTATTATTTTAAGACAGGGTCTGGCTCTGTGCAGTGGTGTAATCTCGACTCATTGCAACCTCTGCCTCCCAGGTTCAAGTGATCCTCCCACCTCAGCCTCCCAAGTAGCTGGGACCACAGGCATGCACCACCACGCCCAGGTATTTTTTTGTATTTTTAGTAGAGACAGAGCTTTGCCATGTTGGCCAGGCTGGTCTCAAACTCCTGACCTCAAGCCATCCACCCATCCTGGCCTCCCAAAGTGCTGGGATTACAGGTGTGAACCACTGCACGTGGCCCCGCTCCCAGAACATTTTCTTTTTTTTTTTTTTTGAGACAGAGTCTCACTCTGTTGCCTATGTAGGAGTGCAGTGGCCTGATCTTGGCTCACTGCAGCCTCCACCTTCCAGGTTCAAGCGATTCTCCTGCCTCAGCCTCCCAGGTAGCTGTGATTACCAGTACCTGCCACCATGCCCGGCTAATTTTTGTATTTTTAATAGAGACGGGGTCTCACTATGTTGCCCAGGTTGGTCTCAAACTCCTGACCTCAAGTGATCTGTGCTCCTTGGCCTCCCAAAGTGCTAGGATTACAGGCGTGTGCCACCACGCCTGGCCCCATCCCAGAACTTTTTTTATCTCCTCTAACCGAAACTCTCGCACTCATTAAACAACAACTTTCCATTCCTACCTCTCCCTGGCAATCACCATTGTACTTTCTGCCTCTGTGAATTTGACTACTCTTGGGACCTCATATAAGTGGAATCAGACAGTATTTTTCCTTTTGTGACTGGCTTCTTTTCACTCAGCATAATATCCTTAAGGTTCATCCATGGTGTATCATGAGTCAGGATTTCCTCCCCTTTTAAGGCTGAATAGTATCCCATTGTATGTATAGGCCACATTTTGTTTATTAGTTCATCTGTCTATGGACACTTGGGTTGTTTCTACCTTTTGACTATTGTAGATAATGCTAAAATGTTTACAAATATCTCTTTGAGTCTCTGCTTTCAGTTTTTCTGGACATATACCCAGCAGTGGAATTCCTGAATCTATGGTAATTCTATGTTGAATTTTTTTGAAAAACCACCATACTGTTTTCCATAGCAGCCACACCATTCGACATTCTCACCAGCAGTGCAGAAGGGTTCCAGTTGCTCCATATCCTTCAACATGTATTTTGTTTTCTTATTTATTTATTCTTTTTATTTTTTTATTTATTTTTATTTTTTGAGATGGAGTCTTGCTCCGTTGCCCAGGCTGGAGTGCAGTAGCGCAGTCTCGGCTCACTGCAAGCTCCGCCTCCCGGGTTCACACCATTCTCCTGCCTCAGCCTCCCGAGTAGCTGGGACTACAGGTGCCCACCACCACCACAACCGGCTAATTTTTTTGTATTTTTAGTAGAGACGAGGTTTCACCGAATTAGCCAGGATGGTCTCGATCTCCTGACCTTGTGATCTGCCCGCCTTGGCCTCCCAAAGTGCTGGGATTACAGGCTTGTGCCACCGCGCCCAGCCTATTTTTTTTTTTATTATTTATTTTATTTTGTTTATTTATTTTTTGAGACAGAGTCTTGCTCTTGTTGCCCAGGCTGGAGTGCAATGGCGCAATCTCAGCTCACTGCAACCTCTGCCCCCCGAGTTCAAGAGATTCTCCTGCCTCAGCTTCCCAAGTAGCTGGGATTACAGGTGCCCGCCACTATGCCCGGCTAATTTTTGTATTTTTAGTAGAGACGAGGTTTCACCATGTTGGCCAGGCTGGTCTCGAACTCCTGATCTCCGGTGATCTGCCCACCTTGGCCTCCCAAAGTGCTGGGATTACAGGTGTGAGCCACTGCACCCAGCTAATTTTTATTTTTTTGAGAGGGAGTCTCTCTCTGTCACCCAGGCTGGAGTGCAGTGGCTCAATCTTGGCTCACTGCAACCTCCGCCTCCCAGGTTCAAGCAATTCTTCTGTCTCAGCCTTCCAGGTAGCTGGGATTACAGGTTTGAGCCACTGCGCCCAGCTAATTTTTATTTTTTTGAGAGGGAGTCTCTCTCTGTCACCCAGGCTGGAGTGCAGTGGCTCAATCTTGGCTCACTGCAACCTCCGCCTCCCAGGTTCAAGCAATTCTTCTGTCTCAGCCTTCCAGGTAGCTGGGATTACAGGTGCATGCCACCATGCTGGGCTAATTTTTGTATTTTTAGTAGAGACGGGGTTTTGCCATGTTGGCGAGGCTGGTCTCGAACTCCTGACCTCAGGTGATCCACCTGCCTGGGCCTCCCAAAGTACTGGGATTACAGGCGTGAGCCACCACCCCCGGCCTTTTTTTTTTTTTGTAATACTAACCATTCTAATGGACGTAAGGTGGTGTCTCATTTTAGTTTTGATTTGCATTTCCCTAATAGTGATGTTGAGTATCTTTTCAGATGCTTATGGCCATCTGTTTATCTTTGGAGACATGTCTAGTCAAATCTTTTGCCCCCTTTTAAAATCCAGTTGTTTTTTGTTGTTGAGTTCCTTTTGTTGTTGTTATTATTATTATTATTATTATTTTTTGAGACAGAGTTTTGCTCTTTTGCCGAGGCTGGAGTGCAGTGGCGCTATCTCGGCTCACTGCAACCTCTGCCTCCTGGGTTCAAGCGATTCTCCTGCCTTAGCCTCCCGAGTAGCTGGGATTACATGCATGCACCACCACACCTAGCTAATTTTTGTATTTTTTTTAGTAGAAAGAGGGTTTCACCATGTTGGCCTGGCTGGTCTCGAACTCCTGACCTAAGGTGATCCACCTGCCTCAGCCTCCCAAAGTGCGGAGATTACAGCTGTGAGCCACCACACCTGGCCGACAATTTTTTTTTTTTTTTTTAACTTTTAAGTTCAGGGATACATGTGCGGGTTTGTTATATAGGTAAACTTGTGTCATGGGTGTTTGTTGTACAGATTATTTCGTCACCCAGTTATTAAGTCTAGTATTCATTAGTTATTTTTCCTGATTGTCTCCCTCCCACCCCCTATCCTCCACCCTCCAAAATAGAAAAATTTGTTTTTAGAGGCCGGGTCTTGCTCTGTGACTCAGGACCTGTGGCCACATCCTGTGCTGCCTCATACAACCTTATGGCCTCTCTAACCTCAACCCAGTTAGCTTTCCTAAACCCATTTCCCTATGATTGTTAACACTTGTTGTTAGCCAGGTTCAGAAGGATAACATAATTATTATCCCAGCAGAGTACACCCACCCTGTAATCGGTAAGAGAGATGTTTGGCCTGGTCACTGGGTTTGTGGTGAGAGTCTGTGAAAAGCTGTAAGGAACGCGCTGGTCTTCAGTAGGGTCAAATGCTGCTCCTTCACCATCGTCAGAGGCTACTTCATCACAGCCTCTCTGATTTGAGGATTCAAGTGGGAAAGACTCATGACAAGCAGCAGAAAGTCGAATTGGGAAAACAGTGCCCTCAGGGATGGGGCCGCGCTCAGGTACTTAGATTATAACCTCCGTTGGGATGTTTCTGAAGCTTTCGTCTTAGCAGAAGTTAGGGAGGCAGCACCCCGATCTCAGCACTCAGTCTAGGCCGCACTGGTCCCCGCACTGGTCTCCCCCCTCCCCCCGCGTGAGGCCTTAGGAGGTCTGAAGTATCAGAAGTCCTTGGGCCAGTTAAGCCTAGCAAGGTCCTGGGAGGCGATCTCAGCTGTCCGCTGCGGTGGGGGTGGGATGCCTGGTAAGGACACCAAGTCCGTGGTGTTGGCGTGGTTGGAATTTTCCTGGGATCGCTCCCTTCTCTTCAAGCTGGTCACGGGGACGCATGGTTGAGAGCGCCTAGTTCATTCAGTAGGTGGTCCAGGACTTTCTTCAGCTATAGAGGGGAACAAAGACGCCTTTGGTGAGCACCGGCTCTGCAGCTCTGCGGGTGCAGGGGAGGTGTACTGCGTAGGTGCCCCAGGACTGGCGGGGGCTGAGGGTCCATGCGAACGGCACTACTACGCAGGCGTCGCAGGACTGGCCCGGGCTCAAGGTCCGTGCAAACTGCATGCACTGCGCAGGTGCTCCAGGACTCGCGCGGGGTCAAAGTCCATGCAAGCCGCACGCACTGCACAGGTGCCCCAGGACTGGCACGGGCTCAGAGTCCACGCATACCGCACACACTGCGCAGGCGCTCCAGGACTGGCGCGGGCTCAGAGTCTATGCAAACCGCATACACTGTGCAGGCGCCCTAGGACTGGCGCTGGCTCAGGGTCCCTGCGAGCTGCACGCACTGCGCAGGCGCCCCAGAGCTGGTGTGGGCTGAGTGGCCACACGAGCCACATGCACTGCGCAGGCGCCAGGAGGCCCTTCCTCTCAATCCGAGCTTTGCAGATGAAGGACTCTGCGTGTGTTGCCTTCTGGGCTTACGGGCCGAGTGCCCTTTGAGATTCAACTTTTTCTAAATTATCCTTCACTTTCTGCTGTAAAGAGTGGCCACCTCCTTTTTCCTCTAGGGGACTGAAGCGAGAGGAGGATATTGCAGGGTTTGCCTCTGTGGTCATCTTCTTAGAGAGCACCCCCTCCGCCCCCACACCCTTTTCCTCAGAGCCGTTGCTTAGTGAGTCCCTGCCATGGACCAGGCTTGGGAATGGTCCCCAAGTATTAGTTTAGGAGGACGACTCTCTGCTTCACAGGACCTACCCCAGAATCCTGTGACTCAGAAGCGCGCTTGTGAAGTGCGCATGTGCGGGCAGGGCCTCCAGTGGGGCTCTCGTGGGGGCAGCAGCCAAGGACTGGGGCTGGTGGCCTGGAGAGCTGCCCGCTTCTCCGCCCTTGCCGGTAGGGTTCCTGGCCGAGAGTGGCATCTGGGGCTGTTCAGGGTCTGGAGCTTCCTGAGTTGGAAGACCCTGTCCTCTGTGTTCAGGGACTCAGGGTGACCTGAGTTGGTGGTTCCTGGGTTTGCCTGCTCTACTGCTGGCAGGGACTAGCACGGGGTGTGCACGTTGTCATGCCATCAATTAATTCAGAGATTCACTTTTGTTCTAAAAATTAATATTTGCATTATTACATTTAGATTCATATTAAATCTTACACTGCATGATTCTAGAACATTTTAACACTTATACGTGGGTCTTGGATTAACATTGATACATATTTGCAAATTTATACTTTAAAACTTTTTTTTTTTTAGAGACAGGGTCTCACTCTGTTGCCAAGGCTGTAGTGTGGTGGTGCCATCATAACTCACAGCAGCCTCAACCTTTCGGGCTCAAGTGATCCCTCCCTCCCCGCCTCAGCCTCCTGAGTAGCTGGGGCCACACGGACCACAGGCGTGCACCACCACACCTGACTAATTTTTAATTTTTTGGTAGAGATTGGGTCTTGCTATGTTGCCCCGCCTGGTCTCGAACTCCTGGGCTCAAACGATCTTCCCGCGTCAGTCTCCGAAAGTGCTGGGATTACTGCACTGCGCCTGGCTCAGACAGTTTTTATTGTGCTTATACATGTAATAGATGTAATTATTTTTTCAAGCACCAGTTGTTTTTGTTAACCTTACAAAGCTGCCTTCAGTTTTCCTGAAGTTCACCCTTCTGCCTTCACTCACCTCCCATTCCTGAGTTGTTTTGTGTATTCCCTATAATGCTAAATAATGTCTTGGAATCTCTTTTTCTTTTTAAAATATGGTTTTAAAAGTCAGATTTATTGAAGTGTAATTTGTATAAGGCGAAATTATCAAAAAGTCCTTAGCAGTGTCTGTAGATTTTCCTTGCTTTTGAAAGATAATTTTGTGATTCATCTAAGAGAATTTGGCCCATTCCTATTTCCTTCTCCAGAGTGGATCAGGCTGGAGTATAGCTCCTTCGGTTATAGTGCTGGGTAGTGGCCAGGGCAGAGGCACCACAAAGAGAGCTGGATTTGAACCCCCTACTCCCTGCGCAAAGGCTGCCAGAAGCTGCGCTGCAGTGAACACGCTGCGCATGAGCCCCTAGACCCCTCCACCCCCCCTACTCCCCACACTCCCCCCCCCCACTTTTGCCTCATCACGCAGGCGCTGGTAGGCGGCATCACTGGGCGGGTCAGAAACCACGCGCATGCGCAGACACCCTCAGGCGACTGGCGGGTCGCGGCTTCCAAGCTCTAAATGGAGAGTTGTCCCTACTGTGCGGCAGGCGGAGGAGACCTGTAAGCTGGAAGGGGGAGGGGGGGGGATCTGATTTATTGTGTGCCAGGCACACTTTAGATACACTATAACATTTCGTCTTTATTAATCTATTTTTAAAATTTCGAAACAAACACAAATGTGCAGAAAAGTTATATACAGTCAATACCGATAACTGATTTTGTTTCCTGAACCATTTGGAAGTTGTCAACCCAAACCCCCTCATTCCGAGATACTTTGGTATTCAAAAGAATCTTGGGGGCCGGGCACAGTGGCTCACGCCTTTAATCCCAGCACTTTGGGAGGCCGAGGCTGGCGGATCGCTTGAGCTCAGGAGTTCACTGGCAACATAGTGAAACCGTGTGTCTACTAAAACTAAAAAAAAATTAGTCGAGTGTGGTGGTGCAGGCCTGTAGTCCCAGATGCTCAGGAGGCTCAGGTGGGAGTATCGCTTGAGCCCAGGAAGTCGAGGTTGCAGTGAGCCGAGATCTAATGCAGGCGTCAAGTACGTTACCACGATCTGATCCTCAGACCCCATGCAGGTTCCCCACGTTTCGCAGTAATGTCCTTAACAGGGAAAGGACCCAGTTCGGAATCATGCATTGCATTTCCCGGCCTCTAGCCTCCTGTCTGGAGGAGTTTCCCAGTCTTCCCTTGACTTTCATGGCTGTCATTTGTGGGTGTCAGAGGCCAGTGATTTCGCAGAAGGGACGCCTACTGGCATGTCTGATACTTGGTAGGGATTTCTGAGAGGCAGTGCTGTGTTCTCATTGTGTCTCATCCGCTGGTGTGGGACTGGGATTTGGGGATGTTCGCTGATCCCTTGGGGTAGGTGCCAGAGGCGCCACTGAGGGATCTGGTCTTGGGGCGCCCGCGCAGTCCTTGGACTAGGCCTTCCCGGCAGATCTGCGGGCGCCACCTGGCGGTCACTGCCGACTCCTCCGTTGCGCTCCAGTCACCTCTCCCATCCCGGTGCCGTGGCCGGGCCGTTCCCTGGAGAGTGGACGGCTGGGGCTGGTGCAGGGAACAGGGGCCTGCGGGGGCTGCGCAGGCGGGCCTCCAGGTCATGCGGGGCCCCTCTGCTCACAGGGACCAGCCAGGCCAGCCTGGGGAGCGTGCTTCTTTGTTTATGTCTGTATTTCTCTGCCTATCTGTGGAAACCACAGATCTCCAATTGAAGCCAACACCACAAGATTCATTCTGCTTCTCTCCGAGACGCCTGCCTGCCTGCCTTCCTTCCTTCCTTCCTCCCTCCCTTCCTCCCTTCTTCCCTTCCTTCCTTCACCAGGTTATGAAAGTGGCTAATTTTTCATATTTTTTGTAGAGACAGGGTTTCACCATGTTGCCAAGGCTGGTCTTGAACTCCTGGGCTCAAGCGATTCACCTGCCTTGGCCTCCCAAAGTGCTGGGATTATTGGCATGAGACACCGAACCTGGCCTTTTTTCTTTTGTCCCCCTTTTTTTTTTGAGACAAGGTCTCACCCTGTCGCCCAGGCTGGAGTCCCATGGCATGATCTCAGCTCACTGTAGCCTTGAACTCCTGTATACAAGAGATCCTCCCACCCCGGCCTCCAGAGTGTTAGGGTTGCAGGCCGAGCCACCATGCCAGGCTGAGGCATCTTTCTAAGTGTCTTTGTTGAAAGTGAGAAGACTGGCTTCCGTTACTCTCAATATGTTTATTTCTGTGATCACCCTTTTGTAATTAATCTCTGGTGTCCACCGCCCACTGTTACCCAAGTGAATGCATGCCTCTCCCCACCTGGGCTCCGACCCTGGCAGGGTTCCTTCTTGTCTTGTATGTCTGTCTCCCTCACCCTACAGACCCTGACTCCTGTGTCAGGCTGCCCTTTCTTGGGGACCCCTGTATCACCATGCCTGGCCCTGATGCCTCTTGCCAGGGTGCCATTCTGTGGGAAGGCCCTCTGCACTGAGCTTGGGCACTGACATTCTGCCCTGGGCCCCTGCCTCACCACTGTTACCCTGCACCTGCACCTTGCTCTGCCCCGTCTAATCTAGGACTGAATTCTTCTGGGAGGGGAGAGGTTACATGTTCCCTGTCACTGGAATAACAGCTCTGGTGATGGAATTGGTTTTCATTTCACAATTGCAATTTTATTTATAGTGAAACAGACAAACATTTGTATTGGAGCAAATTCATGGGCATATCTGTAAAAGGAAAAATATAGTTTGAATAGCAATTTGAATATGAGTTTTTTTTTTTTTTTTTTTTGTGGTCGTTATAGGGAGCCGAAAAAGGCAGCAGAGGCTGGCTGTGTAGGTAGAGGGCAGCTTGCCCAGTTGGCAGAGGTGGGAGTAGGATGTTGGAGGAAGGTGTACCGGTTCTGTCTGGCCAAACCCATGCTGGAGTCACCTCAAAAGCAGTGGCAGGGGAGTTCCCTCAAGGGGCTGCTCCAGACTGCCTGGAGATGGGGCTGGCTTGGATTCCAAAGAAAGAAGCACTAAACGCCAGGGTGATAAGTCCACAGCATTCATGACGGGAACTTACAAGAGCTGCGGCAGTCCCGGGACAGCCAGTGAGAGAAAGGGACATTTACCTAGGGCTGTCTGCCACCCGGGGGTTGGGGTATGGAGTGTATGTGGGAGTTTAAGGACTTTGTCATGGTGGGGCTAGTTTGTAGGTGTTTCTCAGCAGGATGAATCTCCCAGTGTTCTCCAGCAACAGCCTTTGCTCTTTATCAGTCCTGGGAACGTTCACGGCCGCAGTTTGCATTCAGTCCTGCAGGGACGCACACAACTGGCTGGGTCACAGAGTGGTCAGGGCATAGACAGAAAGTAGCGGGGGACTGGGGAACCCTCCTGTGACCCGTGTTGGAAGGTGCTGATCCCCGTTGTCCGCCCTGCCAGATGTCCAGGGTGCTGCAGAAGGACGCGGAGCAGGAGTCACAGATGAGAGCGGAGATCCAGGACATGAAGCAGGAGCTCTCCACAGTCAACATGATGGACGAGTTTGCCAGATATGCCAGGCTGGAAAGAAAGATCAACAAGATGACGGATAAGCTCAAAACCCATGGTACTGTGTCCCTTGCAGCCTGGAGGCTTCATGAGAGCGGATGAATAGAGAAGTCTGTATGTGAAGATTAGTAGAATACATACTTTGCTTCTTGGATGTTCTGAATATTGATGGAAACTTAAGTTATCTGGAGGAAACTCAGTAATAAGTATTACTTTCCTCTTATTTGCTGGTGAACCTTTGCTTTCTAAGCACAGAAATATCTAAGATCCTCTCAGATTTTCCTCAGAGCCAACTCTTTAAAATTTTAAGCTAACTCTTAAAAATTGTAGGTTTTCATTTTTAAATTCATCACTTTTCTGAGAGAAGCCCAGAAAAAAAGTCTCACAGTGGATTCCCAGAGGCTTTTGTTCCACTCTCTAGAAAAATGCCCAGCAGTGTCCTCTTCTGAGTGTCACCTCCCGGGTCCAGTGTCCTGTGATGAAGAGCGCTTTCTCAGGGCAGCCCGTGTGCTGAGGGACCCCGGTCACAGTGTGTGCACAGTCAGAGAGCTGTCTCTGTGGCTAGGAAAACAGACAGAGGGGCCTGTCCAGGCCCAGGACAAGCTGGACTCCCACCAGGGGTTCGTGTACTGTGCACACTGGGAAATAAGGAGGAAAATTTAGTCCTGTTGGTAAGTGGTAACTGTATTATACAAAGAATCTTTGATTTCATGAGTCGTTTTAAGAGTTTTCAAAATTAAAGCTATTCAAATCTCAATCTGAGTCGGATACTATTTTAAATAATGGCATAATGAGATGGTGGGTGACTTAAAAATTCTATTTTATATTTTCTAAATATGTTGAGCGATTGTTCCATTTATAATCAGAAAGTGTATTATAAGGGAAAATAACATTTCTGTGTATTTGAATATTTTGTTAATTTTTCAGGACTGACATAATTATTTATCCTGTTTTTCCTTTCAGTGAAAGCTCGGACAGCTCAATTAGCCAAGATAAAATGGGTGATAAGTGTCGCTTTCTACGTATTGCAGGTAAGTGTGCTAGAGCGTCAGCCGGGTCATTGGAGTTGGTGACCCCGGCCTCCAGAGCCGTGTCTGCAGATCCAGGGCTGGGAGTTCGGGCTGTTCCACCTTCAGCTGTCGTGTCGTGTGTCCCTGCCCACATGGAGCTCTAAACACTCTCGGTCTCTAAGTCAGACTAAAAGGAAGCCTTTCTCTTGAGGAGAGTTGTTAAAGTTTGGGACTTTTTGGCAGATGGACTGTGAAGTAAGTTCTCGGAGAGCTTTCACCATGCCTGCATCCCAGTGTGGTTTGAAGGGCCTGGTGGGATGAAGCGAGAGGCTTATAGATGACATCAGTTTTTTCTGAGATCTTCAATACTTTTGGCCCTTACTTGTTACCTGGTGTACTTCATGCACGCTCTCCACCCTCCAGGTAGAGAACCAGCTTTTCCGACTGGAATTGGCTTCTAGCCTCCCTGCCTGGGGCTTAACCCTCATAGCCTCTCCTGGAGCTGTTGGGCTCTGCTCTGCCCCGAGAGTGCAGTTGTGCTGCCCAGACACCTTTAGCAGCTGCCGTAAATATCCGAGTTGCAGTACCATGTGATCCGGTAACCAAGGCAAAGGATTCAAGCCCACCCCCAAAAAAGCTTAGTTTGGCAGGGTATATTGAAGGAAATTAATTCTGAGGCACTGTCATTTGCTAAGAGATAAGTTTCCGCAGACAAAGGAGTTAGGCCAGCAACCCTCTTTCATGTCTCTTCTGAGCGGCCTGTTCAAGCCAGGAAGGGGACAGATGACAATCGAAGGAATGCTGTGGGGGGATGGAGGGAAATAAAGCATCCCCCACCATTGAAACTTACACAGGGCTCACCTCTGCGTCCCTTGCTAACACTGGTGTACGTGGGAGAATTCACTATTTTTTCCAAGGATGGCTTTCGTCACTAATAAGGTGTGTTGAGCATACAGTCTGGCTACTCAAACGAGATACTCAGTGAGAAAAGCACACCCGTGTTATGGGAGACTTTGGTTAGTTTATCAGCTAATTTAAATTATGTGTAGATTGTGTTCATCCTAAAACAGTGAAATGCCAGTTCACATAGGAAGGCTCGCCTACTTGTTGGCAGTGTTCAGACATGCTGCTGAGCTCGTCTTTAATTTGACTTTCTCATTCAAGGTTTCACCAAGGGACATTAGTGGCTGTGCGTGCTCATCTGTTGTCTGTGGGGACTGGGTTCCTAGGCTTGAGGTGCTCAGTCTGGAGAGTTTTCCTGGTTTTATTTTCGCATTTCCCTGTCCTCCCTTCTGTGTGGTCGGTTGTGTGATTGGCAGGCTGCTTTGCTCACCAGAGGTGTCTTTACAGGCTGCCCTGATGATCTCACTCATTTGGAAGTATTATTCTGTCCCTGTGGCTGTCGTGCCGAGTAAATGGATAACCCCTCTAGACCGCCTGGTAGCCTTTCCTACTAGAGTAGCAGGTAAGAATTTTCTGGAAGATGCAGTGGAAGAGTGTGAATAGGCTTATGTAGAGGTGTGTGGTAGAAGATTAAGTTAGCCTGACATCCTCCTCACCGTCCATTTAGTGAGCGGGGTTTTGTGTCTCAGCCTCACATGAGGCTTCCCATGAAGAAACTGAGGTCTGAAAAAGTTACTTCACTTGTCCAGTGTCACCAAAATGTTAAGGAGCAAAGCTAGGATTCAGTCCTAGGTCTGTTTCCGGGATCCATGCCCAATACGTCAAGTCTGATACCCCATTGAAACACTAGCCGTAGTTCCAAAATTATGTATCTTTTCAATCCCTATTATGGTTGGCTTCTCTGTAGCACTTGCTGCTCCTGGCTATTCTTTTATTTTTTATTTTTTGAGACTGAGTCTCACTCCGTCACCCAGGCTGGAGTCAGTGGTGCGATCTTGGCTCACTGCAACAACCTCTGCCTCCCAGGTTCAAGCAATTCTTATGCCTCAGCCTCCCAACTAGCTGAAATTACAGGCATGCACTACCACGCCCAGCTAATTTTTGTATTTTTAGTAGAGACAGCGTTTCACCATGTTGGCCAGGCTGGTCTCAAACTCCTGACCTTAAGTGATCCTCATGCCTTGGCCTCCCAAAGTACTGAGATTACAGGCATGAACCACTATGCCCAGCCACGTTCTTTTATTTTTGAAGATAAATTTTTTTTAGATATTAAAAGTAGTACATGTCACTATAGAATGATTAGAAATATAGCTATCAATTAAAAATCCCAGCTGGGTGCAGTGGCTCACGCCTGTAATCCTAGCACTTTGGGAGGCCAAGGTGGGCGGATTGCCTGAGCTCAGGAGTTTGAGACCAGCCTGGCCAACATGGTGAAACCCTATCTCTACTAAAATACAAAAAATTAGCTGGGCATGGTGGTGCGTGCCTGTAATTCCAGCTACTTGGGAGGCTGAGGTGTGAGAATCACTTGAATCCGAGAGGTTGCAGTGAGCTGAGATCACGCCAGTGTACCCCAGCCTGGGTGACAGAGTGAGAATCTGTGTCAAATAAAATAAAATAAATAAAAAATAAGATTCCTATTAGCTTTTAATGCTGTGATATGTTTTTCTTTGCCTTTTTTTCCCCATTTATTTTGATATAGTTAAGGTCACCTGGCACATCACATGTTGTGCCTCCTTTTTACTTTATAGGGTAAGCCTATTCCCACATGTTTTAGTTTGTTAGGGTTAAGTGAAATACTATAAACTGGGTAGCTCATAAACAACAGAAATTTATTTCTCACTGTTCCGGAGGCTGGGGAGTCCAAAATCAAGGTGCCGGCAGATTTGGTGTCTGATGATGGCCCATTTTCCAGTTCATGGATGGTGTCTTCTCACTATGTCCTTGCATGGTGGAAGGACAAGCTCCTTTAGGCCTCTTTTATAAGGGCACTAATCCCATTCACACGGACTCTGCCCTTGTGACTTAATCACCTCCCATAAGGCCCCAATTCTTAATGCCATCACTGTGGGGGGTAGCATATTAGCATATGAATTTTAGGGGGATACAAACATTCAGACCATAGCACCATATCAGTACATTTCTTTTCTTTTTTTTCTTCTCTTTTCTTTTTGAGGCAGGGTCTTGCTCTGTTGCCCAGGCTGGCAGTGGCACCCTCATAGCTCACTACAGCCTGGAACTCCTTGGCTCAAGCGGTCCTCCCACCTTAGTCTCCTGAATAGTTAGGATCACAGTTGCACACCACCATGCCCAGCTAATTAAAAAAAAAAGTTTTTTATAGAGATGGGGTCTTGCTTTGTTGCTTAGGTTGGTCCCAAACTCCTGGCATCAAGCAATCCTCCCTCCTCAGCCTCTCAAAGTGCTGGGATTATAGGTGTGTCACCTTGCCTGGCAAATTTCTTTATTAAGGAATTTTCAGTAGCTGTTCTTCATTTAGATATCTCATTTGCAGATTTTCCTGATGAAGGATATTTATTCCGGTCCTGATTTTTTGCTATTAAAGATAATGCTGCAGCACACATACTTGCTGGTCTTTGGTTGTGATTTGTGATTATGTTAGAGGTGAATACTGTATCAAAAGGAATGACTATTTTTTTTTTTTTTAAGACCGAGTCTCACTCTGTCGCCCAGGCTGGAGTGCAGTGGTGTGATCTCTGCTCACTGCAACTTCCACCTCCCAGGTTCAAGTGGTTCTCCTGCCTCAGCCTCCCCGGTAGCTGGGATTACAGGTGCCCACCACACGCCCGACTAGTTTTTGTAGTTTTAGTAGAGACAGGGTTTCACCATGTTGGCCAGGCTGGTCTTGAACTCTTGACCTCAGGTGATCCACCTGCCTTATCCTCCCAAAGTGCTGGGATTACAGGTGTGAGCCACTGTGCCTGGCCAGGAATGGCTGTTTCAAAGACTCCCAATTTAGCTACCACCCCTGTCCCCTTCCCCACCCTTTCCTTCCCCTCTCCTTTGTTTGACACAGCTGGGCCTAGGCCAGGAGCTCTGCACTGCGGCCAGAGAAGCATCCAGCCACCCTTCCATGCATCCAGCAGGTCCATGGGTCACTCTTGCAGCCTGTCTTCCTGGACAGGGGGATATGTATGCCTCTCCATTATTGGTGGGGCAAGAAAGGCATAGGTAGACATTGCTTTGTTTATAATGCTTTCTGAGAAAGGAAAAATAAATAATCTTACAGGTTTGGTTTTGGAATCTATTAATATCATAAATAGTAATGCACATCTCTCTGGCAGGAAAGGGAAATTCAGCCCAGGGTCCACCGTTCACTGCAATTCCTGCTTAGTAAAGAATACAGCCCTATGATTCTATAGAAAGTGACAAATTCGGGCTGGGAATGGTGGCTCACACCTGTAATCCCAGCACTTTTGGAGGCCGAGTTAGGCAAATCATCTGAGGTCAGGAGTTTGAGACTAGCCTGACCTACATGGTGAAACCGTGTCTGTACTAAAAATACAAAATTAGCCGGGTGTCGGCCGGGTGCGGTGGCTCATGCCTGTAATCCCAGCACTTTGGGAGGTCGGGGCGGGCAGATCATGAGTTCAGGAGATCGAGACCACGGTGAAACCCCATCTCTACTAAAAATACAAAAAATTAGCCGGGTGCGGTGGCGGGCGCCTGTAGTCCCAGCTACTCGGGAGGCTGAGGCAGGACAATGGCGTGAACCCGGGAGGTAGAGCTTGCAGTGAGCCAAGATCGCGCCACTGTACTCCCACCTGGGTGACAGAGCGAGACTCTGTCTCAAAAAAAAAATTAGCCAGGTGTGGTGGTGCACACCTGTAATCCCAGCTACTCGGGAGGCTGAGGCAGGAGAATCGCTTGAGCCCGGGAGGCAGAGGTGCAGTGAGCCGAGATCGCACCATTGCACTCCAGCCTGGGGGACAGAGCGAGACTCCGTCTCAAAAAAAAAAAAAAAAAAAGAAAGTGACAAATTTGAACCTATGAAACATAAACTTCACTTCAGCCCAGCACTGCTCAAAAAGAATGGAAATACTCTCTTTGCTGTGAGTTAAAGACAGCAGAGACAGATGGGGGCAGCACTGCTGGTATGCGCTCTCATGGTGAATGTCTTTGTTTTCAGGTGGTGTTGGAATTACCTGTTGGATTTTAGTCTGTAACAAAGTTGTCGCTATTGTGCTTCATCCGTTCAGCTGAACAGGAGGATGGATACAGCCGCGAGGCTAAAAAACGGATTTCCTCTTCCTAGCTTAAAATCTGATTTACACTGTTTTGTTTTTTAAGAAACAAAAGTGCATAGTTTAGATTTTTTTTTTGTTGAATATGTTTGTTCTTGGACTTTATGAGAGAGTCTTATAAGAATCACGATTTTCTACACCTGTCATTGAGCCAAGAAAGTCCAGTTTATGACACGTATGTACTAGTGAACACCGTCCTCGATCTGTACGAAATGTGAAATGTTTAGGGACATCTCCATGCTGTCACTTGTGATTTGCCCTCTTATGTATTTTGGTCATATTGCCAACTGGAAAGTCAAAATTTTCTAACAACTTTAAGTAAGTTCTTTGAAGACTTAGTGCTGTTTTTAATCCAGTTTAGAAAGTAACTTAATTTTAATACCACTACTAAAAATTCGAAAATTTCTTCTTTAATCACATTCAATATGGTTAAAAGAACAACACTAATTGACATTGCGTGGGCTTTTTCTCCCTTTGTTTAAAATGTCATTTGTTGAGCAAGAGTTGTATAGTATTATCTACTTACTTGAGGCTGTTAATTTTTCATTACAGTGTTTTGTAAATGTATCCACGAGACCATGATGCATTGTTTTGTGCTCAACTTGTGTTTTGTATTTAAAGCATTTTGAATGAAGTGTATTTTATAAGCATTTAATATTTATGCTCTTTAGAATGGAACACAGAAAACAAACCTTATAAGTCCTGATTAATCTGAACCAATAACCTGTGTGGCCTACAAAGTATAATTCTATTAAATGTTCCTTAAAACACTTTTTTCTAATTAAAATCTTTGCAAATGCTTGTGTAACTTCCTGCCTTACAGCTACTTGTTTGCTGTGAGCCACCCGCAACTGACAAGTGGCTGTTAACTGAGTCACCATATCCCAGTAAAGCTGAATTTTCTCACTAGTTTCTGCAAGTTCATATTTGTACTCTTTTGTTTCCTAATGATCTAATAAGTAGTTTGTTGTTATTTTAGCTGATTGGACTGTGAGAAGACAAAGTGCTGTGGTCCTTTATTTATTGTCATGCTGAAGGCCACCACAGCAGCTTTTGGGTTCCACTTACTCAAACACACATGCACGCAGGCTTACCCAGCACCAAGTTTACTTAGCTTTAAGAAAGGACAGAGCAGGGAACGCAGCCACAGCCTGGTGGAGGAACTGGACACCAGCTTCCAGTGTCCGTCACCACACGGGATACATTTTGCCCACAAAGGATGAGAAGCCAACCTGGGGAGGAGATGAGAGTAGCACACGGAAGCTGCAGGAACTAGTCCTTCAGACGAAATATAGCACCAAGGGGGCACGTGCCTAACTCCCGTTTTAGTAAGCTGCAGGCAGAAATGATGGTGGACAGTCAACAGTGCACCGGCCATGTAGAGCGTGCCCAGGGAACTGCTGGGATCACTCATCCGCATACAGTGTCCATGATGATACCCGTATCTCTTAAAGATATTCTCATTCAGTTGTTACAAGAATTTTGACAAATCTCACTGAGGCTAGAGGTAAAAATTTCTGGTTCACAGCTATTAACTTTCCCCATGCGTGAATAGTTTGTGATGATTAAATAGGGGAAATGTAAATGTCCTTTATGTTTCACATTATTGTGTTTTTTTAGAAATTATACAGTTTTTTTTTTTTTTTTTTTGAGATGGGAGTCTTGCTCTGTCACCCAGGCTGGAGTGCAGTGGTGTGATCTCGGCTCACTGCACCCTTTGCCTCCTGGGTTCAAGTGATTCTCTTACCTCAGCCTCCCAAGTAGCTGGGATTACAGGCGCCCGCCGTCACGCCCAGCTAATTTTTGTATTTTTAGTAGAGACAGGATTTGGCCAGGTTGGTCTTGAACTCCTGACCTCAGCTGATCCACCCGCCTCGGCATCCCAAAGTGCTGGGATTACAGGCGCCCGCCATGACGCCCAGCTAATTTTTGTATTTTTAGTAGAGACAGGATTTCACCATGTTGGCCAGGTTGGTCTCGAACTCCTGACCTCAGCCGATCCACCCGCCTCGGCCTCCCAAAGTGCTGGGATTACAGGCGCAAGCCACCGCGCCCGGCCTGCCATTTGTTTTAACAGATGATGAACACGGTGATGAATTCAGAAGATAGAGAAAGAGCTACAGTAAATGTGCATCTTACGACTCTTGTCCCCCAATTTCCCAAAGTTTTCCTCTGTTAACAGTTTTTTATGATTCTGCCAGTGATATTCCATGCATTTATGAATATTCATGCATGTGCTTTTAAGACATGTTTTAAAGGTATAAAAATAATACCTAAAAAGACAAAAGTAGTACCTATTTACTGTTTTTTTTTAAAAATGGAACTTGGGAAGTACAGAAAAGCAGCAAGGAAGAAAAACCTATGACTCCATAGAACTAGGGTGACTGGCGTTAGCATCTGTGCTTTTGTTTTTTGCATATATGTGTGTATAATGTTGAAAGGTAATGATAGGTTTATTTTTTTTAAATTTATTTTATTTTTTGAGATGGAGTTTTGCTCTGTCGCCCAGGCTGGAGTGCAGTGGCGCGATCTCGGCTCACTGCAACCTCTGCCTCCTGGGTTCAAGTGATTCTTCTGCCTCAGCCTCCCGAGTAGCTGGGACTATAGGCTTGCACCATGACGCCTATTTTTTGTATGTTTAGTAGAGATGGGGTTTCACTATGTTGGCCGGGCTGGTCTTGAACTCTTGACCTCAGGTGATCCACCTGCCTCAGGCCCCCAAAGTTGGGATTACAGACCTGAGCCACCACGCCCAGTGGGTTTTTGTTTTTATTTTAAAAATACTGGATATATTTTATAGCTTCACGTGAAAGCAGGTATCTCTTTGATTTAAAATACATCTAAAGCTCTCTTCATACCGATTTTGTCATAAATTTATGGTAAATCAAGCAGGGAAATTTTTAAATATACAAATCCATAATCTTTTTTTAATTTTTTTTTTTTTTTTAAGTAGAGACAGGGTCTCACTATGTTGCCCAGGCTGGTCTCAAACTCTTGGGCTCAAGTGCTGGGATTACAGGTGTGAGCCACCATGCCCAGCCCATAATCAATTTTTATTCATTTTATGTGCTGTTGCCACCATAAGGGGCTGGAATGCTAGGCAAACTGGTTTACTGTCCCCTGACCTGGGGGGGCTCTCTGGCCTTCCATAGTTTTTCTTACACAGTGCATCATGGGAGAGGTGTGTGTGTGTGTGTGTGCACGCGCACGTGCTGACAGCCCCCCGGAACCGGAGCTTTAGACTTAAAGCTTTCTCCCTTATGGTGGTGGTTTCCTTTCTTTCCCATCCTCATCTGAGCATTTAAAATACTATCTGTATGACTGATTTGTTGTGTCTGCTGTTGTGGTTTTGTTTCTCTTGTTGTAGATCCTTGTTTTGTGTGTGATAAAAGGTTATTTCAGTGATGACGCAAGTGCCTTTAGGGCCAGAGACTATTCCTTGAGCTTTTCTGTACTCCTCCTGCATGCCTTCAGTCAGTACCCAAGAGTATTTAACTCACAATCACATAATGGTTTTCCACTAGAGCCGTGTATGGAGTCTGTTTTCTTTGCAGTTGAAATGTTAGCAATTAACAACCGTCAGGAGAATTTTCTAAGTGCTGCTCTCTTATAAGGCCTGCGGTATGGAGCACTTTGATGACATCTCAGATTCAAAGCCATGTGTGACTGGTTTGAACACCATTGGAATCCCAGGCCAGGCAGCTCATCCTGTCTCTGGACCCAGGGTTCTTGTGTGGGTCGGCTTTCCTGCATGCATCTTTGGGTTCTAATGCGTATCAATCTATTGACACGCAGAGTGCTGACTCTTACTAGTGAATTCAATCATAAATAGCATGAATATTGTGTAGTTTTAGCCAATATTGTGGGAAAGGATATTGGACTCTAAAGGGTAGGGTAATCATTCCTTTATGTTGGCCAAATTCTTTTCCTGTATTTTTTTTTTTTTTAGAGACAGGGTCTCATTCTGTCACCCAGGCTGGAGTGCAGTGACATGATCATAGCTCACTACAACCTCGTGCTCCTGGTCTCAAGTGATCCTCCAGCCTTGGCCTCCTGAGTAGCTGGGATTACAGGCATGCGCCACCATGCCTGGCTGTTTCTCATTTTTTATTTTTGTAGAGAGGAGGGTCTGACTGTGTTCCCAGGTTGGTCTCGAACTCCTGGACTCAAGTAATCCTCCTGCCTCAGCCTGCTAAGTAGGTGGGACAATAGGTGTGTACCACAACTTTGGACTAATTTTTAAATTTTTGTAGAGACGGGGTCTTGCTATGTTGCCCAGGCTGGTTTCAAACTCCTGGCCTTAAGTGATCTTCTGCCTCAGCTTCCCAGAGTGCTGTGATTACAGGTGTGAGCCACTGTGTCCAGCCATTTTTCCTGAGTCTTTTTAAAAAATAGTTTTTATTAAATATTGAGAGGTATAAAATATTTAAAATATGTAAATTTTAAAGAATAAAAATACAATACAAATCTTTGTATCTTTCACCCAAGTTTTAGAAGAACCTTTGCGATCCCCACTGAGTAAAGGTAACACCACTGCTCTGAATTTTATCATTTCCTATTCGTCAGAGTTGTATCACATACTTGAATCTGTAAAAATACATTGTTTGGTTTCTCATGCTTTTCAGCACGCAGACATGTCTGTTTTTTTGCGCTTCACTTTACTGTGCTCTGTAGAGACTATATTTTTCACAAATTGAAGGTCTGTGGCAACCCTGCATCGAGCAAGTCTGTCAGCGCCGTTTATCCACAGCATGTGCTCACTTTGTGTGTGTGTGTCACGTTTTGGTAGTTCTCATAACATCTCATATTTTTTCGTTATTATATGTTATGGTGGTCTGTGATCAGTGATCTTTGATGTTACTACTGTAATTGTTTTGGGGCATCAAGAACTACACCCGTATGAGGCAGCAGATTTAATGTATAAATGTGTGTGTGCTGACTGCACCACTGACTTGGCCATTCCCGTCTCTCCCCCTTCCCCAGGGCTCCCTATTCCTTAAGACACAAAAATGTTGAAATTAGGGCAACATTGGCCCCTAATTTCAATAATAATGATGACCTCTAAATGTTCAAGTGCAAGGAAGAGTTGCGTGTCTTTCGTGCTAGCTTTTATTTTATTTAATTAATTAATTAGTTTATTTGAGATGGAGTCTTGCTCTGTCACCCAGGCTGGAGTGCAGTGGCATGATCTCGGCTCACAGCAACCCCTGCCTCCTGGGTTCAAGCGATTCTCCTGCCTCAGCCTCCCGAGTAGCTGGGATTACAGGCGTGCACGACCACACCTGGCTAATACTTGTATTTTTAGTAAGAGACGGGGTTTCACCATGTTGGCCAGGCTGATCTCGAACTCCTGGCCTCAAGTGATCTGCCTGCCTCGGCCTCCCAAAGTGTTGGGATTACAGTCTTGAGCCACCTGTAAAGAGTCTGAGTTCTTTACTTACAATCTTTTAGTTCACTGAGCTGGAGACCCCAGGGAGGTCCCAGCATTGTATGGAAAACGGACCCCCTAACTTGGGCTGCCTGGGTTTTGTCCTCAGGAGGAGTCTGTGTTGCTCAGACATATTCGGCAAATGCCCTTTAGGCAGAAGCTTACTTTAGTGCTTTGCTTACTTATCTCCTTGGGTGCCTAATTTCTTTTCGTGTTTACCAGCTGAGCAGCTGATTTAGAAACGTTTTCTATAGTTGGTACAGCATTTTTAGCTTTTGTTACAGCAAGAGTGTTGGAGTACCTTCTCTCTCAGAGCTCAGGAAATGGATTTGTTTTTAAAAATCTTTTTTCCATGATCGTAAAGTTATGTTCATCATAGCAAACATGCGAAAGAAAGCCAGAGTAGAAAACACTAAAAGTAAATTAAAAATTGGCCCCAATCTCATAATACTCAGAGATAAAAAGTTAGCATGTTAATCTGTTACCCTCTAACTTTTTTATTCATACAGTTAAGATGACTAGACAACAACAGGCTTAGATTGTATTTTTATTAAATTAGTTCTCTACACTTCTAAATATAGCTCTGATTTAATATCACGATGTGTGCTTTCATTGTGGGTGGGCATAAGAAAAGATCCCTTGGAAAATCCTCTGTCTGCTATGAAGCTGGAGTAGACACTGTCATGTTACTCAGCATACCATTTCCAGGAGTCCTTTTAATACATTTCTCCGGAATTGAGGCCACTATGTCATCTCACTTAATTTGCGTATTTCCCCTTATGAGCCTGTGAGAGCTCTCCCTCCCTGCCTCCCTTACTCCTTCCGTCCTCTTCTTTTCTATGTTATTCCACCTTGCTTTTCATAAACGATCAAAGCATATGCCAATTGTAGTATTTATCTCATCTTTGGTTTTATTATTTTTTAATTAATTAGTTTGACACGGAGTCTCGCTCTGTTGCCCAGGCTGGAGTGCAGTGGTGCGATCTCGGCTCACTGCAAGCTCCGCCTCCCGGGTTCACGCCATTCTCCCGCCTCAGCCTCTCCAGTAGCTGGGACTAAAGGCGCCGCCACCACGCCCGGCTAATTTTTTGTTATTTTTAGTAGAGACGGGGTTCACCGTGTTAGCCAGGATGGTCTCGATCTGACTTCATGATCCGCCCGCCTCGGCCTCCCAAAGTGCTGGGGTGAGCCACCGCTCCCGGTCTACTATTTTTATTTTTATTTTTTTTTTGAGATGGAGTCTCACTCTGTCGCCCAGGCTAGAGTGCAGTGGCGGGATCTTGGCTCACTGCAACCTCTGCCTCCCAGGTTCAAGCAATTCTCCTGCCTCAGCCTCCTGTGTAGCTGGGACTACAGATGCTGGCCACCACGCATGGCTAATTTTTGTATTTTTAGTAGAGACGGGGTTTCACCAAATTGGTCAGGCTGGTCTCGAACTCCCGACCTCAGGTGATCGCCCGCCTCAGCCTCCCAAAGTGTTGGGATTACAGGCGTGAGCCACTGCGCCCGGCTCTATTTTTATTTTTATATTTTTTGAGACAGGGTCTTGCTCCTTCGCCCAGGCTGGAGTGCAGTGGCACGATCCTGGCTCACTGCAACCTCCTCCCAGGTTCAAGCGATTCTCCTGCCTCAGCCTTCCGGGTAGCTGCCATTACAGTTAATATTACACACCAACACATAAACATCATTGGAAAGGAAATAGTATGGTCTAGATTATAAACAAGTTGCCCTTATAACTAAATGAAGTAAGCTAAATAAAGTGAGGCTGGGAGTATAGCCTCCTTTTTACAGTCCTAATTTAAAATATCCTAAGTTTAGTAAATATATTAGTTAGGACTGAGCAGCTAGCTCGAATAAACACCAGCAGGGCCATGGTACTGTTTTATGGTTTTTAGAACAAGGTTAACAGAAAAATGGTCAACATACAGGTATGCAACAAATCTCAATAAATGATACTGGATCTCAGGTGTACACAAGGAAAGCATCACCCACAAAGGCAGGACATTGGATACCCAGGTTAGCTGAATAAGAGAAACTCAAAAATGATTTTCATGGCTGGGCACGGTGGCTCACGCCTGTCATTCCCAGCACTTTGGGAGGCTGAGGTGGGCAGATCACCTGAGGTCAGGAGTTCAAGACCAGCCTGGCTAACATGGCAAAACCATTTTTAGTCTCTAATAAAAATAGAAAAATTAGCTGGGTGTGGTGGTGCATGCCTGTAATCCCAGCTACTCTGTAGGCTGAGACACGAGAATCGCTTGAACCCCGGCAGGGCGGAGGTTGCAGTGAGCCAAGATTGTTATCACTGCACTCCAGCCTGGGTGACACACTGAGACACTGTCAAAAAAAAAAAAAAAAAAAAAGATTTTCATGAAACTAAGCTTGGTAATCACTATATATATACACACATACATACATATATGTATTTTTTTTTTTTTTTGAGATGGAGTCTCGCTCTGTCACCCAGGCTAGGGTGCAGTGGTGTTATTTTGGTTCACTGCAGCCTCTGCCTCCTGGGGTTCCAGCGATTCTCCTGCCTCAGCCTCCTGGGTAGCTGCCATTACAGGCATGTGCCACCACACCCAGCTGATTTTTTGTATTTTTAGTAGAGACAGGGTTTCACCATGTTGGCCAGGCTGGTCTCAAACTCCTAACCTCAGGTGATCCACCTACCTCGGTCTCCCAAAGTGTTGGGATTACTGGCGTGAGCCATGGCACCCAGCCTATTTTTTTTTTTTAGTAAAAAGAGTCTTTTGATCATATTGTTCCCTTTCAAAGCTGCTGCCACATTTTGTTTTTATTTTTTGAGACACGGTCTCACTCCGATTGCCCAAGCTAGAGTGCAGTGGCACGATCATGCTCACTGAAGCCTCGACCTGGGCACAAGTGATTCTTTGACCTCAGCCTCCCAAGTAGCTGGGACTACAGGCACACACCACCACACCTGGCTAATTCTTATAATTTTTGTAGAGACGGGGTTGTACCATGTTGGCCAGGCTGGTCTTAAACTCCTGGACTCAAGTGATCCTCCCACCTTGGCCTCCTAAAATGCTGGGATTACAGGCAAGAACCACTGCATCTGGCCTGCTTCCATGTTTTTAAGTTACAATTCAACTCTATTGCTGATAAATTTTGTTGTGTAGGAGATGCATGTCTTGGGTTGACTAACTTAAGAGTTACTAGCTATGGAGTCCCACAGAATACTAAAACCATATAGTAAACCAGTCTTCCAGAAGATAATGGATGTTTCAGTTGTAAAGATGTAAATTTGTATTTGAAGTGTTATCATTGGCTAATATAAAATAGATTTTTTACTAGATTAGCAATCAAACAAAAATTTAATTATCGAAAGTCAATTAAGTACTAAAACACACACATACATACACTCCCTCTCTCACACATTTCAAAAATAAGATGCAAGGCACATAAGCAGCATTATATCAAACCAGAATGCATTAGGATATTGATTATATTTAAATAATTATTTTTCTTTTTCCTTCTGTAGGTGACGATGGCTTAATAGAATTTACCACAGTTACTTTAGAGTCTCCGAAAGCATGGCTGGTGGAGGCCTGACTGGGAGGCAGGGGATGCGACTCCTTACTTTGCAAAGGCTCCTCTGAGCCTTTTGCAACACCAGGACTTGATTGGTCAGTTTTCAAGACATAGCCTGATCCAAAGAGTTCTTCCATGAGACTGCTTTTCTTATCTCTGAAAGTTGTATCCTTCACTTTTATTCTGGAAGACTTACCAAATGAGGGCTCATACCCACTGTCAGAATGCTCTAGCTCCATTTCCTCTCTGTTACTGAGATGCTTGCCTGTACTATGACTGTACCTCATGTTGCCGGCATTGGCTGGCCCCCCTGAAGCAGGAAGCCCATGATGCAGGTTTTCAGTTGCTTCTGTGAATGAGTAATGTCTTCTTTGTCTGAGGGGGCCTTTCGTGTAGGGAGCAGTGCCTTTGCCAAGTGTGTCATCCACACCATTTCTCTGCATGCTTCTTTTAAACTTTTCTCTTACTAGAACATCTTCTTGATTGCTTTCTCTTTCAGGATGAATAACTTCAATTATTTTTGGTGGTAGTTCTTGCTCTTCTTTCACAAAAATGTTTTTCTTTTCTTGGTCTTCTTTTTTGTCTTTTTGTCTTCCAGTATTCTCCAGCAGTATTTGGACTTCCAAATGTTTCTCTTCCCCTGATAAATCTATATTAGAAAAATAGGCAATTTAGTGCTGTTTAAAATGAATGGATCTCTATTTCAAGATGGCATGTCTAGTACACTTACGTGCACCGCCTCACAAGCACACTGAAATGACAGAAAAGGTAAGAAAATAGATGCATAGACAAAAGATTACAGAGAAAGGTGCTATTAACAAATGTGTTATGTTACAGTTTCTTGGAACTTCCCAAGCAGATGGGAATTATGAAACCAAAAGAAAAATGACATTCATAGAAGAAGAAATAAAATTTGCCAATAAGGTTATTAATAGATGTTTAACATCACTAACTGGACATACTGCCAGTTGAAACAATGATGGCTGGGTGCAGTGGCTCACACCTGTAATTCCGGCACTTTGGGAGGCTGAGGCAGGAGGACTGTTTGAGCCCAAGAGTCTGAGACCAGCCTGGGCAACATAGCGAAACCCTGTCTCTACAAAAAATACAAAAATTAGCTGGGTGTGGTGGTGTCTGCCTGTAGTCTTGGCTACTCAGGAGGCTAAGGTGGGAGGATCACTTGAGCCCAGGAGGACAAGACTGCAGTGAGCCGTGACTGTGCCACTGCATACCAGCTTGGGCAACAGAGCAGAGCTGTTTCAAAACAAAACAAAACAAAACAGAACAGAAGAACAGAACAGAACAGAACAGGACACAATGAGAACATTTTTCATCCATCCAATTGGCAAATAATTTCTAGAGCTGGTGAGAAGATGGGGAAATTGGAATGTTTGGTCCCCGCTGGTGGGTGTGTTGTTGGTACAGCATTTTTGGATGGCAATTTGGCAGTATCAAGATTTTAGGTGAATATACTCTTAGACCTAACAACTTCTTCTTAGAACGAACCTACAAAAAATAGACAAGGATAAGTGCAACGATGTTCACTGTGGCGTGGGTTAGTAACAATAAAACCTCCTAAACATCTGCCAAAGGAATAATGGTTAAATAAGGTATGGCACGTGCAGTCTGTGGAATTCCAGGCAGTTATTATAGACAATGAGCTGGATCCATGTGAACTGATGGGGAAGGATGTTCCCACTACAGAATATAAGCACATGAGGGCAGGGTTTTGCATTTGCTTCCTCCTGTCTCCCTAATGCCTAGAACAGTGTCAGACACATAGTGCATGCTCAGAAAGTATTTGTCAAATGAATGGATACACTTTCTAGGACACTATGAATTAGGACAATGGACTGAAAAATAAGCAGAAAATTTAAACACACCAGTGACCACAGTGCAACTGCAACTGACGATCAGTTTCCACCAAACTGCAACAGAGAGAGTGGCTTTGCCGGTGAGTTCTGTCAAACTACTGTGTTATTTAAACATTATTTGGCCTTACAACTAAGGTGAGGCCCTTGGGCCTCTACTGAAGGCCCAATGTGTTCAACAAGGGCTCTCCATGCTGCCTAAGGGAACACATCTGATTTGCAGCCCTGAATGAACTCTGGGACTCATTCATCATGCATGTACTTTCCTCAGAAGTTGCTCTTACCCAGCCTTGCGGGGCTGCAGCCAGATCTCCCACGAGTGGTAATGTAACATGAAAACAATGAGCCACATCTTCAAAATTCCAAAGGAAAATGACCCTCAACCTAGAGTTTCCTATCTAGGCAAGTATTAATCAAGTGTAAGGGCAGAATAATGACACTTCCAGATGAGAGGTATACAAATTTACCTTACCTGCACCCATTTACAAGAAGCTAGTGAAGGTTGTGCTCTTTAAAACATGATGGAATTTACCAAGAAAGAGGAGGACTTGGCTTAGGAAAGAGAAGATCCAGTAGAGAAGGGGAGTGACAGGAATCTGCAGGAAATGATGAAGGGCAATCCCAGGATGTTAGCTGCACACCAGAGATGAGGAGACAGACTAGGACCCCTGCTCCATTAGACCTCCAGGTCCCAAACACCAGGTGAGCCAGGGCCTTGGCCTGTCTTGCCCATGGCTGATGAAGTGTTGTACTCTCTATCAAACCCTGCAGTCTGGGCCAGCTGAGGACTCTCCTTGGAACCCAAAGAAGCAGTTTGTTTCCACCTACTCCCAAGAGCTGAAGGTAAGCTTTGGTGATCTTAGAATAGGAAAATCTGGGCAGCCCGTTCTCTTGGCCCTAGCTCTCTTGGGCCTGCCCAGAAGAGCTCTGCCAGATGCCATGGATCTGAGGGTTTTTCTATCTCCCAGGATGATTCAGGACCTCACCCACTGATTGGGCCCTTGTATATTCAAGGGAGCTGAAGCTGGGGTCCTTTTTCTGGAAGTCTTTATTCAAAAGTGGTAATATTGCCCTTTGCTCAGCTGGATTTGAATAATTTGCTACTCAGTTTTTCAAAGCTGAATATATTATTTAAGGATACTATTATGAAATGAATGTTTGTATTCCTTCCTCCCAAATTTCATATGTTGAAGCCGTAACCCCCAGTATGGCTATATTTGGAGACTGGGTCTTTAAGGAAGTAATTAAGGTTAAATGAGATCACAAGGTTGGGGCCTTCATGACGGAATTAGTGTCCTTATAAAAAGAAACACTGGAGCACTGGTGCTCTCTCCCCGACTCTCCTCGTGCGAGCACTAAGGAAACGCCACATGAAGACATAGTGAGAAGCGGGACATCTAAAGCCAGGAAGAGGGCCTTAACTGAAGCCAAATGCCTAGAACCTTGATCTCGGACTTCCTAGCCTCCAGAACCATGAGAAAATAAATAAGTGTTGTTTAAACCGGCAGTCTGTGGTATTTTCTTATGGCAGCCCAAGCAGACGAATGTAGCTACATATAAAGACAGGGAGCTGTGAGGGAAAGCAAGGGAATGACTGGCCTAAAACCCAAGACGGTGGTGGTTTCTGGTGGGCAGGGCGAGGGGATATGATTGTGAAGGGCCCAAGGGTGTTCCAAGGAGTACTCATCCACTGTTTCTTAAGCAGGCTACTGGGTACATAGGTGTTCCTTTCATTATAATTCTGGAAACGGTTTTATGTTTTTTTTTTAATTTTTTGAGACAGAGTCTCACTCTGTCACCCAGGTTGGAGTGCAGTGGCACGATCTTGGCTCACTGCAACCTCTGCCTCCTGGGTCCAAGCGATTTTCCTGCCTCAGCCTCCTGAGTAGCTGGGATTACAGGCACATACCGCCATGTGCGGTTAAGTTTTGTATTTTTTAGTAGAGATAGGGTTTCACCATGTTGGCCAGGCTGGTCTCAAACTCTTGACCTCAGGTGATCTGCCTGCCTTGGCCTCCCAAAGTGCTGGGATTACAGGTGCGAGCTGCCATGCCCAGCTGTTTTATGTGTGCTTTATATACACATATAGTAATTCACAATTTTAAAGAAATCAGATAAGATAGACTTTAAAGAGTTAAAATTACCTTCATATTTTCTCTTAGAATCCTCTTGCTTTGGTAGTTTATTCACACAGTGAGGAATTTCATGATTTATTTCAGTTGATTTTTCTTTATGATCGATGTTTCCTGTTGCCTTTTTACCCTGTAATTTAGAAAAGCAGCAAAAACACATTTTGGGGGGTCTAGATAACTTAAAATTGCATTTTATTCTAATGACTACAAATACTTTTCACATAGAACAAGTGACTGTAGCCTATTTTTGTTAAGACATGTTTAATCAGACACTGCAAGATTCCAAATTTGCTGTACCTTAGTTGTCAAAGGTGGAACATCTGATTTTTGGGTTCCCTGGTGTCTCATACTTGTGAATGGCAAAATTTTTCTGTCTGCTTGGACTGATTTTGTTGAAGAAACTATGGAACAGGTAGATTATATGTAAGAAACATATTTTACATTTGGATACAATATTGATTTTAAACATAAAATAACTTTTATGCAATGTAATAATAAAGTATACTAAGTATTTTCTAAATATTCAATATATATATAAGCATTTGTTAGTTTCCTGTTTTTCCCTCCAGGGCCCTTGCTTTGTCTTACTTTGGGCCTCACAGTGTTTGAGTATAAAACAAGTAGGTGTTAGGATAAGACATTGTTGCTGTTGGAGGACAAGGCTGTCCTTTGTGGATGGGATTCAGCAAGGTAGACGTGTAATTGTGAGAGGCCAGGCCACCGAGCTATCCTGTGGCGGAGCTCTTGATTATCAGTGGTTAGACTGTCCATGCTGAAGCGCATGACCACTAAATCTAGACTGCACTTTCCTGAAAAGTGAAGGAAATTATATCATTTAAACAACCCCTCGGTTGATTCATTGTCTCTATTATTCTAGATTATAAGCCAGAAGCAAACAAAGGCAGGCAAGGAAATTTGAGGTTGTTGCATCTGGAAGTAAACATGTAGCTACTTCTTCTAATAAAACAGAGGTGAGTATTCCTATGGTACTTCTGAGTCGAATCTGTTGCTGGGAGATTTTGGGGGGAAAGCAGTGCACGTGCTCTTGAAGAAAAGAAGACCTCACCAATGAGAGGTATACACTAATGATAGTGGCATCAATATAGATGAATCTCAAAAACACTATGCTGAACAAAAGCAGCCAGATACAAAAGGGTGCAGCTGTGGGATTCCACTTACATGAAATTCTAGAACAGACAACCTAGGCTATTGTGACCAAAGGAAAGTCAGTGGTTGCCTCGGGTGAGGTAGGGGACTACTGACTGCAGGGGACACGAGGAAACTTCCTGGGGAGGTGGAAATATTCAATATCTTGATTGGGGTGGTGGCTCCATCGGTATAAACATCTGTCAAAACCCACTGAGCTGCGTGCACACTTAAAATGGATGCATTTTATTGAGGTCAAGTATACCCCAATAAAGTTCATTTTGAAAAGCCATACACTGGCTAACAGATACACTTAGAAAGTTCACTTTTTGGCAGACATTTTGCTTCAAGCTGAAGTTATCCTTTTGCTCCACCTGAAGAAAGGACATAAAGGGGTGTGCTGAGGATGGGAGAACGGGAAAGCATTTCTATTCCTTGCTAGCCATGTCACCATCTCAGTCTCGTTATTCTTCTAGAATCACAAAATGTATTTTAATGCCTAATGAAGTGATTTTTGAAAATATCCATTATTTTGTCTATATAAATTAGGAAAATCTGACTAGATACTTAAAAATAGATTTTGAGCAAAAGTAATTAAAACATACCTTTTGGATAGTCCTCTGTGTCATGTAAATTTTTAAGTATTCGATGACTATAGATGTTTTTAATTTCAAGCTCACGATCCTTTTCCTAAAAAGAACCACAAAACCAATTTTTCTATAAATGCTTGCTTTTGTCAACCCTGATTTCTTTTAAAAACAATTTAAATGAGCTCAGTATCCTATGAATAAAATCTGTAGATTTTAGAAGAAACAGAAATAGGCCATATCATCCTATACCATTCCTGACATCGAAAAGTACTAGCTCTTTAAACAAAGTGACACATTATTGTGATCGGGACAGTATTTTTGAAGAGCCTTGCAGGTCAGCTTGTCCACTGTTTTCCTTCTGTCCTGTGGGCCTTGAAGTTTATGAAATATTCTTCTGTACTGTGCATTACAGTAGCCACTAACTATATGTTGTGATTTCATTTAAATGAAAGTAAAACTAAAATTTAGGTCGTCAGCCACACTATTTGTATTTCCAATAGGCGGTCAGCAGCTGTGTGTGACTAGTGACTACAGTATTGGATGGCACAGGTGAACATTTCCACCATCTAATAGAAAGTTCTATGAGACAGGGCTACGTCTAGACAAGGGCCGGGGGGGAAGCCTAGAACAAGGGTATCATTGTTCCATTTTAAATTTCATATTGATTTTTTTGAGTCTTGGCAAAACAGACATTTTGAAACCTTAACTTGTTGAGGAACAAAGAAAGGGTTTTTATTAAATATCAAATGCTCCTTCTTACATGTACACCAGGAGGCAAGAAAGGCTTTGGACTCAAGACCATTGAATTTTAGTAACAACCATGGTTAAGAGAGGTGGGCATATATGAAGTAAGGAGGAAGGAACCCAGGGATGTCAGAGTGTGACAGACGTGCATGTGCACACACACACACACACACGGGGGGTGGGGCGGGGAGAGAGAGCTCTTGTCTCCTTGTGCCCCTTAGGGTCAAATCTATGGGCCAAGGGATATTCAGGGGGTGAGAAACATCTCTGAGGTTTGGGAAAGTCTCAGTGCAAGAGGCCTTGGCGTGGTCCAGGAAAATTGCAAGCCCCTTAAAAAGCGCCTCCCCCGCCGCCCCATTCATCATGGAGCTAAAGTAACATGGTATTGCCCAAGTGTAAGTTAGAAAGGGCTAAATACCCTCTCTAGGCCAGAGATTGTGCTTCCCTTACCCTTGCAACCAGTGGGACCTGTGGAGGGAGCTGCACCTGCCCTGGAGTCCTTAAGGTTACAGATCCAGGTGCTCCCATAGCACAGGCTTTGCAACAGAGAATCTAGCCAGGGATCAGATGGAGGATGCATCTCAGAGCATTTGCATCAACAGTCAGCAGGGGACAATCACCAGGATTTATTTGACCAGACTGAGAAGAGGCCAGGAGTTTTAGCAGCCACATTCAGTACACATCAGACAGGGTCCTGGGAATTTGATTTAAGACTAGTCACTCGTCAGGAGAACCAGCTCTAGAGAGGGGCCAGAGGGCAGAACACAGACCAGAGGCCTCTTTTTCACTCCACCAAGAGTACACATATGTTTTCTCTCATGCCCAGGATGCCATCTCCACTGAGACAGAAGATAGGGATGAGGAAAAAGTCTGCAAGTCTAAGAGACAACCTAGCATAAGACTGTTTTGAGTTAGAAGAGACTGAGACAAGCTTTTATCCATTTCTTCTTGTCCAACTGCCATCCTCATCCCTAATTTGTGGGACTGGGGCTCATAAGGAAGTATGGCTTAGTTACAGAAAATAAAGAACATGACATATTTTTGTACCTGAATTGTACAGTGTAAATTTTCTACTCATTTGAATCATAAAATTAGTTTATTATCAGAGGTACACAAAGGGATAAAACATGAGAATATTAATCTTTTCTAGAATTTAAGTTTCTGGAGGCAAAAATGTTAACAGTTCATCTCTCTTTTCTTATTGTGGTAACAGCCAAAAGAACAGTAAATGCTGACAGTTCATCACCATGAAAAGTTGATCAGGTGTATTCTGGATAATAGCTTTCAGATGAAGGATACTGTGTAAAACATTTTAGAATGAGTTTTCATCCACACTGGTTAGGAAACATTTTCATGTTTACAGGGACACATTTTGATTACCTGAAAAATTCAGTTCTATCTTTTGATTTGGTCTGGACACCTGGAGGTCAGCAACCGAGAGCAGGAAGGAGGCACAGCAACAACAGAACAACAACAAGAGGCTGCGACAGGGGCGGCGTGGGTCAAAAGGAAGCAACCTGGAGGACGGTCCTCCTTGCGGCTTGGAGCAGAGCTTCAGGTTGGGCACCACGACAGAGCTGGGCCAGAAGTCTAACACAGCCTGTTTGGAACACAACCCGGGATACTTGTGTGGTTGGGTTCAGTCAGTCAAGGGAAACAAGAAGCTAACCCGTGGCTGGGAGTGTTCATGCAATGCTCGTGGAATACTCAGCGCAAAGCCTGCCCGCAAGCACAAAGGGTATCAAGGAAGAGTTAAATGGGAAGTTGGGTCATGGTGTGGAATCATATTAAGGTCAGCATTGATGGCTTCCGGAACTTAGATAGAAAGCAGTGTCTTAATGCAGGAGTGTGACCGTAGCCTGGGTGTAAGACGGGTGGCAGTACCTCACGTGGGAGCTGTGGAAGGCTGACATCCCTCTTCTTACTTCGGCTCATACTGCAGAAGTGGGCCTAGAACTCGGTGTGGGATGACTTTGAAAATGAGTTTCAAAGTAAAGAAACGAACTTTTGACCTTTGGGACCAGACTCTTCCAAGCTCAAACTATGACTTTCGTTAATGTGGCAGACTGTATTTTCCTAGAATTCCCACGACAAGATTTCTAGTCCTATATGCTCTTCAACAACCTCGTGACTCGCTACCAAAAGGTGGAGTTCACTGCTTGAACTGCCTAGGACTGCCCTGACAAATGCTGTGAGGCAGAAGTGATGCTGCGTGACTGCCAAGGCTAGGTCATAAAAGGCAGTACTGCATCTGTCTGGTTCTCTCCCTCTCTCTCTCTCTCTCTCTCTCTCTCTCTGTGTGTGTGTGTGTGTGTGTGTGTGTGTGTGTGTGTCTGTGCATATTTTACTTTGTGATTGTCTATGTTTGGTTTCATTAATCTACAAAAAAGAAAAACCCCTTTTTATCTTCCAGAAATTCTTTGTTAGATCTGGTAGTTTTGGTATTCCTTTCTGGTATTCTGGATTATTTTATTTATTTTTAGAGACAAGAGTCTCTCTCTGTTGCCCAGGCTGGAGTGCAGTGGCGCCATCACTAAAGCCTCTAACTCCTGGGCTCGAGATCTTCTGCCTCAGCCTCTGGAGTAGCTGGGATTACAGGCTTGTGCCACCATGCCCAGATAATTTCTAAATTTTTTTGTAGAGACAGGCTTTGTTCTGTTGCCTTGGCTGGTCTTGACTTCTTGGGCTCAAAAGATCCTTCTGCCTCAACTTCCCAAAAAATGATGTAAGCCACCATGCCTGGCTTGGAGTGTTATTTTAAAAATAACATTTTCTGTCATTTCCATGGGGCTTTGGCAGGGAGGGACAAAAAGCATGTGTTGAGGCCACCTTCTTGATCTAGCCATTTCTACTCTTTTAAAAATGCATAAAATATGTAATTTCAAAAGCATTTTTCCCTTTGAAACTTTATTATACAAATTAAAATATATAAAAAAATAAAAGTAGAATAGTACAGTAAACCTCCATGAGCCCATGAACCAGCTTTACTAATGAACAACTCATGTGCTGTTTCCCACTCTCTCTGACCACTCCCCAGCCCTGGCTTATTTGAAGCAAATCTAGACCTCTAATAACTTATTTCAGTATCTGTAGCAAACAAGGGTATCCCTTTTAAAACCTAACTGCAGTATCTTCATTCCACTTCCCCCAATCAATAATTCCTTCACATAATCAAATATCCAGTTTGTTTAACATTTTCCCCATTTTCTATAGTTTTTAAAAGGTTTGTTTGAATTAGAATCTAAACAAGGTTCAAAACACTGCGACTGATTAATATATCTCTTACTGTCTTTTAATCTATAGATTCTCACTCTCACCTCTTATTTTTTCTGCTTTGCTATTTAATCGTAGAAATGGGGGTATCTGTAATGCAGTTTCCCACAGTCTCATGCTGCTGACTGCATCCCATCCTGAGCATGTTCCTCTCCCCTCTTCTTTTTTCAGTTGGTAGGTAGAGCCCAGTCTGTAACTAGGTTTAGGTTCGGTTCGTTGGCATGAGTAGGTGGTGGTGTGTACCTCTGTCAGGAAGCGCGTATCTCTTATGTGATACTAGGAGCCACTGATGATCATTGATTAGAGCCACTAATTCATTAGGAGTTTCCAAAATAGTGACAATTCTAATCCTGTCATTCCTTCTTCATTATTGAGTGGAATGCTTTTATAAGGAGGATCTTACCCCCTCACAAACGATTTGGTTACTCTGAGGAGTCGTTCATACAGGGAAGGTAAAAATGTTTGCTTCTTGTCCTCTACTGACCAGTCTTCAAGACAGCATGCTGTTCCCTAGTATCCTCCACAAGTGACTCATCGCTGAGGTGTTTAGTCTTTTAAGTATCATTATGAAGTGTGGATTCATTTGATAAGTTTTAACCTGGGCAGTTATCTTTATTGATCCTCAAATATCCCCATCTTTGGCCAGTAAGAACCTATTCTAGATGGGCCTGAGTCCTTTTGATACTACCCTAATGGTCCTTAATAGTTTCTTTGCTTTTGTATGACAATACGTTCCAGGTTCATCTAGTGTATTTCCTGCACCAGACCTAGAATTTTTTTAGGGAGCCTTGGTTTGTTTCAGTGGGATATGGAACTTACAGACCATAATCTGGGTGCTGGAGGTGTTCATTGCTCCTGGTTACTCTGAGAATATTGCATACTTTCACTTCAGATCAAAATCAGGACTATAGGATTTTTATTTGACTCTATCTTACTTCTGTATTTTTTTTTTGTCCATCCCCCAAATCCCAGTTCTCAATGACAACACCATAATCTATCAGGAGCTTTATCCCATAAGATACACACAACATTCTCAAAACAACAACATCAACATCATTACCAACTATATCATTACTAAACAGTGTAAGATTTTTTTGTAAAGTTATTTGTGTCCTTACAGTGTATCTCACTGGCCATATGCAATGACATTATGTGTTTTAAGTCACTTGGAATGGCTTCTTTCTGTGGCTTTGTGCCACCAATAGGATACAGTCAGCGTTCCCTGTCTGCAGGTTCTGCATCCCGCGGTTACAAAGGGCTAACTGTATACACATTTGGGTTCATCTGCATTTTACTTTGGATATTTAGGGATAGCTTTTTATTTTATTTTTGAGACAGAGTCTCGCTCTGTCACCCAGGCTGGAGTGCAATGGCACGATCTTAGCTCACTGTAATCTCCGCCTCCTGGGTTCAAGCATTTCTCCTGCCCCAGCCTCCTGAGTAGCTGGGATTACAGGCGCGCACCACCACACCTGGCTAATTTTTTTATTTTTGTATTTTTGTAGAGATGGGGTTTCACCATGTTGGCCAGGCTGGTCTTGAACTCCTGACCTCAGGTGATCCGCCCACCTTGGCCTCCCAAAGTGCTGGGATTACAGGCATGAGCCACTGTACCCAGCTGCTTTTTAGTTTTTTTTACGTTTAATTCTGCTTTGTACTTATGGAAATATTTTCATGGTTCCATAAAGATATTCATGAAATCTAGGTTCTAGAGCTGTCCCTTCTACTCTATTCTCTCTTTTTCTGCTGTTATCCTATTACTGGTTTATTTTTTAAATGTAGGCAAATAGATGGATATATTTCTATTGCTTCCTTTATCTTAAATAGGATTGTATTAGTCCTTTTTCAGGCTGCTGATAAAGACATAACTGAGTCTAGGTAATTTATAAGGGACAGAGGTTTAATGGACTCACAGTTCCACATGGCTGGGGAGGCCTCACAATCATGGTTGAAGACAAAGGAGGAGCAAAAGGACTTCTTACATGGCAGTGGACAACAGAGGACTTGTGCAGGGGAGCTTCTTTTTATTTATTTATTTAATTTTTTAATTTTTAATTTTTTTTTGAGATGGAGTCTCGCTCTGTCGCCCAGGCTGGAGTGCGGTGGCGTGATCTCCGCTCACTGCAAGCTCCGCCTCCCGAGTTCACACCATTCTCCTGCCTCAGCCTCCCAAGTAGCTGGGACTACAGGTGCCCGCCACCATGCCTGGTTAATTTTTTGTATTTTTTAGTAGAGATGGGGTTTCGCCGTGTTTGCCAGGATTGTCTCCATCTCCTGACCTCGTGATCCACCCACCTTGGCCTCCCAAAGTGCTGGGATTACAGGCGTGAGCCACCGCGCCCAGCGGGGGAGTTTCTTTTTATAAAACCATCAGATCTCATGAGACTTATTCACTATCACAAGAACAGCATGGGAAAGACCTGCCTCTATGATCTAATTACCTCCCACTGGGTCCCTCCCCTGACATGTGGGAACTGTGGGAGCTACAATTCAAGATGAGATTTGGGTGGGGACACAGCCAAACCATATCAAGGATATTACAGTTTCGTTTGCCTTCCTTTCTTCACTTACCAGTGTATCCTAGAGATTATTCCATAGTAGTACATCAAGATTCTTCATTGCTGTTTACAGATATATAGATATCCATTGTGTGGAGGTACATTTAATTTTCTTTTTAAAAATAAATTTGGATCTTACTGTATATAGAATTTTCTATCTTTTCATTAAGCATTTCATTAAGTATTAAGCATTTCTCTGTTAAAAATGGTTATTTTTATTTTATTTTTTTTAAATTTTTTTGAGATGGAGCCTCACTCTGTCACCCAGGGTGGAGTGCAGTGGCACAATCTTGGCTCACTGCAACCTCTGCTTCCCAGGTTCAAGCAATTCTCCTGCCTCAGCCTCCCAAGTAATGGGATTACAGGCACGCATCACCATGCCAAGCTAATTTTTGTATTTTTAGTAGAGACGGGGTTTTGCCATGTTGGTCAGGCTGGTCTCGAACTCCCAACCTCAGGTGATCTGCCCGCCTCGGCCTCCCAAAGTGCTGGGATTACAGGTGTGAGCCACCATGCCTGGCCAGAAATGGTTTTTTAATGGCTGCATGTTATTCATATTCATATGTCTGCATGAGGAAGCATAAAATTTATTTTAAAATTCCCCAATTGTGTCTCCATATGTGTGTGTGTTTGCTGTGACCAGGGGATCTTGAAGTCTCTTCTGTTAGATTTCTCAGCTAGCTGCAATAGCCATGCCTATGTTCTATGTATTCTTTTTGAAGTTTCCTGGAACTCCACAGAAAAAAGGAACTCTTTTTTCTTCTTTACAAAGGGAAAATTTTCTTTCTTTCATCCTCCAAATCCCAGTTCTCAATGATACCAACATAATTCATCAGATGAATTATCCAACTCGTCCAGCTCCGCCCCAACTCCTCACCCCCCACTATTCTTCTCCTGTCTCTGAGTCATCTCAAGGCTCCTGGAAAATCTAAATTGCCTAATTGTCACAAAAAAGTTAAAGATCAGGCTGGGTGTGGTGGCTCACACCTGTAATCCTAACACTTTGGAAGGCCAAGGCAGGAGGATTGCTTGAGCCCAGGAGTTTGAGACCAGCCTGGGCAACACAGCGAGACCCCGTCTCTACAAAAATTTTAAAAATTAGCTGGGTATGGTGGCATGTACCTGTGATCCCAGCTACTTGGGAGGCCGAGGTGGGAAGATCACTTTAGCCCAGGAGTTCGAGGCTGCAGTGAGCCAGGATGGTGCCACCGCATTCTAGTCTGGGCAACAGAGCAAGACCCTGTTCAAAAAAAAAAAAGAAAAAAGAAAAAAGAAAGAAAGGGAAATTATTGATATAGTGCTAAATTTCTTATGTTAATATCCTAGCCCCCATAGTGATACTTTTACGACGTGGGCCTTTTGGGAGGTGATTAGGTCACAAGGGCAGAATCCTTGTGAATGGGATTAGTGCCCTTGTAAAAGAGGCCTAAAGGAGCTCATTTTTGCCTTCCTTAAAAATAAAAAAGTTAAAGATCCTTGTCTTAAAGAATCAAGCTTAAGATTTATTAGTTGAGGCTTGAAACAGCGTATTTCTTAAGCATCTTATCTAAATTGTTGGACATTTTACCAATCTTGAAGGCAGAAAGATAGCAAAAAGCCTGACAAAATATTTTAAAAATTCTTATTTTTAAAGCAGTATACATATTTTTAAGACAGTTTTTCAAACACATTTTTAAGTAAAACTAAGATAAATTTATGAGTCATTAAAATTTATCTTAAATATTATGTTTTTAAACGTTAATTTTGAGTTACATTAAAATGTTAACAAACGCTGTATTACTTAACGTGATGAAATAGGAATGCTAACAAGAAGCCTTGTTAATGAATAGAGTTTCTATTTTTCTAATGACAGTACACATTCGCCAAGCTGTTAACTCATTCTAATAATTGCAGATCCTTTGTCTGTTCATATGATTGTAGAGAAAATATCTGAGAAAGATATTAATGAAGTTACATAATTTAGGCCAGGTGCGGTGGCTCACACCTGTAATCCCAGCACTATGGGAGACCAAGGCAGGTGGATCACTTGAGCCCAGGAGTTCAAGACCAGCCTGGCCAACACGGCAAAAGCCCGTCTCTACTAAAAATAACAAAAATTAGCCAAGCGTGGTGTTGCATGCCTGTACTCCTAGCTACTCAGGAGGTTGAGATAAGAGAATCACTTGAACCTGGGAGGCAGAGGCTGCAGTGAGCCGAGATCATGCCACTGCACTCCAGCCTGGGTGACAGAGCAAGATTCTATCTCAAAAAAAAAAAAAAAAAAAGATAAACAGAACTGTGGATGGGGGCCCAGGCCCCCTACAAAGGGTAGAGGAGCCTTATATATGTATGTAAAATAAAAAATCACTTAAAGATATAATAGACATAAATAGCTCATATATTTCGGGAAACAGGATTTCATTCTTACATTTTGTTTTAAAAGAAATACCTTAAGTTTTTGTTGAAGGTGTTTTACTTCCACCTGCAGAGTCTTGGTAGCTGTCTGAGCTGCTAAAGTCTTCCGAGTCTCAATAGCCAGCTGCCGGCTAAAGGCTCTGCAGTTCAACCTCAGTTGTTTTTCCAAGCTCTGAAAACAGTATATATTATAACTATTCTGCAACCAAGTTAGTATGTTAAAAACTTCAATTATCATGGAACTAACTACATTTATGAAAAGTGCACATTTTCAATACAATTTTAGTGAATGACTTATACAGGGGACATATATTGGAATGAAGTATAACCGAAAGAAAGACCCCAAATCCCAGATCCCAGCTCTAGAGAACAAATATCACACGTTTGGAGCCTGTTTTTTACATACTCTAAAATTTGATTTAACAATTCGTTTTTTTTTTTTTTTTTCTAAGTTGGAGTCTTGCTCTGTTGCCCAGGCTGGAATGCAGTGGTGCGATCTCGGCTCACTGCAGCCTCCACCTCCTGGGTTCAAACGATTCTCCTGCCTCAGCCCCTGGGTAGCTGGGTTTACAGGTGCACACCACCATGCCTGGATAATTTTTGTATTTTTAGTAAAGACAGGGTTTTGCTGTGTTGGCCAGGCTGGTCTCAAGCTCCTGGCCCACCTCGGCCTCCCAAAGTGCTGGTATTACGGGCGAGAGGCCACTGTGCCCTGCCCGATTTAAACATTCTGACCAGATCCTGAAAATCAGTAGACATCATGGATGGGCATTCCCAGACAACAGAAACTGAATGTTATAAAAGGGACTCAAACCACCACATCCATCCACACTGATGGACTGTAAGACAATGAAATGACTGATTTAATTCAATAACCATCCATAAATATATTCATCTGCTCTCTGGAATGAGAACTATTTTATTGGAGAACTGTTAGATCTGGACTTGACAGAAAGCTTACCAAAAGGACCACTTTTCTTTGTTTTAACATAAAGTAGGACCTCCTCCATTATAACAGCAGTACTTTCCCAAACAGGAAAAGTGGAAGACATGGAAAGCTACAAGGGGAAAGAATCACTAAAAATACCACTCCCTAAAACATTAATGTTAAAGAAATAACATGTTTTGGTCCACAAAACAGTTTTCCTCCACTAAATGCCTACAACCAAACAGAAATTTCTCATACTTGGTAAGTGCTTTTTGTATCAAAGAAAATAGTTATGGAATTTGTTTTGGTTTTATGTATAGATATAAAAACATGAACAACTTAGATACATACATGAAAACAGATTTGCTTTTACATGACAGACATACGCTAAGATGAATACAATATTACCTAAAAGGCCCAATAATATCACTTTGGTATACAAGAGTGAAAATTGAGGTTGCTCATTATTTTCTGTAGATCACATATTAATTTCATGTGAAAAAAATTTATTGGAAAATAGGGAATTTTAACAACAGAAGAAATAACTGAGATTAAAACGTGGAGGAAACGAACCTGATATTTACTTACTTCAAGATCATAGAAAATACTCGTGTTTCAGCATCAAATATTACAGAATTAAATCCTAAATTAATTCCATTTATGTTTATGTCTATACAGACTCAAACTAGCTAATGTAAGATATGCAGGAGAATTCTTAATATGATATCAATGCCTTCTCCCAAGTCATCCCTTATAATGTAATCCCCAGGCTTTTGACAACCAAGTGCTGTTGAGGAAAATCAATCCAGTCATCTCTTTAATTATTTTAATTCCTTTTCCTTCCCTACTACCCAGGAACATTATCTGGGAAAAGCTGCTATTTTGAAAATAACTACAAATGTCTGTGTGGTAATTCCTGGCCAAAATGGTGAGGGAGAATACAAAGGCCCTGAACGGATGCACTGAGTAGGTTTTTAGGGAAGTAGCCTTTTAATCAACAGTTTAAGGTAGAGGGTTGACTTCAAAGAGAGGTTTCACGTAACACAATGCAATCTTTTCAGCACAGGGAAAAAGTCCCTTAGCACTGTAGCTGTGCTCTCTTAGAGAATGGTCATTTCCAGATAAACCAGTCCAGCCACAGAGTGAACTCTTGTGCACTGCAACAGATGAACATTTCTAGTTTGAGCTGCTTCTGTTTTTCCTTCAAACCACTCCCTTTCTGTGCCCTCTATTAGACAACATAATTATTTAGTGCAGCACGCCAAGTGAAGCAGTTAGTAATGCTTTGTTACAGAGGGGGCGCATCCATGATTAATTCACACCCTCTCTCTATTAACTTTGGAATCTTAAACTGTCTGGGCCCCTGAAATACAGACCTGTATTTTTTTGTCATTTGCGTCCATTTTTGTTGTGATAATAGATAATTTATGAGTGAGTTCTTCCCTTTCTGCAAGGTTTTTGTCTTCAGAAAGTTTCTGCAGTGCCTGCAAGATATCTTTAGTCTTCAGTAACTGGCTGTCAGTTTCTCTAAGTTTCCTAGATAGAGTTCTTTCCTTTTCCTGGGATTTCCTAAGTAGTTGCCTTAAATTTTTTACTTCATTCTGATGTTTAGCCATAATTTGAGGTAGATTATTTTGTGAATTCTCATATTTTCCTATAGCTTTCAAATGCCTAAGCTGAAGTTGTTTCAAAAATTGGTTTTCTGTAAGGATGGCTTCCAATTTATGATGCATATCAGCTAATTCATTTTTTAGTCCTTTAATTTTATGAAGCCTTGCTGAGAGTATTCGATGAGCCATAGCATCTCTTCTTTGGGCAATCATATGGATTTGAGAATTAAAGAGTGATGCATTCCAGGTGTGCTTTTTTTCAACTGATATTTCCTTCTGGCCTGTGTAAGCAGAAAATCCAGTTTATTACTAGTAAAATATACAGATATGCAAATATGCACATATGCATAATCTCTCTCCCATGCCCCCATGCACACACACCACACACATACACACAAGCGTAAGTGTAACTAGAAGGGGACAAAACTATCATTTAATGAATACCCATGCTTTAGGCTAGGTACTTTATATATAACTACCTCATTTAATACAATTCTTTAAGATCAGTTGTAATATATTTTATAGCTGGAGATTTTACATCATTTGTCCAAGATTACATAGCCACGAAGTGACACAGAATGGATTGAAAACCAGGTCTTCTTTGACTCTAAAATCTGTACTTAGATTTCTATTATAACAGCTAGACTAAAAGCTGTGATAATAGGCCAGGTGCAGTGGCTCATGTCTGTAATCTCTACACTTTGGGAGGCTGCAGTGGGAGGACTGCTTGAGGACAAGAGTTTGAGACCAGCCTGATCAACAGAGTTAAGATCCCATCTCTAAAAAACAATTTTTTTAAATGTTTATTTTTATTTTTTTTTGAGATGGAGTCTCCCTCCATTGCCCAGGCTGGAGTGTAGTGGTGCAACCTTGGCTCACTGCAACCTCTGCATCCCGGGTTCAAGCGATTCTCCTGCCTCAGCCTCCCGAGTAGCTGGGATTACACGTGTCTGCCACTATGCCCTGCTAATTTTTGTATTTTTAGTAGAGACGGAGTTTCACCATGTTGGCCAGGCTGGTCTCAAACTCCTGACCCTCAAGTGATCCACCCTCCTTGGCCTCCCAAAGTGCTGGGATTACAGGTGGGAGCCATTGTGCCCGGCCTCTACAAAATTTTGAAAAGTAGCCTAACATGGTGGCACATGCCTATAGTCCTAGCTCCTCAGGAAGCCTTGGCGGGAGGATCCCTTGAGCCCAGGAGTTTGAGGCTGCAGTGAGCTATGATTGCACCACTGCATTCCAGCCTGGGTGACAAAGTGAGACCCTGTCTCAAAAACAAACAAACCAACCCCATGACAATAGCTGAAATTTACTAAGTGCTTATCATATGTCAGGCATTAAACTAAATGCTTTCTGTAGATTATCTGATGTAATCCTTTCAACAATATGTTATGGGTAATTAGAGTATAACATGAGAATCCAATGTAAAGAACTTATATATTCAAAATGACCCTCAAAAGGTCATCAAATTGCATAAGAGTCTATCTGTTTATACAGATACCGATTTTCCATCTCTCAATAAATCCAACACAGTTAATTTTTCCTGTTACTTTGGCTGGGCACCAAATGAAGTAATTGGCATGTGTCCAGGGGTCTATCTTAAACAAAAAGTCTCTAAAAATTATCAGTTAGCACCAAACTTACCTAATTGAATTTGAGTATGTTAAATACATTTGTAAATCACTGTACTATTATCCCATTTTAAAGATAAACACATGGAAGCTTGGGGATGTCCCTTGTCAATGAGCACACAGCTAGGAAGTGGTGAGACAGAGCCCATTGTCTATGTGCCTATGCTAGTGCCCCACAGGTGTGTGCATTTGTAGGATATAGAGGTATATGTATGTGTGCACCTGTGTATGTAAATGTATATGTGGTGTGCAAGTGTATGTATTCATATATCTAGATTCGGAGAAGGAGAAATTGAAACTGGATTCTAAACTCTAAAAATGTCTGATCCTCATTCTGGAGAGGGAAGGACACTTAGTGGCCAGTGTCACCCAAGTCCTAACCTTAAACTACTGGTCCAAGTGTGGACACATCTGAGATGTGGCTTAATATGTCTGCTCCAGGTGGTGGGAAAGGCAATTCTACCTGTGATAGAAACAATGAACCAAGAGAGCCAAAGCATGCTTTCTGGGGATAAAACATTTGAATCATAACTATGAAAGAACTCATAGATTATACAACACAGTATAACATCAATAACTGGTGGCCTGTCTTTGCAATTATACCTTCAAGTGTATTTATTTTCCCATGGTTTAGTAGGGGCTATGGCTGAATATTAAGTATTTTAGAATAGGCTTCTGAGCACAGTAAGTGGAAAGCAGAGCAGGCCAGCCTCTAGGACATCTACTAGAAGGCCTGCGAAGAGGTGTCTGTGGTTTTGTTGAGGCCGTACACTTTAATACTCTGGGCACTGGCTAGGGAAGCTCTAGACCCAGGCCGTATGGATCAGGCTGGTTTAAAACAGGGGTGGGCGAGGACTGACATGTTCTACACTATGGCCAGCATGACTGAACCTGACCCCCAACTTGTAATGTCTTCCAGCTCTTAGGTGCTCTGACCCTGGAGGAGAGGGATTTCACTGAGATGAGAAGGATGCGTGATGGGATCCATGGGCACTGGAGGCTTATATTTCCCTCTCATGCCATGCTCAAGTGATGGGAGGGCAGAGGCATGAGAGGGTGCTAAGGGACTAAACGCCATGGCCACAGGAGCTCTGGCCAAGGCCCCAGGAGTCAAGAAGTGCACAGAGGGCATGGATGCGTTGGAAAGGGGAGGTGCTGGCCTTTTAAAGATCATATGGCTTGGACAAGGAACATGTAAGTGGTAAAAATGAAGGGCAGAGGCTTCTCCCCCAGTATTCTTCTTTGTGTGAGGCCCTTTCCATGTCCCTGCCCCCTCATATTCCCTTATTCCCCAAACGTGTCTGAGATTGACTTTCCTGTCTACCCTAGTGAGTGGGTGGGGAGGACAAGCCAGGTTTGTTGGCTTCAGAAAGGTAAGTACACCACTTGCATTTGAGGGGTATGTAACAAATTCATACTGTATCCATCACGCATACTTGATGGAGGAATATATACTCCAAGAGTAATCAGCTTTAAAAAGCTAAATTATAAGGTACTTAGAATTCGAAATGCAATTTCTCTCTTGTAGAAAGTTTTATAAATGCCAACTGCCCTCTTGCATGATCCCACAAAAGCTTACCATCAATATAAAATGTAGTATATAGATTCAAGATCTCTTATTGTAAACCCTTGGAACCAGACTGTTTCAGAATTTGGGGGTGGGTTTTAAAGGTGAGTGCATATATGGTATTTTCCACAGTTCTCTCATTGGGGTCTGGAACAACACCCTTTAATGAAACTATATTTTTGCAGTGAAATTATAATCACTATTCACACTAAGTGAAATAACTAAAGATCTGCTTCATATTAGTTCAAATAAGGTTTTTGTTGCCAAATCAACTTTGATGCCAAGGATATGAAAGATGTTGGGTTTTTGGAGATTTGTAAATTTCAAATGTGGATAAGGAATTGTGTGTTTGTAGGATCTAACCATGATGTTCATTTTTGATGGAGTCCAGGCATGAGAGAAGTACTGGACTTTTCATTTCCTGCCCTGGGCCTTGCCAGTGGAGGTAGGACCCCCAGCTCTCTAGAAAAGTAACATTTAACCTTTTGAGACTCTGATGAAAGGTACAGGGCCGTCTAGAAAAGTTTACAAACACACATAGACACAAAAAAATGCATAGAATTTCATGGGGTTCACAGACATGTGTCTTAGATAAAGAATCCCTGTGCTATAGCAGGGGAACTGAAGATTCTGGGTGTTCCAGAAGTGGCACAGAGGGTCCTGGACACAGCTGGTAACAGCAGACTGGGGATGCAAGATGCAAGGTGGACATGGCGGTGGCAGATGCACTCCCCAAACAGCAGGCCCTTTATTGTCCTCCTGTTGACTGAAGTGCTCTGATGGTCAACATGGACAAGAGCCCCAGCTGTTTCTATATAAGGAATACTTATGAGCTCAAGATTGCCTCAAATGGGAGGAAGGAATTACAGTCTGGGCAGGGAAGGAGGAAGAAAGGAGATCAAAGATAACACAAGCTAATTCCAATTTGGACAGCTGGGAGTTGATAGAGCTGGTACTTTAAAAATCTACAAAGAGCCGGGCGCGGTGGCTCACGCCTGTAATCCCAGCACTTTGGGAGGCCGAGGCAGGCGGATCACGAGGTCAGGAGATCGAGACCATCCTGGCTAACACGGTGAAACCCTGTCTCTACTAAAAATACAAAAAATTAGCCGGGCGTGGTGGTGGGTGCCTGTAGTCCCAGCTACTCAGGAGGCTGAGGCAGGAGAATGGCGTGAACCCGGGAGGCAGAGCTTGCAGTGAGCCGAGATGGCGCCACTGCACTCCAGCCTGGGTAACCAGAGCAAGACTCTGTCTCAAAAAAAAAAAAAAAAAATCTACAAAGAAATGACATTATTAACAGCCTTTTGAACCATCTCTGTTTCAAAAGATGGTGTTTGCCAATATGTCTCACCAGACTTGGAGACCATCCTCTTGGGGTGCTGAGATAGGTATTTACATTTCACTGGCAATTCAAACACTGATTCTTCAGCTGAGATGAAAGGCAAGAAGCCAGTGAAATCCAAATATTGTGGTACTCTGTAACAAGGCCACCTGTTAACTAAAAACAGAACTAACCTCACTAGTAGGCTCCAGTAGGGTAAGCCATGCAGGGGGCTAGGCTTTACATGTGAAGCCTTTCTGTTATTTTATAATTACTCTTAATTTCTCTATTTCCTAATTTATTCTATAAAAGTTCACCTATAATACACATTTACAATATGGGAAAACAATAAAACTGAGTATGAACCACTTCAAACACTAGTGCAGTAAAATAACATCATTATGACAGAAATTTGGTCTTGCTTGGGAAATTTTACTCCTTACCTTTAGATTGGGAGATTTTAGAAACATTATACTTTTTCTTCTCCTTTTCTTTTACCACAGGCTGCTTTAAATAATTTCTATTAATAGCCTTTTCTGAACAATCACAGAGAAAGTCTTCTGAATAATCATACTGAGAACTTAAACTTCCACAGGAGCACTGAGATCTGCTATAATCAACACTCTTATTGGAAGCATTACTGTTCCGTGAAAAATCGCCTGTGCCTGGGCTTCTCTTGCATGCTGCAGACCTCCTATTGTTTTCTAATGCCACGCCGAAGAAATGCTCATCTATATTTGTTTTTGTTAGATCAGCCAAAGACATAGCAAACAACCTAATAAAAGAAAAGTAAAACCTAATAAAAGTATTTTTGAATTTATTGACATTAAAATGAACCTATGCTTTATTTTATATATATATATATATATATTTTTTTTTTTTTTTTTTTTTTTTTTTTTTTAAAGACAGGGTGTCACTCTGTTGCCTAGGTTGGAGTGCAGTGGTGTGGCCATGGCTTTCTGCAGCCTTGACCTCCTGGGCTCAAGCGATCCTCTCAGCTCAGCCTCTGGAGTAGCTGGGACTACGAGTGTGTGCCGTCACACCTGGCTAACTTATTATTTTTTGGTAGAAATGGGAGTCTCACTATGTTGCCCAGGCTGGTCTTGAACTCCTGGGCTCAAGTGATCCTCCCACCTTGGTCTCACAAAGTGGTGGGATTACAGGCGTGAGCCACCATGCTCAGCCATGGACATAAACTTTGAATACTTTCAATAAGCCCTCTTAGTTGTCTAAAGTGATAATTTAAAATGGAAGGAATAGAAAGTGAAATACAAGAAAGACCCCAAATTTATACCCTTAATAAAATTAACATTAGTTACAAAGCAGATGGTTCTGCATTTCTTTATTATGCTACTGCACTAAGGACAATACCACCACAAGTATCTCTTTTATAGCAGCTTACCTCAAAAGCAGATTGAAACAAACAGATCCATCTTCTGAGGTCTTTAAAAGGATTTACCTTTTCATTTAATTCTCAATTCTCCTGTTTTATCAAGAAAGCAAAAGAGAATTTAACTGGCATTAGATCCTTTGCAATAGGAATCTAATATCACTTTCTCTACTGAGAGGGTTTTTTTTGAAGTCAGTTTCTGCTTTTTGCTGCATCTGCTTAATTCTCCAGCCTTCTCTTCTGATGAAATATATTAGGCAGTCCACAATCTCCTCACTACAAGAAATCAAATGATCTTAGTAATAATTAATATTAGCATTACACTTAATATCTAACTAGTGCTCTTACTTTGTACAAACTTATTTCACATCACCTCATCTCAGCCACCTAGAGGGAATAGGTTCAGACAGGTTTAAAGTTCAGAGACTGTCCCTGTTTCTTAGCTCCAGGGGCAGTGCTTTTTTCATTAAGCACCATGACTGCAACACCACATTGGTGGGAGCATTACACAATCCTAAGGCAAAGAATTTCTCTTTCCAGACACATTCTGCTGTGTAGCGGTGGGCAGAAGCAGATCCTTATTTGTGAACCTTTGCATCTAGATTAAGAAGAATCCAGGCTGGGCATTGTGGCTCACATCTGAAATACCAGCACTTTGGGAGGCTGAGGTGGGTGGATAGCTTGAGCTCAGAAGTTTAGGACCAGCCTGGGCAACATGGCGAAACCGTCTCTACAAAACAAATACAAAAATTAGTGGGGTGTGGTGGTGCACACTTGTAGTCCCAGCGACTTGGGAGGCTGAAGTGGGATTGCTTGAGTCCAGGAGGCAGAGGTTGCAGTGAGCTGTGATCGCGGCACTGCATTCCAGCCTGGGTGACAGGGCCAACTCTGTCTCAAAAACAAACAAACAAACAAACAAACAAACAAAAACAAAAAGAAGAATCCCAGATGTTGGTGTAAGGGACCCTGAAAGACTACAAATGCTCCCGTGTAGCCCTCATAGCCTTGCCTGTCCTTGTCCCCAGGAGCTGTTCCTCCCTGCCCTCTTGCTCATGACCTCAGTCCCTAATTTCCTCCTCACCTATCTTGGTAAATCCAAATGGCTCAAACAATGGTTGCTAATCCGCAAGAAGAATTTGTTTTTTTGGCCAGTTGTTTCTGACTCAAGCTAGAGTTCGGCTGACTTCTGCTAAAGCCCCTCCTTCTTCCTCACTTTAGAACACTCCTTCAACAAGTCTTCTTATGCAGGCAATTTTGGATAAAGGCTTAATTCAAGAGTGTTTTTCATGTTACATTCACAAATTGTCCAGCTACAGTAGTGGGAGGGAGTGGGATGGAGTAGAAGGTGATGGACAATTTGAAGGCAGACCGGCTTGGGTTTGAACTTGGGTCTGCCTGTCACTTAAGTGCTCTTGTCCATCTGTAAAATGTGAGTGACACCACCAATCCCATAGGGTTGAGAAAGAAAAGAAGCTTATCTGAGGAATGCAACCCCCTTTAAATGACCAGGCCCAAAGAGGCACTGGAATGAGACAGCAGTCACGTCCCCCCATCCCCCCAGCTGAGCTAAGTAATCATTTCTAAGCTGCTTGCTCCGTGGGCTCTGACTGACACCACCAATAGCTATAAATTAACCTAACAATGCCATATGCTGGACACCACAGCTCATACCCTGTGGTTCAAACAACAATCTAATCGCCAGTCACTGTTATTTCTGTAGACCAATGAGAATTCCTGAAAAACGACGTTTGCAATTGTCCCTCTCCTGACTTTGTCCTTTTTTCTTTAAAAAATGCAAGCCTCTCACAGAAGACTAAAGTGAACTTCAATTGTCCCATGTTTGATAAAGTAGAAGCCTAGCCATCTTAGTCTCTTAGTTTAATAAAAATTGATGTAACAGCCAAAAAAGAAAAAAAATTCCAATGGAAATCCTGTAGAGCCACATAAGAATAAACAAGACTATAAATAACTTCACTCTTAAAACAATTCTACCAGATTAAAATGTCCCCTAATGAGGCTTTCTAGACTTAGCTGTGAGAAAGGTGGTGGATTGGAAGGTGTTACCGCCCTCTCCACGTGGATGTGCAAGTCATAAGCCTCTGTGGATGCTGAGTTGTCCCATTACCTACTGGCTCCAGTGGATGTCTGTATTTTGCAGGATCCTTATAGCTAGAAGTAATTGTAGCTTCTTAAAAATGCTTGAAAAATCAAAAATCTGTCAATGTTTCAGTGAGAAGATCCCTTACTAGCAAAATTATCCACAATCTTTCCTGCTCAATAATTTGCCTAGCCTAACGTTAGGGATCTAGTTTCCTCAGGATGGGCAAAGGGTGGTCTTACCATAAAGACAATTTTTTTTTTGTTGGTGGAATGGATGAGTAGAAAATGACTGCTACCAATTTTATTTATTTTATTTTTGAGATGGAGTCTTGCTCTGTCGCCAGGCTGGAGTGCAGTGGCATGATCTCGGCTCACTGCAACCTCTGCCTCCCGGGTTCAAGCGATTCTCCTGCCTCAGCCTCCCAAGTAGCTGGGACTACAGGTACGTGCCACCAAGCCCAGCTAATTTTTGTATTTTTAGTAGAGATGGGGTTTCACCATGTTGGCCAGGATGGTCTCGATCTCTTGACCTTGTGATCTGCCCGCCTCGGGCTCCCAAAGTGCTGGGATTACAGGTGTAAGCCAGCGCGCCTGGCCTGCCATAAATTTTCTAGTGGATGTACTGTCAACTTGCTTTTGTCAAATTTCTAAAACACATAGTATAAGGCAGTGATCAATTCTACTATTGATCACTACTATAACCTAATCTGTCTCATGTAAAAAAAGCTACAAGCAACTTCAGATTAATTGCTGTGTTCACCGATTTGTCTTAAATAGGCAAAAATATCTGAAAATCAAAAATCATAATTTCAATCCATATCCTAAGACACTGAATTTTTGGGAGCTTACTAAATTTAAAAGTTGTCATGAATGCTTTATAGAGTATATTTAGATGCTATATTCTTTTGAAATAATATATTTACAACTTGGTAAGATCAGTGTATAAACTGACTGGCCCAGTGTTTATCACAGCTTATTAATGTCAGTGTCACTAAAATCAGCTTTTAGGTAAAATCGGCTTTTAGGTAAACTCAGTATGCTTCTTTTTGCTACAACAAATAGACAATTGTTTTTAATATTAATGGCATAGTCTTTGACAAAAAGAGGTCATAAGAAAAACTGGGACCAGATGATAATAACACTTAAATGAATTTTGTACCTGATTCGCTAACATTTTAAAATGAAGATTTTAAAAAATGTATCAAATAGGTCAATTTATTTGGCTTACTGAGCGTACATATTTAACACAACTGATTCCTAAGCCTTTGGGATACAATTCTTTATTTTTAACCCTCTTTTATTGAGGTATCAAAGAAAATTAGTAAGAGTACCATTTGATAAGATTAGAAATGTGTATCCCCATGAAACTATCACCACAATCAAGACAGTGAACACAACCACATAATCTCCCAAAGCCTCCCAGCACCCCATTGTAATTCCTCTCATCCTTCCCTGCGCCTCACTCCCAACCCAGGCAAACCCTGTTTTTTTGTCACTATCAATTATTTTGCATTTTATAGAGTTTTATATAAATGGAATAATCCAGTATGTATTTTTATTTGGTTGGCTTCTTTCACTCAGCATTATTATTATGAGATTCATCCATGTTACTATGTGCATCAATATCAGTAGTTCATTTGTTTTGTTTTTAAGTTGCTGAGTAGTTTCCAATTGTATGTATAAACCATAATTTGTTTATTCATCTGTTCACAGACATTTCAGCTATTTCCAGTTTTGGGCTATTACAAATAAAATTGCTGTGAATATTCTGGATATAAATCCTTTATCAGATATATGCTTTGCAAACATTTTCTCCTCATCTGTGATTTTTCATTCTCTTAAAAATGTCTTTTAAAGAGCAGACTGTTAATTTTGGTGAAGCCCAATTATCAATTTGTTCTTTGAAGAATGATCCTGGCCGGGCACGGTGGCTCATGCCTGTAATCCCAGCACTTTGGGAGGCCAAGACAGGCGGATTGCCTGAGGTCAGGAGTTCGTGACCAGCCTGGCCAACAAATTTAAACCCCATCTCTACCAAAAAATAAGAAAATTAGCTGGGCGTGGTGGCGGGCGCCTATAATCCCAGCTACTTGGGAGGCTGAGGCAGGAGAATTGCTTGAACCCAGGAGGTGGAGGTTGCAGTGAGCTGAGATTGCGCCATTGTACTCCAACCTGGGTGACAAGAAACTCTGTCTCAAAAAAAAAAAAAAAAAAAAAAAGATCCTTTTGGTGCTGTATCTAAGAAATTTTTGCATGACCTGAGGTCACAAAGATATCCTCCTTTCTTTCTTCTAGAAGTTTTACTTTAAATCTGTAATCCATTTTGAGTTACTTATTATGGATTAAAATTCATTTTTTGGTATATGGGCATCTAATTGCTTCAGCACCGTTTGTTGCAAAGACTATCCTTTTCCCACTCAATTGCCTTTGCATCTTTGTAAAAACCCAGATATTCATATGTTGATCTATTTCTGTGCTCTCTATACTGTTCTACTGATCTGTTTCTCTATATTCATACCAATACCACACTATTTTGGTTACTGTAGCTTTTTTTTTTTTTTTTTGAGAGAGGGTCTTCTTCTATTGCCCAGGCTGGAGTGCAGTGGCACGATCTTGGCTCACTGCAACCTCCACCTCCTGGGTTCAAGTGATCCTCCCTCCTCAGCCTCCCAAGTAGCTGGACTACAGGTCCATGCCACCACATCCAGCTTTTTTTTTTTTTTTTTTTTTTGTAGAGACAGAGTTTTGCCAATTCTCCTGCCTTGGCAGGGTAGGTAAATTTCCAAAAGAGTTACTTGTACATAAATTATACTCATCAAAGAGACAGGATATTCCTAGCATTCTGGAATTCCCAGGACTCCAGAACCATCCTAAAATTTCTACCTATATGACCTCAATACAGGTATGTTTGGGTTCACCTGGCACTGTGTGAGTTCTATTCTTTTCCATGAAATGGCGACTGAGAGACATTATCAGCAATGTAAACAAAAGTAAAACCCAGTTTGATTCTTGGCTATTACTATAGTTGGCAATGAATGTGTCCTGAATGCAGGTATCAAGTAGGATCATATATTCAGTCTGCTAAATACCAGTTTTCTCACTGACCTGTTAAAAATTGACTGATGACTAGTATCAGGCCTATAACTGTACTTTTAAGTTGATTAAACTATTTCAGAAATCTTCATATTAATATACATACACTACACTTCTCTATTGTTATCAATAAAAAGTGTAGTTTCCACATACAAATTTCTGATTATGTGGTGCATTTTTGAAAAATCCAGGCCTTAAACCAACCACCTACTGTTCTTTCTTTTGAGACGGGGTCTTACTCTGTTGCCTAGACTGGAGTGCAGTGGTGTGATCACAGCTCACTGCAGGCTTGACCTCCTAGGCTCAAGCAGTTCTCCCACCTCAGCCTTTCATTTAGCTGGGATTACAGGCACATACCACCATGCCTGGCTAATATTTTTAGTTTTTGAAGAGATAGGGTCTCACTATGTTGCCCAGGCTGGTCTTGAACTCCTAGGCTCAAGCAATCCTCCCATCTCAGCCTCTCAAAGTGCTAGGATTACAGGCATGACCCACCATGTCCGGCCACTGATGTTCTTAATTAATTAATATGTTCAGTCAAAGAACATTTATTTAGTGTCTTCCAGGGTCTGGGGTTATGAAGAAGGTAAGGCAAAAGGATCTTAAAATAGGCAAAGTTAGTAATTATAAAATTAATATCTACTATAGTTACACTAGTTTTTGTATCAAATTTACAGTATAGTTCAGATTTAGTTTGGCAGCATTTATATTTTGAACAGTTTACAGTATAGTGGTGCCTATTTTACTGCACATGAAGCATAATTTTATTATGTCTCTATCATTATGGAGTTTATAGTTGTTTCTTTGCTGTTATGACTCGGGAACACAATGAGTAATTATAAACACTATTCTAATGGAAAAAATCTGATCTGGTTGAGGTTACGTTTTCCCGGAATGCACTATGGTGAAAGGGATGGCTACTTAAAAGAACAGTAAACTTCTATATTATGCTTATCTAATTAGTGAATTAGAAATAAGAATGTTCAAGATCAAGGTATATGTCTGAATCATTCTGAATACAACGGTCAGGTGTCTTTTCTCCTGCTTTTGCAACAAGGCAGATGGAAAATAAAACACACTAAAATGTTTGAAAGTGATTACTGCATACCTGGTGTTCTTTATTAAACTTCCCTAAGATGTCTGATGATAAACTGAAGATAAGCACAGGGTTCTTCACACTGTAGTATTTATGAGCTTTCCACGGTAGTATTTTTTTGACAGGTTTTGGTCTCTTTTTAAAGAAAGAATATATTTTAAAAAACCTAAAATGGTATTACAAAAGGAAAATGTTACAATCTCACAAAGAAACATATTTATGTAATAAGAATAAGGTTTTGAAGCAGTTTTAATTAATATATATATATTCCCTTGTATTATGGATTGGTGTGGTCTTGGCTCACTGCAACCTCTGCCTCCCAGGTTCAAGCAATTCTCCTGCCTCAGCCTCCTGAGTAGCTGGGATTACAGGCGCCCGCCACCATGCCCGGCTAATTTTTTTGTATTTTTAGTACAGACGGGGTTTTACCATGTTGGCCAGGCTGGTCTCAAACTCCTGACCTCAAGTGATCTACTCACCTTGGCCTCCCAAAGTGCTGGGATTACAGGTGTGAGCTACTGCACCTGGCCACAGGCGGCTTTTTCTCTATGAAAGTGAATCACCTGTTGGCAGTTGATTGGGAAATTCTTGGATGTGATTATCAAACAGTGATGTTGAAGTAAGATTTGAAGGAGCCATACACAGCAGTGCCTTTTCAAGTTTTTGGCAGAAAAGATCTTGTGGCTCACCTGCCTGCTCTTTCTTTCCAGTACAGAGTTGAACATAAATAATTAAAGTTTTTGGATTATGTGTTTCTTGCCTGTCAACAATAAAAATAACAAAAAGACGACCCTCTTGGTAGCTAATTGTAAGCACTGGATTGTATTTTAGAAGCAGAGACAGTGACTGATTTAGTATTATATACTAAAATGTATTCTGGTTCCATACTTTCATGAATTATCAGATTCTTGGTTAATAATACAACTAGAAAATCCTAATTCTTAAAAGTAAATATTTTGTTACACGCATATAATGAAAAAAATTCAGTAGTAAATTTATAATTAATTCATAAGGATAATTTAATTCAAATGATTACATCTGTGTTTCTGGCTGAAATTATTCTATGGGTAGGTAATTACATACATATTTTTTGAGATGGAGTCTCACTGTGTCATCCAGGCTGGAGTGCAGTGGTGTTAGCTCAGCTCACTGCAGTCTCGACCTCCTGGGCTCACGCGATCCTCCTGCCTCAGCTTTTCAAGTAGCTGGGACTACAGGCATGTGTCACCATGCCCAACTAATTTTTTTATTTTTGCAGAGACGGGATTTTACTATGTTGCCCAGGCTGGTCTAGAACTCCTAGACTCAAGTGATCCACCTGCCTTGGCCTCCCAAAGTGCTGGGATTACAGGCATGATCCGGGCCACAGCACCCGGCCAGTAATTATATTCTTAACCAGTCCTGCCTCTTGGGAAAAAAAACTTACTCAGCATGCAAATTTTCCCTCTTTTCTTATCCATTCTCAACATTTCCTATTGCCTTCCCCATTTCATTTTTTCTCTTTAACACATACTATCTAACCTAACACCCATTTTACTTCCTCAGCCTGTTTGTAGCCTGGCTTCCCCACTAACTGCATGCTTCACAAGGCATGCATTCTGGCTCCTTTGTCTATTGCTATATCCTCAGTGCCTAGAGGAGTTCCTGAGAATATTAAGTGTCCAATAAATATTGATCAAATAAATTAATGTTCCGGATGCCTCTGTGCTTAATTCCTCTCTTCATATCCATTACTCCTGAAAAAACTTCTCATTACTGCTAACCCAATCTGAAAAGCTCCAAATGAAAGCTTTCCCAATGTGATAAATACCTATCTCAAACAAAAAAACAGCTTTAAGCTTAATGGTGAAACATTAATTTACACTGATGTAAGAATTAAGATAAGAAATGCCTACTATCACTGTTGTTCATTAATATTGTTCTGGAGGTACTAGGTCTAAATATTGGAAAAGAAGAGGCAAGTTATTATGTGGAAATGAAATGAAATGATTATATACTTATAAAACACTATCAAGAGAATTAAATTGACACCATAGGTTACAAAATGGCTATAAAATTAATCTTTTTTTTGAGACAGGGTCTCACTCCACTGCCCAGACTGGAGTGCAGTAGCGTGATCACAGCTCACTGCAGCCTCAACCTCCTGGGTTCAGGTGATCCTCCCACCTCAGTCTCCCGGGTAGCTGGGACTACAGGCACGTGCCACCATGCCTGGCCAAGTTTTTGTAGAGATGGGATTTCACCATGTTGCCCAGGCTAGTCTCAAACTCCTTGGCTCAAGAAATCTGCCCACTTTGGCCTCCCAAAGTGCTGGAATTATAGGTGTGCCTGGCCCTAAAAATAATCTTTCCTCTATGCAAAATAAAACGACTTAGAAAATAGATGAAACATACCCCACTTACTATATCCAAATATTTAAAACATCTAAGTTTACTACGAATAATATGAAGGAAACTTTAAAACTACTGAAATAAAATATTTAAGTGAAGGACACATTTTGTTCTTATATCAAAAGGACACAGATTATAAAGCTGTAAATTCTCCCTAATTTAATCTACATGATCAATGTATTCTCAATGAAATACTGAGTAATTTTGTGAAATTTGACCAAACGATACAAAATTCACATAGAGAAATAAATATGAAAGAATACAAAGAAATATGAACAAAAATGATGAGAAGGGACTACTTTGATCAGATACTGAGATAGAAAACTACAGTCACTAAAATAGCCTGATACTAATGCTTTGACAGAACAATATTCTGGAATAAAGAGTTCAGAAACAGAAACACAAACAAATACATATGGTAACCTAGTCTAAGATAAAGGTAGAGAAAGTGGACTTCAGTAAATGATGAGAGGTAGGCTAGAATCTACCTGGAAATCAAAACAAAAGCAGATTCTTATTGCATTTCTTACACTAAAATGACGGTTAGATGGGTTCAAAATGTAAATGTTTAAAAAATTATTAAAAGAAAACACAGAGTGTGGAAAAACATAAAGCCTAGAACCATAAAGGAAACAACTGATAAAAATAACTGCATAAAAATATAAAACTTCCTTATAATTAAAAAAATAATAAAGTTCAAAGGCATCTTACAAACTGGAAAAAAGATTTTCAATACATATGACAAAGACCTAATTTCCTTAATTTGCAGAGACCTCTTAAAATAATCCATTAGTAAAATGGGCAAAAGATATGAATGCATTACAGCATAAACACATTACAGAAACACAGAAAACCAAGAGTTATATAAAAAGATGTTCGAACTTACTCATAATGAAATGCAAATTAGATTCCGCTTTTCATCTACCAGAATGGCAAAAATTAAAGAATCAGATAAAACATATTATTGTTATTATAACTGTGATGAATACTGATAATGCATATTATAAAAAATAAAGCATATCTGTGTATGTGTAGATATGTAAAGTTCTCTAAGATACGTTCATTTTCCAATCAATGTCTACATGTAAAATAGAGTTAAATTCTCATTTTTAAGATTTAAGACTTTCATTTGGTACAGTGGTAGGCTGAATAATGGTCCCCTAAGGATGTCCATGTCCTAATCCCTAGAACCTGTGTTACTATATATAGCAAAAGGGACTTTGCAGATGTGATCAGTTTCAGGTCTTGAGGTGGGAAGATTATCTTGAGTTATCCCAGATTATCCATGTGGACCTAATGTAATCACATGGGCCTGTCTAAGAAGGACACAGGAGGGGTCAGAGTGAGAAGGCTCTGTGATCACAGAAGCAGAGTCAGAGGGAGAAGACACGACGCTGCTGGCTTTCAAGATGGAAGAAGGGGTCACATGCCACAGAATACAGGCTTTTCTAGAAGTTAGAAAAGGGAAGGGAATGATCCTCCCTTGGATCCTCTAGAAGGAATCAGTCCTGCTGACATCCTAACTTTAGCCCCTTAAGACTCATTTCAGACTTCTGACCTCCAGAGCTGTAAGAAAATAAATTTGTTTGAAGCCACTGAGTTTGTGGTAATTTGTTATAGCAGCAATACAGAACTAATACAGGTACCTTGAAAAACATCACAAATTAAAATGAGACTAAAAGCAGGCTATTAAATGCAAATGAATTGCACTGTTATAAATTTCAAGAAGTCAGAGAAGATGGTGAGTTCAAACGTTTTGGGGAAATATCTTAATTGTTCCAGAAACCAGCTTGCTTTACCTTGCCTTGGACTATATCTAGGAACAAGATGACCAACCTGAGATAGCTGGTGGGATTGTTTGCTTTGGAAAAATGAGCTGGAGAAAACAGCCGACCCTCTCATAAGCACTCCATGAAGACTTTTTTTTAAAGCAGGTGGCTTTCCTGCAGAGGCAGTGGCAGAAGCATGGCTGAAGGCTGAGAAAGCAGAGTGAAGTAGTTGTAAGGGGGAGGAGTGACAAAGAGGCGTCAGGTAGCTGGCAAAGTTAGGAAATTAATTAGAGCTAACAAATTAACTGAGGACATAAGTAAATATATTTAGAATCATGGGGTCAAATTTCTTACTGTCTGAAAGAGGGAAGGCTGGAAAGAACCCTGAAATGTTGGATTAGAATGAGAAATGCTAGGTTCAAATACACACACATACACACACAAGGAGTTATATACAGTTACAGATCTATGTGCATATATATCTATAAATGTATGTGTATGTGTATATACATATGTATGTATATGTGTGCGTGTATTTTTCCCCTAACTCTGCTGAGAGGGCCTAGAATCAACGACACCCCAGAAACAATGAGTACACTGTGTACCATTCTCCACTAAATACCATTCTCTGCTATAATGAATTGGGGTTCCTTGGAGAAATGGATGATCCTAAGCCTGAGGCAGGCAAAGAGAAGAAAGGCTGGTGTGTATCAAAAGGGCACAGGAGCCAGCTTTAAGAAGCTCCCACTAGTCAAAGATAGGGCAATTTGAACATCAATACCAATAAGGAGGATACATCAGCCTGAGCAACACAGGGAGATGCCATCTCTATAAAAAACAAAACAAAACAAATTAGCTGGGTGTGGTGGTACACACCTATGGTCCCAGCTACTTGGGAGGCTGAGGCTGCAGTGAATTTGATCATGCCAACACTGCACTCCAGCCCGGACAAGAGTGAGACCCTGTCTCAAAAAAAAACAAAACAAAATGGGATTTACCACGTCAGAGTATCTCTTCCCAAAGCACTAATCAAATGCAAAGGGAAAACAGGTGGCTGTGGAGAAAACTGGCAGATTTGTGCTTGAACAGGTAATCAAGGTTCATGTCACCAGGGTGGGACAGGTGACATTCACTAGTGTCCATGGGCACTTGAGAAGATCACAGCACCACTTCTGTGGTCTTTCTGCCACAAGCACAGCCTGTCTGGTTAGAAAAAAACATCAGCCAGACCCAAGTTCAGGGTCTTCCTATTGAATGAAAGGCTTAAACTCTAAACTCTTTGACAAAAATGTTAAATGAACAGAAAAGCTCTTCTCTAAGCTTATAAATGTGGTATTATATAGCTAAGATAATCAATATCTTACGGTTTTCAAGAACATTATTTCAAACACTTTATCTACTTTTATGTGTCCCAATTTTTTGCTTCAGAAATTTTGCGAGTCACTCTAAACATTGACAAAGGGAGGTTATGATTCTTAACACTGATTGGCCTGGCGTGGTGGCTCACACCTGTAATCCCAGCACTTTGGGAGGCTGAGGTGGGCAGATCACTTGGGCCCGGGAGTTTGAGAGCAGCCTGGGCAACATGGTGAGACCCTGTTCCTAAAAAAAAATTAGCCGGGTGTGACAGTCCCAGCCACTCAGGAGGCTGAGCCCAGGAAGTCAAGGCCGCAGTGATGCAGTGAGCTGTGATCGCACAACTACATTCCAGCCTGAGGGATGGAGTGGGACCCTGTTTCAAAACCAAAAAAAACCAAACGAACAAAACACTGATTGAGAGGCAGTATACTGTGGAAGAAAAAAGGTATGTTCCCAGTTCTGCCAATACAACTAGCTATTAGGCCTCAAATGTCTAAGGCAAGAAATTAGGTGATTTCTCAGTGACATATAAGGTCCAGTCTAGCACTAAAATCCATAAATGAAATATACCTATATATATAAGCAATTTCAAGTTTATTTGATAACATGAAAATGTGCCACGTTCAAAGTTTGGATGGTTACAGACTAGCTATGCTATGTAGGTTTTGGTAATTTAACAACTTTATATATTTTAGAACAAATGTTTGAATTCACTACCCGACTGACACCCTAGTCACCTTCAGGATAAGAACCCGTGCCTCTCTACTTCCACCAAGTGGTGGCAAGTGCAATGTACTGCACTGAGTAAAGGGCTACAAATCTTTACACAAGTACCCGTTTTTAGCTACCCTGACACAACATTCTTTTTAATTTTCAGTGTTTGCCTGATTATTTTTACTAGATTTTCATTCTATTTTAATAGAATTGTATTAAAACACACGGCGCTTAGTATCTCTTACATATTAGAATGTTCATTTCATTCATTCTTTCAGCACCCATTTGAGTGCTTACTATGTGCCAGGCACTATGTGGGGTGTGGAGATACAATGATGAACACAAACAGCAAATGTTTCTATTTTTGTGGGCCTTATGTCAGTAATGAACTAATCATAATAGTGACTGTCCAGAGTGTCTTCAAGGAAGGAGATACAACTCTGTGAAGATAAAGAAACCTGATCCTGACAGCGATCAGGGAAGTTATCCCTGTAGAAGTACTGTCTGAGTTGAGATAGGAAGGGTCAGTGGGAACTAATTAGGCAAGAGAGGATGAGAGGGAGGAGGGAAAAACAATGCAGACAGAGAGGAAAGAATGCCAAGGCCTGGTGGGTGGAGGAGGCCCATGTGGCTGAAGCCCAGTGAGAAGGGCCAGCGGTTTCAGATGAGTCTTGAGACGCAGGCGGGGGTGAACAGCTGCAGGGCCTTCGGAAGGCGTGTTTATGATGTGGATCATTAATCCAAGGGCAATGGGAAGCTAACTGTAGGCAAAAGAGGGAGGCGGGAGGGGTGGCATAATCAGCTCTGCCTTCTGAAGGTTACTCTGGCTGCAGGGTGAAGAATCGAGAAAAGCCAGAGGGAATGTGGGGAGACAAGCTGGTACAGGACTGCGGCAGGCTGAATGAAGGTGGTGGTTTGCACTTGGGTGTCCACGACAATGAAGAGATGTGAAAGATGCCCAGGAGACAACCTCACCTGGGCTTAAGGATTCACTGGGTGTTGGGGTGTGATAAGGGTCAAGGAGGAATCCTAGGTACAACGGAAGAGGTTCCAGCTGGGGTTGGGAAGTGGGGTTGTTTGGTTTTGTGCATGTTGAATTGGAGGAGACTGAGTGGTATTAAGAAACACTGTCACGCAGCTAGCTGAACGTACGAGTCTAGCTGAGAAAGGGTCAAGTTGGAGAAAGGTAGGAGTCAAGAGCACAGGGCTGGAACTTAAAAGCTGTGCGTGTGAATCTGTGCCTTGTGCTAGATGAAGGGGCGCAATGGAGAATAAAATGGGAACAGATGCCGAGCTTTGAGAATCTCCAATATTAAGGAGCCTGGGAGAGGAGGGTGAGCCAGAATGGCAGCAGGAAAAGCAGAAGAGTCAGGGATGGTCACAGAAGCCAAGGGAAGACAGTGTTTGTAGAGTGAAATGGGGGCAGCAGTTTCAGATGCCGCTGAGAGATTGAGCAAGACAAAGCCTGAAAAAGTCTCATTCCTGGTTTTTGTTTTAGCAGAGATGAAGAGGGAAGCCATACTGGCTGAGGAGTGAGAGACAAATAATAGAGGCATTGAATATGGCAGTTCTTTAAAGTTTGCCTGTCGAAAGGGATAAGGGATTGGACAATAACTGGAAACTGAAGGGGAACGTGGGGTCAAAGAAGATTCTTTTTTTCTCTTTTGTGATGGGAGACTTGAACATGCTTCAAAACCATGGCAAAGAGCCAGCTGAGATGGAACAGGTGATCATACAGGAGAGGGAATGTATACCTGACAGGGTAGAGTTTTTGGCGAGTGGAAAGCGATGGGATCCAAAGCACGGAGAGGGAGTGGCCTTGGTTAGGAGGAGGAAGGAAGGTAGGAACAGATATAAGTAAGGCTTGCAGTTTTGGGAGCTGAAGAATGAGGGGATTCCCATGTGACAGCTTCAAGCTTCTCTATGAAGTGACAGCACAAGGGCGTGGTGGGAGATCAAATCTGAGGAAAATGGTCATTTATGAAATGCAATCTCCTACAGACCCTCAGCTAACCGTGGCAATCCTACTCTGTTACTTTGGTTAATTGGGGTTTTACCTGATGGCAAAAGAGAAAAGATGGGGCTAGGAGTTTAAGAGAGTGGCAAGGGTAGGGCCGGGCGCAGTGGCTCACGCCTTTAATCCCAGCACTTTGGAAGGCCGAGGCAGGCAGATTACCTGAGGTCAGGAGTTTGAGACCAGCCTGGCCAACATGGTGAAACCCCATCTCTACTAAAAATACAAAAATTAGCTGGGCATGGTGGCGTACACCTGTAATCCCAGCTACTCAGGCCGAGGCAGGAGAATTGCTTGAGCCCAGAGATGGAGGTTGCAGTGAGCCGAGATCTTGCCACTGCACTCCAGCCTGGCCGACAGAGTAAGGCTCTGTCTTAAAAAAAAAAAAAACAACAAAAAAAGAGAGATTGGCTAGGGGCCTTAGCTCCTTGAGGGCAGGGACCTGTCACATTGATCGCGGTATCAGCACCCAGGTACTTACTATTCAAAATGATCAGCATACGGATGATCATTTGTCTGCATCTCAGTTTGCCTCTTTTGGTGCTTCTCTAAAAAATAAAAAAGGAAGAGCTTAAACTCCTACATGATTCCTGTCTTTGCGCTGGGAAGAAGGCTCTGGGTTCTTTTGTTCTTCAGGACAGTCCCTTGTAAAGCTCTTGCCATAGTTCTGTTCCAGGGGCACTGTCATATTTATACCTAACAAAGCTAAGGGGTGTCTTTACATTTTTAGCTTGTTAGCAGGATGCTTATATGGCCTTGCTGACCCGGTTTAAAAGTTGCAATTTGCAAAATACATACTGAAAATACTGCACTTTTACCTATGGAAGTTGTAATTTATATAAGGAAATTGTAATTTATATAATCCTTTAAAAAACTTACTCATACGAAATAACAGAGAACGGGGAAATACCATTAAGACTGTCATGCTCAAGTGGGGGAGGGGCAGACTCAGGGAAACCAATTAGGAAGCAAGTAAAATAATCCACGCACCAGATGATGGGGGCCTGGACCAAGGTGGTGACAGTGGCGGTTGAGAGAAATGGTAGAATTGTGAATCTATTCTGGGTGCATTTTGAAGGCAGTGCTGACAGACTGAAGGTGAGGAAGAGAAAAACAGGACTCAAACAGGATGCAAGACTCGGGCAACTGGAGGATGGAATTTCCAGCAACTATGATGGATTAAGATTGTGGGAGGACAGGCTTGGCTTGGGGAATTATTGAGCGCTATCTTGGACGAGCTGTGTTTGAGATGCCGTAGACATCCAAGTAGGGATGTGGCAGGCAGCTAAATGCAGGGATCTGGTGTTCAGGGGAGGGGCGAGGGCTGGGAATGCACACTTGGGGCTCACTGGAATTCAGATAGGCTCTGAGTACAGGCGACTGGATGAGTTCATCTAGGGATTGAGTGTAGACAGAAAAAAGGCTCAAGCTCACATTCAGCCGTGAAAACTGGTCTCTGAAAAAAGTTAACCGTTGGCTTAAGTGTGGCAACGAAACGTTAACACGCTGAGGGGAGGGTGTGGATAAAGAGCCCCGAGGCTGGGTGAGTGGGGGACAAACACAGACAGAGAAGACATTTCAAAAGATTTAGATTCCTACGAGATAGGGAGATGCCAGCGCTAAGGTTAGAAAGAAAAACTAATCCAAAGCAAAACAGCAAGTAAGCAGAGGCAAAATCGGAGGTCAGATAGAAGATTCAGATAGAAAAACCCCAAAGTTCCCTCGGTGGGGCGGCGGTGAGATCGGCCTCCGCCCCCTCGCCAGACCCAGGCGCGGCCCCGGGAGCGCTAGGTCACCTCGGCCCAGGCCGTCCCCCTGCCCAGCGGGCCTGAGAGTACGTGTGTCGCCGGGGCGCCCGGTCACTGCCGAGCCGGGGTAGCTGTTCCTTGGCAAACTGTGCCGCGAGGAGGAAACGGCGGGGCGCCAGCGAGGCAGGCAGGGGCGAGGACTGAGTGACCGGCGATACTGGAAGCCCAGAAAGAGCGTAGCAGGAGGGTCCGGAAGGGCCCAGAGCTGGGGCTGTAACAGGGTAACCGGCTGAGGGGGACGACGGCAGCAGCGGGGCCGTTACCTGCTCCGCGCTGTTCCCACGACTGCGCCAACGCCGCAGCGCCGGCGCGTCCCCATGGAAACCCGCGCGCGGGGCCTCCTGGGAAGCGCCGGCCTGCGGGGGCTGGGCGCGCGCATGCGCACTCGGGCAGCAGGAGCCGCGGCGGGGAGGGGCGTCTTGGGCCTGGAGGTCAGTGTGGCCTCGCGTTTGTCTTCGGTGACGGGAAGTGAGTTTCTTGTGTAGACGTCTGTAAACGATCCTCCTGCCGTCCCTGTTCGGCGCCCGGGACCCTGCCTTCCCGCGTGGCCGCACCGAGACGAGGGAGCCTGTCACGCGCTCTGGCGCTCTCCTGACCTCTTAAGGCTCTGTCAGTCTTAGGTAACTTGAGTCAGTAGGTGGGTGTAGACGCCTGGTCAATTCCTGGGAAGCACAGTTCCCCTATTAACCCCTTGTCATAAAGACGATTTTTTTTTTTTTTTTGTAAAACAAAATCTGATGACAAAACAATGCATGTTTGGCATAGAGAATTTAGAAATGTACAGGCAAGTCCAAAGCAAAAGTCAAAATCACCTAGATGATGGAGTTATAGATGTTTTTTAATGACAGCATAGGAATTTGGCATAATTTAGGAAGACTTACATTGTTTCCTTTTATTTATTTACTTTTTTTCCTGCATCAAAGCCATGTTGAATATCCTTGCAGATGAATCTTTGAGGTCACCCCTGACTGTTTCCTTAGGATAAATTCCTACAAGCGAGGTTGCAGGGCCAAAGCATATGCTCACTTTGAGGCTTTCTAAAGGTAGAGGGAAACTGCCTTCCAGTAAGTGTCCCGATACTTGGCCCGCATTGGAAATTCTCTTTTTTCTTAAAATTTTTTTGCCCATTTTATTGTCAAAAATTGGCATCTTTAATTGTATTCACTTCCTTTTTAGTAGGAAGAATAGACTTTTTCCCATATCTTGAGTGCCATTTGTCCTTATTGTGTGATTTGCATTTTCCTGTCTTTTGTCCATTTTAAAACTTGACATTCATCTTTGTAAAAATGGGTTTTGTAAGGACTTTTGATGCTTGAAAACTTGGCTTGTGATATACGTTGCAAATATTTCCTCAATTTGTCAGTTACCTTTAATTTTGTTTACAGTGTATTTTGGTATTTGTGTAGAGTCAAGCTTATTACATTTCTCTATAGTTTCTGCATTTGGTTTTTATATAAAAGGAGAAACGGGTGTTTTTTTTCAAATTGACTTTAATCCTACTTTGGTAGAAGTGGGTTAGGACAAGCTTTCTCTCCATATCACCATTTCTTCCTCTAGAAATGCATGACCCACCCTGAGTTTTGGTGGGCCATGCATTTCTAGAACTCCTTAGGTAGGGAATTATCCGTATAAGATGGGTGCCGGTTGTTTTTGCTGGTGGTGGTGGGCGGGGCAACATCTCCAGGTAGGCAAACATTAGACAAATGTCACTCTAGACTTGACATTATGGAAAGATGGGCTGATGCTTGGTGGGTGGTGGTGGCCCCATGACAGTAACGAGAGCGGAGTTTTGCCATTGCGGGAGCATCCAACCCTGGAGCTCATGACTGGAGGAATTGAAAGGTAGAGTTTCCTGAGAATGGTTTCCTCCTCTTTTCTACCAGCTTTTCCCAGTCTGTAGACATGATAAGTCACTGCAAATCTGCCCTTGAATCTTTCTTTGCTTTCGCTTTTGCTTTTTTTTTTTTTTTTTTTTGAGACGTATCACTCTATCGCTCAGGCTGGAATGCAGTGGCGCCATCCCAGCTCACCACAACCTCCGCTTCCTGGGTTCAGGTGATTCTCCTGCATCAGCCTCCTGAGTAGCTGGGATTACAGGTGTGAGTCACAACACCCGGCTAATTCTTTTTGTATTTTTAGTAGAGATGGGGTTTTGCGATGTTGGCTAGGCTGGCCTTGAACTCCTGACCTCAAGTGATCTGCCCGCCTCGGCCTCCCAAAATGTTGGGATTTCAGGCATAAGCCACCGTGCCTGGCCTTTGCTTTTGCTTTCGAAGGGGTGTTCTTTTCTGTGTACACAATGGAAGGAGAAGAGCCATGGCCTTTCACTATTCTGGGGCCATCTCCATCATGCCACATAAAAAGCATAGCCTTTATTTCTCTATATTAGGTTCCTAGGTTCCTAGGGATGTCATAACAGACTACCACGAACTTAGGGGCTTAGAACAATAGAACTTTATCTTCTCACATTTCTGGAGGTCAGAAGTATGAAACCAAGTTGTCTGAAAGTCCATGTTTCCTCTGAAGGCTCTTAGGGAGAATTTTTTGAGTCTTCCAGCTTATGGGGACTCCTGCTATTCCTTGGCTTGTGGCAGCACCACTCCAATTTCTGCTTCCATCTTCACAGGGTGTTCTTCTCTGTGTCTCCCTGTCTTGTCTTCTTATAAGGACAACCAGTCATTGGACTTAGGGCCCACCCTAAATCCAGGATGATTTAATCACAAGACCCCCTCAACTGATTACATCTGTAAAGACTCTATTTCCAAATAAGGTTACATGCTGAGGTTTGGCTGAACATGAATTTTGGTGAACAATATTCAACCCACTACAGTTATTATGGTAATCATTTCCATCATTCTACATAATAAAGACGTGTCTTTATTTGTCATTTTAAGTTATCTGTAAAGTTATGTAAATCAAAACATATCATCTGGTATCATTTATCATGAGATCATCTGGGGGTCTCTATGAAGTTTGTAGCCCAGTACCTCATGTCTTTAAATCAAAATTAATCAAATCAAAAAGTGATGTTATTTGACTTGTTAAAATATACTCCAACAGACGGACAAAATGAACTCCTGTTTCCTAAAATGAGATGCACCAAAAACAGAATGTCCTACTCGGGAGGCTGAGGCAGGAGATGAATGTGGGAGGTGGAGGTTGCAATGAGCTGAGATCAAGCCACTGCACTCCAGCCTGGTGACAGAAACAAACAAAAAACAAACAACAAAACAAAACAAAACCTCCAGAATGTCACAGCCAGAAGGATGAGGGGTTAGTTACGTATTTTTGCATTATTAACTGCTATTAAGTAAGCAGAAACCAGCTTCGAAAAAGCATAGCCAACACAACTTCAGCTGGAAAATTTCCAACTGACCCCGATAGACTGCCTGATGCCAGCCAATGGAAACATTCCCTCCCTCAGTATGCGCCCCCACCCCCAAACGCCTTGCAGACCTACTACAACTCCAGTTGGACAAAGGACTGGTCTTATAAACATTCTTTATTGATAAACAGCTGCAGACCTCCAGCCAATTTTGGCCAGCTTATAGAAATTGCACATAAAATGTCTTTGTGCCCTATAGTTCACCTGTTGATATAAAGAGCCAAATTCCATCCCATTTTAATGCTAGAACTCCACCCCAAGGTGAACATGGAATGTATGATACATATATGTTTACCCACTGCACACATGCCTGAATTTCCTCATAAATATTAGTAGATCCTCTGCAACCTTGCTCAGTATGTATGTAAGGCTGACTCTGTAAGACACAGATACCAGCTCCTTCCTCCCTTCTGCAGCATGTGCATTTTTGGTTTTTTCTGTAAGCTGCATTCCCCAATCTGCAGGTTGTATCTCCCCCTAAAAATAAAATCTCCTTTCCTTCCTCCGTGGATCTCCTGGTCTTTGTGAACAGACATAAACAGCAAGCACTGGAGATGTTGAATGGTTGGCTGCTTGCATCTTCACTAAATTATACACCTTCTTTCTGAAGTGGATTTTGTAAGTCAGGGGTTCATTGAGCTTTATTTTAAGATGCATTTGGAATGTTCGCTATTCCTGTTAATTATGTTGAAGCTCGTTTGTGTCATTAGTGTAATAATACATTAGAAGGAATCTTTCAGCTGGAGTTTTCAGATTTTTAATTTGTACATTTTTATGGTCATTTCGAAAAGAATAAACTTAAAAAAATTCATAGTGAAAAGGGGGCACTAGGAATTTGAGGGTAGCATCTCAGGAGCTTCTCATGTGGTGTGGAGAGGAATGGGTGAGGCTTAAGTCTTGGATATGCCATTTCCTATTCCCATCATCTCTAGTTCTGTGTCCTCATGGTGAGTGGGCATAATAATGGAACACAGTTTTAGGGTTCTTATACAGGTTAAGGGAGTGGCTTATGCAAAGCACCTAGAGCAGATCTGGCACATGGACAACACCTACAAATTGTTAGCTGTTATTTGAGTAGGAAATTAATTTCTCCCCAGGGTTTGCAGATGGAGGAGGTGTCATTATTGAGGGCAGTTTTCACCTGATATAATCAAGAGATGCGTATTCTCTAGAGCACCTGAGAATCCAGCTATAGTTTATGCTACTAACTTACAAAGTCATTAGAAAATATGCCCCCACTTTCTTCAAGTAATATTTGGAGAAATATGGCATGCTTATGTGGCAGACTTTAAGGTGTGAAAATATATAATTGTATGAAAAAATAATACGTACTGTAGAAATTTTGAAAATGCAGAAAAGAAAAACTGATCTGTAATCCTTGGTGTGCTTTAAAATAAAATTTATAATTCTACTGACTTAAATTTGGGGAACCATTAATCATCTTCATCAAGGACCTTATTTTTGGAGCAGCTAACTTTGCATGTTGAAGCCAAAAGTTAAATGTTGGTAGTCACCTCAATCATTCATTGTGATGTAGGGGCATTTAAGCGATATTCCAGGAACTGGGATATTCCGGGGACTGGGATGTCTTTTCTCGTTGCAGGCACCTACCTGAGGGGGTGGGAAACATGCCTCTGGGGCTCTGGGACTCAGGTGAAGAGGGAGTACAGAAGCCTGGGAGATTCCTCTCTGCTTCGGAACGTCGGTGCCACCCAATCCATGATGGGCAGCAGGGGATTTTAAAAAGGGAGCCGGAGAACAGAGAGAGAGAGAGACAGTAAGAGACTCAGTTATCTAAGCTAAATATCCCCCAAGTGCTTCTTGAAAAACTAGCCCTTTGTCCCTAATGCCCTTGATCTTGATTTTGAAATCTATCAGAAGAATTTGCATAACTGGCATTTGGGCTTCTTTGCTAGATTTTGTATTCCTTTAATTTAATTTGTTTGTTTGTTTGATTTGGTTTTGTTTTAGAGATAAGGTCTTGTTCTGTCACCCAGGCTGGAGTGCCGTGGGTGTGATCATAGCTCACTGCAGCCTCAAACTCCTGGCTAAAGGGCTCAAGGGATCCTTCCACCTCAGCCTTCCAAGTCGCTGGAAATACAGATACAGGCGCCTGCCAACATGCCTGGCTGTTTTTTTTTGTGTTATTGTTGTTGGTAAAGTCGTACCTCAGTATGTTACCCAGACTGGTCTTGAACTTCTGGGCTCACACAATCCTCCTGCCTTGACCTCCCAAGGTGTTGGGATTACAGGTGTGAGACACTGCCCCGGACCTTCTCTAACTTTTAACACAATTCAAAATACCTATATAAATATTAACATGTATAAACACAAATATATATAAATAAACACAAAATACCTATGTAAACAAAGAGCCTGTTATAAACAGATTATTTTGGTTTTTTCCCCAAGCACTTTAAAATAGTTAATAAACTTCAAGTCAGTGACAAGTAAATAAAATAGTGAGACAATTGGCTTGTTGCAGCCATGAGTATTGAGAAGCCAGCGGCTATTTCCCTACCTCCCTGGATGTCAGTGAAACTTTAGATGGCCCATGGCTGGTCAGTTTCTGTTCTTTAGGAGAAACAGGTGGGAAAGAGAGCACACTGGAAACAGCCACTCTTAAAGGCATTTCTATTGTATGACAGTTTACTTAAAAAATTTTTTTTAACCTGCCAGGAAAAAAAACAAAGTTGCTCTTTACTTAAAGGCCTCTGTGGCTATTCTGACCCTTCCAGTTTATTTGTTTGCCAAAAGCCCTTTAAACCCAGCCTCCTCCTAGACTGAGGTGGTGTTTTCTGGGCTTTTCCAGCTCCCAAGAGCTCCTCCCTCACTTCTTTCGCCTCCTGCTGCTCTGTTACCGGGGCCCCACCTCCCTTGGCCCCAAGGCATCTCTGCACAGGTCTCCGATTGGTGCACAGCACAGCCTGGCCTTTTAGGGACTGTTGTCGCGCGTTTAAAGTGATAGGGAAAGGGTCCAGTGGCTGCTTTTATCGACCAATCAAATATTTTCCTGACAGATCCCAAAATATTCCTGGGCCAATGGAGGGAGGAGCCCAAGATGCCTCTGCTGCTCCTTGGAGAGACAGAGCCTCTTAAGTTGGAGCGGGACTGCCGGAGCCCAGTGGACCCCTGGGCTGCTGCCAGCCCCGACCTGGCACTTGCTTGCCTGTGTCACTGTCAGGATTTGTCTAGCGGCGCATTCCCTGACAGGGGTGTGTTGGGGGGAGTCCTCTTTCCAACTGTCGAAATGGTTATCAAAGTGTTTGTTGCTACATCTTCTGGGTCCATAGCGGTAGGTGTCTGGTGGACTCTTTCTTCCTATACTCTTTTCTGAATAACTTAGGGTTGGAAATATGGCCAACGTTGGCCTTCAGTTTCTTTTTTGCGTGTAGTCAGCTGTGGCTCTGCAATAAGTATGTGCGCCCTTTGCTTTCTGCATTTGATTTCATAGTGTTGAAAAAGCATGGAAAGGGTGTAATCTGGATGGCTGGGTGTGAAAAGGGATTCGAGTAAGGAGGCGTGCTTGACACTAGAATTTTTAACATGTGATTTGTGTTGTGTTGCCTTGTGAATATCATAGAAGCAGGGACTTTTTTGTATGTGTTTCTGCCATTCATTCTGCAAGGCTTAAACTAATTTAAAATTGTAAATAAATGATACTTTGTGTAACACTGTTTGGAGCGGATGATGAACCAGATTGCTAAAATGACTCTGGGGTGTAATCACTTGTATATGCCATGTAATGATGTAACCATACTGAAAGTGTAAAGTTAGCATGTGTAATCCATTGTTTGAGGAAAGTGATGTCACAGTGACCAGAGCAGACATCTCTCAGGCCACAGTTATAAACACTCCAGGCATTCAGACGGCCCCAAAATAAGAGCTGAAAGCCGACCTTCATAACCAGTGCTTTGTCTAATTTTCTTGAGACCATCTACCTCTTCAATTCTGGCCTTCATTCTGTGCAAGCTGGACCTGCCGTAAGAAATAGGGGTGATGAAGTGACACATTTCTCTTTGGAAATGGGTCAGACTTTGATTTTAGGCTTGAACCTATATAGTGTCTGTCTGTCTGGAACTGATATTTCGACCAGCATTTTAGCAGCAGTTAGGAAGGCTGTGGAGAGAAAAAACAGTTTTATTAAACCCAAGAGTTAGAGACCAGCAAGGCGGCTGTTCCTTTTATATCTAGTTTCTGGAGGATCTCAGGTTTCGGCTGGGATTTCAGCAGCCACTCTGCCAGAAACAGTACCCAGAGTAAGCCATTGGCTGGGGTGACAGCCCCAAAGGCAGCCGCTGAGTGCCACCACTCCCAGCCCCGAAAGTTCATGAGGTTTCCAGAGAGGGTGAGAAGAAAGCAAGAGAAAATAGCTTGGCTGTCCCTTTTGCTAAGTACAACTGAGCAGCTATTGTTTTAGTGATCTCTAGAACAAATTAGCCGAAAAAGATGAGAACACACTCCAAATGTGAAACTCTGCGAAATCTTTTGTGGCTATTGATGACTGCTGAAACTTTCAGTTGATCTAGAAGGAGTAAATTTTTTGGCTATTGGATAAAAAAATTTTTTTGGGGGGGAAAATGGTTTTGGTGGGCTCTAAATACGTTGTTGATGCTCATTGCTAAAAACTTTACCTCTTACCAGCCAGTCCTCTATATATTCTGTAGACCTGGTCTACATATTCTTCAGAAGACAATCAATAAGTTAATGGATTTTTAAGGTTTATTTGATGTCCTGTGTTCTTGAAGTTTGGGCCCATAATTTAGTTAGCTTTGGATGACCTGGAGAGGCAATGTTCATCCCAGGGTCTTGGAAAAGCCATTAGTTTTGGTTCCCTAAGCAAATGTTTCAGTGCCACTTGTAACTGTATGACCTTGGGAAAGTTATTTCACCTTGTTAAGCCTCAATTTCCTTGTCTGTAAAATGAGGATAAGAATAGTGCCTACATCATAGTGTTGTCATGAGGACTGATGAAATGATGTGCGTGGGTGCCCCGCATGGTGTCAAGTGTTTATCAGCACTCAAGAAATATTCTAATGATTAGTGAATGTTATTTATACTTACTAGCTGCTATTAGTTAATATTAGTTGCTACTATAATTGTTATTATTAGTTAGTTAATGAATATTAATTAGGATTTCAGTTACAATTATTAGTTACTATAATTATTAGCTAATATTATTTAGTAGATCAGGGTCTATGATCAGTATGTGTGAGAAGAATTTTCCAGAACCACATACATGAGAGAATTTCTGCCTTAGCCGTAAGAATGAGAATTGATTATCCCTGCGATGTCAGTGCTAATGATTTTTCATGGGTAGAGAAATTTCACTCAAAACTTCTTGGCAGGAAAACCCTAGAGTGGCTTCTTGTGCCCATGCTACTGTGTGGCAGTCAGTCTGCCAAGCCTTTCCTACTTATTTCTTCAGCCTGTACATTTAAAAAATGGATTCTTGCCTGATACCTCATCAGTAAGGGCATTCTGACTTCTGTTGGTTGAATGAAATAAATGAGAAAGGAAAAGCAAATTGTAGTCTCCTTATGAGGAATTAAATACATGCAGCTGTGTATTACATCTCAATTTTAATAGTTGACTTCAAAGAGCTGTGGCACATTTTACCACGTTCTGGACGGATTTGGGTTAAGAGACCCTGGGGAGCAGGAGAGGGCGCGTGACTTCTTCTAGGACCCTCCTCTCTTCCAGAAGGCCACAGTGGGGCAGGGGGGACAAAGGGAGAGAGGACAGTCCCTGCCGTCTCCAAGATGCACAGCCCCTGGAACCGATCTTTAAGGACAGACCCTCATAGTGGCTCTTGGGCTTCACAGTCCTTTCTCCATTTTGATTGACAGTGTAAATATCGTGGGAAAAATATGACTCTTGAATTAGATCGTTGAGTGTCATTCTTGGAAAATTCATTCATTTATTGGAGCCTCAGCATTGTTATAAAATAGCCATCCAAATACCTACCTAGATGGCCCGTGTGACAGTGCACTGGGATGGTAGTGTGCTATGTGGTGCCTGACAGTGCAGGTTTTCAGCCTAAGGTACAAAATGCTTTTCCATGCATCATCTTCTTCAGTTCCCACCAAAACACTGTGAGGAAGGCATTGTTACATCCAGTTTGCAGATGAAGAAATTGGAGATCAGAGCCCTTGCTCAGAAAGCAGCCTTCCAAGCTAGGATGGAAACACAGGTCGTCTCTGGCTCGAATCCAGTGTGCTTTATACTACAGTACAGTGATCTCAGTTGGAAAGTCTCCTAACTGTACAAGACAATAAACGAGAGGTGCCAAGTGAGTGGCAATAAGAGGTGCTGCTGTCAGATCACTCTGACACAGTCTAGTAGCTAACAGTGTCTGGGTGACTTTAGGACAGAGAACAATACTTTCTTATAAGTAAATGTAACAGGATAGGAAAACGGAGCTCTCTGAGTCTTCACTGAGGTCCCAAAGGCTCCAAACAATGACACACACCCCAAATACCCCCAGATCCTGTAGAGCCACTACTCAGGACAGACAGTGCAGCCTGGGGGGCCAGCATGGGCCATGGCACCCTGGAGGGTGGAGAAGGGGCAAAGGGGGAGAGGTGAAGAGTAGGAGTGTGTCCATGATGGGAACTGATGGGGTGCTATGCACACCCCTCCCTCTGGGCCATAAAGAGATGGACTCTTCCAAGAGCTGATACTGTGTCCCTGGGAGTCAGCTCAGCAGGCGCTGTGAGGAGCTGCACTTTGCAGGCCCACAGGAGCTCCTTGATCAGGGACCCTGCAAGGGGGAGGATTTTGGAGGAGAGGGGCCCCATGCTAGAGCCGGGGCACAGGGGTGCAGCAAGACGACAGTGCCGGCCAGGTTAGCTCATGTGCTCACTCCCCTCTTCCCTCCTCTGGCCTGGATCCTAAGACCCTTTTCTGCAGGCTCCCAGCCCAGGCAGAACTCAAGTGCCCTGAATAGCGTGATAAGCAATGCACTGGGCTCTGTTTAAATGACTAGTGTTTGGGGGATTACAGGGGGCAAACAGATTTCATTTTTCTTCTTCTTTTTCTCCTTTTTTGGGGATGAGGGCTGAGAAATGGCACTTAACACAATGCCATGCGTCCAACAGTCCCGCAATGGACCTGGATGCAATTGCCTGTCTTGTGAAGCTTAATCGCAAGCATGGTCTTCCCCTCCCATTGTCTCCATCTCTTTTTGCCTTTCTAATAGAAGAAACATAAGTCAAGACTTTTGGAAATATTTTTCATCTATTCCAAAATTATGGAATAAAATATAGCTTTTTTCCCATCCCACATCAAGCCCTGAGGCATGGTTGATAGAAATAATGTTGGTGAGGTGGCTTGGACCTGGGCCAGCTGCCTCCCAGGCCAATTCGTGCTCCCAAGAGGGTATCTTAGAAGGCTTTGGAGAAAGAGCAGACAGGGGTTTGGACCGAATAAAGGAGTTGCCTTCTGAATAGTTAATTAAAAGTAAAACTGCCTAAAATGAAGGCATCTCTACTCTTTGAAACAGCAAAGTCGTCTCTGAAAAGATGTAAGGGAATAAGTGCTTTATAAAATGGCGTGAATAGTTATGGACAGGTTGGAAAAGATGTGTAGAGAATGCGATTAATTAAAATGATGATTTAGTCCAACAACCTGTCATCAGGTCTGATGGGATTTTGTAATGTTGAAAATTCAGCCGTGAAACTGTGGAATTTGGAGCAGTTTCCATGTGGGGTAGCAGTTTCCGTGTGGGGTAGCAGTTTCCATGCGGGGTAGCAGATTCCATGCGGGGTAGCAGATCTAGTGCCAGGCATCCACGGCACAGCTGTGGGAGGAGGGCACCTTGGTGGGGAGCACGCACCTCCTCCTTTGGTTCTCATAGGCCTGATCCTGGGGAATTACCAGAGTCCATATGCCAGAAGTTTAAGAGAAATTCCATCATTCCACACCTTTCTGTCTATCTATATTTATTTGTCCGTGCTTGCCCCAAACTGCAGTACCTTTGTTGGCCTGAGTCTTACAGATTGAGTAAGTGTTGTGTTGTGGCAAACAGAGCCTTTAATTTATTGATCCACTGTCTTTAGTTCCATTGTCTTTTTTATATTGATGGTATAAGTGTTAATTAAATTAAATGCGTGATTACCATTTATATAAGTTTATATGTGATTTGTATACTTATTTATATAAAATTTTATAATATATATTGACTGTCAATTTTGTTTTAAAAATTAACATAGTAAATATAAAATTTAAAAAAATTAAGAATTACTTGATATTAATTTATATTATATACCATATATAATCAAATCACCATCAAGAACAAATTATATATAAATCATATAAATTATGTATATTATGTAAGTTATATTACATTATATTATATAAATTATATAAAAATCATATATAGTTAAATATAAAAATCTTATTATATTATATTGTTATATATAAAAGTCATATATAAGATTATTATAATATAGTTACATATATAAATCTTATTATATATAAGATTATTATATATTATATAGTTACATCTATAAATCTTATATATAAGATTATTATATATTATATAGTTATATATAAATCTTATATATAAGATTATTATATATTATATAGTTATATATAAATCTTATGTATAAGATTATATATTATATAGTTATATATATAAATCTTATATATATGATTATTATATATTATATAGTTATATATAAATCTTATATATAAGATTATTATATATTATATAGTTATATAATTTGGTCTTGGAGGTGATTTGGTTCTAGGGCTTAAGTATCCAGATTTGTCTTACCTTTCCTTATATTATGAAACACCCAGCCGGGCACTGTGGGTCTTGCCTGTAATCCCAGCACTTTAGGAGGCTGAGGCAGGTGGATCACTTGAGCCCAGGATTTTGAGACCAGCCTGGGCAGCATGGTGAAACTCCATCTCTACCAAAAATTAGCCAGACGTGGTGGTGTGCGTCCATAGTGCCAGCTATTCGGGAGGCTGAGGTGGGAGAATCACTTGACCCTGGGGAGATTGAGACTGCAGTGAGCCAAGATCGTGCCACTGCGCTCCAGCCTGGGCAACAGAGGGAGACCCTGTGTCAAAAGAAAAAACAAGAAACAAAAAAAACAAGAAACAAAAAACCCCAAACAAAGAAACACCCTAACACCCTATACATGAGTCATTAAATTTGTCAAAAGTGAATAAAATAGATATTTTGGTTTACATGTCTCTAAGAAAGGAGTTGAGTTTAGTTAAAAGAGGGTTTGCATCGAGATATTAGATTTGGGATAGACATGTACCTTTTACAGCATTTGTTTGAAACCCTCAAAGTGTAGTCCTTCTTGTAAACAAGGCACATGAAAATGACAAGGGGCTCTTGTGCTCTGTAAAACATTTTTGTGAGTTGTTTTTATATGAGATGGTATTCTATTCAGAAGACTTTTAAAAAATTGAGATATTAGATACTGTCATGTCAAAGAAAATTTTTAAAGTTTATTTATTTATTTATTATTTTTATTTTTTTTAAAATTTGAGACAGAGTCTTGCTCTGTTGCCCAGGCCAGAGTACAGTGGTGCAATATTGGCTCACTGCAACCTCTGCCTCCCGGATTCAAGCGATTCTCCTGCCTCAGCCTCCTGAGTAGCGGGATTACAGATGCGTGCCACCACACCCAGCTAATTTTTGTATTTTTAGTAGAGACAAGGTTTCGCCATGTTGGCCAGGCTGGTCTCAAACTCCTGACCTCAGGTGATCCACCTACCTTGGCCTCCCAAGATGCTGGGATTATAGGCATGAGCCACTGTGCCTGGCCTAAATCTCACTTTTTTTTTTTTTTTTTGAGACAGAGTCTTACTCTTTCACCCAGGCTGGAGTGCAGTGGCATGATCTGGGCTTACTGCAACCTCTGCCTCCGGGGTTCAAGTGATCCTCCCGCCTCAGCTTCCCAAGTAGCTGGGATTACAGACATGCGCCACCACGCCTGGCTCATTTTTGTATTTTTAGTAGAGACGAGGTTTTACCATGTTGGCCAGGCTGGTCTCGAACTCCTGGCCTCAGATGATCTGCCTGCCTCAGCTTCCTACAGTTCTAGGATTACAGGCCTGAGCCACCGTACCCGGCCAAGTTTTAATCTTACTCTTAATAAATGGCCATACTTTTGCCTCAGTATCCTGAGTGTATTCTATATCCATATTGTACCAATTAGTTCTGTGGTTTTTTTTTTTTCACCCAAACAAGCAGTTTAAGAATCTGTTCACATGAAGGACTTGGCACAATGTCTTGTGCAAAGTAGAGAGTCAATAAATAACTGTTGATTGATTATTTGTTTTATTACCCTTTCTTTCTCCTCCTTCCCTCCCTCTCTCCCTACCTACCTTCCTTCCTTCTTCCTTTTTTCTTTTTCTTTCTTTTTTTTTTTGAGACGGAGTCTCACTCTGTCGCCAGGCTGGAGTGCAGTGGCACGATATCTGCTCACTGCAACCTCCGCCTCCTGGATTCAAGCAATTGTCCTGTCTCAGCCTCCCAAGTAGCTTGCACTACAGGTGCGTGCCACCATGCCCAGCTAATTTTTGTATTTTTAGTAGAGACAGGGTTTCACCATGTTGGCCAGGATAGTCTCGATCTCTTCACTTTGTGATCCGTCCACCTTGGCCTCCCAAAGTGCTGGGATTACAGGCATGCACCGCCATGCCTGGGCCTTTTTCTTTCTTTCTTTCTTTTTCTTTCTGACAGGGTCTTGTTCTATTGCCAAGGCAGGAGTGCAGTGATGTGATCATAGCTCATTGCAGCCTCCACCTCCCAGGCTCAAGTGATCTTCCCACCTCTTGAGTAGCTGGGACTACAGGCATGCACCACCACACCTGTCTAATTTTTAAATTTTTTGTAGAGATGTGGTCTCTACAAAAACTTTTTGTAGAGGCCCCATCTCGACAAAAATTTGTTTGCCCAGGCTGGCTGGTCTTGACCTCCTGGGCTCAAGTGATTCTTCCACTTTCAGCCTCCCAAAGTGCTGGGATTATAGGTGTGAGCCACTGCACCTGGTCTGATTACACTTTTTGTAAGTTTCTCCCTGTGGTTATTAAAATGGGGTCCACACAGTCTGCTGTAACTTATTTGCCAGTGTTTATAAAAGATGGCATCATACATTTTCAGGAGTGAATTCTTTGAAGAAAGAAAATTGTAATTGCTTTTGTAATTGTTTATGGGGAAGGAGTTCTAAGTGTGAGAGATGGCCACGTTGGTAAGAAATGGCTACTGGCAGATACAGTCATTACGTGTTACACAGGTAGAGAAAGGACATTCAACCATGTTCCCTTAGGTGTGGCTGCACTGAACTCAGAGAGGAGCCAGGTGTGAGTAGGAAAGGAGGAATCTGTGGGAGAAAAGGGTTGTTTTGTTGTGTGGCTTTTTTATGTGCTGGGAGAAACATCCTCCAGCTTTTTCTAGCCTCTGCTTGTGCCCTTCCCCTCCAGTAGTCTCTGTGTGAGCTTTTTAATCTCCTGTAATATTTCTAAAGCTACTTTTAGTTCAATGTGACTAATACTCTTATTTTCATAACTGAATGAAATGCATTTTAGTGTGGGTATACTTGATATTTGAATTTCATAGTAAAGTATCTTTTTTATTTTATTATTTTGCTTTATTTTTTAAAAATTAAACTAAAAAATTTTTTTTGAGACAGAGTCTCACTCTGTCGCCCAGGCTGGAGTGCAGGGCTTACTGCAACCTCCGCCTCCCAGGTTCAAGTGATTCTACTGCCTCAGCCTCCCGAGTAGCAGAGATTTCAGGCGCATGCCACCACGCCCGGGTAATTTTTGTATGTTTAGTAGAGATGGGGTTTCACCATGTTGGTCAGGCTGGTCTCGAACTCCTGACCTCGTGATCCACCCACCTTGGCCTCCCAAAGTGTTGGGATTACAGGTGTGAGCCACCGCACCCAGCCTTCTATTCTTCTTTAAACAAAATTTTTATTTTATTTTTAAGAGACAGGGTCCCGCTTTGTCACCCAAGCTGGAGTGCAGTGGCATGATCAGCACACTGTAACCTCGAACTCCTGGGCTCAAGCAATCCTTTTGTCTCAGCCTTCCAAAATGCTGGGATTATAGGCGTGAGCCACATTGTCTGGCCTCTTTTTTCTCTTCTTTCCCTTTTCCCAATCCCTTGTCTTCCCAATTCTGACTTACTTTTTGGCCATTAAAGCTTTGCAAAAAATTAAAAGTATTTTGAAGACTGCAAAAAAGATACGAGAGCATCTCTATTCCAATTAGGTCATGTGAAAAGACAACATTACAACTCATCTAGTTTTGTAGATTTTTTTTTTTTTTTTTTTTGCGACAGTTTTGCTCTTGTTGCCCAGGCTGGAGTGCAGTGGCGCAATCTTGGCTCACTGCAACCTCCACCTCCTGGGTTCAAGCGATTCTCCTGCTTCAGTCTCCCGAGTAGCTGGGATTACAAGGCATGCGCCACCACGCCTGGCTAATTTTGTATTTTTAGTAGAGATGGGGTTTCTCCATGTTGGTCAGGCTGGTCTTGAACTCCTGACCTCAGGTGATCTGTCCACCTTGGCCTCCTAAAGTGCTGGGACTATAGGTGTGAGCCACTGTGCTTGGCTGTTTGTAGATCTTAATTGGCTTTTGTGATTCCAGAATCTGGCAGCAGTCAGACCAAAAAATGGTTCACAAAGCTCTGCCCCACCACACGTGCAGGTTATATTTATCGCCAGAGAAAAGGAAATAACATTCAGAAAAAGGATGTGAGGTACAGACAGCTAGGTTGGGTTATAACTCAGTATTTGCCTTATTTGAAAGTGGTTTGAACAGTTGGCCGCCTGTGATTGGCTGAAGCTTGTCTGCTGTCAATGACTGAAACTCAGCTCTGGTTACAAAGGCAAATTTCTAGTTAGGTTTTCAGTTTGTTTATGTACTAAGCTAGGTTGCAGTTCATTACCTAGGACTCCTATGGAGTCTTCTAAAGCCCAAATTTAGTTTTAACAGTTGATTATACAATAATTAATTAATTATTTTATTTATTTATATTTTTTTGGGATGGAATCTTGCTCTGTCACCCAGGCTGGATTGCAGTGGCATGATCTCGGCTCACTGCAACCTCCACCTCCCAGGCTCAAGTGATTCTCCTGCCTCAGCCTCTCAAGTAGCTGGGATTACAGGCGTGTGCTACCATGCTTGGCTAATTTTTGTATTTTTAGTAGAGACAAGGTTTCACCACGTTGGTCAAGCTGGTGTCGAACCTCTGACCTCAAGCGATCCACCTGCCTTGGCCTCCCAAAGTGCTGGGATTACAGGTGTGAGCCATCGCACCCAGCCTGATTATATAATAATTTAAGCATTGATGATACTAAAATTTCAGAATTTAAATAGTCATTTGGTTGACCCTTTATAACAAAGAGGTGTGATTCTATTATTTTCCTTGTTTGAATACTTAACAAAATTATTTGTGTTGTATAGTATAACTAGAGGAAGGATTTAATTTTTGTAAATGTAAGCAAAATATTTTTCATAAACAGCCTAATATTTCTCTACTCTTGACCAGATTAGGAAGAAACAGCAAGAAGTAGTGGGTTTTTTGGAAGCGAATAAAATCGACTTTAAGGAATTAGATATTGCTGGAGATGAAGACAACAGGAGGTGGATGAGAGAGAATGTTCCTGGAGAGAAAAAACCTCAAAATGGGATTCCTTTGCCTCCCCAGATCTTCAATGAGGAGCAGTACTGTGGGGTGAGTATGTGCTTCTATTAAAAATCCTGCTGTGTGTGTGTTTATTAGAAATTTTCTAAAGCAGATTAAGTTTGAGTCAGCATTTGAAATTATTCACAACTGTCAGGTCATGGTCTATTTCTGCCATCCAATAGCTGGATGGTAGATCCATTATGAATAATCAATATTTAAGATTTAGAAAAGGACAGAAACAATATCATGATGATTCAGAAGTTTTGGGGATTATTTCAGGTTCTTTGTTTTATTTTGAAGAATTGAGGTCACATGTTCAGAAAATACATACATTTAGCTAGGAATTCTGTTCAGCCTTGCAGTGTGCACACACGTGTATCTGCAGAGGAACATGGTAAGTTTTCTCTGTCACCCAGGCTGGAGTGTAGTGGTGCAATCATGGCTCACTGCAGCCTCTTTCTCTTGAGCTCAAGCGATCCTCTCACTTCAGCCTCTTGAGTAGCTGGGACTGCAGGAGTGCAGTACTCCACCCAGCTAATTTCTAAATTTTTTGTAGAGACAGGGTCTCCCTATGTTGCCCAGGCTGCTCTGGAACTCCTGGCCTCAAGTGATCCTCCTGCCTTGGCCTCCCAAAGTGCTGGGACTACAGGTGTGAGCCACGGTGCCCAGCAAGTTTTCACTTTTATAAAATTGATTTGTAGAAATAAAGTCTTACTATAGATACAAGATACATTTGTGTAACTTTAATTAGTTTGAAAACTGTTCTGGGCATTTTGGTTATAACAACAATTTTGTTTTATACATTTGATAGTTCATTTCACCATGAGATCACTTTTTTTCCCCAGAGTTTATAGATCATACTTAATAAATCAAGTCGTTGGAAAGAAATATTTTTAAAAAAGGACTTCAGAATATGAGAACTGAAAATTAACTTAGAGGTCATCTAAGCCATCTAGGGTTTTTGCAGATGAGGAAATGAGAGCTGTGTGAAGTAGAGGGAATGTCTCAGCGCCATGCGCCTGGGACTGCTGGAGCCAGGTGGAGGAATCTTATCTGACCTCTTCTCTTGCTGCACAGAACTGCTGGTTCTTTAGGTTACTTTTTTAAAAAATTGTTTACTGCCACTGTCTGTTTTATAAATTTATAAATGAATGTCCACACTCATTCATTTACCTATTGTCTGTGGCTGATTTAGCACCATGGCAGATTTGAATAGATGCAGCAGAGGCCATATGATCCACAAAGCCAAGAAGATTTACTATCTGCTTGTTCACAGAAAAGTTTGCGGACCTCTCATTTGAAGGATGAATTGTGTAGTTGTTGGGGGCTTGTATTAGCTTCCTAGGGTTGCTGTATCAAACTACCACACACACGGTGGCTAAAAACAACAGAAATTTATTCTTTCACAGATCTGGAGACTGGAAGTTCGAAATCAAGATGTGGGTGCAGGGTTGGTTCCTTCTGAAGGCTCTGAGGGAGAATTCGTTCTATGCTTCTTTCCTAGCTTCTAAAGCTTGCCACCGGTTCTTAGCACTCCTTGGCTTATGGAAGTGTCTCTGATCTCTGCCCTCATCCTCACATGGAGTGTGTCTCTCTGTGTTCACATGGCCTTCTCATAAGGACAGCAGTCATGGGAATAGGGCCCGCCCTCATCCAGTATGGCCCCATCTTAACTAATTACAACTACAAAGATCCTATTTCCAAATAAGGTAACCCTCTTTTTTTTTGAGATGGAGTTTCTCTCTTGTCTCCCAGGCTGGAGTGCAGCAGTGCAGTATCAGCTCACTGCAACCTCTACCTCCTGGGTTCAAGTGATTCTCCTGCCTCAGCCTCTTGAGTAGCTGAGATTACAGGCGTGTGCCACTACGCCTGGCTAATTTTTATAGTTTTAGTAGAGACAAGGTTTCACCACATTGGCTGGGCTGGTCTCGAACTCCTGACCTCAGGTGATCCACCTGCCTTGGCCTCCCAAAGTGCTGGGATTACAGGTGTAAGCCACCGCGCCCGGCCCAAATAAAGTCACTTTCTGGGGTTCCAGGCTGACATGGATTTATGGGAGACACTGTTCAGTCCAGCAGAGGGCTATACAAACTTATGTGGTTGTGTTAGCATTCTTCAGAGGCTTAACCAAAAGTCCTGTGGGTGTGGAAGTATTTTCAAACAATCTTAATGTGGTAGCATATATTAAGGTGAACATGTGGTCCAGTTCAAATTCCTCCTCACCCCTCGCTCCTGTCCTACCCACATCTTCCCCACCTTCCTTTACCTGACCCACATTTCTCAAAATTGTGGCTCTTGTTGGATAAGGAAAGGGATAATATTTTTTTAGGGGGGATGGTGGTGATGAGGAATTTTATTTCTTATAAAATCATTTCTATTATATAATTGAAAAATTAATATATATGCCCACTGAAAAATTAAGGTGATTCAAAATGGTATCTAGTGAAAATTATTCCCCTCCATTTCTATTTATTATTTATTTATTTAAGAGAGAGAGTCTTGCTGTGTTGCCCAGGCTGGAGTGCAGTGGTGCAATCATGCCTGGGTAATTTTTAATTTTTAAAATTTTTTGTAGTGACAAAGGGGTCTCACTGTGTTGCCCAGGCTGGTCTTGAACACCTGGCCTCAGGCAAACTCCTGGCCTCCCAAAGTATTGGGATTACAGGCATGAGCCACTGTGCCTGGTATCCCCTCCAATTTCTGACCCCTGTCATTCTGGCTACCTTCCCCTGAGCCAGGCTGGCTCTGTGGGCCTGTGATCTGGGATACCACACAGGACCCCATCCACAGGAGGGCTCTGTACTTGTTTAATGTTCTCCTATTGCTGTCTTGAAATTCTCAACCATTTTTGAAGGAAGGGCCTCATGTTTTCATCTTGCACTGGCTCTTTTGAATTCTGTAGCTCGTCCTACTCTGAGGCAGCCAGTGTTGGCAATTTCGTGTTTGGGTTTGCAGAAATTTTCTATGTAGATTTACAACTGAATGTCATTTAAAAAATCAGAGTGTATCATATACGACTTTGTTTTCTTGACTTAATAACTGCATCTCAGAGTTCACAGTATAGCTGCCCATGCTTATTTTATTTGTTTTAATTTTATGATAGGGTCTCACTGTGTCACCCAGGTTGGAGTGCAGTGGCGCAATCATAGCTCACTGCAGCCTCAAACTCCTGAGCTCAAGCGATCCTCCTGTGTCAGACTCCTCAGTAGCTGGGACTACAGGTGTGCACCACCACACCTCGCTAATGTTTTTTATTTTTTGTAGAGATAGGGTCTCACTGTATTTCCCAGGCTGGTCTCACACTCCTGGCTTCAAGTGATGCACCCATCTTGCCTCCCGTAGTGTTGGGATTATAGGTGTGAGCTGCTGTGCCTGGCTGCCCCATATTTTAATGTCTGCAAAATGTTCCATTGTGTGTGACAATTTTTTGGCTTGGTCCTCTAATGAAAAACATTCAGGTTGTTTTCAGCCTCTCCCCCTTACAAACAGTGCTGTAGGAATTATCTTTATACATAACAGATCTTTGTATCCGGTATGAGTGTGTATATATATATGTAGGATAAATTCCTGGAAGACATCTGAGTTAAAGTACATACGCGTCTCACATTTTGATCAATATTGGCAAATGCTCCTCTGTTGCAGTTGTACTAGTTTACATTTCCACCAGCTGAGTTTGAGAGTGGCTAGTTCTCCGTGACTTTGACAACACTGTGCATAGCATACTTTTGCAACTTTGACAATCTGTTTGGTAAAACATGAATTCTCATTGCTTCTACCTGGATTTCTTTCTTTATGGGTAAATTGAACATCTTTTAAAACTACATTTATAAATTATCTGTGCTTTTTCTATGATTTACCTATGCATATTCTTTGCTGTTTTCCAATTGGGTTATAGGTAATGTTTACTGGTTTGTAAGAGTCTTTGCATATGAAAGAAAGTAGCCCTTTGACCATATGTATTACTTCATTCTCACGCTGCTAATAAAGACGTACCCAGGACTGGATAATTTATAAAGGAAAGAGGTTTAATTGACTCACAGTTCAGCATGGCTGGAAAGGCCTCAGGAAACTTACAATCATGGTGGAATGGGAAGGAAGCATGCCCTTCTTCACATGACCACAGCAGAGAGAAGTGCAGAGTGAAGATGGGGAAAAGCCCCTTATAAAACCATCAGATCTCATGAGAACTCACTCACTATCATGAGAACAGCATGAGGGAACCACTCCCATAATTCAGTTACCTCTGACTGGGTCCCTTCTATGAGACAGATTATGGGAACTACAATTCAAGATGAAATTTGGGTGGGGACACAGCCAAACCATATCACCATAGATGTTGCAAATATTTCCTCCACATTTCTTACTTGTCTTTTGACTTTCAAAAGGGATTTTTTTTTTGCAATGCAGAACTTAAATTTTTTTTGTGTAGCCAAATATATTAAATCTTTTCTCTTTGTGATTCCTGAATTCAGATTTTTGTTAAGGAAAGCTTTCTGTGCTCAGAAATTATCAGAAGAATCATCTCATGTTTCCTTCTAGTACTTTTCCAGGGAAAATAAGATTTTAAATGTCTTAGTTTGCTTATTTTAATCATCCTTTTAAATTTAAGTGAGTTACAGTAGACACAAGATTAATGTAGGTGTCCACCAATGTTAACTCCTAGGATAAAATTACTACAGTTATTTTCTGCTATAAAAAAGAAGATTTCAAAGTCATCTCTTATCCCAGTTTGCTGTGATCTAGTAATTTTTTTTTCATTTTAATTGCGGAGGAGAAAGAAAAGGTTTTCCAAATAATGACTGCTATTTTTAAGATGTATTTTCCTATAACAAATATGGATCTAATGAAATAAATATACAAATTATTTCATGTTTAACTGTTTCTATTCTTTTTATTTCTACCTTCAGAGAAGTATTTGTAGTTTACCTTATGAGAAGCTTTGCTTAATTTGCTTTTCTGTGGTCTATGGACACACTTACAAAAGTATATTCATGAAGAAGAGGGCTTTGTTTCCAGAAAGTAGGTAAAAATGATTATTTTTATTTGTATGCTCAGATTTTAAAAGGAGACTCAAAAATTCTGAAGGATATGCAGGCTCAAAATAATGTTAGTCTAGATAGTCAATGTCTCTTTCTACATGATTAAAATGTATATAACTATTATTTAAGTGGTCTCCCTGGCTTCTGAAGATTCTTGGTCAGTCATATGCCATGCCTGATGATGGCAGCAGGTGGAAGGAGACCCCAGAGGCAAGCAGTAGATTTCATTGGGCAGTGAGGGGATTGGACATCAAGGGTAGTCCTCAGTGCCTTCCTGCCCCTGCCAGTTTGAACTTCTGCTACTCTATGCAGAGCAAATGAAGATATTATCCTGAGAGCCAGGGCAGACAACTGTTAGATTGAGAAAGGAGACACCACACTGGAAGCCAGGCACAGTTGAGGCCAGGCTCCCCGCCTGACAGAGGAATGTGAACTGGAAAGAGCAGACACATCTCTTGATGACAAGTTGGCATCTGTGCATTTTAGCCCAGGTAAGGGCCGGAGTGCCTGCCTGGGACCAAGATAGCCTGGGCCTGACTGAACACAAACAAAGAAGACCTAGATCGTTCAGCACAGAGGTGCCCATTTAGCAGAGGTATGAGTGTCTCCGGGTACTCAGGGCTGTAAGGAAACACAGGATGCAAACCCAGTTAGGGTGGGGAGAGGGCTTCTCAACATATCGATGTTACTGAACAAACTATGTTATGTTCCTAAAATTTATTCTGAAATATGCCGTATGTGATAAGAAATACATAATTTAAAAAGGAGTGATACAGTGAGCAACCATTGTATGCACTATCCAGTTTAAGAAGGACAGTATACTATTACCAGAAATGTGGAAGCCCTCTGTGTGCCTCTCTCCCTGATCCCATCCCTTCCCCTCTGCACCAGTGATAGTCATTGGAAAGAAAGGGTCTTGCTTTGTCACCCAGGCTGGAGTGCAGTGGCACGATCATGGCTCACTGCAGCCTCAACCTCCTGTACTCGATCGATCCTCTTGCCTCAGCCTCCTGAATAGCTGGGACTATAGGTGTGCAGCACCACACCTAGCTAAATTTTGTATTTTTTGTAGAGATGGCATCTCCCTATGCTGCTGAGGCTGGTCTTGAATTCCTGGGCTCAAGCAATCCTCCTGCCTTGACCCCCCAACGTGCTGGGATTACTGGTGTGAATCACTATGCCTAGACCTTATTTTTCATTTAAAAACCTTTGTCTTCTTTTACCTCCCTGAATATGCACATAGTTTACTATGACACATGTGTTCCCATTGCAATTCCTTATTCCCAAACAAATATAATTTTCTTTTAGAGAGCCTCTTGTTCATCTGGGAAGCTTGCTAGGCTTGGGTTCTTCTCTGTGGGAAATGTTTCAATTTCCTTAATGAATGGACTGTTTAGGCTTTCTACTTTTTCATAAGTTGGTTTTCATAATTCTGTTTCTATAAATTCTAAGATGTCTAGTTTTTTTTTTTTTTTTGAATCAGGGTCTTTGTCTGTTGCCCAGGCTGGAGTGCAGTGGTGCCATCATGGCCCATGGCAGCCTTGAGCTTGTTTTTAAGTTTTAAAGTCTAGTATAACATTTTTTTTCAAAAGTAAGAGGAAGGTACAGAAATTTCCCATGTACCCCCTGTTCCCACACATGCAGAGCCTCCCCCATTATCAACATCCCCCCAAGTTTTAAATAAGATATTCTTAAGACCTGTTTAAAATAGGTAGTTATGTCTTCTCTTTATTCCTAATGTTTCTGTTGTGTCTTCTCTGATTTTTTTTTTTAAGTTTATGTTGTTCATAGTTTTTTGTTCGTTTGTTTGTTTTTGGTCTTTTGGCTTATTGATTCTTTCTGATCTCTCTATACTTATATCTTTATAGCTAATTTTTCTCTTATTTTTAAAATTTCTGCCCTTGCCTGTATCATTTTTTCCTTCTATACACTTTTTTTTCCTCCCCTTACCTTAATGTTCAGTTAGATGCTTAGCTCACTTTTAACCTTTTTTTCTTCTCTAATGTCAATATTTAAGGCTAGAAATTTCTCACTGAGTACTGTCAGTTCATTCCATATATTTTGATATGCAGTATTTTCTTTTTTTTAAATTTAATTTTATTTATTATTATTATTTTTTGAGACGGAGTTTTGCTCTTGTTGCCCAGGCTGGAGTGCAGTGGCCCGATCTCAGCTCATTGCAACCTCTGCCTCCCGAGTTCAAGTGATTGATTCTTCTGCCTCAGGCTTCCTGAGTAGCTGGGATTACAGGCGCCACCACGCCCGGTTAATTTTTTGTATTTTTAGTAGAGACAGGGTGTCATCATGTTGGCCAGGTTGGTCTTGGACTCCTGACCTCAGGTGATCCACCAGCCTTGGCCTCCCAAAGTGCAGGGATTATGGACGTGAGCCGCCATGCCCAGCCTGCAGTATTTTCTTTATTGTTAAGTATAAATGTTAAGATATTTATACCTTTCTTTTTTGACCCATGTATTGAAATTATGAGTACATTTGGAGTTTCTTCTACTTTATTATATGCTTTTAATTTTTCTCAGTTTTGCAGTTTTTTTAATCCTTTCTTGATGTAATTTTACTAAAGTCTCTTTTTTCTAATTTTATTTTCCCCTTTACTCAATTCAAATAATCTATCCTTTTAGTGGTTAACTTAGCTATTTTAACATACATACTTAAATTAGTTAAAGATAATCAGTAACCTTACTTTTGTCCCAAACTTTTTTTTTTTTTAAAGCCAGAGTCTGGTTCTGTCACCCAGGCTGGAGTGCAGTCGTGCAGTCTTGGCTCACTGCAGCCTCCACCTCCCAGGTTCAAGCAATTCTCCTGCCTCAGCCTCCTGAGTAGCTGGGATTACAGGCACGCACCACCATGCCCTGCTAATTTTTTTGGTATTTTTAGTAGAGATAGGGGTTCACCATGTTGGCCAGGCTGGTCTTGAACTCCTGAACTCAGATGATCCGCCCACCTTGGCCTCCCAAAGTGCTGGGATGACAGATGTGAGCCACCACACCCAGTCTGTCCCAAACATTAAAAGGGCCTTTAGACACTTTCACCCTAATCACTCTGTTTACATGTGTTTGGTTTTTCAGTATTTCAGTTGGCCTCTCATCCTGCTTCACAAATTAGGCATTTCTATTTGTTGGTTGAACAATCAATGTTTGTTCAGATTTAGATTTACCCACATATTTACTATTAATTTTATCTTTACTTCTTGAATCTGAGATATTCCATCTGGAATTATTTTCTTCTTCCTGAATACATCCTATAAGTTTCTTTAAGTGAAGTTCTCTTGGTGGTAACTTCTCTAAGTTTTTGTTTGTTTAAAAAAAGGTATTTTCCAGACAATGTCTTTCTTTCACCTTCATGCTTGAAAAAATAGTTTTACTGAGTCTGGAATTCTGGGCTGATGTTTATTTTTTCTAAACACATTGAAATTATTATTTTACTTTCACCTGGCCTCTAAGTTGCTATTGAGAAGTCAGCTGTCAGTCTCATCACTATTCTTTTATTGGGAAACTTTGTTTTTTCCTTTTTCTTTTCCTCCCTTTCTTCTTCTGTCCATTCTGTCTCCTTTTCTTCTTCCTCTTTCTCTTCGTCTTCTTCTTCCCCTCTCTCTGGTTGCTTTTAATAATATTTCTCTACGATGTGTCTAGGTTTAGAGTTATTTTTATTTATCTACTTTAGAATTATTGATTGGGCTTCCTGAGACTAAGGGTTGTTATCTTTCAATAAGTCTAGAAAATTATTAGTAATTGGCCAGGCGAGATGTTGCACGCCTATAATCCTAGCACTTTGGGAGGCCGAGGTGGGAGGATTGCTTGAGCCCAGGTGTTGGAGACCAGCTTGGGCAGCATAGTGAGACCTTGTCTCAAACAATTAAATTAACAAAAAAAAAATGTTTAGCAATTGTATGCTTGAGTTTAGGTTTTCCCCTATAATCTGTATTTGCTTCTCCAAGAGCTCCTATAAGACATCTGTTAGCTCTTCTCACACTGTTTTCATACAATAATATTTCCTCCACATTTTTCATCTTTTTTCCTCTCTAGATTATTTGTTGTTTGTTTGTTTGTTTGTTTATTTATTTATTATTTTTAAAAATAGAGACAGAGTCTTGCTATGTTGCCCAGGCTGGTCTTGAACTCCTGGGCTCAAACAATCCTCCCTTCTCTGACTCTTAAAGTGCTGGGATTATAGGCATGAGCCACCACACCCAGCCTGGATGATTTCTTTGACTGCATCTTCCAATTAGCTAATTTTCTCTTCACGTGTGTTTGTTTAATCCACATATTGGGTTTTACAATTCCGCTATTATATCTTTTTATTTTCAGGAGTTCTTTTTGGTTCCTTTCTAAATTTGCTTGATTGTTCTCTCTAGGTATTTATTCTGTTTTCGAGTTTCTCTTTTATTTCACTAAATATATTAAATATAGCTGTTTTATATTCTTTGCCTGATAATTCCAATATCTGATTCTGATTTTTAATTCCACCTTCTGTTATTTCTTCATGCTCTCACTATGTTTTCTTTTTATTCCCTTATTTATATTGTAACTTTTGGCTTCAAACTGCTCATTTTTAAAAACTTTATTAGTGGCTATCTTAGTCTGTTTTGTGCTGCTAAAACAGAATACCACAGACTGGGTAGTTTATAAACAATAGAAGTTTATTTGGCTCATAGCTCTGGAGGTGGAAAGTCCAAGATCGAGGGGCAGCATTTGATGAGGGCTTTCTGGCTGCATCAAACATGGCTGAAGGTATCCCAGGAGCAAGAGAAAGGGAGAGCCCAAACTCACAGCCTCAAGCCTTTTTATAAATGTCATCAATCAGTTCATGAGGGTGGTCCCCTTATGGCCTCAACAGCTCCCCTTAGGCCCCACCTCCCAACACTGTTGCATTGGGGATTAAGTTTCCAACACAAGCTTTTTGGCGGAGACATTCAAATCACAGCAGCGGATACTGTTTGAGGCCTGGGGTTTATTTCTGCTAGTTTCCTTAGAACTGTATCAAACCTAGACACATCTTAAACTCAGATTTCCTTTTAAGATTTTTTAGGATCACACATGGCATGGGAATTTGAACTGCAACCTCTCATGAATTCTACTTGTGGTTATAAATTCTCAGAGGAGAATATTTTCCCCTTCACCCAGAAGCAAAGTTGAATCAGGGAAGTTTCCTTCCATTCTGTTCTGCCTGGTGGGGTATTTTCTCATTCATATTTACTTTGAAGGCAGAACCCTCTGAAGTTCTGGTGTGTGTGCTTTATGAAACTCCCCAGCTTGACGAGGCTCCGGGCTTTATCTACATCCCCCTTTTTCCTCTTCAGTGTCAAAGTGATGGTAAAGGTGTCATGTGTGTGTCAGAAACTCTCAGCATGATCGGTGGCTTTGGTGTGTGCTTATTCTCAGGATTCACGCTCTCACTGGCTGGACTCTTTTATGCCAGGTCAGCAGTGTATTTAAATTTTTTTTTTTCTTAATTGGGTTAAAAATTTTCTTTGAGACAACTTTTAGGGCCTCTAATCTGCCATAGTAGCAGAACTGGGAGTTGAAAACCTGTTTTATGTTCATTATTTTCTACATATATTTGGTAGCATCAAGTCAAAGATAATGATGAATTGTTCTTCAGCCTTCTGAAATTCTGAAGAAGGTATTTGGTCTTAAATTGAAGCAAAAGACTAGTTCACTCAACTATAATAAAACCTTTCTTGCCTCGAAATCTAGAGTTGGCCAACTAAAGAAGTTTTCAGAACTTTATATATGGAATTTCTGGGAAATAGCATAGATTTACTTTATTACATTTCACCAACTTACTGCTACTACTATTAACGTGTTATCTCATGTAATCTTTTAACAATGATTAGTAAGTGTGTACTCTGGGAATCAATCAGAATTTCTGATACCAAAGTTCCTGCACTTACTCATGATGTTATATTCCTTTCAACCAAGATTTGAGGCAGCTTCCAACCATGTATTCAGTATAAAAGAATAAAATTAATCACTGAGAGACTTGAGGCAATGGATAGGAAAACAATAAAGCTTTGAATAAGAGTAACACACAGGAGGCTGGGCATGGTGGCTCACGCCTGTAATCCCAGCACTTTGGGAGGCTGAGGTGGGTGGATCATCTGGGGTCAGGAGTTTGAGACCAGCCTGGCCAACATGGTGAAACCCCGTCTCTACTAAAAATACAAAAATTAGCTGGGCATGATGGCATGCACCTGTAATCCCAGCTACTCAGGAGGCTGAGGCAGGAGAATCGCTTGAACCCAGGAGGCAGAGGTTGCAGTGAACCGAGATTGCACCACTGTACTCCAGCCTGGGAGACACAGTGAGACTCTGTCTCAAAAAAAAAAACAAAAAACAGTAACACACAGGAATACATAATACTTTTTTCTCAACAGCTGTGACCTGTATTTGGTGTTAAGATTTTGTGGGTTTTTTTGTGAGTCAGGGTGTTGCTCTGTTTCCCAGGCTAGAGTGTAGTGGCACAATCACAGCTCACTGCAGCCTTGATCTGCCAGGCTCAAGTGATCCTCCCACCTCAGCCTCCCAAGTAGCTGGGACCACAGGTGTGTGCCACCGTGCCCGGCTAATTTTTGTATTTTTTGTAGAGACAGGGTCTCACCATGTTGCCCAGGCTAGTCTTGAACTCATGTTCAAGGAATCCTCCCACCTTGGCCTCCCGAAGTGCTGAGATTAGAGGCATGAGCCACCACGCCTGGCTGGTTTTAAGCTTTTTGAACATACACTAAGAGTAGGGTAGGCAAAGAACAACTAAGTTGGTTTGTGTGTTGCCCTGTAGGACAAACACCTGTGACTTTGTGAGCCTTTTTGCAACACTGTTGAAATTGCATCAAGGCCCTGATGATGAAGATTGGCAGTAATAAAGTAGTCTGGGGGAATATCGTTTATGTTTTAATTATAAAAATTGAAACTCTTCTAAGCTATTGACAGCTGCATTACTGGGAAGGTGGTTTAGGGCTGGACCTGCCTGGTGAAGGACTGGCCCTGGTAGGATCTGGATGGGGTGGTAGCTTCATTGAGCATCAGATTTCAATCCACTACCAAGTTTCCAATCACTCCAGTTGTTCCTATTTTGCCAAAACAGTCGCCCTCTATGTCCCCCATGGTCTTGTGCCTGTTCGTATTGGGAGGGCCTGAGATGCATCTGGGCCCTTAGAGATACTTTAATCACAGTATGGACAGCCTGTATCATCTCAGTCTCAGCTGATCAGGGACCATATGCATAGGGCCAGATTATAAGTAAACCAGCTAGTGGTGTGAAACTTGGAAAAGCCATTTACTGTGTATATTTGGGTCTTGTCAGCAATTCCTGAGCATGGGTAGGGGTGTGTGTGTGTGTGTGCTCTTGCTGTGGTATACAAGCACAATGAAAGTGTATAAAAACAAATGTAAAGTTCATGGTTAGATTTCTTAACTCTGGAGGTTAGTCATCTTTGATAAAGCAAACTGGGATGACTTTTTGTGTGAGCTCCTAACTTAAGGACTAAGAAATACAAAAGATCAGTTTCCGTAAATAAACTGGCTCACAAGTGTGCAGTAGTTTTAAACTTTCTTTTTCTTTGCTTCAAGGATTTTGACTCTTTCTTCTCTGCAAAAGAAGAGAATATTATTTATTCCTTCCTTGGTTTGGCTCCTCCTCCAGACTCAAAGGTAAGTTTGAACAAACTCCATTGGGGTTCAAAACAGGTAATACTAAATGAAGGTAGAAATCACCGCATCCAAGACTGTTTAATACATGATGATCTCTAAATTAACATTACTTTAGTACACTTCTTATTCTGATGCAGTCCTATGCATAGAGAGAATGCAGTTTTTACTAAAAAAAGTTCCAAAATTATGCTTTTCATATTTATGCTGTGTTTTCACCTTGTTACAATAAATTTTATAATACCTAAGTTAGGAAATATCATTACTTTGAATAATCTTAAGTGCATTCATTAAATATGTAAACATTTGAGCTCCTAGGTTGTGTTTATACAATTATTTTGTTTTGAATTGACTTCTCATATAGCTTTATATGAGTTAATTTCATAATGATATATACCCTTACATTATTTCTATTTAAATGAACCAAACTACATTTTGGTCTCATAAAAATGGGACAGGTAAGATCTCGATTCAACGACAAGGTAGGTTTTATCAGATTTTTTTCTTCCAGTGACGTCTCATCTTTGATTATGTATAATTAAATAGAGAGTTATGCTAATAAAGCAGGAACCATGAATTTGACTTGTGTGCATGTTTAATTCATGTGACTTGCTAAGACTTGCTGATGGATTGAATGTGGATAGGGATGGATTCCATGATGACTTCTAATCAGTGTGTGTAAAAATCCACTCTGAGAGAGGACCATATTGAGGGGGGAAGTTAAGTTTGAATGAGACAGCTGAGTGAAGAAGTGAGGTAGGCAATTGCATACTGATCTGTGTCTCTGCAAAGTCTGGTTGGAGACACACACGTGGAAGCTGCGAACGCATGTAGATGGAGCTGAAGTCATGAAAAGTGGATGAAACAGAGTAATGAGAGAGTTGACAGGATGGAGACCAGAGTGGGGGTGGAGGTGGGACTTCAAGTTTAAAGTTGCCTGGAAGATGAGAAACCAGTTGAGGAGGCTAAGATGGAGAGTAGGGAAGGCAGGAGGAGACCAGGAGCGTGTGGCGTCATGGAAGCCCAGGAGGAGCTTGGCTCTTTACAGAAGAGGGTGATGTTAGTTGTGACAAATGCGGCTGAGAGATTGAGTCAGGTGAGGCCATAAAAGTGACCACTGGCTTTGATGACATGGAGGTCATTAGAGGCCATGACAGAAGTAGTTTCTGAGGAGAGGTGGAAGCAGATGTATGTGGTCTAGACAGAGTGGTCTAAGGAGGGCTGGTAGTGAGAACGAGGGACTATGCATAGACAATTATTTTGGGGGAATTTTCCCACAGAGTGAAAGAGAAAAATGGCAGACATCATTGTTTTAAAAAATGCCCTACTCCTTCCCACCACTGGAAATTTGGGCAGAGTCCCTTGCGTCCCTGCTTGCTGCCGGTTCCCTAGCTTCCTCTCTCCTCCCTATGTTCTGGAAAGTTCCCCCATCTCTGTTCTTTACCCAAGCTCAATCTCTCGTCTTAACCCAAGTTCTCTGTCTTTCAGTAGACATCTCCCGTATTCCTACTACTTCTCAATCCCCTTCTTCCAGACCCCAGACCTGTGGGTGGTAGGAGGGGAGAGTCTAGTTTTTACAAAGGCCCACTAGGGGGTTATCTAAACAAAAGGGAATTTTCTATCCTTGGTCAATAATAATGTGGCAAAGCTTTGAAATGACTTTTTTTTAACCTTTTGTAGGTCAAATTTTTGACAGAGTTACTGTCTTCACCAAGAGTCCCAATAAACAGAAGGGGAGACGGTAGTAGAAAAATATATTTTCTGTCTGTTCATCACAAATTCCAGGAATCATGTCTTCCTTATTTCTTCCCTTTGCAATATCTTTTTATTTTTTATTCCTTTTTTTATAGCATTAGAATCTTTTATTTTTTCATGTGGCTATAGCCTTCATGATGATCATTTAAAACTTTTGTCTGATACTCTATTACACTGATGTATCATAATTGACTTCCTTATTCCTATATGTTTAATTTTTACTTATTATTGTGTCATAAACATGTTTATGCTATTATGGTGTCATAATGTCATCTAAATATTTTGTATAATGTTCCATCAAGTTGATGTGCCATGCATTTAAAAAAATTTTTGTTCATTTATTTATTTTTTAGAGACAGGATCTTGCTATGTTGCCCAGGCTAGTTTTGAACTTCTGGGCTCAAGTTGTCCTCCTGCCTCAGCTTTCCAAGTAGCCAGGACTACAGGTGTGAGCCACTGTGTCCAGCATAATATTTTTTCACTATGCTTATATTTTTGAACCTGGGGTTGCTCATTATTTTTAATTACAAATAACTCTGCACTGATTTTCACCATGAAATAGTATTCTTTATTTTGGAGTATTTCCTTAGGATAAATTCCCGGTAGCTCTTTCAGTGAGACAAAAATGCACACAACTTTTTATGGCTTTGAACGTGCCTCCAGATTACTTTCTGGGAGGATTATAACATTCATCCTGCTGCACTGTGGTGGACCAGCTTCACTGTACCTTCCAGATATGAGCATTTTAATGACCTTGATCTTAGGACCATTAAATTGTATTTTAGAAATTTGTTTCTGGTTTTACTGTGCTATGAGGAGGGAATTTGGTTTTGATAAATGTCTGTCTTAAGTGTCTTTGTAACTGAATGTATATTTTTTCATTTTTGTGTGATATTTTATTTTTTAAGTTGACAAATAAAGTGTATATTTACCATGTACAATGTGATGTTGTGAAATACGTATACATTGTGGATTGGCTAAACTGAGCTAATTAACATCTGCCTTTCATTGAATACTTTTTTTTTGTGGTGAGAACACTTAAAATCTACTCTCAGTGATGTTCAAAACACAGTGCATTGTTATTTGCTATAGTCACTATCTTGTAAAATCAATATCTTGAACTTATTTCTCCTAACAGACTATTTTGCTATAAAAGATTGTTTTCTGAATATTAAAAAAATAACTTTTTTCAAATATTACATATATGATATTGGAAAGGTCAAATAGTCCTACAAAGATTACTTTTTAAAAAAACAGTCCTGCTAAACATTTCATGCCAGAAAATGCCTTATATTTTCCTGCTTTAGTCTGCAGTGTGCTTAGGTGCAGAATTCCAGGCTGGACGTTGCTGCACCTCAGAACCGGGAAGGTGCCGCTCCATCATCTCTTCCCACTTCCAGAGCTGCTCTGAGATCACGTCTGATGCCAGTCTGTCTCCAGATCTTTTTATCTGCCTATTTTTGTCTTTCCCAATTCTGGGAGATTTTAGGGTCCAATTTTTTGGTTTTGAAGTTGTACGATGAGGTAGCTGGTAGAGGTCTTCGTTATTTGTGCTGGGCATTTGCTGGGACCCTTTAATTTGGAAGGTCATGTGCCTTGGCTCTGAAAAACAAAATGTTAGAGGACTTCTATGCGGATTCATTTCCAGTTCATTTTCACTTTCTTTTCTTTTTGGAATTCTTCTTATTTAAATGTTGGACCTCTTGGATGAATTCTCTAATTTTCTTATCTTTTCTCTCCCATTTTCCATATTTTTGTATTTTTCTGCTTTCTGGGATATTTTCTTAATTTTCTACCTTATCTTCCCTCTATTGGTAGTTTTTTTCCATTTCTCCTATCAATCATATCTGAACTTCTCAAAAGCTCTTTTTTGTTGTTATCTCTGCATGTTCCCTTATTAAATAGCTTCCTATTCTTATTATGTAGGTTCATTATTTTTCTTAATTCTGAGTTTATTAAATATAGTTTTCTTTTACATCTTCTTCAACTCATTGCATTCTCTGTTTTCTCTAATTCTGTTTCTTCTCTGTTTGCTTTGCTTTCCTTTTTATTTTTATGTAAGTTGTTTTCCTCAGATGTTTGGTGATCTTTGACTGTTTGTATTTAAAACAAAGTACTGAGCTGGCAGTGGTGGGTGCATGTCTGTATTCCCAGCAACTAGGAAGGCTGAGGTGAGAGGATTGCTTGTGCCTAGGGTTTCGAGGCCAGTCTTGGCAACATAACGAGGCTATGTGGTGGTGGTGGTGGAGGTGGTAAGGGTGGTGGTGGTGGTGGTGGTGGTGGTGGTGGTGATGGTAGTGCTGGTGGTGATAGTGATGGTGGTAGTGGTAATGGTCATGGTGGTGATGGTGGTGGTGGAGTGGTAGAGGTGGTGATTGTGGTGGTGATGGTGGAGATGATGGTGGTGGTGATGGTGGTGGTGGTGACAGTGATGGTGGTGATGGTGGTAGTGGTGGTGAGGTGGGTGATGGTGGTGGTGATGGTAGTGGTGGTGATGTTGGTGTTGGTGGTGGTGATGGTAGTGGAGGTGGGGGTGATGGAAAGTGGGAGATAAATCTGGCTGCCAGTGTTCTAGAAGCAAGTAGGGAAGGGAATGGAGGGTCTCCCCTTTCAGAATGTGAACTTCTTATATAGACCCCTTGTTTTCAGTATGGTTGCCTACTTCAGCTGGCCTCATGCCCAGGAGGTCATATTTCCTCTAGTTCAGCTTCTACAGAGACAAAAACTGCTTATTTAGAAGGGGACAGTCACTTGCCGTCCAGGGATGAGGAGGGAAACTAAATCTACTTCTTCTTTCTCTCACATCGCTCTTTGTAAGCAATTAGGTTTCAGATTTTTTCTGGTTAAGTCAATTATTACTCAACGATTCCCTTTACTGCCTTTGAATTTCCGTAGACATTTTTTTTTTCCTGCAAAAAGACTTCTTGTCCATTTACCCTGTTCTTGTGAATTTATCCTTTTCTTTTTAACATCTTTGTTGTATTGTCAGTGGGGCTCTGGTAAGAAGCCAAAGCAAATATCTGTTTTCAGCTTCTCATGATTAACTAGAAACTGCCTGTAGTTTTCAATGGTCCCAGTCTTCCTGAAAAGGAACTATCATCCCCTGTTATTCCATTAATTTCTTTCCATATGTTGGTTAATTTAATTTAATCTATTTTTAGTTACATAATTTGAGATTAAGGATTTTAATATCTTTGCTCTTTTTAAAAAAATAGTTTTATTGGGATATAATTCACACACCACACAATTCACCCATTTAAAGTGTACAATTCAATGGCTTTTAGTATATGTAGAGTTGTGCAACCACCACCACTGTCTACTTCCAAAATACTGTAATCATCCTTAAAAGAAACCCAGTACCCCTTAGCTGTCACCCCCTAATTCAGCCATTCTTCCTGCCTAGGGAACCACTCAAATGCTTTCGTTCTCTGCAGGCTTGCCTCATCTGAGCATTTAATGCCAGTGGAACCATACACCATGGGGTCCTTTGTGACTGGCTTCTTTCACTTGGCATCATGTTGTCAAGGCTTGTCTGTGTTGTAGCAGGTGTCAGCACTTCTTTCTTTGTTAGGGCAGACTACTATCCATGGCACGAATGGATGGACTGCATTTTACACATCCATTCCTCAGTGGCTGGGTATTTGGGTTGTTTCCACGTTTTGGCTATCATGAATACTGCTGCGATGACCATTTGTGTATCTTTTGTTTAATCGATTTCCAATACTTCTACAGTTGCTGCTTTGTATCAGAATCTCTTGGACAATTTTAAAAAATTCAGATGCCTGAGTTTTACTCTAGACTTACTGACCCTAAATTACCAGGGGAGAGGCCCAGGGATCTACATTTGCAAAAAGTCCCTTAGTTGATTCTGATGCTCATTTCTGTTTAACAACCACTACACTGGAGACTCATTTAACTAATATTCATGTATATGCTTCTCCAGAATGAATGTGGTATCTTATTTGCTTTAGTTAAGAAACTCAAATAGGCAGGGAAATTGTAAGGCCACTTTGTTCCTTTCCCCATTCCTGATTCTCTCCTGCATTCATCAATTTGGTATCTCTCTTTCCACAAGCAAGACATCTTTTTGTGCTGTATTTTCAATGCCTAATTGTTATATTGTATGAAATCTGCTTTTTAAAAAGACACCATGGACATTTTATTAATATTTTTAAACAACAATAGTAGTAGCAGTCGCAACAAGAACAAACTCTTAGCCAGGCATTGTGGTTCGTGCCTGTAATCCTAGCACTTAGGAAGGTAGAGGCAGGAGGATAGTTTGAGCCCAGGCATTTGTGACCTGCCTGGGCAACATAGTGAGACCCTGTTCTCAAAAACAAACAAAAACAAACAAACTCCTAGAGGGCTAGCAACTTAACAGATATTGCGAAGCTCCAAATGAAATTCCAGCCATTAAAAAAAGTAACTCATATAATAGCATTAATAGATGTCAAAGAAAATATATGGATAAGTGAATAATGAGGCTGACAAGTTCAAGTAGATTGCTCCAGGTCACAAGGCTCATAATCTGTAGACCTAGAATTTGATTTCAACATTTTCTGATTATTAACCCAGTATCCTCTTCACTCCCTTGTGTTTAGGGCTACATTTATAGAAAACCTATCTACGCTTAAGTCTATTAAAATTAAAAAACTCATTTGTCACATATATAGATAACTATCACCCCAATATTTTACTCTAAAATTAATAATTAAAAGAGAAGATCCAAACATTTTTTTTCTGCCTTTTAAACTAGAATCTATAATTCATACCTGGTTGTTGAGAGTAAACTTTTTGTTGTAGGTCAAATATCGAATAAATGATAGAATTAGAAAAATAACCCGTTTGCCAAAGCCAATGTAATAATTGATTACAGCATAGCTAATGAATAGATAATAAAACTGGGTAAAAGGCATTAGGTGAATTTGTTTCTTGGGGGAATCAGTTAAATTTCCTGTGCTAAAGTATTAGCCCCGCCAAACATTATTTGCTAAATTCAAAGGGGAAACCGATCTTTATAATAAAGAGATCTATTGGTCACAGCCTTAACAAAGTAGCCAAACCACTGTCACTACTAATGGGACTCACTGATATCAAATGCTGCCTGTTGCAAACGTGAAGTCCATAGTCTCACCAGTCAAGTGTTCTTGCTAAATCATTTCACCTGCATCCAATCCAGTCTCCAGCTCCAAGTTCTAGTCTATAAAAAACACAGAGGAAGAGGAGCAAGTTAAATAATATCACAAAGAAAGAATCAGACAAAACAAAAATTTGGAACATTCTTCAAGATAACTGACCCAGATTCTTAAAACATTCAGTGTCATGAAAGAAATAAATAAAAAGAGATGGAATTGTTCTAGACTAAAATAGACTGAGGAAATATGAGAATCAGATGCAATTAATATGTTTTAAGAGGTTCAAGTCTAAAGAAAGTAACTGTAAAATATTTATTGCAGGCAACTTGGGGAATTTGGAAAGGAATTGGATATTAGATGACATTAGGGAGTTCTTGTTAGTTTTCTTAGATGTGATAAAAATACTGGAGTTACGTAAGAGAATGCCCTTGTTTTTAGAAGATGATACTAGAATATTTAAGGGTGCAGTTTGATAAGACAGATGAAAATGTTAGCAAGTGTTCAATCTATGTAGTTCATCTTTAAAAGCTTTTCTTTGTCTTTAAAATTTTCATAATGAAGAGCTGGAGCAATGCTTTTTTTTTTGAGACAGAGTCTCGCTCTGTCACCCAGGCTGGAATGCGGTTGCGCAGTCTCAGCTCACTGCGACCTCTGCCTCCTGGGTTCAAGCAATTCTTGTGCCTCAGCCTCCAGAGTAGCTGGGGTTACCCGTGCCCGCCACCACGCCCAGCTAATTTTTGTATTTTTAGTAGAGACGAGGTTTCACCATGTTGGCCAGGCTGGTCTCGAACTCCTGACCTTAGGTAATCTTCCCACCTTGGCCTCCCAAAGTGCTGGATTACAGGCATGAGCCACTGCGCCTGGCCTGGAGCAATAAGGATTTGGAGCTAAGCATATGGCAATGTTGTATTGCCTTTGCTCTTATTAGTTAAAAGCCCTTAAAATGTCCTAGTCAAAACTTGAGGAGGATTGCTCTAAATGGAGAAGAACACAACTCAAATAAAACTTGTTTCAAGGCAGAAAGACACACAAATGGCAAATGGCCGTGTCCAAAGTTACTATGTCTAAAGCTGCTTTAAGTTTTACAGGGAAAAAAACAGACTTTAGAAAATTATGTGGAAAAGTTAGAGCAGATGAACTTATTTTCCAGTGTGCAGAGTGTCCAGGATCAATCTCATATTTTCAGCAACAAAAATAAAATAAAATAAATGGTTGGAAGTTGATCAACATAGATATTGCCATTTTTCTTTCTCTGAGATAATGACTTGCCATTCATGTCTAGGGACATCCCACTTCCTAGACCCCTTCTCTTGCATTTCTCCTGAGAAGTCTCAGAGTTCACCTCTCTTCTCATCGAGGCTTTTGTAGTCCTGGTATTTCTTTCCATCCATAATCTGTCTCATTCAGCATGAAATGAAGAGGAACTCCAGTGGAAAAGAACATATGATTCAGTTAGAAAACCTTACATACTTTTTACCTGCTGACCCTGAATTTGGGGGCAAGATTTTTAACGTTTTCCCAGCTATAAAATGAAGAGAGAAATATGACCACCTACCTCTTAGGGGTATTTGTTTTATAATTTATTCTTTCAAGAGAATTTATTTGCGTACATGCTGGGCCAGACACTGGGCTGGTTGATTGAAGGGACTTTATGGTCTAGAGGAATAGTTAGATGTGAGCATTCTGTAAGTAGATAAAATAACTGTCTATGTGAATATGGAGATGGTCCACCAATCTCAGGCCTTATATTAAGTCTCCGAAAAGAGTTGATACCTCACTTGGTATTGGAAGATTTAGTAGGAGCTCAGTAAGTGGAAAAAGATAGTCAAGACACTATGGGAAGATGGATTTATACACTAAGGCAATGAAATTTATGAGAGTATGTTTCATTCAGTGAAGTCATACTTTGGATGGAATCAGAGGTTTCAGTAGAACCCAGGATATGGAAGTGGGTAAAGATAAGAGCTGAGGCAAGAAAAGTTAGTAGGGATGATATTGTAAAGGGCCTTCTGTGTCTGGACTTTTTTCTTGGCAATGAGAATGATGGGAAAAGGTCAGTGTGGAGTGATTTACATTTCACAAAGCCTCTGACTCAGACAGCAACACAGAAGATTGTTAGAGATAAGATGCAGAATCTGGGACTATATCTTTCATATTTACATCCTCAGAGCCAAATACAGCTCATAACTCGTAGTAGGTGTTCACCTCTGAAATTCGAGGCAATAATTAACTGGGGTACCAAAGTCAATGAAACACTCCGGAGATATTCAGCACCATTCTTCAAATTGAATGTAAATGGGACAGGTTTGTTTATTGTAACTTGCTATTTTAAAAAAAATTATATTTTGAGATCTATTTATACTAATACGTATAAATCTATTTCAGCCTCTGCTGTGTTTTATCTTATCTCATTTTTATTTTAATATCTAATCTCCGTTTTTAGATCCTACCCTGATTTGTGCTCAGGTACTGTCATATTATATAAAACTCTTGTTTTGTGGAAGAAAGGGATGGCCACAGGATTATGAAACCTGGCCTAGAGATACCTAAGAGGCCGTCCAGTCCAGATTCTTCTCTTCTGAGAGAAGCAACATGAAGCCCAAGGAGCTTAAGTGACTTGTACAAAGAACCCCGCTAATTAGCAGTACAGTTCGTGCTAGAGCCTTTGGTGCTGTCAGCATTGCTTAGGTTGATAGGTGTTTATACTGTGCGCAGGGACAGAGTACTTCCAGTATCCTTTGAAAAGACGACATCTGATTTATGGAAACATTACTTATCACGGTGTCATGTTGTAGTAAACAAGATTGTGGAAAGGTGTCAGCAAGGAAAATTAATCTCACTCAAGCTAAAAATAGGTACTCTTGACAATTATGTAGAAAATGCATGCTCATAAAACGTATCATCATATGCAGCATCATTGCTTTTAGAACATTTTTCTTGTCTTAGACAGGCTGTTCTAGGCCAAGGACCAGACCAGTTTTCCCAAGAGGGCTTTGTAAGTAAGCATTGGTTCCATAAAGTCAACCTTAGTTCTTTAAAAGCATGTGGTCATATCTGATTAAATGAACATCATTCTTAATAGGACATGGCAGGCAGGACCTAGGTTACATAACCAATGTTTTCAATTATGCCCTGGCAAGAAGGAAGACAGATTCTTGTTGAAGTTATGCAAATAAGTATATTGCCAAAAAATATATATGTATTCTGATTGAATAAGCAGATTCAATAAGAATTTTTGAACTCCAGAGGAATCGGGCAGGGAGAATAAGAGGTCATTTACAAGTGATTCATTTCAGCTTACAAAAGCAGAATCTACAACATTATTATGATGTATGGAAAGCTTAAGAGAAAGCAAAAAGGGCTTCCTTATATATAAGGAAAATAAGACATTAAAATAACATCAACAGTATTCCAGACAAAAATTACTATCATCCCTCACCAATTCATTTAATCCTATGTAATTAATTCCTATTCCACTGGATCTTGTGGATCTTGGGTTAGTCGTCTAATGAACCCATCTGCTTCTCAACAAAAGTTCTGGAAAATTTGACTAAGTCCACGGATATGGTCTCAAAGTTGTTTTCTTTTTTTTTTTTTTTTTTTGAGACGGAGTCTCGCTCTGTCGCCCAGGCTGGAGTGCAGTGGTGCGATCTCGGCTCACTGCAAGCTCCACCTCCAGGGTTCACGCCATTCTCCTGCCTCAGCCTCCTGCGTAGCTGGGACTACAGGCGCCCGCCACCACGCCCGGCTAATTTTTTGTGTTTTTTAGTAGAGACGGGGTTTCACTGTGTTAGCCAGGATGGTCTCGATCTCCTGACCTCGTGATCCGCCCGCCTCGGCCTCCCAAAGTGCTGGGATTACAGGCGTGAGCCACCACGCCCGGCCGGTCTCAAAGTTCTTTAAGCAATGCCATCAGAAACCTGAACCCAAATGTATTTAACATATAACCCTTTACTGTGGGGCTCTGAGCAGTCATTCTTCATGAAAGATGAAGCATTTTTGCTTGTAGCTCATTACAAATAACTTCAGGGAAGCATCAAAGCAAAACATGCTAACAAAAATATCTGTAGATGACAAAAAACTTAAAATGGGTGCCATTTATTCATTGCTTATAATTTTCAAAAGTGAAAGTCTAGAAAGTCATAACAAGAATAATATATTTGATGAGAAAATTTGTTGTTTTCTGTGACATGCAAAACGAAACTATAAAATCAACCCCCCAAATTTTAGACAAATTACTTATAAACATAATCATTAGGCCTATTTCAAAGAATACAGAAAACATTATATCTAATTTACAACAATAAGTGGGCATAGCAAAAATCTTGATGTAATTATTCAGAGACATAATATACTCTGACTATACCAAGCATATGATAAGAATATCAAGAAACAAGATGTAGTAGGTCTGGAGTAGGTCCTAAACATCTATTTATTAATAAAACTGTATGAGTATATGATGGGAATTCCCAATCGAAAAACACTGTTGTAAAACATGCTAGATTCAGATTAAAGAAGGATCAAGTTAACATTTAAAACAACTGAAGTTATGGTTGATAACTTAAGCACCTGTTGTCTGATACCAGGCAAAACAACAATATAATCAATGTCTTTTTATTTTTATTTTTTATTTTTTGAGATGGAGTCTCTGTCACCCAGGCTGGAGTGCAGTAGCACAATCTTGGCTCACTGCAACTTCCGCCTCCCAAGTTCAAGCACTTTCCTGCGTCAGCCTCCCAAGTAGCTGGGATTACAGGTGTGTGCCACCACGTCCAGCTAATTTTTGTATTTTCTTAGTAGAGACGGGGTTTCAGCATGTTGGCCAGGCTGATCTTGAACTCCTGACCTCAGATAATCTGCCTGCCTTGGCTTTCCAAAGTGCTAGGATTACAGATGTGAGCCACCACATCCAGCAATCAATGTCTTTTAGTACATTAATTTAGTCAGGGGAATATTATTATATCAATGAAAGACATCCAGTTATTTAGGCAATTAGATTTGCCCTTAATTGACAGAGATATACACAGCCATAACAATGTTTTTTTGTTTCTGTTTTTTGAGGCAGGTTCTTGCTCTGTCTCCCAGGCTGGAGTGCAGTGGCCTGATCACGGCTCACTGCAGCCTCGACCTTCTGGGCTCAAGCGATCCTCCCACCACAGCTTCCCTAGTAACTGGGACCGCAGATATGCACCACCATGCCTGGCTAATTTTTGTATTTTTTGTAAAGACAGAATTTCACCATGTTGCCCACACTGGACTTGAACTCCTGGGCTCAAGTGATCCTCCCACCCCAGCCTCCCAAAGTGCTGGGATTATATACAGGTGTGAGCCATCATGCCTAGCTGTCATAGCAGTGTTAAAGTGTTACCTTTACAGATTGCTGTTGGTGTGTAACTCCTCAGTGCCAAAGCTTATACATCCCAGCGAGGGCTGTCCTTCTCATGGGAACCACATTAGGAAGTTCTAACATTCCAACAGCCAGACAAACATTGCTCAAAAGAGGTTTCAAATCCCTCTATTAGAGTCATAGTAACATCTTCTATTGGAAGATGGATTTTCTTGTAGAACACATTTCAGTCTAATGAATAAGGCAGGGATAATATATCTGGATCATGTAACTTTTGGCCAAAAGTGACTTGTGATGAAAAGTTTTGAGATTCATTTTCCGGTATCACTAGCGAGTGCCTATTGAAAGCATTTTTGAGTAATGGCAAAATATTTAAGTAAGTGTGGCATTTCCTGGTGACCTGAAGGAGGAAGGCCAAACTGGACAGAGGACAGGCGACTTCACTTGAAGGAGTACAAAAGGAAGAAGCAGAAGGAGCTTTGGAGGAACATTTGTTGAGAAGCATAAAAGATATGAATTTGGAGCACAAAATTCATTCAAAAGATGTTCTGGAATTTTCTAATTTGAAACTACAAGATGGGTCCTTACTGCAGGAAAGGGTATGATATCTCACCAATTCATTTAGTCCTGTGTAATGAATCCTCATTCCACTGGATCTTGGGCTAGTAGTCTCAGGAAGCCATCTGCTTCTCAACTAAAGTTCTGGAAATTTTGACTAAGCCCACTGGTATGGCCTCAGTTCTTTAAGCAATACCATCAGAAACCTGTACTCCAAAGTTTCTAGCATATAATCCTTTATGACAGGCTTCTGAGCAGTCATTCTTCACGGAAGGTGATGCATTCTGGCCTGTAGCTGAGCAGAGCTGAGCAGTCCGACATGTAACTTCATTGAGAACCAGACCGCAGAGTTCAAGGAGGCCTTCCAGCTGTTTGACTGAATGGGTGATGGCAAGGCCCTTACAGCCAGTATGGGGACATGACGAGGGCCTTGGGCCAGAGCCCCACCAATGCCGAGGTGCTCCAGGTCCTGGGGGAACCTCAGGAGTGATGAGATGAATGTGAAGGTGCTGGACTTTGAGCACTTCCTGCCCATGCTGCAGACTGTGGCCAGGAACAAGGACTAGGGTGCCTAGTTTTAGGATTATGTCCGAGTCCAAGGATTATATGGAAGGTCTTTGGGTGTTTGACAAGGAAGAGAAGGGCACCATCATGGGCGCTGAAATCCGGCAAGTCCTTGTCATACTGGGTGGGAAGATGACAGAGGCAGAAGTAGAGATGCTGGCGGCCGGGCATGAGGACAGCAATGGTTGTCAACTCTGAAGAGCTCGTCTGTGTGGTGCTGAGTAGCTGGGCACATTCCCAGCATCCCCCCAGCCCTGTCCTTTGCCCTGTGAGACACTGTGTATCTAGCCCCGAAGGCTTTCTGGTCACAGCACCCTTCCCATCTTGTCTCTTTTGGATAATGCTTGCCATGAGCATTCACCAATAAACTTGTTCTCTGTTCCCCCCAACCCAAAACCCTCAAACAAACAAACAAAAACTACAAGATGAGCAACAGAGAGAATGAACAGTGTTCAGGCCTCCATTCAAGAAGACCAGAGGGAAGAAGGCATCAAACATAAAATAAAACACAAAGAAATAGAAATTGTGAGTGAAAGGTACAAGTTTGCAAGTCAGATGCTAGAGACCTGATATGTGCACGAGAGGAGTTCCAGAAACAACAAAAGACCAGATGGAAGAGGGCTAATCATTCGAGAGATGCCAGGGTCTTCCAGTTGGAGATGCTGCTGCAGCCCCCTCCATCCCCTTATCTTATGACTGCAGGAAAACCAGAAAGGGTGCTGCCTGAGGACTAGAAACTATGGGAGAATCCCTGAAAGGTTAGAAAGCAAAAACATTTGGTTTGAAGAAGGAAATCAAGGTCCAAATGCCTGTCAGAGATGGGAGTGGCTCTGTGGGCCCTGCACAGCCTCAGTGGTGTGTTCCAGTTGCAGGAAGGGCCTGGGCATGGGCTTGGAGCTTGAAAGGCAGAGCCCACTTCCATCCTGCTCTTAGACCTGGCAGGGGTCAACACAGTGGTCAACAGAGTGATCAACAGGGCAGGGCAGTGAGCACTGAGTTGGGTGGGGAGGCACAGCAGGTCTGAGGGAGGTATTCTTACTCCAGAGGGACAGAGAGAAGTTTAGATACTGGCAGTCAGCCTCAACCCTGGCTGCACATTAGAAATCTCTGGGGAGCTGTTAAAGCTATTAGGTTGGTGCAAGAGTAATTGCGGTTTTTGCCATTAAAAATAGTATGCCAGGGCTACATTTGAGAGCAATTAAGCAGAAGCTTCAGTCAGGGAGCTCCCAGGTGAACCTAATGTTTTATCAATGTGGAGAGCCACTTCTGTAAAGGAAAACATTGAATAATAGTGAAATCAAGAATTGTAAACTATCTTGGAAAGATCTAGGAGTTCTGGTATCACTAGTGAGTTCATCACTGTGGATGGAACTATGTGAGAAAGGAGATATAGGAAAATATCCATTACAAGGATTCTGTTCATGGATGAGGGTATGGAGAAAAGAAGGGAAATAAGTGTAAGTGTTCGAAAGGGCGCATCTCAATTGCAGGTGAACTATCTTGATGGGAACCCATGTATTGTGTAACTGTGAATGTTAATAGAGAATTATGTTTAATGATGACTATTATGAATAGGAAACTAAACAGTAGTGAGATAGAGAAGCATTTCAGAACATTTATGTTAACAAGGCCGGGAGGCAGAGCTGAGGAAAACAGAGTGAAGAGAAACTTTAGCCAGCAATAGTAAGGAAAGGGAAAAAGCATAAGAGAGAAGACAGGCTGTCATGAATTAATACAGCAGAAGCATTTGAACTAACTATATCAGTTGTTCTAATAAATTTGAAAAGGCTAAAATTCCCTGGAAGAAAAGAGACGATCCGTTTGGATTTTTGCACAGCTGTTCTGCAGTTGAGAATATCTCCGACCATGATTGTGCATTTTCTGTTCCTCCCTTTAATCCTGTCAATTTATTCTTCTTGTATTTTAAAAATTTATATTATTAGGCACATTTGTATTTATAATTGTTACAGCTTCTGTAATTATCAGCTGTCTTTTACAATTTCTGGTAACGCCCTTTGTCTTTATATCTGTATTATATAAAGCTACTCTAGATTTCTTATGCTTATGGTTTGCCTGGGATAGTTTTTCCATCGATTTCCTTTCAACTTCCTATGTCTTTGTTTTTATAATATGTTTTTTGGAGACAGCATCTGATTGGGTTTTGTGCATTTTTTTTTTTTTTTTTGAGACAGTCTCACACTGTCTGGAGTGCGGTGGCATGATCATAGCTCACTGCAGCCTTGACTTCCCTCCCAGGCTAAAATGATGCCCCTGCCTCAGCCACCTGAGTAGCTGGGACTACAGGCATGCACCACCATCCTCAGCTGATTTTTAAATTTTTTATAGAGAGAGGGTCCTACTAGTTGCCCAGGCTGGTCTCAAACTCCTAGGCTGTAGTGATCCTCCCTCTTTGGCCTCCCAGAGTGCTGGGATTACAGGCATGAGCCACTGCACCCGGCTGGTCTTGAGCATTTTAATTCATCTTGATAATCTGTTATAAATCAGAGTATTTAGTTCATTAACAATTAATCATTGACATAATTGTGTTTAGGTTTACTATTTCTTTATTTTTTCTATTGGCCTCCATTTTATTTATTTATTTATTTATTTTATTTTTTATTTTTATTTTTAGAGACGGAGTGATCTCGGCTCACTGCAACCTCCGCCTCCCAAGTACAAGCGATTCTCCTGCCTCAGTCTCCCAAATAGCTGGGACTACAGGCGGGTGCCACCACACTGGGCTGTTTTTGTATTTTTAGTAGAGACGGGGGTTTCACCACGTTGGCCAGACTGGTCTTGAACTCCTGACCTCAAGTAATCCACCCGCCTTGGCCTCCCAAAGTGTTGTTGGGATTACAGGCATGAGCCACCACGCCCAGCCCCATTTCAATTTTTATTATTTAAAAATACAATTTCCATTTTATTTTTCTCCAGAGAATAGTTTTTCTTCAGTCTTCTAAGGCCTCAGCTACTTACATGGGCTTTGGTGGGGGTCGTGGGGCAGCACCCGCAGGTCTAAGTAGGGGTGGAGGTGTTCGGTCCTTGCAAGCTTCACGAGATTGATTCCTCACTACTTTGCTTTAATATTATAAACTGCACAACTCACACAGTAATGTAACTTCATATCCAGCTTGGGAAGCACATAGGTGTCGAAGAAGCTTGCTTAGAAATGTCCCTGACTGCTGTGGCCTCCACTTTGTTTCAAATGACAAATTTCTTAATGGCCTTGTTCTTGGGCACACATCAGGTATAGTTCGTGCAGCAAATAGGCTACACGTGGCCATGGCCCTTTTTGGTATGACCTTTGTTCCTTCTTTTATTTGTCATCTTGGAGGCACAGACTGGAGCTGGTCTCCCATTTTTATTCCTCTGTTGTATGCTTTTTTGCTTTCTTTTGGGCTTTATGAATGTGTTTTAGACTTCCTTTTTAACTTATCTATTGTATTTTTAACTATGCCTCTTGGCATTATTTGGTAGTGGTTGTTCTAGTGGCTATAATATGTATGTATTTTTTAAGTTTTTTATTTCCATAGGTTTTTGGGGGACAGGTGGTATTTGGTTACACAAGTTCTTTAGCGGTGATTTGTGAGATTTTGGTGCACCCATCACCCAAGCAGTGTACACTGCACCCTATTTGTCGTCTTTTATCCTTCACCCCCTTCCCACCCTTTCCCCCTGAGTCCCCAAAGTCCATTGTGTCATTCTTATGTCTTTGCGTCCTCATAGTTTAGCTCCCACTTTTGAGTGAGAACATACGATGTTTGGTTTTCCATTTCTGAGTTACTTCACTTAGAATAATAGTCTCCAATTCCATCCAAGTTGCTGCGAATGCCATTAATTCATTCCTTTTTATGGCTGAGTAGTTTCCCTTGGTGTGTGTGTGTGTGTGTGTGTGTATATATATATATATACACACACACACACACACCACATTTTCTTTATCCACTTGTTGATTGATGGGCTTTTGGGTTGGTTCCATATTTTGGCAATTGCGCATTGTGCTGCCATAAATGTGTGTGCAAGTATCTTTTTTGTATAATGACTTCTTTTCCTCTGGGTAGATACCCAGTAGTGGGATTTCTGGATCAAATGGTAGTTCTACTTTTAGTTCTTTAAGAAATATCCATACTGTTTTCCATAGTGGCTGTACTAGTTTGCATTTCCACCAGCAGTGTAGAAGTGTTCCCTGTTCACTGCATCCACGCCAACACCTATATTTTTTGATTTTTTGATTATGGCCATTCTTGCAGGAGTAAGGTGGTATCACATTGTAGTTTTGGTTTGCATTTCCCTGATCATTAGTGATGTTGAGCATTTTTGCATATGTTTCTTGGCCATTTGTATATCTTCTTTTGAGAATTGTCTATTCATGTCCTTAGCCCACTTTTTGATGGGACGTTTTTTCTTGATAATTTATTTGAGTTCATTGTAGATTCTGGATATTAGTCCTTTGTCAGGTACATAGATTGTTAATATTTTCTCCCATTCTGTGGGTTGTCTGTTTACTATGCTGACTGTTCCTTTTGCCGTGCAAAAGCTCTTTAGTTTAATTCAGTCCCAGCTATTTATCTTTGTTTTTATTGCATTTGCTTTTGGGTTCTTGGTCATGAAATCCTTGCCTAAGTCAATGTCTACAAGGGTTTTTCTGATGTTATCTTCTAGAATTTTTATAGTTTCAGGTCTTAGATTTAAGTCCATGATCCATCTTGAGTTGATATTTGTATAAGGTGAGAGATGAGGATCCAGTCATTCTCCTACATGTGGCTTGCCAATTATCCCAGCACCATTTGTTGAATAGGGTGTCCTTTCCCCACTTTATGTTTTTGTTTGCTTTGTCAAAGATCGTTGGCTGTAAGTATTTGGTATTATTTCTGGGTTCTCTATTCTGTTTCATTGGTCTATGTGCCTATTTTTATACCAGTACCATGCTGTTTTGGTGACTATGGCCTTATACTATAGTTTGAAATCAGGTAACATGATGCCTCCAGATTTGTTCTTTTTGTTTAGTCTTGCTTTGGCTATGTGGGCTCTTTTATGGTTCCATATGAACTTTAGGATTGTTTTTTCTAGTTCTGTGAGGAATGATGGTGGTATTTTGATGGGAATTGCATTGAATTTGTAGATTGCATTTGGCCGTGTGGTCATTTTCATAATATTGATTCTACCCATTCATGAGCATGGGATGTATTTCCATTTGTTTGTGTCGTCTATGATTTCTTTCAGCAGTTTTGTAATTTTCCTTGTAGAGGTCTTTCACCTCCTTGGTTAGGTATATTCCTAAGTATTTTATTTTTTTGCAGCTATTGTAAAAGTAGTTGAGATCTTGATTTGATTCTCACTTGGTCACTGTTGGTGTATAGGAGAGCTACTGATTTGTGTACATTAATTTCATATCTGGAAACTTTGCTGAATTCTTTTATTAGTTCTAAGAGCTTTTTGGAGGAGTCTTTGGGGTTTTCTAGGTGTATAATATATATTCTTAACATCTCACAGTCTACTTAGACTTAATGTTATAACACTTTCATGTAATATGTAGAAACATTGCCATCATATGCATCCATTGACTGTTTCCCATCCTTTATGCTATACGATCATGTGTATCACATTTCCATATACCATTAACTCTACTATGTAATATTCCCATTGAACAGTCTTCTTCCTCTTCTTCTTCTTCTTCTTCTTTTTTTTTTTAAGTAGGAGGTAATCTTTTGTGCTTACCCAGACTTTTAAATTTCTGATGCCTTATGAAGAGTGAAGTTTCCATCTGGTGTCATTTTCTTTCAGCCCAAAGAACTTCCTTTAGTCCTTTAGCATTGTTTCATAGTGAAGGTCTGCTGGCAATAAGTTCTTTACTTTTCTTTTATCTGAAGTGTCTTTACTTTGCTTTCATTCTTGAGGGATATTTCACCGGATATAAGATTCTTAGTTGACAGGTTTTTTTCCTTTCAACACCTTGGATGTGTTTTTTTCCCTTCTGTCTTCTGATCTCCATAGTTTCTGATGAGACATGATCTTGTTTCCTGTAGATAGTGTATGATTTTTCTCTGGGTGCTTTTAAGATTTTCATTTTATCTTTGGTCTGCAGCCATTTGATTATGATATGCCTACCTATGTTTTTTTTTGTGTACTTATTATTATTGGGGTTTTCTGAGAGTCTTGAATCTATATCATTTACCAAATTTAGAAAATTTTCAACCATTATATTTTCAAATATTATTTCTGCTCCATTTGTTTTCATTTCCCCTTCTGGCACTCTAATTACATATATGTTAAATCTTTTGTTATTATTCCACATTTCCCTAAGGCTTAAAATTTTTTCAGTCTTGTTTTTCTTTGATCTTCATATTGGATAATTTCTATTGATTTATTTTAAGTTCACTTATTTTTGTATTTGTCATTTTCATTCTGCATCCAGTCTAGTAATTTTTTTATTTCATATATTGTATTTTTCAATTCTGAAATGTTACACTTGTTTGATTTTTTTAATTTCTATTTTTCTATTGAGAATCAGTTGTTTCGTTCATTGCAAGCATGTTTGCCTTTACATCTTTGAGAATAGTTTAATAGCTGCTTTAAAATCCTTGTCTGCAAATTCCAGCATCCAGGTCTTTTCTGTGTTGGTCTTCATTGGTTGTTTTTTTCTCTTGAGAATGAGTAACATTTTCCTGGTTCCTTGTATGTTAAGTATTTTGGATGGTATCTTGAACATAGTGAGTCTTGTGTTGTGGAGATTCTGTATTTTGTTACATTCTTCTGAAAAACATTGACTATTGTGTTTGTTTCAGCAGGCATTTACTTTGTTGGACCCAAACAGCAAACTCTATGTTTCTAGTAGCAGCTATCCTATTACTTAGGATACTTTCAGTTGTACCAAGATCAATCTCAGTTATGAATCAGAGGGTAAAAGTCTCTTTTTTTTTTTTTTTGAGTAAAGATCTTGCTCTGTCACCCAGGTGGGAGTGCAGTGGCATAATCATGGCCCACTGCAGCTTCAGACTCCTGGGCTCAAGCAGTCCTCTTGTCTTAGCCTCCCAAGTAACTGGTACTATGGGCATACATCACCATGCCTTGCTAATAAAAAAATTTTTTTTTGTAGAGGAAGGATCTTGCTATGTTGCCCAGGCTAGTCTTGAACCCTTGGCCTCAAGTGATCCTCCCATCTAGGCCTCCAGAGTGTTGGGATTACAGATGTAAGCCATCATGCTCCTTCTGAAAAGTCTAAATAAAATATTAGCGAAATATATTCAGAAGTGAATTAAAGATAATTCACCATCATCAAACAATTTATTCAGTTGCCATAATTCATTACATGAACTGATTAATGGAGAAAAACCATATGATTGCACCTATAAATGCCAAGAAGATATTCGATATAATTTATCAGATATTTCTAGTTAAGAATGGATTAAAATATAAGTAGAAAGAAACAAAACATAAAATACATTTATCAGAAGGTAATTATAAGTATCATAATGAACCATGCAATACTGAAGCATTTCTATTAAAATTAGAAGCAAGATAGGCATGCCTGTCATCACCATATTATTAAACATTGTTTTAGGAGCCGTAGTTATTGTAATAATGTAATAATGTGTAATAAGTCTTATGTATATAAGACATGGATAAAATTTAAAATTATCTTTATTTGGCCGGGCGCGGTGGCTCACGCCTGTAATCCCAGCACTTTGGGAGGCCGAGGCGGGTGGATCATGAGGTCAGGAGATCGAGACCATCCTGGCTAACAAGGTGAAACCCCGTCTCTACTAAAAATACAAAAAATTAGCCGGGTGCGGTGGCGGGCACCTGTAGTCCCAGCTACTCGGGAGGCTGAGGCAGGAGAATGGCGTGAACCCAGGAAGCGGAGCTTGCAGTGAGCCGAGATTGCGCCACCGCAGTCCGCAGTCCGGCCTGGGCGACAGAGCGAGACTCCGTCTCAAAAAAAAAAAAAAAAAAAAAAATTATCTTTATTTGCATATGATATAATTGCATGCCTAAAAATCTTTAAAATTCCAGTGAAATGCATTAGAATTGATAAGATGGTTTCTTAAGTTTCTAGATGAAAGAAAAATATACAAAAATTTGTAGGTTTTGTTTACATCAATAATTATAAGTAGTAAGTTAAAATGTAAGAAGGAAAAGTATCCCATTCATGGTAGTGATAAAAATCTGTAAAATGTTTAGGAATAAATTTATCAAGAAACATACAGGGCCTCTGTGAAGAACATAGTTTAATTTTATTCTGAAGGACACTAACAAATACTGAAGAAATAAACCTGCAGTGTTCCTGGATGGAATGATTTAACAATAAGGAATGAAAATTTTCTAAATTAATAAATGTTTAGTGCTATTTCAATCAAAATTCTATTTTTTAATTTTTGGAACTAAGAAACATTATCTTAAAATGTATTTGGAATAATAATTGTCTGAGAGGAGCCAAGAAAATTTTGAAAAATACTTTGTGTAACAACTTGACTTTCCAAATATTAAAATATGTCCTCTAAGCTACAGTGATAAAAGCAGTATATTGGTCTTGGAACTAATACATGTATTTATATGTATATCTGAGAATATATTTATATTTATATGTTTATATAAAATATTTTAATTTTTATTTTCATTGTATCAGTATTTATATATAGGATAGTGTAGAAACATCAATTTATATATATTATAGTAAATGACAAATATATAATCTGAATGTAATGGGAAATGATGATTTATATATAATATAGACATAATTTGCCATCTGTCTGGAAGAAAACAAATGTAGACGTCGACTTTACATTATATGCTAAATTAAATTCCAGATGGATTAAAGCTCTAGATATTAATAACAATATAAAGTAATAGAAGCATATTTTAGAGAATAAAAGTTAGATAAATTTGCCCATAAAAAGACTAAAAACTAAAAAAAATACAACAAAATCTGTAAAAACTGTAGACTGGAGGAAAACATTTGTAACATGACAAAGGACTAAAATTTTTAATATAGAAAGATACTCTAAAAATTTATAGTAAAGCACAAACAACTCAAGTAAAAATGAGCAATGCATTCACTGCAATGTCTACAAAAAAGAAAAAAATCAAATAAAATGGGCAAAACATATCAAGACAATTATTTGAAGAGGAAATAGAAATAGCTAAAAATTTATAAAAAATATGCCCTTATTTCCAATAATGATAAATGTATAAGTGAAACCAAAAATGAAATTCTATTTTCTTCTCAACATATTGGTAAACATTAGAAATAACAATCATCTTCACTGGTTATGAGGATAAAGGAGAAGGAGACATTCATATATCGCTGTGGGGATATGAATTGCTGCCACCTTTTTGAAAACTAATAAGAATAGCCTCACCATTTTATTCAGTTTAGTACAGTGTTATTTGTGGTGGAAGAAACATATAAACATTTGGAACACCCATTGACTGGGAAATGTTTGAATAAATTATCGTATATTTAATATGAAGCAGATGTTAAAAAGAATGATTCAATAGGATCAATCATATGAATTGACCTGGACAAATGTCCATGGTACATTGAGCTAAAAATGAAGTTGTGCATACTGTGTTCCCATTTCTGTTTCAAAACCACAAAAATAAAAGAAAAATGACAATCAATTCCCCCTTAAAATAGCTTTTATGTATTAGGATGCAGAGGTACCGTATCACATTTTTAATACTGATTATCACAGGAGGGTGGGATTGGAGGGTGTGTGTGTGTGGCTTAATTTGCTCCCATGAGCTTGCAGAGCCTCTGTAATAAAAATAACCTGATATTTTAAAAGGCTGGGACCCATTTTGTAAGTTAAAAGAGCATCAGGGAGGAGGTGTAGACCTAGTCCTTCCCCTAACTCACAATGTGACATTTTCTGCCTTTATTTTCCTGTCTCTGAAGTGTGGGTGGTAATGACTGCCCTACCTACTTAGTGAAGATTAAGGATGAAGAGAAATATAGTTTGAATAGTTAAGACATTGAAATGCAAGCTATTATCCTTAAGAAAATTCTCAAACACTCTCACTTTACATAATGCGGGTGACAAAATCACCCAAGGAAGCATCGTCCCTTCCCAATGGTGATGTAGTGGGAGAGGCACTGAGCACCACAGAGGTAAACACTGGTGTCTCGAGCCATCGTCCCCATGCCCGTTTCCTCAAAATGTCTACTTGGTCCTAATCTCTCTCTCTCTCTATCCATCCACCTGTCCATCTATCATCTATCTATTATCTATTCATCTGTCTAATCAATCATCTATCATCTGTATCTATCCATCTGTATTAGTCTATTTTCATACTGCAATAAAGAACTGCCCAAGACTGGGTAATTTATAAAGGAAAGAGGTTTAATTGACTCACAGTTCAGCATGGCTGGGGAAGCCTCAGGAAACTTAGTCATGGTGGAAGGTGAAGGGGAAGCAAGGCACCTTCTTCACAAGGCAGCAGGAAGGAGAAGTGCTGAACGAAGAGGGAAGAACCCCTTATAAAACCATTAGATCTCGTGAGAACTCACTCACCATCATGAGGACAGCATGGAGGAAACCACCCCATGATTCAGTTACCTCCATCTGGTCTCTCTCTTGACATGTGGGGATTATTGACATTATGGGGATTATAATTCAAGATGAGATTTGAGTGGGGACACAAAGCCTAACCATATTATCATCCATCCATCCACCTATCTATCATCTGTCTATCTGTCTATCTATCTATGTCTGTCTGCCTGCCTACCCATCTGTTTGCCCATCCATCCATTCCTCCGTCTGTCTGTCTGTCTCTGAACATTATCCATCCATCCATCTATCCATCCATCCATCTCTCCATCCATCCATGCATCCATCCATTTATCCATCTATGTATGTTTACCTGTCTACTTTATCTTTCTACCTTATCTATCTTCTTAATTTTTAATCTCTAAAATTATAAGCCTCCCTCCATACAAGCAATAGAAAACACTGTGTAAAGATAGAATTCTTCTCCTCATCAGCCTGAAGTGGGTGAACTGAAACTCCTCACTTAGGCAGTTTGTTACCCTGCAATGCACATAGGTTGGATCTTTGACTTATCCCAGTCGGCATTTTGGAGTTTGGAGATCCTATGCTCTAGTCGCTAAGTGACCTAATGAGTGGGCAGTCTATGTTTGCTTCATTTATATACTGTGTGTCTAAATAAGAAAGCCACAGCATATGTGGCCTGTTTTTTTTTTTCTTTTTTCTGTTTTTGAGCTCATATCCTGGGTTTCCTTTATGACCAGGGATCAGAGAAGGCTGAAGAAGGTGGAGAAACTGAGGCACAAAAAGAGGGCAGTGAAGATGTGGGCAACCTCCCTGAAGCCCAGGAGAAGAATGTGAGTTTTCGCTTTTTCACAGCAGTTTGACTGGATTCTCTGCTGTTCGAGACTTTTACAGGGCTTGTACAACTTGACTCTGGGCACAAGCAGTCAGAAAGAGGGCAAGGAGCTGAGAGTTTAGCCAGGGAGGAAGCAAGTAATTTCTACTGATGTGTTAAGCACTGGAATCCTGGTGCAGAGAGGGCTAAAGGGAAGACAAAGGAGCCTGAACCCAGACCAGGAGGGAGCCGGCTGGACAAGGCTTGGAGAATTTGTTGTGGTGGTGTTATGGCTAGGTTAGGTGTATGCTCTTTATAAACAAGGGACCTTTCTGCTTGATCATGATTAATGACAGACTCCTAGCTTACACCCACCCAGGAGCCCTGCCCAGTGGGGAAATAGAGCTAAGGGAGTGCAGTATATCTGGCGGAAGACAAGAGGAACTTGAGGATAAAAAGGACTCCTTGGGGAGGGAAATTGACACTCAGTTAATTTAAGTTCAATCAGGGAAATAGCAGATCTTGGTGAAGTCACATGATTAATTCTAAAGGGGTTCCCATGCAGTAGCAGCAGGGTAAGGAGTGGGCAATGTTGGGGGACACTGTGGTTCTGTGAGTGCCAAGCTGACATAATAGGGGATGGGATGGGCCACTTCTTCAAGGAGTTCTGAAAATGTGCTGGGAAACCAGGCGCCAAGGAAGGAGCCTGGTGGGGCTGGGAATGGGGTGCAGGCATTGTTCTGGGCCTCCTTAGAGGAGAATGTTAGAGGGCTTCTCCACTGGGTCAGTTGTAGCAAAGACTATTTTTCAAACCCTGATGGTTTGCTAATTTATTTATTCTGGGAGAGGTGTGGGAGCTTTTATGAGAGCTGGATCCTCATTCACCAGATAGAATGTGGCTAGAAAGGGGCTGAGACCCACACCCACGCTATGGAAAAAGGGGTGTGGGGCTGGGCATCCATTTGTCTTTACCTCAAAGAACTTAAATTGGGAGGGGCTAGGGAAGGAAATTCCCTGATATTTAGACTTATATTTGAAGTAGACTGCTATTTCAAAATGTTGATATTACAACTCTGAAGTTTTTGTTTTAAAGAAAGACAAAATCTTCAATCTTGACCTAGAAGTTAGACGGTGTTTCATGGCAGCCTGTATAATTCAGAAACAATACTTTAAAAATTAAATATAGTGACCATTTCATTATCTTGTAATTAAAACATAATCTGTTTCACAATTTGAACTTTGCATGAGTTGCCTAATGCACCCTTACAGTCATATTGATGAATACTTTGAAGTTGAGTTTGCTTCTTTTAAGACATAGAGACAAAGATGAAAAGCATTACACCCCAGCCCCTTTCTCCCGTGAGACCAGCAGGAAGGTAGCATATTTATAATCAGATCCTGCCTCCTATAGCCAGGGTGGGCTTTGCTTCAGCTTCTCAGCCACTGGGCTGGGTTAGTTCTGTGAAGTGATGAATCACCCAGCTTGGACGTTCTCTTTGCTACTACATTTTAAAATTGTGAGCCTTTGACAAAGTCAATTATAATCTTGTGAATCCTGGTAGGAATTAAAAAAACCATTTTTTGTTATTTTTGTGTGGGCTATGGTGAAGAAATGACCGTAAGTGAAAAATATTTTTATTTTATATGAATATATTACTAACATCATATTATCAAATTTACTTTTCAACTCTTTAATGCCATTTATCCTACAGAAAGACAGATTCTGACTTCTTCCTGTTTGAAAACCAACACATGCTCTTTGATTTACTTTAATTCAATTAAATTAGAAAAACCCTCTGTGATTGTCAGTAAACAGATGAAAAATGTTGTAAAAACATGATTAACCCTTATGAGTGTATATGAAAATAGGCTGAATTTTAAAATTTAAGAAGGAGACAAACACCACTTAGATATTTAGAATGCTTGCATTTTGTGCTTCAAGAACCTACTGGCTTGTTTTGACGGTCTCTGGTTTGTTGTTAAAAGCTGAGATGGGGCCGGGCGCATGGCTCACGCCTATAATCCCTGTACTTTGGAAGGCAGAGGTGGGCAGATCACTTGAGGTCAAGAGTTTGAGATCAGTCTGGCCAACATGGTAAAACCCCGTCTCTACTAAAAATACAAAAATTAGCTGGCTGTGATGGCGCACGCCTGTAATCCCAGCTATTTGGGAAGCTGAGGTGGGAGGATCGCTTGAACCCGGGAGGCAGAGTTTGCAGTGAGCTGAGATCGTGCCACTGCACTCCAGTCTGGGCAATAGAGTAAGACCATCTCAAAAAAAAATTGCTGAAATGGGAGGACATTGTGGGCTATTTGTAAAGGCATCTCTCCTCCCAGGGCACCCCAGGCATAGACAGGCTGACAGGGAATCAGAAAGACAAGGGAGAGCTCTGTGTGTTTTGAACATTGATTTTGAAAGTATGAGACACATCCTAGTAGTTTCATGTAGGTATGACACCTCAGATAAATCCAAGGCTTTCAAACTCCTGGCTCCGTTGAAACCATCTTGAGGCTATTTCTTTTTGCTCCTCTTGGCTTGCTGTGGTTAAAACAGAGGTGCTCCCCTGGGCTTCCCTCATTAACCAACACGCTGCGGTGGATATAAAGTTTAGAATATTCGTGGGCCCACATTTGGTTCCTAAGACTCCTGGGCAAGGAATGTCAGCTTCCTTTATTGCTTTAAATTCCCTCTATCTGCTCCATGTGCCCACCTCATGGCTGGCAGGAGCTTCCAGCTGGGTGGGGTGTTTTGAAGACCCTGTCCTCCTGAGGGTCTCACAGCCATCCTGGGGTCGTTAGTGGTGACTGGGCAGGGATTGGGTGCTGGTTGTCTGTGGTGGTGTTTCTGCTGTCTGTCCCTTGGCATGGGCCAGACCCTCTGTTCTGGCTGGACACAGACTGGCCTTTCACAGTGGCTGGCCTTCTGACCGCGGACGCTGCTGCCTGTACAGAGTGCCTTGTGTTACTTAAATGCCCCAGCGGTCCCTGGCTCTGTTTCTGTGTATGAGCAGGGCCTGGGCAGTACCCCTCCTGGAAAATCCTTCTTTCCTCCCCAGTCTGGCCACCTCCGTCTTGCCAATTCCAAGCTCTTTTTTTTTTTTTCCTCAGGGACCGCCTAGCTTTATCACCCCATTAGCCTAAGGTTTTGAAAACCAAGGTCTATACTTTCTTCCTTAGGGGTGGAAAGCCAGAACAAATAGGTCGCCTGTGGGAAGAGAAAATAACTCTTACTCTGACCCCTCTACCCCCTCAGCTTTGTGTAGCAGAAAGAACAAGTCACAATTCATATCCTGGCCTTCAGCCACACTTATTATGAGAAGGAATAAAAACAGTTTTAAACATTTTATTCTGAAATAACTATAGACTCACAGGAAGTTTCAAAAATAAGAGTCTTGTGTGCCCTTCACCCAACTTCCCCAAATGGTGACATCTCATCTAGCCTTAATGAAACCAGAAATGCAATGCATTGGTGCATTTCTGTTAACTAGATGACAAACCATATCAAGTTTTTACCTTTTTTTTAAAAAAACCTGCCTTCATTTGTGTGTTAAAAACAATTGTCATGTGTGCAGTAAAAACACAAAACGAGCAAAAAACCTCTCTCCAGCACCTGGCAATGTTCAGTTGAGTGATAAACCAGGTAAATGCCTAAGTCAGGGACAGGCTTATCTGATCTCTGCTATGAAACATGCATACTCAATGCACACTTGTAGGCACTCATACAATTCCATTTAATGGAGAGGAATATTTACCTAATGTTTGACATTGATTAAAAAAATCAACAGAAATGGAAACAAAAACTATTATCTTCTTTAATGATATGGACTTCCCCTGACCACCTCCTCAACTTCCAGGGTTCTTAAAGACAAGATGCCAAGATGTAAATTCTGTCCTTGATAAAGGATTGAGGCAGGAGGACTTGGGAGGTCAGGAGGGTGAACACCGAAAAGACCATGACTTCATGCCTAGGAAGATCTTACCTGTAACTTTAGAAAATAGGGGACCTCATGGGGCCTGGCCTGATAACCCAGGGGAGGGTGAGGGGCTAAGGAACCGGCGCCTCAGGAGTAAAGGAGGAAAACAGAAAGTCAGCTCAGCTTCTGGGCATTCTCTAAGAAATGAACTGCAGACTGGGACATCATGAGAGCTTTAGAAAATGCTGGAAACATTGCACCTTGTGCAGGTTTGGTTTGTGTTTTTTGATCAAGGTACAATTATTTAAAATTGTATGCTTTGTGAACCCAGTCATCCTATCTGAAAGTCATGAGGCCCTTGCTTGACAGATAACATGATTATGGTCTGTAACCACCCCTCTCTGGCTTCCTCCAATAGCAGTCTTGAGAAAAGTTTCAAGGGGCAAACATTGATGTAGGTTTGTGGGAGGAGTCATGGGTCTCAGCCTGGGTCCCTGGAGTGCCTGCAGCTCGAGAGGACTCTGCCTCTGTCCTCTCATCTCTAGCCGCTCTGAGGCTGGCTGCCCTTGCAGGTCACGCTGGGCTAGTCCTTCACTATCTCCCACACCTGCCACCTGTTCCCAGTGAACGCTGCCTGGCACTCACCACCACGGACACCTGTCCTTAGTTCTGGCCACGCACCACCTCTGCAGTCTGCTTTTCTGGCCAAGTTTCCAACAAAAATAGCTGCTGTGGAAGGTTCTAAGACTTCCCACTTCTGAGGTTTCTCTCTTCTGGCTTTCTCTGAAAAACAAGGTGAAATTACTTTAAGGTGTATGCTTCCTCAAATGGTGATTATGTGAGATCTTGGCTTAATTGACTGGATGATTATAATTATCTTAAAAAAATGCTTTTGTGCCTATAATTACTTGCCAGCCGTGAAAGTCAATTCAAGCATTTTACATAGATAACTTTTAAGGATCTGCCTAATTCCAGTATTTTATAATTCTATGAACCAAGGTTGGAAGCTTAATTATTATTATTTTTATTTATTTATTTTTAGAGACAGAGTCTCATTCTGTCACCCAGGCTGGAGTGCATTGGCATAATCATAGTGGGCTCGAGTGATTCTTCCACGTCAGCCTCCCGAGTAGCTGGGACTATAGGCACAGGCCACCACACCCAGCTAATTTTTACATTTTTTGTAGAGATGGGGTCTTGCTCTGTTGACCAGGCTGGCCTCAAACTCCTGGCCTCAAGTGATCCTCCCTCCTCAGCCTCCTAAAGTGTTGGGTTTACAGGCATGTGCCACCACGCCCAGCCATTATTTTTAAAACTAATATATCCCACCTCATTCTATGGGGGATTTGAAGCTGAGCTGGAGTAGCATTACACAAATGCAGTCATTCAACATTTTATGGGCAGATTGAGTGCTGCCACTTGCCAGGCAGGACTCCAGGGACTGTGGAGGGAGCAGTGAAAATGACAGAGTCACTGCCCCCACAGAGCTTATGTTCTGGGGAAGCTTGTGGTGGTAATACCCAAAGTTCTTCCAAGCTTACTTATCCTTTCGAGGCTAAGTATTTTTATGCATTCTCTGAGCAATCACTTCCCCTGAGCAATCACTTTCCCTGCTAAACATATCTTTTAAGAAATTAAGGTCAATTCAGATATTGATAAAGAGTGCTAGGAGCCAGATGCGGTGTCTCACACCTGTATTCCCAGCACTTCGGGAGGCTGAAGCGGGTGAATCACCTGAAGGTCAGGAGTTTGAAACCAGCGTGGCCAACATGGTGAAACCCCATCTCTACTAAAAATACAAAAAATTAGCTGGGTGTGGTAGCGGGTGCCTGTAATCCCAGCTCCTTGGGAGCCTGAGGCAGGAGAATAGCTTGAACCCAGGAGGCAGAGGTTGCAGTGAGCTGAGATTGCGCCATTGCACTCCAGTCTGGGCAACGAGAGCAAAACTTCGTCTCAAAAAAAAAGAGTGCTAGGTTCCTCCATAGTTGTTGCTAGCTAACTATAAAAGTTGAGACTTACATTCCTATAAGACTTCCTACTGCCCCCCAGGCTAGCTCTACGGTTGACAGTATCTGGTTAATTCATTTGTTTCAACTGAATATAACTAATAAAAATAATTGGATTCAGAAGAATGTAAAACTCTACATAACCAATAATTCTATGGTACATATAATGAATTTTATTCTGATCCTATGTGAAGAAGAAGAAAATCAAAGTTCTTTGAGATCCAAAGAGTTACTAACAGATTTCATGTGTTCTTCTATCCAATCACTAACACCTATTTATCGAGCTTGCCTGTTGGTTCCAGAAAGTGGCCTGGAGGGGCCAGACAGTTCCCAGAGATCCAAAAATGAATAAGACACAGGTTATGCCCCCAAACACACAGACTAGTGAGGGAGACAGATAAGTAAATGATGATTATGGGAGCAAGTGAGAAGGTCCTTAACTCAACCTTATGGGTTAGGAAAGTCTCCTTGGAAATGTTTTGAGCATATCCTGGAAGGTGTGGCCAATGTGAGAAAATTGCATGTGACTCAGAATGGCTGAAGTAGAGTGGTGAGGGATGAGGCCAGAGGGGTACACAGAGCCAGATGGCCTTTTCACTGTTCTAAGGAGGTGTATTAGTCTGTTCTCACGCTGCTAATAAAGAAATACCCAAGACTGGGTAATTTATAAAGGAAAGAGGTTTAATGGACTCACCGTTCCACATGGCGGGGGAGGCCTCACAATCATGGCAGAAGGCGAAGGAGGAGCAAAGCCATGTCTTACATGGTGGCAAACAAGAGGGCTTGTGCAGGGGAACTCCCATTTACAAAACCATGAGATCTTGTGAGACTTACTACCACAAGAACAGTATGGGGGAACCCGCCCCCCTGATTCAGTTACCTCCACCTGGCCCCACCCTTGACACGTGGTGATGATTGCAAGTCAAGGTGAGATTTGGGTGGGTACACAGCCAAACCATATCAGGAGGATAGAGTATCTTGAGGAGATGGAAGTTTCTAAAGATGAGGGTAGTACAGTAAGGTTGGGTGCTTTTTGGAACGATCTCTCTGGCTGCAGTCTGGAGCACAGATTGGAGATGAGAAAGAAAAGAGGAGGTGATAATCACTCTTTAGGAGCTTCCTTCAGCAACCCAGTGAGCAAAGATGGTGGTCATGGCAGAGGAGGGGCGAGACATGGGCAGGATTAGGCAGGATTAAAGAGGCACGATCAACACGTCGCTGTGAAAGCAACCCCTGGATTTTGCAACAAGTGCCAGACTCTTCTCCTGCACATTATTTGAGCACCAAAACTTGGGGTGTCACCAGTGGCATTTAACGTAAAGGTTAGTTTGAAGATTCCCAGTGCTGAAAAAGTCCTCTTGGCCTGATTCAGACCTGGCTGGCACTGTCAGGCTTTCAAGTTCAGTGCCCGTCTCAGAAATAGGAAGGTATTGTTCTGGAAATGGCTAAAAACATGAAGTTGGGCCAGGAGATGTGGGAGTGTGTTGGATGCTGTATAACTTGCCTTCTGTGATATTTATTTATTTATTTATTTTAGATGGAGTTTTGCTCTTGTTGCTCAGGCTGGAGTGCAGTGGCGCAATCTTGACTCACCGCAACCTCCGCCTCCTGGGTTCAAGCGATTCTCCTGCCTCAGCCTCCCAAGTAGCTGGGATTACAGGCATGCGCCACCATGCCCAGCTAATTTTATATTTTTAATAGAGACGGGGTTTTTCCATGTTGGTCAGGCTGGTCTCAAACTCCTGATCTCAGGTGATCTGCCCGCCTTGGCCTCCCAAAGTGCTGGGATTACAGGCATGAGCCACTGTGCCTGGCCTACCTTCTGTGATTTTTAAAATTTTACTTTATAGACAAGGTCTTATTTTGTCACCCACGCTGGAGTGCAGTGGCATGATCATAGCTCACAGCAGCCTCAAACTCCTGGGCTCAAGTGATCCTCCCGCCTCTGCCTCTGGATGCCTGGCTAATTTTTAACATGTTTCATAGAGATGGGGGCGTCTTGCTATGTTGCCCAGGCTGGTCTTGAACTCCTGGCCTCAAGTGATCCTTCCATCTCAGCCTTCCAAAGAGCTGGGATTACAGGCATGAGCTGTTGTACTCTGCCACCTTCTGTGATTTTGATTTTTCCATTATTAATCTTGAGAGGCTGCCTGGTAGTGTAACAAAGACACTTAATTAGGAATCAGTAGACTTGCAGTGAGTCCTGATTGTGTTGACTCCTTGTCCTGTGACCTTTGACTTTGGCAAATGACTTCCCTCTGTGGCCTCAGTGTCCTCATCTGTATAAACATGGTGCTGGGTAGAGAATGTATATGACTGCAAGATCACATTCAGTGCCCCCCGTCCATGATTCCCTGAGCTCACTGCCTGAATTGTAAGGCATTAGGAATTTTTAGGGACTGCTCTCAAGAACCACATCTCTCTCTTTAATGAAAGCAATTGTGGCACTCTGGCTTCAGGGAGGTTTATCGGACCATTCTGGGAAGGGATGGAAAAGCTTTTGTTTTCTTCTTAGAGGCATTTTTAGGAGCTGTAACCTGGTTATTTTGCTTTGATCTGGGGGAAATAGAAATTCCAGTGGGCTGGTGGCTTGCACAGTAGAGACCTATTTGAGCCTTGGGTGACCCCACCCACTCTTACCTTGCAAATTTCTTTCTTTACCCAGAAATCAGTATTTAAAATACTTTGTGATTCAGAAATGTTATCATTTTGTTCTCATAGAGGAAAAGTTTTTGACCTACTTTTATTAACTTGTTCAAACCTGAAGTAAAGACATAGTTATAAGGGCATAAAGTCAGAAAAGACATTTTTGTTCAAATTTTTACATTGCTTGCATATGGTCTGAATTTCGCTAGATAGCACTATCAATCTTTGGTATGCTTTAGAAATAGAATTGAATGTATTACTAAGCAGTATTAATAATTACATTTTCTCAGGAGTTCAAGTGATGGGAAACGGTCTTTAATCTCACAGTTATTTTAAGAGCTTGAAATATAATGTATGAAAGAAGTAGGGATCACCCAGCTATCATATCTTTGCTATTTACTTATTTTATGGATAAACTAATGTGTTGTTCATTTTGATTAGCTTGTATTTTATTATAGTTTGCTTGATTTTCAGATTTGACTTTAAACGTACTTGAATTATGTTTTTTTCTTTAATTTTGATTTATGGATGTAAGGAAGAAGAAGGAGAGACAGCCACAGAAGAGGTACGGTCGACCATCTTTAACAGCTGTGCTTAATCTGCTTAATAAAAACATCTTTTAGGTGGGAGGATTGCAGCTTGAGGCACGTTCTTAATAACATAAGAGAGCGATGCAACCCACACACCCAGAAAATCCTCCTTTAACATGCTGAGAAGGAAAGTAAGTTGGAGATAAGTTTGTCCGAGGGAGGTGGAGAGAGAAACGGGGCTTGGCTGTGGACTCTGTTCGGAGCCCCCTCAGGTGAAGGTGTCTTCCGTGGTTTCTCACTGACATCAGGCCAGGCCAGGCCAGGGCACTGGCTGGAGATGCCTGCTCCTCGTCCTTTTCCACCCTGTTGAATGCACTGGGTTTAGGCATCCTGCATGGTGGTTAGTGGTGTTTTCATTGAGGGAGGGATTCCACCTATGTTTATGTTTTTGAACATCTTTGAATTAATCACTTTTATTGTTTTTTTTTTTTTTTTTTTTTGAGACAGGGTCTCACTCTCTTGCCCAGGCTGGAGTGCAGTGGTGTGATCTCAGCTCACTGCAACCTCCGCTTCCTGGGTTCAAGCGATTCTCCTGCCTCAGCCTTCTGAGTAGCTGGAATTACAGGCACGTGTCACCACACCTGGCTAATTTTTGTATTTTTAGTAGAGATGGGATTTCACCATGTTGGCCAGGCTGGTCTTGAACTCCTGACCCCAAGTGATCCACCCACCTCGGCCTCCCAAAGTGCTGGGATTACAGGTGTGAGCCACTGCACTGGGCCTGGATTAATCACTTTAAAATGCTAGAGAACTAACTTAAAATTATGAACACAAGGGTAGGGAGAATAATTTACTAAGTTACGTGTATTGTCTAGATGTTTCAGCACAAGGTCATCAACATTAAAAAGGGTCCCAAATGTCAAAAGAAATCCCCCCAAAGAAACTTTTGTTAACTTTTTTTTTTTTTTGAGACGGAGTCCCGCTGTTTAGCCCAGGCCGGATTGCAGTGGCGCAATCTCGGCTCACTGCAAGCTCCGCCTCCCAGGTTCACGCCATTCTCCTGCCTCAGCCTCCCGAGTAGCTGGGACTACAGGCGCCCGCCACCGCGCCCGGCTAATTTTTTGTATTTTTAGTAGAGACGGGGTTTCACCGTGTTAGCCAAGATGGTCTCGATCTCCTGACCTTGTGATCCGCCCGCCTCGGCCTCCCAAAGTGCTGGGATTACAGGCGTGAGCCACCGCGCCCAGCCTTTGTTAACTTTTGAAATGACAAAATTCATGATCTTTATAGAAAATTTAAAAAATGCAGATAGAAGAGGAAAATGAACATAGCTTTTAACCCTCGTTACCCAGAGATAACCACTGTAGCTACATACACACACACACACACACACACACACTGTAGCTACACACACACACACACACACACACTGTAGCTACACACACACACACACACACACACACTGTAGCTACACACACACACACACACCCCATCAATTTCTGGTGAATACTCTTGTAGTCTCCTTTTTTTTCATGGAATGTGTCTATATTTGGGGAGGTAGTCAGTACAGATCTGCTTCATCATTTTAAATGTTAATATATCAAACCAACCCCTCTTCTTAGACCTATAGATTATTTCTAGTATATTCTACACCATGATTTCTCAATATTTACGTCTTTCCAATAATTATTTCTTTTGTTTCTCTCTTGCTAGGCCAGCTTCAAAATAGAATTTTAAAAATAAGATAAAAACATATTGTTAATTTGGAAGAAATTCCAGATTATATATATAGGTTGCTGATAACTTTTGCTTCAAGAAATTAGCTTGTTACAAGAAAATGTAACCAACTTGTGCATTTAACAGCTCATCCTGACAAAATTCAATTTGCTGATTCTTTTTGTATTTGATTCTTCTAACTATATATATATATATATATATATATATATATATATATACTTTCTGAATTTGTAAAGGTTATTTGCTGAGAATGGTTTGTTAATATGAGTGGAGACTGTACACTTAGGTGGGATTATAAAACCTGTTAGGATTAACATATCATTCTAAAGCACCATTCTAAATTGAGGACTCTGTGTTTAGAAGGATGATTTTTTTTATGTGTGTGTATGTATGTGTGGTATGTGTGGTGTGTTGTATGTGTGGTGTATGTGTATTTGTGTGTGGTGTATATGGTGTGTGGTGTGTTTGGTGTGTGTGTGTGTGATGTGTGTTATGGTGTGTATGTTATGGTGTGGAGGGTATGTATGTGTATGTGTGATGTGTATGTGTATATTGTGTGTGTATTTGTGGTATATGTGATGTGGTGTGTGGGGTGTGTGGTCTGGTGTGTGTGTGTGCTATGTGGTGTTTGGTATTTGTGTGTGGTGTGTATGTGGTGTGTGTGCGTGGATGTGTGTCTGGGTGGTGTGTGGGGGGGTGTGTGTGCTGTGTGTCATGTGTGTTTCCGTGGTGTGTGTGTGTTTGGGCGGTATGTGTGTGGGGTGTGTGTGTGGCATGTGTTTGTGTGGCATGTGTGGTGTGTGTATTTGTGTGTTGTGTGTGTTTGTTTGTGTGTTGTGTGGTGGGGTGTGGGAGGCTTTGACCTCTAGTCCAGCATTTTACAGTCTTTTTCTCACTGTATCCTTGGCCCTTATGCTTCTTAATACTAATGTAAGTTTTGTTAAAATAAGACGGAAGAAATAGCCATGGAGGGTGCGGAAGGGGAAGCCGAGGAGGAGGAAGAAACTGCAGAAGGAGAAGAGCCTGGAGAAGACGAAGATTCCTAGGCCTTTTCATGCTTCATTTCTTCCACTTCTCCAGGTAGCTACAGGATTCTGGGGTGGAAAAGCTGCTAGTTACCGTACTGTATGCTATCTGCGGCACATTTTGCTTAGTAACAGGAGAAAGGGAATTCCAATTCAGGGCTGTCTGTCTCCTTCCAAAGCCCTGGTCTGCACACCTTTCTGGCGGGGTCCAGCTCCTTTCTAGAGCTGCGGGGCTGCTGACCTTTCGTGGGTCTGTTTCTTGCACACTAGGGCACAGAAGGCTATGGTTGATGGGATTTCTAGGAAAAAGTGCACCTTTGATGCAGGGAAGAGTTTTGTTTTGCATTTACTTCCTCCTCTTCCTCTATATAAACTTTGTTTGAGAGAAGATACAGCAAGTGTCCTTTTATCAGCATTCTGTAACCTCAACTCCTCCACCAACCACATGTACAACTTTAGGGGGGTGACTACTGATGTTCAGAATGATGGCAATAAATTATAACCTTAAAAAATCACAAAGCTGGTGTTGAGTCATGAAAGAAAATTATTGCTGCCACGGGTTTAGTCGTCAGTGCTTGGTACTCCATTTCCGTTTCTATTAACCAGAACGCTCCTCTGGAAACACCGGGGAACATGGTGAAGTCCCTTTAGGTATCTTTGACAAGTAAGCTCTTGCTGCCTTCTGGTTTTAAACTTCCCTTGATGATGGAAAATAATTATGTAATTCTTACTAGTTTGATAAGTGCCACATATTAGTGAACATTTATTAAGTGTTAATAAGACAATAGAATCTGATAATGGATCTTGAGGACATGGGCGAATGCTTAAATATTGTGAGCCATACAGATAGGACAGCATGCGTGAAAACCCCTAAAGACATGAAGTGCATTAGCCGGGTGGGGTGGCTCATGCCTGCGGTCCCAGCTACTTGGGAGGCTGAAGCCTGAAAATCACTTGAACCCGGGAGGCAGAGGTTGCAGTGAGCCAAGATTGCACCACTGCACTCCAGCCTGGGTGACAGAGCAAGACTCTGTCTCCAAAACAAAAACAAAAACAAAAAACAAAACAAAACAAAACAGAAGACATTAAGTGCTATAAAAATATCTGTTTTTTCCTGATATTTGGCAAATACCTAGGTACATGTTGTATTATTATTAATATGATTGGCTTTGCAACTGAATTTGAGGCCATAGTTTATTCTCTAGGGCAACATTGCTCATGGTTTTGCTCTGGAGCTATAAGCGTTTTTTAAAAAATTTAAAAAAGTTTAGTCTTTTTATCTCCCATATTATGCCTCCACTGAAAATTAAGACGGCTTTTTGGGCTGTTACTCTCAGGAGATAATGATGGAATATGCACTCATTATTCTCTAAATGAGAGACACTTATCAAACCAGTAAGAATTACATAATTATTTTCCATCGTCAGTAGAAGTTTAAAATTACAAGGCAGCAAAAGCTGACTTGTCAAAGATACCTAAAGTGACTTCACCATGTTCCCCAGGCAGGTCTCTAGTTAAGAATTGGTGCATGTACAAAGAAGGGTGGATAGAAGGGTTTATTTGGAGAAGGAAGAAGAAATCTTTGGTGCTCTTTAAAAATTGGCTGACAAATAGCAATGCTCTTTGCACCAAAGTCCAATTTGAATAGTAGGGATGTCCCTTCTTAATAGACTTACAAAAAAAAGCTGATATAAAAAGCACTTAATCTATTTTTAGAGCATCTTGGAGCTAGTGAGGGTGGCCATCACACTTTGTTATTGGACCATAAAGGTTTTGTCATTCATTTGCTTGAATGAGAAAGTGATTCTAGCCCACGATTTGATGTCTCTCCAGGGTGTTTCTTTCATGCTCTGGACCCACAGACTTCTACTTTAAAGCCCTCTGCTTGCCACTTGGTTACAATTCCATTTCTAAGGAGTGGGTTGGGACTCATTTTTGAAAAAAAGGAAACTGGCAAGCTTAAGATATTCTACCTGAAGAATGGTAGAAAATGAAAATATGATTATATTTATCCTCATACCAGAAACAAAACAAAGCAAAACCCACAGTAACAGACTCATTGGTCCTGTTTAAATCCATGTCTGTTCACTCAGCTTGGAAAGTTCTTTAAAAATTGTGCAGTTTTAATGTGATAATTATAAAGAAATATTGGATGTGAAATGGCACAGCCGAGAGAGAATCTTTAATGTAGACAGATGGCTTCTTTATAGGCCATTTCCAAAAAAGAAAGAAAAAAAGGCAAGTTACAGTTGTGGCTAGCACATTCTGCCTGTTTCTCTGATGGGTTCTAGTTTGGAATCCAGTCCCTAATAGTCTGTTGTGAGGTCAAAATGTCTGACAGTGAAGGAGTAAACCAGGCAGCACCCTAAATCCCAGCCACTGACTCCCGAAGAGAGTCAATAACCTTTAAAATGCGACATGATGATGCAGTCAGGTATTCTGCAAACTATTTGGCTTCCAAAAACAAACCCATCTCATAACTCATAGATTATCCATGCATTTTATTTGAAAAGACGATTTTAGACAGAACAAGGCAATGAATGGAACTATGAAAGAATTCTCATTTCCCATAGTTGAAGTTGGAGTCAGAATCTATTATTATTATTATTTATTTATTTATTTTATTTTTTGAGACAGGGTCTCACTCTGTCACCCAGGCTGGAGTGCAGTGGTGAGGTCATGGCTCACTTTGACCTCCCTGGTCTCAGGTGATCCTCCCACCTCAGCTTCTTGAGTCGCTGGGATTACAGGCACGCACTACTATGCCTGGCTAATTTTCGTATTTTTTGTAGAGATGGGGTTTCACCATGTTGCCTAGGCTGGTCTCGAACTCTTAGGCTCAAGTGCTCTGCCCACCTTGGCCTCCCAAAGTGTTGGAATTACAGGCATGAACCACCACGTCTGACCTAGAATCTAAATTGATGTTTGAGTCCCAGGGCAAATAATGTCCAATATGAGACTGGATTCTACCTCCCCAAAGCTTGCCACTTAATACCTTCTTCTGGTGTAGCCATGAACCATTTAGAGCTCCGCCTCTGGGACCAAGCTGTCAATTCAGCCTATTTTCCATGAAAACACAGTGGGAAATTATAATTGGAGATGTTGTCTTCCTTATGGTGTTTGATATGTGTTTATGCAGAGAAAGGATATAAATCTAGCTTAGTTTTCCATGAGACAAATTCCCTTTCCTTTCAGTGGGGAGCAAATGATGACTAGTGGTTTATAGAATAAAAGGCAACACTTTCCTTTATTGTATGTTAAGTGATGAAGATTGTGGTAAACATTCTGTGTCTTTCTCTACAGTCTTTCCCTAATATTTGCCTTTTCTTTTAGAAAATGGAAGCTATGAAGCAACATTTCAAATGTCTCTCCACAAACCAAACTCAACAGAATACTTTGGCTTGAAGCCGGCACACCCAGGGTTACTGAGGACTTATGCTGCCTGACCTGGTTAGATGTACATGGAGGTATCTCCCGAATCATACAAAATTAAATGTGAAGACCGTTTATGCATACCTTCATGTGCCTGACAGTCTTGGCTTTTGAAGATTTTTTTTTCTTTTTTGCTCTGCATAGCTAGACCATCTTATTAATAATACTCTGAAAAAAATGATTTCAAGGCATGGAAGTTCTCTGTGATACAACAATAGTATTTCTTCAAATGCGCCTTATGCTACTTATCTCAGAAACAGGTTTTAAAATGAAGTGCTTTCCAGAGAACCATCATATAAATAAAGATTAATAGAAAAATATCTTGTCCCAAGGAGCATCATTTCATTATTTATAGTCTCTGCTTGCATATGCCTGAACTCCGTCTGTCTGTTGCCAAGTCTAAATCTTCAGCAGCACTTTTCTGTCTGCGTTGGGATCGATGTCTTTTATTGCACTGATTATTTGGTCCATGTTTTCAATTGCATTGATTGTCTCATTACGTCGTATTTTTTTTTTTATTACACACACGTTGTGCGTATCATCTTTGAAGCCTTATCTAACTGTAACTTTATCATCCACTTGTGTGGGGATGATGGTAAGGAGGGATGATGGTAAGGACAGAAATCTGCAACCCAGTGCCCTTCACACGTTTCTGAGCTGAAGGGAGTGGCTGCTTCTGTTTCTCCTGCTGTTGATTGATTTGTAGCCATGGCTGTGGAGACGGGTCCTGTAATTTTTCTTCCTGATGGCCAGGAGTGTGTGTTCACCTACAGCTGATCCAGCTCCAATGACTTGTACACCAGGTAAGTTTGATAGCATTTCTCTGCTCACCTGCCTGCCTCAGTTTACTGTAGATATTTTTTCTTCCTTGTAAGATTTTGATATTCCCCCTGCTACCTCCCTGCCTATGTGTGATTCCTTGTGTTTTTGCAGCAAATGTTGCTCCTGTATTGTCAGAGGGGCTCATCTCCTTGCTGTGCTCTTTTCCTATTTCATGTTAATTATGGCAATTCAACTTGGAGTGGCATAAACTTTCCCCTCTGGAGTCTGCCTCCTAATTTTGCAGCAGAGTCTGTTGGTGTTATTTCAGAGTGTATTCTGCAGTTGCAGAAGTCTCGTGGCTGTCATGAACTCTGGGAAACGGCTCTTTTCTTGTTACCCTAGTAACAAAAAAAGGCATTTTGAATAGAATTAGGTTATTTTGTTTCCAATCATTGAAGTAGTCTGTGTTAAAAACATTTCTCCCTTTGCTTAAGGTAAAAGACCACAGTAAAATGGAAATTCATATAATTGAAAATTAATTTCTACTTTTAATTTCATTGCACTAAATTATGTCCTATCTAAAAAGCTTGCATAATTTTTACAACAACCCCCTACACAAATAGGCCTTAACTTTCTTCTTCTTGCTCAGGGCTGACTTTTCTCTCTTTCATGGCAGAGTAGGATGGAGATAGATTTAGTTAGGTGCCAATTTTCCTCCTATTTCTCTCTCTCTCTCTCTCTTTTTTTTTTTTGAAACAGAGTCTTGCTCTATCGCCCAGGCTGGAGTTCAGTGGCAGGATCTCAGCTCACTGCAACCTCCGCCTCCCAGGTTCAAGCAATTCTCCTGCCTCAGCCTCCTGAGTAGCTGTGATTACAGGCACGTGCCACTACGCCCAGCTAATTTTTGTATTTTTAGTAGAGACAGGGTTTCACCATATTGGCCAGGCTGGTCTGGAACTCCTGTCCTCAAGAGATCTGCCCACCTTGCTATTTCTCATATTTTAAAAAGAAAATAAATATCTATGCTGACAATAAGCAAAGATAAAAACCCAGACCACTTATTTAAATTGAATTAATTTTTTCTTATATTGTTTTCCTGTAGTCAGAAACATTAACATCTTAGAAGGGTATTTGTATTTGCTCCTGTTTCATTTTATTTAAAGTATCACTGAAATGCAAAAATCACTTAGATCAATAGTACCCTATGGATGGTATCAGTTCTCTTCTAGTTTTGGCTTCAGCTGTCCCTTCAGCCTTCCATGGTTAGCAATCCAGTGGCACAGTGAGGAGAATCCCAGATATGGACTGTATGGTATCAAAATACGATTAAAAAATCTGAATGCTTTTCAATATAGGAAGCTTCTAGAAACTAAGCAGCATTGTGAATCTGTAAAAAAGAATAACTCACAAGGAAACCCCAAGTGAATAAGGAAAATCATTTTGAAGAAAAACCAAAAGAGACCAGAGAAATGGAATAATTGCATGATGATCTGAAGTGAATCGAAGTTCAAAGAGCTTGGTTTAATAGTATAAAGGAGGCCTGAACACGCAAAGGAACTGTTTCTTTTCTTTCCTTTTTTTTTTTTTTAATTAGAAAAGCAACTACACAAAAATTTGAGTGTATTTTTTTTCCAGCCACTGAACAATACACTCTCCTTTCCCCACTCTCCTCTCCTGGGCTCCCTCTCGTTTCTTTGGACTGAAATCTTCCTTTGTGGTTGTCTTTGAGTTCTTAGTTTTCTCAATGAAATGTGAAAGGTATAGGAAGAGAATGAACTGTATTGCCTGCAAAGATTCTTTGGAAATATTTACAGATTTTTTTTCTTTTTTTTTTTTTGGAGACAGTGTCTCGCTCTGTCGCCAGGGTGGAGCGCAGTGGCACTCTCACTGCAAGCTCTGTCTCCCAGGTTCAAGTGATTCTCCTGCCTCAGCTGCCGGAGTATCTGGGACTATAGGCCTGCACTACCATGTTTGGCTAATTTTTGTATTTTTAATAGAGATGGGGTTTCACCGTGTTGGACAGGCTGGTCTCGAACTCTGACCTCAGGCAATCTGCCCACTGCAGCCTCCCAAAATACTGGGATTACAGGCGTGAGCCACCATGCCCAGCCTACAAATGTTTTCTTTCAAAACTCATTTACCCGGGCCAGGTGTGGTGACTTATGCCTGTAATCCCAGCACTTTGGAAGGCCGAGGTGGGTGGATTGCCTGAGCCCAGGAGTTCAAGACCAACCTGGGCAACATAGCAAGACCCCATCCCTACAAAAAATACAAAAATCAGCCAGGCATGGTTGCGTGTGCTTGTAGTTCCAGCTACTCGGGAGGCCAAAGTGGGAGGATTGCTTGAGCCAGCACTCTAGCCCAGCCCATTGATCACGCTACTGCTCTCCAGCCCGAGTGACAGAGCAAGACCCTTTCTCAAAAACAAAACAAAACAAAACAAAAAAACCGCACCTCATTTAACTGTTAACACCTGTGCAAGCACGGCAAGTAGGTGTGAAGGGCCTGGTACATTGTAATAACAGAGAATGGCCATTAGGTGGCGATAAAAGACAAGCTTCTTGCTATGGTGTCGCTGCCCCCGAGGTCCCCTGGCTGTGAACCCGAGTCAGGGTACTGCTAGTTGACATTAGAAGGTGGGAAGAGGTATTTGTCAACCAGATGGAGGAAAATAGACAAAAACTCTACTTATAATTAATTTGTGAATTAATTAGTGTATCATTTATAAAGCTTTTATCCAAGATAACTTTATTTTGGGCCAAATGTGCATTTATTGTTTGAATGCACATCCTTGCATTATACAAAAGGAGCCTAAATTCAGTCAACAACTGATTGCATGTTGACAATTTTGATAAAGATACGGGGTCTTTTAGCCTCTAATGGGGTTCTATCTTATCAAATAAGTAAAAACAGAACTCTGATTATTGAAGGGGTTGATTATCCTTTTCTTTCGCAAGACTTTTAGTTCGAATAGAACATATGTCCAAATATTTGGAAATATATTCACGATCCTAACAAAGGCATTCCTTTCACAGTTGTCTAGGTTACTTGGCTTTTTCACTACTTTGTTTTGGAAGGACTTTCTTGGAAGTAGTAAAACTGAGTTGGGAAATCTTTAAAATGTATCAGTGCATCTGGCTGTTTTCCAAATCAGAAGTCAGGAGATTGTTCAATGATGCGGAAATGTACTCAGGTGTGGAAGATTCCAGTTGGGGAGGGGCTCAGGTGGACAGGTGTGAGTAGCATAGAGGGGGCGTGGAGTGGGGGCTTAACCTGGGGGGCTCCTGGTTCCAGTCCGGCATTCTGTAGATTTAGCACCCGGATCTTGTCAGGGGAGGTGAGAGAAACCTCCGAGGCAGACTCCCATGAATCAAGCTCACAGTCTAGGCTTACAATCAGGGTGTGGGCTTTCCTATTATTTTTATTCACTAACACTAACGGAGTGCCTGCTATGAGCCGGGCTCTGTATTAAAGGCTTCGTGTGTTGCCACAGTAACCCGATGAGGTGGATACCATCTTTATCTGGCAAGGAGGAAACTGAGGCACCGGGTTTCAATTCAGTACTTCGGCAATGGCTGAACCGAAGCTGAGATATACCTGTGTCCCACTCCAAAGCCACGAACAGCCTTCCCAACAAGCCCTTTCCTCTCGGTCCTGGACCACAGTACGGTTCCTCTACGGTGCCTGGCTGGCCGTGGGCAGTGTGCGCCTTGGCCCCAGAGCGCCTCCTCCGCCTGGCTTTGGTCCTCGCATTCTGTCTTCAGACTCGATGCCGTTCGGGCCCTGGTGCAAGGTGCCTTGCCCTTCTCACTTACTATCCACCTATTTTGTTTTCTTAGTTGCACCATCAGAGGTCTATTCCATTACCTTCATCTTCCAGTTCTTTGGGCCGCTAGCTGTGGCCGCCACCACCAGCGCCAGTTACAGAGGGAACTGGGTCACTGTCCACCCACAGGGTTCTAGAAATTGGTCAGTGGCCTCAGATCCGAAGTTTCAGGTTGCAGAGAGAAAATACTAAAACTGCCACCTGCCTTTTCCAGCCTGGTTGTCCTTGGATATATCTTGCCCACTGATGCGGAAGGACACACACACACCAATAACTCATTTGGTTCTGAGCTATCAACTGCCACGCAGTGATGTGCCAGAGTTGCAACCAGCCCCACATGGTATTTTTAGCTGAGAGAACAACTCCTTCTAGTTGAGGATGGTTTAATGAGTGCGTCTTAATCCCATGACATGAATTTTAGTTCGTTTTGTAGCAGGTCAGGTTTCTCTGTAGTCCCTGCTTTTTAAAAAATTATTTTTAATTTTAAATTAAAAATTTTGTGGGTACATAGGTGTATATATTTATGGGTTATATGAGATATTTTGGTACAAGCATGCATTTTGTTTTTTTGGGAAAGTTTTTATTTCTCCTTCATGTTTGAAGGATATTTCCACTGCATGTACTATTCTGGGGTAAGTATTTTCCCTTCAGCACTTCAAATATGCCATGTCACTTTCTCCTGGCTTGTAAGGTTTCTACTGAAAAGTCTGTTGGAGGTCCATTGTACGTTATTTGTTTCTTTTATCTTGCTGCTTTTAAGATCTTTTCTTTATCCTTGACCTTTGGGAATTTGACTATAAATGCCTCGAGGTAGTCTTCTTTGGGTTAAATCTGCTTAGTGTTCTATAACTGCCTTGTACTTGGATATTGATACCTTTCTCTAGGTATGGGAAACTCTGTTACCTTCCCTTTGAATAAACTTTCTGTCCCTACCTTTTTCTCTACCTCCTCTTTAAGGCTAATAACTATTAGGTTTACCCCTTTAGGCTACTTTCTAGATCCTGTAGGATTGCTTCATTGTTCTTTATTCTTTTTTCTTCTCTGTGTATTTTCTTATTTTTGATGCACTTTTTGTTTCAATAATTTTTGGGGTACAGGTAGTTTTTGTTTACATAGATACGTTCTTTAGTGGTGATTTGTGAGATTCTAGTGCACCTGTCACCCAAGCAGTGTACCTAATATGTAGGCTTTTATCCCTCAACCCCCTCCCAAACATCCCCTCAATCCCTTAAATTTCATTATATCATTGTTATGCCTTTGTGTCCTCACAGCTTAGTGCTCCCTTATAAGTGAGAACACATGATATTTGGTTTTTGATTCCCGAGTTACTTCACTTAGAATAATGGCCTCCAGCTCCATCTAAGTTTGCTGCAAATGACATTATTTCATTCCTTTTTATGGATGAGTAGTGTTCCGTGGTTGTATATATACCACATTTTCTTTATCCACTTGTTGGTTGATGGGCACTTAGGTTAGTTCTATATCTTTGCAATTGTGAATTGTGCTGCTATAAACATGCATGCGCATGTGTCCATTTCATACAATAAGTTCTTTTCCTTTGGGTAGATACCCAGTAGTGGGATTGCTGGGTCAAATGGTAGTTCTATGTATGTAGTCTGGAGATTCTTTTAAGAATCTCCATTCAGTTTTCCATAGTGATTGCACTATTTTACATTCCTACTGGTGGTGTAAAAGTGTTCACCATATCTATACCAACATCTATTGTTTTTTGACTTTTTCATTATGGCCATTCTTGCAGCAGTAATGTAGCATCTCATTGTGGTTTTAACTTGCATTTCCCTGCATTCGTGATGTTGAGCATTTTTTTTGTATGTTTGTTGGCTGTTTGTCTTCTTTTGAGAAATGTCTATTCATGTCCTTTCCCACTTTTTGATGGGTTATTTGTTCTTTTCTTGATGATTTGTTTGAGTTCCTTCACCAGTTATACTAGGTATGGCCATTTTACATAATCCCATATTTCTTGGAGATTTTGTTCATTTATTTTGATTCTGATTGGGTTAATTCAAAAGCCTTGTCTTCAGGCTCTGAAATTCTTTCTTCTACTTGTTCTAGTCTATTCTTAAAACTTTTCACTGCATTTTGTATTTCCCTAAGTGTGTCTTTAATTTCCAGGAGTTCTAATTGGTTTTTCTTTATGATACCCATCTTTCTGGAAAATTTTTCATTCATATCCTGAATTTTAAAAAATTCCTTTATTTTGTTTTTCACCTTTCTCTGGTATCTCCTTGAGTAGCTTAATAATCAATCTTCTGAATTCTGTGTCTGCTATTTCAAGGATTTTAGATTGGTTTGAATTCATTGCTAGGGAGCTAGTGTGATCTTTTGGGGTGTTATTGAACCCTATTCTGTCATATTACCAGAATTAATTCTCTGGTTCTTTCTCATTTGGGTAGACTATTTTTTCAAATTGTTCTTGAATGTATTTGACTGTATTTTTTTCTTTAATTTCTTTTTTTTTTTCTCTTAAGGGTCTGACTTCAATGTTTATAGTTTATTATAGCCTAATTTGATTCTTGGTGATTTTAGGGGGGAAGACTCCGTATGAGTTCCTTAGTTATAGAGAGTCTTTGTGTGCTGGCTTTCCCAGATGTTGGCTGTAGTATTTATGTACTTGGTGTATGGGCAAGTTCACTGTCTCCTACATGGTTGGAATAGCAAGGATCTCTTGAAGCTTATCTCATTCTCCCATTGTGAACAGTTTTTAAATGTATTTGATTTTTCCCCAGCATTTTATTTACTGAGTTGATGATTTAGGCTTCAGGCCAGTAGAGGAGGTAACCCTGGGTAGACACCAGTTGTAGCTAAAACAGGTAGGTAGCTGTAATACCCAGTGGTGGGCGCAGGTTCCAGCCTTGATGAAGGTGTCTGAGGGAGCTCTCAATTAGATGTCTAAGGTTTTATCAGGGTAAAGGGTGGGAGCTACCTCAGCTCCCCTGCCAGGCCAGCAGGAAAACTACTTACCTCCCAGCTTCACTCCTGTCCCAGTGTTCTGGCTATTCAGATCAGACAAGCACTTCTTTTCATCTGTAGGAATGTTGATGTTCCAAGTAGAGAGGGGTTGTGACTCTGCCTCCCACGCAAGCCTAAATCTGAGGAGTGCTCCTCCTGTGGGGATGCTATCACCCTGAATTGTACCAGAAGGCTGACCATAGGTGCATCCATGCTGCATACCCATGAGAGAAGCACCAGCTGTGTCTGCAATGGTGTACCAGAGAAGAACAAGAACCCCTTTTCCAAGACCCTTCATGTACAGACAGGCTGCCTGCCTACTGGGGCAGACTTTCCCTACTGTCCCTAGCAATGCAATTGTATCTCTGAAACTTCCCATTAGTGGATAGATCTGGGACTCAAGACCTGCTGTTTAGATTCTTTCATCTGGGTATTCTTCCCTTTGATGTTGTATTCCTCCTCTTCCCTAAAAATGGGAATTCCTGAGAACCATACTATAGGGATTGTTATTGCTCTCCTGGGTCTAGCCACCCAGTGGGGCTACCAGATTCCAGGCTGGTGTTAGGAAATGTCTACAAGGGATCCAGTAATGTGACCTGTCTTCAAGTCTCCCATCTGTAGATACCAGCACCAGCTCTGATGGAGGTGGCAGGGGAGCAATGTGGATTCTGTGAGATTCCTTGGTTGTAGATAGGCTTAGTGTGTTGGCTTTCTTGAATGCTGGTTATAATTGTAGTGAACTTGTCATGTGGATAGACTCAAGACCTCTGGTTAGCCAGGGTGCTGTATGCAGAGGTGATAGCTGAGGTCACATGACTGTTTTCTCCTTCCTGGGCACAGTGTTATTCTACTCAGAAGTGCTACAATGGACTGTGTTGGTTGGCCTCCATCCAGGAGGTGGTGATTGCCAAAGAGCACTAGCTGTGGTAGTAACAGTGGGATTTGAGCTTGCCCTAAGTTGCCCTGGGAAAGTATTCTGGTTTCTCAGGCAATGGGTGAGGCTATAAAACTCCCCAAAATTTATGTCCTTTGTGTAAAGCTACTAGAGTGGGTGGAGGGGCACAACCAGGTTGGGGCAGGGTTAGGCAGGTCTGCACTCTGACTCTCCTTGAGCAGGGTTAGTGACAGCTCCCGCAAGGGTTGGGGAAATTTTTTTCATGCTGCTTGGGTAATGTTCTGGAGAGGAGCATAACTGCCTCTGCTGCACAGGACAGTTTGCAAAGGGAGTGGGGAAAAGTGGGTAGCAGTAAGTCTCATGCAGCTCCCATGCATTTGGCAAGGCTGATCTCACTCCTGCAGTACTCTGCTAACAGTGCTGGGTTAGATCCAGGCAGTCTGTGCACAGAGCTGCGCCAGGCCATCAGCTTCCCTGCACAGATAGCAATCTTGGCTTTCAGGTCACACTGTTCCCCATCTGCCCACAAGGCTGGGTACCCAGCTCCTGAGGGTAGTGTCTGTAGAGCACTTGCCATTCACCCCTCCCTAGATTCTGCTCAAGGGAATTTGTCCCCACCTGAGATTATATTATAAAATTCAGTTGAAAACTTCTTAATTCAGTTGAAAGCTTCTTTTAAGTTGTGACCCCTCCCTGAGTTCGTTGGCTGACTTCTCTGAGGACCCCTGTGGGATATAATCAGGAATGGCTTCCCCCAGTTCATGCTGGAGACTGGGAATGCCTGCAAGGCACTTCCTGCTGCTGCTTCCACTTTTATCTTTCATGTCACTCCCTGAGTCTGTTCCAGCTCTGGGTAGAGTTAAGACCTTCTCCCATGGCCTGGATTTTCAGATTCCATGGTGGGTGTGTGTGCTCTGGAGGCAGACTCTCCCCCTCTCACACTCCGGGGACTTAAACAGTTTCTTACTTGTCTCATAGGGTAGGCTGCAGCCTGCCACTTCTTTCAAAGGTCTGTGGATTCTTTTGGTTTTCTTGTTAAGTTCCTGCTTTGATTCTTGGAAAAAAAAAATTCATTGTGAATCTCTACACAGTATTCTTTCCTTCCAAATATGAGAGACACACTAACACTGCCTCCGATCTGCCATCTTGGAAAAAAACCTGACTGTGTATTTGCAAATAGCCTGTCTTCAAGCTCACTGATTCCTTATTCTGCTTGATCAATTCTGCTATTAAAAAACTCTGATGAGGCTGGGCATGGTGGCTCACGCCTGTAATCCCAGTACTCTGGGAGGCCGAGGTGGGCGGATCACGAGATCAGGAGATCGAGACCATCCTGGCTAACACAGTGAAACCCCATCTCTACTAAAAATATAAAAAATTAGCTGGGCATGGTGGCAGGCACCTGTAGTCCCAGCTACTCAGGAGGCTGAGGCAGGAAAATGGCATGAACCTGAGAGGTGGAGCTTGCAGTGAGCCAAGATCACTGCACTGCACTCTAGCCTGGGAGACAGAGCAACACTCTGTCTCAAAAAAATAGAACAAAACTCTGATGAATTCTTCAGTATGCCAATTGCATTAGAAGTCTACCTAGTATTCTATTGTACTGCAGCCAAGCTGGCACTCAAATCATTAGACACAGTCTCTCCCGTTTCAACAGGCAGAGGAGCCTCAGTCACATGGCCACTATTGCCACAGGCCCACGAGGAGTACTGCCAGGCTCCTGCCAACGTTCACTTAAGGCCCAAGGGCTCTTCAGTCAGTTTGTGGCTCTTCAGTCAGATTCTGGTTAGGCCCCAGGAACTAGAGTCTTTTTAAAAGCTCCCCCAGCCTGCTGCCTTGAAGGATGCTGAAGTCCCTGCACTTGCTAACACCAACAGCCCAGGGGAGCTGGGTCCTGCCTCCACCAGCATTCCAGTGGTGGAGCTTCAATGAGGCTGGGCACCATGTACAGTGCCGAAGACCTCCTGATCACTCATGGGTACAAACTGTTGAGAGACCTCCCAGCACCACGCAGGGATAACCCTGAGGGATGCCAGCCAGCAAAGACAAGGATGCGAGTGGTCTGTGGCCTGCTGAATAGGCATGAGGATGGCCCTGCGGCCTTTGCACATCATAAGACACCTGCTGGGAAAGGGCGTGGGAGTGACTCTGAAAGCTGCCGCGCCACACTGAGAGGCCACGGGGATCCCCAGAGCACTTCTGCTTCTAGAACCTCTGAGGCAGGGCTTCATAATCAACCAACCCCAGACTGTTAATGACCAAGCCAACTGGAGAAGAGGAGCGCGGGAAGTCAGCAGCCTGCTGGGTCCGAGGGACCCAGAAGACCTGCAGGAATGACCCAAGCCCACAGTCCGCCCGTCCACATGAGGCAGCGTCCATAGGAAGTCAGAGGAAGGGCAGAGGATGTGACGAATAAGACAACTTGGGGCCGGGTGCAGTGGCTCACTTCTGTAATCCCAGCACTTTGGGAGGCTGAGAGGGGTGGATCACTTGAGGTCAGGAGTTCGAGACCAGCCTGGCCAACATGATGAAACCCCGTCTCTACTAAAAGTACAAAAATTAGCCTGGTGTGGTGGTGGGAGCCTGTAATCCCAGCTACTTGGGAGACTGAGGCAGGAGGATCGCTTGAACTCAGAAGGCAGGGGTTTGAGCTGAGAACACACCACTGCACTCAGCCTGGGCAACAGAGAGAAACTCGGTCTCAAATAAATAGATAAATAAGAAGGCAGCTTGGGAAGAAGAATTGAGAATGTTGGGTCCTGCCAAGTGGCTGAACGTCTGCAACCAGCCAAGGAAATTCAGGTGGCGGGTGTCTGATGGTGATGGGAAGAAATTATTTCAAGATCTGTTACTGTTCATTCAAGGAGAACACGTGTCGAATTCTCAAAACAAAGAGAAATCCCAATTATTGCCTAGAACTCTCCCCTCTCCCACCCCCATAGCCCTCCGACCCACAGCCTGAATTGCACAGAAATTTCCATTCCATTAAATGACAGACATTTACCTAAAATGTCACAGTATTCTCCCAATTATGCAACAAATTTGAAATTCACAAGTGACCCTGAGAAGGGTGGCTCCTTGGCCTCTTTTCCTCAGCCTAAGTTTGGGAGACCCCTCAAGCCCCCATCTGACGGCTTGCACCACCAGTCCCATAGGGAGTAGAAAGTGGTGACTATCAGGACAGCCAGCAGCGGATCCATAAGTCCCCAGGCATGAGCTCTGCATGTCTGACTTTGGATTGGAGCCTCCAGTAGGTACCTCCACCATCACACAGGTCACCCCCCAGCACATCCCAAGCCCCTACTTGGAAGACACAGTGCTCACTCATATGTGGCATTCACGGTCAGCAGCAGCCTCCAACTGAGAAGGCCGGGCTGGTGGTCGGCTTCCTTGTGGCCCCCTTGGAACTGGGCCCTGCAAACACCCTCTTACCTCAGGGCTCCCTCCACACCTCCAATCTGCCACTGCCCATGACAGCTTCATTCAGTACATTCCCTTTGATGACCCAAGGATATGACATATCAAACCAGCTCAACCCCAGGGTTTCTTTGAGGACACAAGGTTTGGTGATGAATCTTATAACTCCAGTCCTGTCACTGACCAAGAGCCAGCTCATGGAAAAATGCTGATGGTGCCATTTGGAATCCACAGAGCCTGATAGCCTTGTCAGGGAATAAGAGAGGCCCGGCCTTGGCTGATCCTAGCCCCTTGTGGCCATGGGTCCAGCTTCCCAGAAATAGAGAAAATGGTGGCTTTCCTGACCAAAGAGACAGCTGTGTCATGAGAGGATGGCAGCCTGACGTGAGGGGCAGCCCTCACAGACACGCAGAAAGCCAAGTTTCTTCCCCAAGCCCACAGGGCGAGGGCACTCATGAAACTCAAACCAAACTCAAAAAGTTTGAAACTGGGATTCGGACCAAGAAAAGTTCAAAGAAGTAAATGAAAACCAAACAAAAAACAAGACTGTATTTTGTTTGATTTTCATCCCTGTGAAATCAGAATCACAGCTGCCAGATACAGGTACGGACAACAATGACTTAAATCTGAGTGGGTCTGATGAGAGCACAGCTCTGCAACCACAGAGTCTGCTGAGCATGTCCTCCAGCGACCTGGGGCTGCAGGCTGTCACAGGAAGCATGGGTGGGAGAATGGAGCTCCAGAAACAAGATCTGGGGGTGGGGATCAGAAGAAGATAAAGCAATCAATGACCTTGGATTCATTTACCTTACAAAGCACAGTGAACTCCAGCATTCTGGCTCTTGGCCAGGGCACCAGTACAGAGATCAGCAAACACAAACCAGTTTCCCCAAAGAATCCCAAAGCTCGCAGCTCCTTCCTGTTGCAAAGCTGGGAGGGTCTAGTGTGTCCCTGACTCCAAAATGTTTGGACCCTGCTGCCTCCGAAGCTCAGATGCACACGGCAGTCCCTTCTGGTGACCACAAATAGAGGTGAAGTGCCTGCAACCTGAAAGGTCACAGGTCCCTCAGCCCAGCCGGCAACAGTGCTTTTCCAAGGACTTCCTTGTCCATAAATCAGGCACTGATGACAAAAGCAGGCTGAAGTCAGCCCTGTGTGGGTGTCTGTGGGCATGCAGTCCATCCCGGCCCAAGTGGGAGGTGGTGAAGGAGGTACCCACATGTCTGTGCAACAGCAAACAATGATTTGGGCGTTTTCTCCTGACACCAGTCAGCCATTGTGCCTGGGCTTATTAAGTTAACGAGTAAGTTTTAACAAGGAGCTTCAAGAAGACAAAGAAGGAAGACAAAGAAAACAGCTGCTGCAGCAATGAGGAAACGGAGGCGGAACAGCAGCAGGAAAACTGTGCTGACCCCAGACTGGAGAATTCAGGCTTCTGTGCAAACAGCCCGGAAATGAGTTGAGCAACAGCCAAGGATGTGGGTGCTGGAGGACCCTGGGTTTAGTTGGGAAAAGGTAGACATAAGTCTGAGAGCTGAGGTGAGGAGCTGGAACCTGGCCACCTGCGTGTCTGGCCTCTGTCCCTGGGTCCCTCTCAGGTGGAGACGACAGCCATGCATCCTCCGGGCAGCAGATGAAAGCTTGAGAGCAGAAGAGAGACACCAGAAGGTTGGCAATGGAGGTAATGAGCCCAGGTCCTGCAAAGAGAGTGATGTCTTCAAGATCAAGTGACACAAAACCAGTGCCCCTCTCCTATCCGGCTGAGCCAAGGCGTCCCAGGAAAGTCAGAAACTTACCAGCACTTTCAGTTCTGTGAAACTGAGTGAAGTGGCCCCTTGGAAGGTTGATAGTGGTGGAGAGAGGGACACAGTGCTCCCGCTGTCCCTGACTAACCAGAACCGAGGGCTCTTGGCACCAGACTTTACAGGCTATGGTGTTCACCACAGGGCAAGAGTAGAGTGAGCCAGCAAGCTAGAGGGGTCTTTGAGGGAAGTGGATGCAATAGAAACCCTCCAGGCAAGTCCCTGCAAGTGAGGGCTGTGAGGATCCTGGGCATTGAATGGCGGTGGCATTTCTCCTGCCAGTGCCCTGAGGGTGGAGGCAGAACCAGCCTCCCTGAGGTGAGCGTCTGCAGCCCAGAGGCCCCCAGGCAAGAGTCGCTGTCCAGCTCAGCACTGGCTGATGGCCTTATGGTGTCCACTGGTGCCTTTTATGGCAGGAGAAAGTGTGGCTGGACTGAAAGCCCTCTCTTGGTAGGGGAAGGGAACAGTGCCACGTGGGCTCCCCAGGCTTCTGAGCACTCAGACCTCACTTAGGGTTGTCACCAATGGAGCTTCCAGCCTTGAGTCTCAGGCTAACCCCTTGGAGTCCAAGTCCTTAAAGGAAGTGGGGGCAAAACTGCCCTTCATATTCACTTTGTTCTACTTCATAGAGAGGACTCCAAGTGTGGCAGACTCAGAAAAGAGGCTCAGAAGTGCTTTCAAAGTGATTGAAAGTTCGCAAGAGAAACTGGCTTCCCCCTGGCCAGGAGAGCAGACCCTGCCACCTGATGAGAATGGAAGAGGTGTGTTGAGTGTCTATTGAGCTTCAGGAGTGCTGACTCCCTGGAGGAGGTGGAGGGACTGAAGGCTTGGAGGGGCCAGGTCCACCTTCCAGAAGGCTCTGTGTCTCTGAGAGGCAGGGACGACAGGGTCAGAGTTGGCCACTCACTGTCTTTCTCCAAGGATGGTATCTCACGGGAAGAAAATGAGCATCTGGTGTCCAGATTCGTATGACCCTAGCAGAGAGGAGAGACTGTGATGAGATGCCAGTGACGCTTGCGTGCGTTTGCTGATGGAGTATTCTCTTATTTGTTGTTGTTTTCTTTTCCTTTTCTCTTTCTTCACTGTTCATCTGCAAGAGCATTCTCTGATTCCGTCTATGTAGGATCTGGAAACTGCTGGTTTTTAATGTACTGATGACATTCTTTACCACTGTCACTAGGAAACTTACCATCCACACAGAATTGCTTTGTGGAGATAAAGCAATAGTCCGTTGAAATAATCCTTTTTTAAAAAATTAAATTTAATTGATTAATTATTTTTTGACGCAGGGTCTTGCTCTGTTGCCCAGGTTGGAGTGCAGTGGTATGATTTTGGCTCACTGCAACCTCTGCCTCCCAGATTCAAGTAATTCTCCTGCCTCGGCCTCCTGAGTAGTTGGAATTACAGGCATGTGCCACCACGCCCAGCTAATTTTTGTATTTTTAGTAGAGACAGGGTTTCACCATGTTGGTTAGGCTGGTCTCAAACTCCTGGCCTCATGTGATCTGCCCACCTCAGCCTTCCAAAGTGCTGGGATTACAGGTGTGAGCCACCACGTCAAGCCCTTTATTAAATTTTAAAAAATAAATGAGACGAGGTCTCACTGTGTTGCTCAGGCTGGTCTCGACTCCTGAGCTCTAGTAATCTGCTAGCCTCCCAAAGTGCTAGGAGTATAGGCGTTAGCCACCATGCCCGGCTGAAATCATTTTTTATAGCATGAAGATTTAATGCCTATAATTAGGAAAGAGTTTTCACAGAAACCCTCCTTCATGAAGGATTTGGCCAAACTGGCAAATAGTTTGGTGTTTCTGTGGTTCTGTGTGAAAATTTAGACACAGAAGATCTAGTGAACGATTTTAAAGGACTGTGAATGCCACACATTCTCCTTCGTGTCTCCGTGCCCTGTGGCCCATGCTCAGTCTTTGCAGACGTAATCAAGTTAAGATGAACTGACTCGGCCGGGCTCGGTGGCTCACGCCCGTAATCCCAGCACTTTGGGAGGCTGAGGTGGGCAGATCACATGAGGCCAGGAGTTTGAGAGCTGTAATCCCAGCCACTCTGGAGGCTCAGGCAGGAGAATTGCTTGAACCCGGGAGTTGGAGGTTGCAGTGAACCGAGACCGCGCCATTGCACTCCAGCCTGGGCGACAGAGCGGGACTCCATTGCAAAAAAAAAAAAAAAAAGATGAGCTGACCCTGGAGTGGGGTTGGCCCTAACCAATGACTGGTGACCTTCTAACGAGAGGAAACCCCATGTGAAGACAGAGACACTTAGGGAGAACGCCCTGTAACGACACAGGCAGAGATCAGAGGAATGAGGCTGCAAAACACGGGGCGGGAAGGATTGGCAGCTGCCAGCAGAAGCCAGGAAGAGGCAAAGAGGATTCTAAGCAGAGCCTCAGAGGGGGCGTGGCCCTGCTGACTCCTTTGATTTCAGACTTCTGGCCTCTAGAACTGTCAGAGAGTAAATTTCTTTGTCTTAAGCCATCCATCTGTGGTGCTTTGTCAGGACATCCCAGGACACTGACGTGCTTGGCTTCTGTGATTCTTTCCGTTCCTACCTCTCCCTCCATCTCTGCCTTTCCTTTCACTTTTCACCCTTTAAATAGGAAAATTTCTGAAGGACCAGTCCGTGGCTCTCTATTCTTCTCCATTGATTCTTTCTTCTTTGGCAATTTCTTTCATTTTCATGGTTTTGCTATAGATCCTGATGATTCTCAAGTCCTGTGTTAGCGAGGCTATTGGTTGCAAAGGTTGGGGCCTCCCTCAAGCCACCTTTAAAAAAGGATGCTTACCCCTGCACATCATTTAGAATGGCTACTATAAAAAACCCAGAAAATAACAAGTGTTAGTGAGGGTGTGGAGAACTGTTAGTGAGAATGTTAAATGGTGCAGCTGCTACGGACAGTGGTAAGGAGATTCCTCAAAAAATTAAAAATAGAATTATCGTATGATCCAGCAATTCCAGTTCTGGGTATATGCCCAAAAGAATGGAAAGCAGAGTCCTGAAGAGGCATTTGTACACCTGTGTTCTAAGCAACATTATTCACAATAGCCAAAAGGTGGCACCAACACAGATGTCCATCAATGGATGAATGGATAAACACAATGTGGAATGCCCATACAACAGACTATTATTCAAACGTTCAAAAGAAAGGAAGCTCTGTCACATGCTACAATATGAATGAACCTTGAGAACACACTAAGTGAAATAAGCCCGTTACAACAGGATGAGTGCTGTATGATAAGTGGAATCATACAGTACGTTGTATGAGTCATCAAATGGAGACAGCGAGTGGAATGGTTGTTGCAAGGGGTCATTATAGTTTAATGTGTATAGAGTTTTAGTTTTGCAAGATGAGAGTTCTGGAGATACGATCATAAAGAGCAAACAAGGCTGAGAAGACCCACTTGTGTGCGAGCGCTGAGGGTAGTTTTTTAGGGTACAGGCTGAGAAAGCACCCCAAAATGTACTGACTACACCCAGAATTCAAAGCACCTGCAGGATGTCTCCATGTGGATGTCCTGCAGGTACTTGTCTCTACTAAAATACAAAAATTAGCTGGTCGTGGTGTTGCGTGCCTGTAATCCCAGCTACTTTGGGGGTTGAGGCAGGGGAATCGCTTGAACCCGGGAGGCGGAAGTTGCAGTGAGCTGAGATCGTGCCACTGCACTCCAGCCTGGGCGACACAGTGTGACTCCGTCTCAAAAAAAAAAAAAAAAAAAAAAAAGTCAAAGATTTAACTCATCTTGATTCCAAAGCAATTTTCATCTTGATGCCAATATCTAATCTTTCAGCCTTTCAGCCATTGTGCCCTGGCACTGTCTTAAAAACTTTTTTCTTGTTACAAAAGCAACATATGTTCATATTTTTTAAAGAAGATATAGATAAGTAAAAAATAAACATAAAATAATTTATAATCTCTGTGCCCAGAAATAGCCATTAATATCATTGTAACGTATCTTGCCATTATTTTTCTACACAATCATCAGAACTTCATGTACATGTAGCATGTTCTTATCCATGCTATCCAAGTCTTTGCTTATTCGTCCGACTATGTCCACATGCCTGAGTCTTACTTGTAGGTTAAGACCCAGCTTGAGGTCACGTCTGTCATTAAGCTTTACTCACTATTGCCATCAGAGAGTATTTACTACTCCATACTTGACCTCTCAGAGCATTTTAACTAACCTTTCTCGTGATACAAATCATTTTCATGTAAGTCAGAGCTCTCCTTCAGTCCAGTAGTTTTTAATTTTTTTTTTTTTTTGAGACGGAGTCTCACACTGTTGCCCAGGCTGGAGTGCAGTGGCCCGATCTCGGCTCACTGCAACCTCCACCTCCCGGGTTCAAGCAATTCTCCTGCCTCAGCCTCCCAAGTAGCTGGGACTACAGGCACGTGCCACCAAGTCCGGCTAATTTTTTATTTTTAGTAGAGATGGGTTTCACCATGTTGGCCAGGCTGGTCTCGAACTCCTGACCTCAGGTGATCTGCCCGCCTTGGCCTCCCAAAGTGCTGGGATTACAGGTGTGAGCCACCACACCCGGCCTAGTTTTTAATTTTTTAAAGCCATAGGATTCTGTTCAAATGGGTCCCTAGCATAAAAAATCAGATGGAAAGAGAGCTGCTCTGACTGTAGTTACAGAGACCTTGAACCCCAAGGGGACTAAATTCAGAGCTCGGGTTGAAAGCCCTGTACTAGATTGCAGGATTTTTAGAAAATACATTTTATTGAGGTTTAATTCATCCAGCAATATGCACCCTTTTTGAGTGCACGGTTTGATGAGTTCTGACAAGTGTGTATAACCAATGCCCCTGTCAAGACACAGATTATTCCTGTCATGCTGTAAAGCTCTCTTCTCCTGTGCAGCTAATCCCTCCCTTCCACAGGACCCCAGGCTACCGCTGCTGTTTTCTGACATTACGGATTAGATTTTCCTTTCCTGGAACTGCATGGGAATGAGTACAACAGCTATTTCCTCTTTTTGTGCCTGGGTTCTCTTCCTCCACATGTGTTTGAGACTCACCTGTAATGTCGTTAATATCAGTAGTTTGTTCCTTCTTTTAAATTTATTTTTTATGTTATTCATTTATTTTTAAGATTTTTTTAAAAAACTTACATTTTAAATTTTTTATTTTTTATTTTATTTATTTTAATTTTATTTATTTTTAATTGAATGAATTTAATTTTTAAATTTAAATTTTAGTTTTTTATTTTTATTTTTTATATACATAAATTTGTTCCTTCTTGCTGAGTGTGGCATTACCAGTTTGTTTACTCACACTCGACATTTGAGTCATTGCCAGTTTTGGGGTATTTTGAATAAAGCTGCCACAGACATTTGTGGATAAGTCTTTTTGAGTATGAATGTTTTTATTTCTCCTCAGTAGATGTCAAGTAAAACTTGAGATGATAGGTTTCTGAAAATAGAATCCATGTCTCTTTCATTTTTGTGATCCAGAGCGCACTGCATTGAGCCAGTGTTAAATGAACTTCTTGGTAAGAAAAGGGAAGGAATATTTAGTAAATGTTTACTAATTGCCAGCTACTTTTTAAAGGATTTTTTATATATTGTCATATTTAGTTTTTTCAACAACCATACAATGTGTTATTTTTACAGAATTTTCTTTCTTTCTCTCTTTTTTTTTTTTTTTTGAGATAGCGTCTCACTCTGTTGAGCAGGCTGAAGTGCAGTGGCATGATCATGGTTCACTGCAGTGTCAACCTCCAGGGCTCAAGCAATCCTCCCACCTCAGCCTCCCAAGTAGCTGGGACTACAGGTGTGCACCACCATGCCTGGCTAATTTTTTTATTTTTACAGAGATGGAGGTCTTACTATGTTCGAGACCAGGCTGTTCTCAAACTCCTGGACTCAACAATCTTCCTGCCTTAGCATCTCAAAATGCTGGAATTACAGGCATGACTCACTGTGCCCAGTCCAGAATTTTATTTCTAACTGGAGAGTTAGAGGCTTGGAAAAGTTAAGTAGCCTGCCTAGGAGCACACAGCTAATAAGTTAATAGAGCTAGGATTCAAACCCTCTGTTGGACTCCAAAGGCCAGGTTTATTTCTTAGTATTATTTTTGGCTGCCTGTTGAATCAGCTAAGTTGATTTAACATGTGGGAGAGTCCGTAAATTCTCCCGAGAGCCTCTGTGGGCTCAGCAGAGCCTTTCTGGCCATTGAAGTAGGTCAGGTCCTGCTACAGTGAAGTTTAGGAGTCAGTCTTTAACTCTGGGACATTGTCCATTCTGTCGTATCATTTACTGTTGAAAATAAGAGCATTTAGCTGGGCATGGTGTTGGACACCTGTAATCCCAGCTACTCGGGAGGCTGAGGCAGGAGAATCGCTTGAATCCAGGAGGCAGAGGTTGCAGTGAGCCAAGATCATGTCACTGCACTCCAGGCTGGGTGACAGAGGGAGACTGCATCTCAAAAAAAAAAAAAATAAATAAATAAATAAAGGAGCATTGTCAGCTGAATTTTTAAAGATTCACCTGAATTTTCCTTGTTATCAACCTTTTGCTGGTAAGCCACTAATTAATTGTCACCTGTGGAAATTTAGACGAATTTTCTAGCTTTTTATGTGTTGTTGACTCACAATAAACAACACTTCCACAAAATCTATGGGCTTTTCTGGAGGCCTTTTCTTGAGCGATGGGACTCTTGTTGAAAAGGAACTTTGAGGGGTTCAGCGTTCTTTACAATTTCCTATCAATTCATCTCCTCCAGGTGGGGAGGCCTGTAGAAGAGAGTTGTGAACAGAGTGCTGTGTGGCACCCAACACCATAGATATGGCAGGGTGGACTGGAAATGGGGTCGATGCACAGCTGGGATGCTCTGGTTTGTCCACAGTGATTCCCACAATATTGAAATGCTTTTGTTTCTGTAGGTAAACAGCAGGCTGCCCTGGCTCCTCCCCTAGAGCTCTCTCCTCTCCAACATCTTATGCTCCAGCAATGAAAGCGTTGGCACCCATCTCCGCAGGGGGCCTCTGGACCCTGTGCCAATGCCCTGGCCACCGTCCATTCTCACTGCTTGGTCCCATGACACCAAATTGTTAAATAGTTGGCTATTGACCTCTTGGCTAAAAGTTATTTTCAAAACAGAAATGTACAGGCAACAGGCCAATCACATTCTTAATTTGTAACCACCCAAGGGGTTCACCTTGCCCACTGCCTAGAGAGCCGATTCATCAAGACAGGGGAATTGCAATAGAGAAAGAGTAATTCACAGAGAGCCGGCTGTGCGGGAGACCAGAGCTTTATTATTACTCAAATCAGTCTCCCCGAGCATTCGGGGAGCAGAATTTTTAAGGATAACTTGGTGGGCGGGGGGAAGCCAGTGAACTAGGAATGCTGATTGGTCAGGGAGGAAATCACAAGGCGTCGGAGCTGTCTTCTGGCGCTGAGTCAGTTCCTGAGTGGGAGCCACAAGATAAGGTGAGCCAGTTGATCGATCTGGGTGGTGCCAGCTGATCCATCCAGTGCAGGGTCTGCAAAGTATCTCAAGCCCTGATCGTAGGAGCAGTTTGGGGAGGGTCAGAATCTTGTAGCCTCCAGCTGCATGACTCCTAAACCTTAATTTCTAATTTTGTGGCTAATGTTGGTCCTACAAAGGCAATCTAGTCCCCAGGCAAGAAGGAGGTCTGCTTTGGGAAAGGGCTGTTGCCATCTTTGTTTAAACTATAAACTATAAACTGTAAACTAAGTTTCTCCCAAAGTTAGTTCAGCCTATGCCCAGGAATGAACAAGGACAGCTTGGAGGTGAGAAGCAAGATGAGGCCCGTTAAGTTAGATCTCTTTCACTGGCTCAGTCATCGTTTTGCAAAGGCAGCTTCAATCTCACTTTCCATTATTCTTATCTCACTCTTCATTGGAGTAGTCCTCCCTTATTTGTGGTTTCACTTTCCATGGTTTCTGTTACCTGCAATAAATGGAGGTCTGAAAATGGGTGAGTGTAGCGCAGTAAGATATTTTGAGGGTGGGCACAATGGCTCATGCCTGCAATCCCAGCACTTTGGGAGGCTGAGGTGGGAGGATTGCTTGAGTATAGGAGTTTGAGACCAGCAGGGCAACATAGTGAAATTTCTCCACAAAAAATAAATTTTAAAAAATTAGCTGGGTGTGATGATGCATTCTTGTAGTCCCAGCTACTCGGAAAACCGAGGTGGGATGATCACTGGAGCTCAGAAAGTCAAGGCGTCAGTGAACTATGATCGCAGGACTGCGCTCCAGCCTGGGCAACAGAGCAAGACCCTGTCTCTCTTAAAAAAAAAAAAGATATTTTGAGAGAGAGAGAGAGAGAGACTGCATTCGCATAAATTTTATTGCAGTATATTGTTATAATTGCTTTATTTTTTTATGAGTAATTGTTGTTAATCTCTTGTGCCTAACTTATAAATTAAACTATCACAGGTATGTATAGATAGGAGAAAACAGAATATACAGGGTTCAGTACTATCCAAGGTTTCAAGTATCCACTGGGTGTTTTGGAACATATCCCCTTTGGATAAGGGGGATCACCGTATGACAAAAGCCATTGTTTTTTGTTTTGATTCTGATCTTTCTGATTCCTACATATACTTTAAGCACAAACAATTTGGTTAAAGTCTATTTCCAAGTTTCTGTGGTGTAGAGGAGGAAAATTTTAGTTTCCCTCTGCTCTTCACAGTTATTATTTGGGATGGACTCCTGTAACAAAAGACAGATTAACAAGAGAAAGACAAACGGAAGTTTATTAACATGCATGCCTCCTGTGTATGTGATAGATACCCAGAGAGATGAGTCAGTCTCAAGGAGGAGACTTTGAATTCAGGCTTAAATATTTAATACCATCTTCAGCTGTCACAAAGAAAGGTGTTGCTGGCAGGTGTGGGGAGGTAACCAGGAAAAGCAGTCAAAAAGGGTAAGGTTTGTTGTGCAGATTTGAGTCATCCTTGTCTTCCTGGTACAGAGGGGGAGGCACCCTCATAAATGGAGGGCTCCTTTACAGAAGTAAATTTCCCTTACAAAAGGGTAACTGCCTCTGTGTTCTCAGGGCTTCTTCTGTGTCAGCAGTTTCTCAAAATAATCCTTATGCCCAAAAGGCATATTTTGGTGGGGGCAGGTTGTGGTCTCCTACACTGGTCATGCCAAAGCACTGGCAAACATTATAGTGTAGCAGTTATGAGCATGGATTTTAGGATCTGACAAGCTTCAATTTTGATTTCTGGCTCTGTTACTTCCTAGCATGGTGATCTTTGACAAGTTATGGCAAGTCATACAACTTTTGTAATGCCTCAGTTTTCTCACCTGTAAAATGAATATGATAATGTCTACTTCATAATTATTAGAGATTGTTAGCAGCAGTGAATCCTTATGGGTCTGCAGCAAACTCAATTCTTGCTTCCTCAGAAGAAAGAATTTGACGGAAGGACATAAGGCAGAGGGAGAGACCGAGGCAAGTCTTAGAGTAGGAGTGAAAGCTTATGAAAAATTTTTAGGGGAAGAATGAAAGGAAGTGAAGTGTCCTTGGAAGAGGGCCAAGTGGGAGAGACAAGAGCACTGTTTGACTTTTGACTTGGGGTTTCACATGCTGGCTTGCTTCTGGTGTCTTGCTTCTCTTCTTTCCTTATTCTTCCCTTGGGGTGGGCTGTCCACCTGTGCTGTGACCTGCCAGCACTTGGGAGGGGCTGCGTGTACAGTGTTTACTGGAGTTGTATGCATGCTCACTTGAGGCATTCTTCCCTTACCAGCCAAGTGTTCCTAGAGGAAGATCATGTGCCACTTAACACCGCCATTTTGCCTTCTAGTGCGCATGCTTGAGCCCACTCGTCCAACTCCTGAGATCTTCTCCAGAAGCTGCTGATTACCAGTTTCAGGTTTTTTCTTTCTACTGGGAGACTGCCTTTCCCTGGCGCTAGCTGTGACCAATTATTATTTTAGTGCTTAACAACCGCCTGGCCATCAACTCATGGTTGCCTGACATTCCTGGTGTGATGGGGCCCTCTTCTGCCCTGCTCATGTCTGCCCGACTACCTACTGCAATAAGATCACGGAGGGGATGGGTGCAAAGACCTTGCCCCAAGTGCTCCCTGCATGCTGGCTGTGTTACACATTTCAGGGGAATTTTTATAGATTCATTCAATGCTGAGTGTTACTTTCTTCAGATATTGGAAGCTGTAACTGTTAATTCCAAAAGAGCTGCTTCTTTTGCTTTAAAGTGACTTTATTTTGCATGAGTTGATTTCAGCTCCATGCCTGTCTTCTTTTTTTGAATGGAGAACTTCTTTCCCAAAGGAGCAGTTGATTTTAAATAACAGAAAAAACAACTTGTAAAGGTGAAGAAACAAACTTAAGGCTTGAGTTTTGAACTTAGGGTTTCAACTTCCTTTGCCTATAAGTAGGAAGGATGGAGATGGCCACTATGTACCTTGCATATAAAATCAGTTGAACAGAAAAAAGTGCAGCTTTTCTGGGCAGAAGAAACAGCGATCATCTTGGGGACAAGATCTTTGTTCCCAAACTGGGAACAAAAAGAGGTTTAATTGGACTTATAGCTCCACACGGCTGTAGAGGCCACAAGGCTTCAGAATCATGGTGGGAGGCGAAAGGCACTCCTTACATGGCGGTGGCAAAAGAAAAATGAGGAAGAAGCAAAAACGGAAACCCCTGATAACCCCATCAGATTTCATGAGACTTATTCACTTTCAAAAGAATAGTACAAGAAAGACTAGTCCCCATGATTCAATTACCTCCCCCTGGGTCACTTCCACAACACGTGGGAATTCTGAGAGATACAATTCAAGTTGAGATTTGGGTGGGGACTCAGCCAAACCATATCATTCCGGAAGACCATGGCCCCTCCAAATCTCATGTCCTCACATTTCAAAACAAATCATGCCTTCCCAACAGTCCCCTAAAGTCTTAACTCATTTCAGCATTAACCTAAAAGTTCATAGTCCAAAGTTTCATCTGAGGCAAGACAAGTCCCTTCCACCTATGAGCTTGTAAAATCAAAAGCAAGCTAGTTACTTCCTAGATACGATGGGGATACAGGCATTGGGTAAATACAGCCATTCCAAATGGGAGAAATTGAGCAAAACAAAGGGGTTACAGGGCCCATGCGAGTCTGAAATCCAGCTGGGCAGTCAAATTTTAAAGCTCCAAAATGACTGCCTTTGACTCCAGGTCTCACATCCAGGTCACACTGATGCAAAAGGTGAGTTCCCACGGTCTTGGGCAGCTCTGCCCCTGTGGCTTTGCAGGCTATAGCCTCCCTCCTGGTTGCTTTCACGGGCTGGCGTTGAGTGTCTGTGGCTTTTCCAGGTGAACGCTGCAAGCTGCCAGTGGATCTACCATTCCAGGGTCTGGAGGACGGTGGCCCTCTTCTCACAGCTCCACTAGGCAGTGCCCCAGTAGGGACTCTGTGTGGGGGCTCTGATCCCACATTTCTCTTCTGCACTGCTCTAGCAGATGTTCTCCATGAGGGCCCTGCACCTGCAGCAAACTTTTGCCTGAGCATCCAGGTGTTTCCATACATCTTCTGAAATCTAGGTGGAAGTTCCCAAACCTCAATTCTTGACTTCTGTGCACCTGCAGGCTCAACAGCACATGGAAGCTGCCAAGGCTTGGGGCTTTCACCCTCTGAAACCACAGCCTGAGCTGTACGTTGGCCCCTTTCAGCCACAGCTGGAGCAGTGGGACATGGCACCAAATCCCTAGGCTGCACACAGCATGGGGACCCTGGCGCCAGCCCACAAAACCGCTTTTTCCCCCTGGGCCTCTGGGCCTGTGATGGGAGGGGCTGTCGTGAAGGTCTCTGAAATGGCCTGGAGACATTTTCCCCATGGTCTTGGGGATTAACATTAGGCTCCTTGCTGTTTATGCAAATTTCTGAAGCCAGCTTGAATTTCTCCTCAAAAAATGGGTTTTTCTTTTCTATTGCATCGTCAGACTGCAAATTTTCTAAACTTTTATGCTCTCCTTCCCTTACAAAACTGAATGCCTTTAACAGTACCCAAATCACCTCTTGAATGCTTTGCTGCTTAGAAATTTCTTCTGCCAGATACCCTCAAACGTCTTTCTCAAGTTTAAAGTTCCACAAATCTCTAGGGCAGGGGCAAAATGATGCCAGTCTGTTTGCTAAAACATAACAAGAGTCACCTTTACTCCAGTTTCCAACAAGTTCCTCATCTCCATCTGAGACCACCTCAGCCTGGAGACCACTTTATTGTCCATATCACTATCAGCATTTTGGGCAAAGCCATTCAACAAGTCTCTAGAAAGTTCCAAACTTTCCCAAATGTTCCTGTCTTCTTCTGAGCCCTCCAAACTGTTCCAGTCTCTGCCTGTTACCCAGTTCCAAAGTTGCTTCCACAATTTCGAGTATCTTTTCAGCAATGCCCAACTCCCGGTACCAACTTACTGTATTAGTTCATTTTAACACTGCTGAGAAAGACATACCTGAAACTGGGAACAAAAAGAGTTTATTTGGACTTAAAGTTCCACATGGCTGGGGAGGCCTCAGAATCATGGCGGGAGACGAAAGGCACTTCTTACATGGCGGTGGCAAGGGAAAAATGAGGAAGAAGCAAAAGCGGAAACCCCTGATAAACTCATCAGATCTTGTGAGACTTACTCACTATCATGAAAATAGCACGGGAAAGACCGGCCCCCACAATTCAACTACCTCCCTCTGGGTCCCTCCCACAACATGTGGGAATTCTGGGAGACACAATTCAAGTTGAGATTTGGGTGTGGACACAACCAAACCATATTAGGGCTTAAACCTTTGATTTGAAATCTTTAATGGCAAGTATAGTGATTCCTATTCTGTACAGCTTTTTTTTTTTCTTTCATAAGATTGTATTTTTTCTTTCCTTTTTTTTTTTTTTTTCTGGAAACGGAGTCTTCATCTGTTGCCCAGGCTGGAGTGCAGTGGTGCCATCTTGGCTTACTGCAACCTCTGCTTCTTGGGTTCAAGTGATTCTCCTGCCTCAGCCTCCCCAGTAGCTGGGACTACAGGCACCTGCTACCACATCTGGTTAATTTTTTTTTTTTTTTTTGTAGTTTTGGTAGAGACAGGGTTTCACCATGTTGGCCAGGCTGGTCTCAAACTCCTGCCCTCAGGTGATCTGCCCACCTTGGCCTCCTAAAGTGCTGGGATTATAGGTGTGAGCCACTGTGCCTGGCCAAGATTGTATCTTTTCAATTGAAAGAACATACACAGCTTAAGGACAAAAGCGATAACAACCTTCACTCTAAAACTGCCAGGGTGTAAAGATGAAAAGATAGGCTTTGCAGTGTGTGCATGCATGTCTGTGAACAGATATTTGTGCATGTGTATTTGAGGAAAATAATAGCACCAAGAAGATGGAAACACTGAGCAGGAAAAGGAGCTTTGGGAATCCCCAGGTTAAATGCACACTTCTCACTATGGCAGTTTGTTGAGCCACTTGGTTCCTCCTTTAATCACACATTGATGCAAAGAAAAATGTTTAGAGAGGGTGGATATAGTTTGCTAAAAGATTGTGATTATTTTCCTATAGAAGTGCTTCCTTTGTGGACATTGTCGAGGCCAAGAGAAATAACTTCCCTTTCACCCTCTGAAGTTTCCCTGAAAATCATGACAATAGGCTGATTGATAGGAGAAAAGGCACACACATGCATTTGATCATAGTTTTACGTGACACAGGAGACTTCAGAATGAACAACCAAAGAGGGAAACTGTCCATTTTTATGCTTAGGTTCAACAGAGTATGGACAGCTGTGTAGAGATATGATTGGATGAAAGGGGTAAGACCTAATGCTGATAGGCTGGGAGGGGAAATCCGGCAAGGCCTGTCTGTCTAGATTCTTCTTGGCTTCTCTGAGCAACATCCCTTCCTTCTGGGTATGGGAAGGACCCTCTCTGGAACAGAAGCCTTATGACATACAATCAAACAACGTAGGTCTGATCATTTCTTAAAAAAATTTTTTTTAAAATAAAAATGGAGATGGGGTTTCACCATGTTGCCCAGTCTGGTCTCAAACTCCTAAGCTCAAGTCATCTGTCTGCCTCAGCCTCCTAAAGTGCTGGGATTACAGGCATGAGTCACCATTCACGGCCTTGATAATTTCTTTATGGCTAGTTTTTACACAGAAAGGTGGAGGAAAAGTTAGAGCAATATTTTTTGGTTTATAGCTGGCTTTGGGGAAAACGGATTCTGGTTTCTATGCCTAGCCTCAGGGAAACGTGAGATGGATAACATGAGGGCAGGAGAAGGTCAGACGAAAACTTTTGCTTCCAAGGTCTTTGTTTTGAGTATCATTTTCTGAATCCCAACATTCCCTGGTCTGAAACTTTCCCAAGAAGTTTCACAGTCCAGAAATTGGATTGGTGGATTGTCTTATAAGTTATTGAGCCAGGATCTCAGTCCCAAAAATGGATCTCATTTCAGGCTTCCACTAAGGTCAGGCCTCTATATGATTTGAGCAATCATATATTTAATAAGAGGCATTTCTGGCTGGGCACGGTGGCTCACGCCTGTAATCCCAGCACTTTGAGAGGCTGAGGCAGGCAGATCACCTGAGGTCAGGAGTTCGAGACCAGCCTGGCCAACATGGTGAAGCCCTGTTTCTATTAAGAATACAAAATTAGCCAGGCATGGTGGTGCGCGCCTGTAATCCCAGCTACTGGGGAGTCTGAGGCAGGAGAATCACTTGAACTGGGGAGGTGGAGGTTGCAGTGAGCTGAGATAGTGCCATTGCACTCCAGCCTGGGCAACAGAGCAAGACTCCATCTCAAAAAAAAAAAAAAAAGGCATTTTTATAGAAACTGAAGAAAATAAAAACAAAGATTAATGGTTAGGGCAAACTATAAACTCAGTTTTTTGAGTCTAGAGAGCAGCCAGTTGAGAAGAATTGTAGGTGCTGGGCTCAAAGCACCTGCAGATAAAGAGAGCAGACAGTGAGAATCTGACAGTTTTCCTGGTTTGCAGTTTGCATCAGGCATTCCAGTGAACTTTCTGTGTAATCTATACATCGACAGGCATGAAGGCTGTTTGTCTATTACGTTGCTGTAGTGCTTTAACCCAACATTTATATAAAATTGTCTAGTTTCAGCTTGCAGGACTTTAAAAAAAGTTCAGTTTTAATTTCTAGTGTTCCAAGTCAGTAAAATGGGAGAAAAACGTGGAAGGAAATGTTAGTTTGGAGACTTGTTGCAAGGAAAGAATTCAGGATTCAGTCCAAACTGTAGGAAAATCAGCCAGGCATGGTGGCTTATGCCTGCAATCTCAGCACTTTGGAGGCTGAGGTGGGTGGATCACCTGAGGTCAGGAGTTCGAGACCAGCCTGGGTAACATGGTAAAATCCTGTCTCTATAAAAAATACAAAAATTAGCTGGGTGTGGTTGCAGATGCCTGTAATCCCAGCTACTCAGGAGGTTGAGGCAGGAGAATCACTTGAACCCAGGAGGTGGAAGTTGCAGCGGGTTGAGATTGCATCACTGCACTCCAGCCCAGGTGAGAGAGCAAGCCTCCATCTCAAAAAACAAAGCAAAACAAAACAATAAAAACCACCCCAATGGTCAGGACTAAAATCTAGTAACAGGTATACTATAGCTTTCTTCTGAAGCATAATTTTTCTCTCTCTAATCCCCCATTTCCGCCAAAAATAAATCATAGTAGGACCAATTTATTTGCAAAATAAGTTTTAGTCTTATTATCCTTGGCCTAATTATTTGCATGAAGTACAGCAAGAATAGTGATTGTCGTATAAGCTCTTTTTAAGCTTGCTTTGCTGGACCATTTTCATGAGGAATCTCTGATTAGACTTTCAAAAATCTTTTGAGGCTAGGAAGCCAAGCCAAGGATTCACCCTCTGGTTGTGCTTGTATCACCTGAATGAATTGGGTGATTTCTGTCTTCTTAAGGTCCTCCAAATATCTTGACGCTCCTAGTCCTGTCAGAAAGTGACATTCTTTACTTACCATAAGGTCAGAAACACTGTAAGGGACCTGTGCAGACAAGGTACCAGGCCAGTCTTTTTCTAAGGCTATTGGCTTATAAAGTTGACCTCAATCCCTCAAAGCAATCTGGTCCCCTTTGAAAATACGACATTCCAGTCAAAGCCTTGATAAAATAACCAGTGTTTCCAATGTTTCCTGTTACAAAAAGAAAAGAGATTCTTATAAAACTTATACAAAAAAACATATTGCCATAAAATGAGAATACTAATGAATAGTTTTGAAATTTTGGAGAATTCAAGTAGACAGAATGTATTTTAATTTTGCTTACAAAAGTATACTTTACCAAATTGCTGTAAACCATAAATAGCTCCAAAAAAGTTTCCTTGACTCTGGAAAACAAAATATAAAAATAATCAATGTTTCTGATATGGTTTGGCTGTGTCCCCATTCAAATCTCAGCTTGAATTGTATCTCCCAGAATTCCCACCTGTTGTGGGAGGGACCCAGGGGGAGGTAATTGAATCATGGTGGCTGGTCTTTCCTGTGCTATTCTCCTCATAGTGAATAAGTCTCATGAGATCTGATGGGTTTATCAGGGGTTTCCACTTTTGCTTCTTCCTCATTTTCTCTTGCTGCTGCGATGTAAGAAGTGCCTTTCACCTCCCGCCATGATTCTGAGGTCTCCCCAGCCATGTGGAATTGTAAGTCCAATTAAACCTCTTTTTCTTCCCAGTCTCAGGTATGTCTTTATCAGCAGCATGAAAATAAACTAATACAGTTTCAAACAAAAAGTCATAAAAAATCATTTCAGTCCTCTATCAGTTCAGTCCCATGTAATAATTTTTCTTCTGCCTGATGGTGGGTTAGCAATCTTCATGAACTCATCAGTTTTAAAATTAGAGTTCTGAAGGTTTTACCTAATTCAGTGGTATGCTCTACAAAGTTATCAGAAACCTGGATTCAAGAGTACTCATCAGAGTCCAGGGTCACCTTCATAAATTTCCTTGAAGACACAACACTAGGATTTGCAAAAAGGTTTTAGAGTAAAATCACCAGAATGAAGCAATTTACTGCATACACTAAGACCTATCAGAGTTTAGGAATCTCATACAATTTTGGAACACATTTGAATAACATATCCATACAAATACAATTCAAAGAATGTTAACTCAAAATCGTTTCTTATTTGCCAATGTTTCTAATGTAATTTTAAGATGCCAAGCTTGAAAAGCAGTTGGATTTCTTTACTTAATTTATAAGCACTCATTTGTTTATAAATCCATTTGGTACCATGTAGATAATATGACATGAACTTATGTATGCATAAAAATACAGAGAAACATAAATCAAGATTTTATAGCTTATATTTTAAAATTTTAGCCATGAAATTTTAGTGTCCATTTACAGAGTGCCATTTGAGGTACATTTAGTGCCATTTACAGAGGCACAATTTAATCCAACTGTCCTTCTAAACTGGTGAGTTTTACTAGACAAGTAAAGTTTTACTAGACTAGTAAAACTTTAACTAGTGAAAAAGTAAAGTTTTACTGTAAAAGTTTTACTAGTAAAGTTTTACTAGTCTAATAAAACTCACTAGTTTAGAAGGACAGTTGGATTAAATTGTACCTCTGTAAATGGAACAAGTTATGGCCAAAGGCCTTACCAAATTTTAGATAAAATGGTTGCATATTTGCACCTCAAAGCACAGAACAAGAATTTGAACGTTTAAAAAGGAGTTTGGGTGTTTTAAAGGGAGATTAAAAATGGATGCCAATGTAACACAAAATCATAGGAATTTGCCCTAGGATTTTATAAGGAGACCAATTTCATTTGGATAGGTAGCTTCTAATTTAATCTCCATTTTCCAACTAGACCACTGAGCTTAGGGTGAAGCCCACTAACAAATAATGCCAACAAAGCATTTGTAATTTTCAGGGAATAATGCTTACATATGTGAAAAACAGGTGCCGCTGGAAGGTGGAACACCTAGATCCCCCAAAATTAAGGATCTTAGTTTCACATTGAATTCCAGGTTCCCAAAAAAGGGACCTCTGGACCAGGCTGTGCAACACTTCCACAGCCCTTTCCTTAGTTCATAGATGCCTGTCTTCTAACTGTGTCCTCATGTTAGGGGTGGGAGTGGTGAGGGAGCTCTCTGGGGTCTTTTATAAGGGCACTAATCCCATTCATGAGGGCTTCACCCTCATGACCTAATTATCTCCCAAAGGCCTCACCTCCAAATAGCCTACATTGAGTATAGGTTTCAACATATTTTGGGGGGAAACAAGCATTCAGATAATAGTGACATAGAACATATGAATATACATGTATTTGTTATGGTTGCTTTCCTCATGAGGCAAGTGGCATAACTGTATTCACTAGATTGAAATAGTTTTTAAATAAAAAGGAATGATTTAATGAGGCTAAGAACATTTTAAGAACTTTAAAAAATATGAGTTCATTTTGAAATAATTACAGGGCTAAATTTGGACTGGTCTGACTTTGAATGTCATGTTTGGCTCACTGTAGTATATTTGTTGTCTCAATGAATGTGTGTTTTTCATATTAAATAGAGTTGGTGGCAGAGCTGGGACTCAAATATGGATATTATGGCACTCAGTGGTCACACTTAGGTGAGGCTGGATGCTCCAGCCCCTGTTGCGGAGAGAACTGGGAATTTCATCGGGTGCTGTTTCTCCAGTCTTGCCCATGTTCACTCCACTGCCGTCAGACACATCAACCTTATCATGCCACTCCACTGCTTGAAATACTTTGTCTCCTGCCTAGGGCTTTCAGCATAAAACACACTCTTTATATGGCCAATATATTAGTTCGTTCTCACACTGTTCTAAAGAACTACCTGAGACTGGGTAATTTATAAAGAGAAGAGGTTTAACTGACTTGCAGTTCTGCAGGCTGTACAGGAAGCATGCTGGGAGGCCTCTGGAAACTTACAATCATGGTGGAAGGTGAAGGGGAAGCGAGCACGGTCTTCCCATGGTGGAGCAGGAGAGAGCAAGATTTGGGGAACGTGCTACACACTTGTAAACAACCAGATCTCATGAGAACTCTGTCAGGAGATAGTACTAAGCGGATGGTGCTAAACCACCACAAACCACCCCATGATCCAATCACCTCCCTCCAGGCCCCACCTCCAACACTCAGGATCACAATTCAACATGAGATTTCGGTGGGGACACAGAGCCAAACCATATCAGCAGAGAAGGCTCTACCCGTTGAGACCCTGCTTTCCAACACTACTCGTCTCTCTCCATTTCTGCATTATACTCTATGCTGCAGCCATAGGTAAATGGCTTTTTTGTTTTAAACTGTCCCATGTTCTGTCTTGCCTCTGAGCCTTTGTCCCTGCTGTCCACTCTCCTGGAATATCTTACTCATCTGCAAAACCAGAAATCCCCCATCCTTCATGTTGTAGCTGAGATATCAGTTTTGTGGTGAAGCCTTCCCTGACCTCTTCCAACTCCCTTCTGTACCCAGTTAGCTTCCCTTAGCAGTTTACACACTATGTTTGTTTATAATTCTCATTGCCTTCTTAAATTATAAACCCGAGGCCATCCTGGAAAAATGAAGGAGTTAGCCACAGCAATCAAGACTTCCAGGAGATGCAAGTAGTCAAGCCTATTTGCTCCCTTTCAGGTGATGCAGAGAGTGTGGAAACACCACTGTTTTGGCCTGTTGGTGCCTGTGATCATGTAGCTGTTCCTGAATACTTTGTTAGTTCTGAGAAATGGGCAGTAACAGAACTTGATGATGGGCATTTCTTAATCTCAGTGTACATGCACAGAATACCAAAAGCAGTTTACCTTCCTTTATTGGGCAGGGACAGCAATGTACTGTGCTACCCTGAACACAAAAAAAAACCTGTATAATTTAGCCTTTGTTATACAATCATTGTGTACTTCTATCATGTTTATTCCTTAATAAAACATGTCTGGAGAGGACAGAATCCTGGATGCAACTGAAATCCTGGATGAAATCAGAATCAATCAGTTATTAAAATCGTTATGAATAAATTGAGTTAAAAAGTTAAGTTCAGGAGGCTGGAATATGTAGCTCCATTTGCTCAAAAAACATGCTAACAGATTGCCATTTAAGTGCAGCGTTTCCAGATCACATTTAGGTTAGCATTGTGGGCGCACATGTGGCGTCTTCCTTTTTCCTGCTACTCCAGCCACTTTGCTGTTCCTTGGACAACCTAGGTACATTCTTGCCTCTGGATCTTGCTGTTCTCTGCCTGGCATGCTCTCCCTCCCTCCACATGTAGGTTTTGTTTAGATCATCTCCTTCAGGGGTCTGCTCAATGTCGTCTTATCAACAAGGCCTCCCCTGACTGCTTGATTTAAAATGAAACTCCTTCCTCAAAAAGTTAAACATGGATACAGTGAGCTTTGATTGCATCACTGTACTCTGGTCTAGGTGACACAGAGAGACTCTTTCTCTAAAAAAAAAAAATAATAAAACAAGAAAACAAACAAACAAAAAAACCACATGGAGTTACTCTGTGACTCAATAATACCCTTGTATGTATACGCCCAAGAAAAATGAAAATCTGTCCTTACAAAAGCTCATACTGAATGTTCATGGCAACAATATTCATAACAGCCAAAAGGCAAAAACAACGTAAATGCTCATCATTAGATGAATGGATAAATAAAAGTTCATACATAAAATGGAATATTATTCAGCCAAAAAAGAATAAAGTACCAAAGTACCCATACATGCTACAACATGGATGGATCTTGAAAACATTATGCTAACTGAATGAAGACAGACATAAAAGGCCACATGTTGTATAATTCCATTTATATGAAATGTCCAGAATAGGCAAATCAATAAAGATATAAAGGAAATTATTAGTAGCCAGTGGCTGGGGAGAGGGGGCAATGAGGAGTGACTGCTAATGGGTATATATATATATACCCATATATATATATGTTTGAGGAGATGGGTGGGTAATGAAAATGTACTAGAAGTAGATAGTGGTGATAGTTGCACAATTCTTTAATAATACTAAAGGCCACAGGCTTGAATAGTTTAAAAGGATGAATTTTATGATATCTGAAATATATCTCAACAAAGCTATTATAGAAAAATTTGAACTCCCTGTCTTTCTGGCGCTCATTATTCTTCATTCCTGCTTTATTTCCTTGTTATTCCTACCTAACATAACATTTGTAGAGTTTGCTGTCTGCCTCACTGTACTGGCTTACAAACTCCGTGTGATCAGACATTTTTCCCTGTGTTGTTCACTGTTGTATTCCTTTGCCCTAAAACACCGCATACAGTAAATCAATAAATCTCTGTTGAATAACTGACTAAATAAATGTGACTATATATACACTAAAGCTAGTGCAAGGATGTCATTTGAAAAAGATAAAAAGATCATTGCTCAGGTAAGGAAAAGAGAATAAAAGCAGAGTCACTTTCTTTTTTTTTAATTTTATTTTAAGTTCTGGGATACATGGGCAGAAAGCGCAGGTTTGTTACCTCAGTATACATGTGCCATGGTGGTTTGCTGCACCTATCAACATGTCATCTAGGTTTTAAGCCCCACATGCATTAGGTATTTGTCCTAATGCTCTCCCTCCCCTTGTCCCCTACCCACCGACAGGCCCCGGTGTGTGATGTTCCCCTCTCTGTGTCCATGTGTTTTCATTGTTCAGCTCCCACTTATAAGTGAGAACACGCAATGTTTGGATTTCTGTTCCTGTGTTAGTTTGCTGAGAATGACGGCTTTCAGCTTTATACATGTCCCTGCAAAGGACATGAACTCATTCTTTTTTATGGCTGCATAGTATTCCATGGTGTATATTTGCCAAATTTTCTTTATCCAGTCTATCATTGATGAGCATTTGGGTTGGTTCCAAGTCTTTGCTATTGTAAATAGTGTTACAATAAACATATGTGTGCCTGTGTCTTTATAGCAGAATGATTTATAATCCTTTAGGTGTATACCCAGTAATGGGATTGCTGGGTCAAATGGTATTTCTGGTTCTAGATCCTTGAGGAATTGCCACAGTGTCTTCCACAATGGCTGAACTAATTTACACTCCCACCAACAGTGTAAAAGTGTTCCTATTTGTCCACAGCCTTGCCAGCATCTGTTGTTTGCTGACTTTTTAATAATCACCATTCTAACTGGCATGAGATGGTATCTCATTGTGGTTTTGATTTGCATTTCTCTAATGACCAGTGATGATGAGCTTTTTTTCATATGATTTTTGGCCACATAAATGTCTTCTTTGGAGAAGTGTCTGTTCATATCCTTTGCCCACTTTTTGATAGGGTTGTTTTTTTTTCTTGTAAATTTGTTTTAAGTTTCTTGTAGATTCTAGATATTAGACCTTTGTCAGATGGGTAGCTTACAAAATTTTCCTCCCATTCTGTAGGTTGCCTGTTCACTCTGATGATAGTTTCTTTTGCTGTGCAGAAGCTCTTTAGTTTGATTAGATCCCATTTGTCAATTTTGGCTTTTGCTGCAATTGTTTTTGGTGTTTTAGTCAAGAAGTCTTTACCCATGCCTATGTCCTGAATGGTATTTCCTAGATTTTCTTCTAGGGTTTTTACGGTTTTGGGTTTTACATAGAAACAGAGACACTTTCATATTAGATTAATATAGGAAAAACAACTCAGTGAAACCAGGTTTTGATTGAAAATTTTAGCACAGATTATGACTTTGTAAGATGTGAGACTCTGTCAGTGAATAACTGAAGTCTCTTTTCTGGGATCACTTTGCTCACAATTGTGTGGGTCCAGAAACAAATGTTTGGCCCTTTACTCTTTGCTTCCCTCAAGAAAAACTTGCTTTCCTGAAGTATATTAACAGAAAATTTGAGGTCCACTAAGGCCAACAGATCAGATGGTGACTGCCATTGAAAAGATAGTTTGTTATTTGCAGGTCCCAACAGAAAGGACCATGTCACACCATGGAGACCACCTGGGGAAGCACCAGGGTTGGTCAGCTGGTAGAGGGAGGGGGTATCTGTGGGAAGAAAGGCATGAGACAGGGCAGGAGGGGAGTCTGAGAGCCCAGGAAAGGAGGCGGTTGTGTTATGAATTGGTTAGTTTACATTTGAAAAGCTCACTCTCAGGCAAGCTGTTTGCTACTGCTACTGAAACACCAGGGGTTTGGTCTAGGTCCTGCTGCTCATCACACAGAAAATGATGACCAAGATGATGATTGTTTCCAAGGAAAAAGGCTTTAATAGGGTGCTGCAGCCCAGGAGATGGGAGCTCAGTCTCAAACCCATCTCCCTGACTGACTAAAACCAGGGGTTTGTGTGGCAGGGAAGAAATGTAATAATGTGTAAGAAAACGGGAACTAGGGAGGGGCAAGGAAGTAATCATGATGAATGAGAGGTCCGGTTTCTGGAACGGTGATCTGGTAAGTTTCAGTTCTTTGATACTTTTTTGAGAGGGCTGAAAGTCCTTTCATGAGAAAAGAACTCAGATAAAACAAATACGTGTTTCAAGTTTTAAGACTCCGAAAGGTCAATTTCTATGTTTATCCAAAAGAACAGTCTATGGGACTATTGGGATGGTTTCACTATCTCTAGGAAATGGGTAACCCTGGAGGTGGAGGAGCAGTCCGTCCAGGGTCAGCAAGGCTCCAGATGTCACAGAATCAGAATAAAGAAAATAAAAGACAGGGTTAATACACCTGAAGTGTAAATAGTACTAGATCTTAGATCTCGGGACCCAAGATGATCCTGAAATGCCTTGTTTTGGGAACACAAAAGTATTTGGGGCTGCTGCTGGAATGGGCAGGAGACCATTTATGAAGATGTTGCTACCTCATTTTCATAGTAAAACTTCCTTTTGGGAAACTTCAACTGCTCAGAGAAGAAAAGGATGTTTCCTATACCGAGGACTGGCTACATAATTTGTAGGGCTCAGTGCAAAATGAAAATGGCAGACTCTTTATTTAAGAGTTGTTGAAGCCAGGCACGGTGGCTTGCATCTGTAATCCCAGCTACTCAAGAGGCTGAGGCAGGAGGATCTTGGAATGTCTAAGCATTGAGGAGTTGGATCTGAAAAGCAGTGAATACAGCAAGAAAGGACAAGCCAATCTGTAAGAACCTTGGGTCCATGAAGATATGGAATAGATACTTAAAGATACTAATGTGACTTGTGCCTATGGTGAAAGTAGTGTCACAAGGAATTAAATGTTGTTTAAGACATACTGTAAAATGATCAAACTACACTACAGGTGCCTTGCCAACACCCAGATGTTATTACTCCAGAACTTTGGATCTCTACTATATGCCAATTTTGGTGAACACCCAGATGTTATTACTCTATAACTTTAGATCTCTGCAGATTGTGATGCTGGAGCCTGTGAATTCATGAAGTATTTTATTATTTGGGTCAAGAGGTATCTATTGAATAAACTATATGATCTGTGTGAATAGCGAGAGTTGGTCTTTAGCAATCTGTAAATTGTACTTCAAATGCTTAGCTTACACACACACAGACACAGACACAGACACACATGCATGCCTTTTCAAATTCCTAAAATGGCACAGCTACCCTGCTTTTGCAATCAGGAAAATAACCTTGGTTCCTAGTTGGAAATATTTTGGGGAATTGTCTCAGCAAAAGATTAAAAATATCAGGGCAGCATTGTTTCCCTAAGCCTTGTTTCTTGGGTATCTTTACTCTCTGTCTCCCAGGCCTAGTGCTGCAGCCAACAAATGCTGCCAATGGCAGCTGATGACCTGAAATATTTCCTGCAGCTTAAAGCTCAGCCAGTGCTTGATTTTATTGCGTTCTGTTGCTTGGTGACACTTGGAGGGGCCATCAGTTGTGAGGAGGATGGTTAAGTGGCCCTGAGAAATTCTGAACCTCAACGCAGCCTCGGAGGCCCTCTTCTGAGCTATGCTCTGGAGAATGGACTGTAAGACAGAATGACTTTTTCTGCAGAGACAAGAAGAAAAGGTGGGAAGGTGAGACAGAGTTTCTAAAGCCAACTCAAGCTACAGTTTAGTTTGGTCTCCTACATAATATTCCTGTTTAAGTGGGAGGTGGTTGGGGTGGATTCTTTCCTTTATTGAAATTATAATAAAAAAATGTAAATTTGATCTGAAGGGAAGGCCAAGTGGTAAATTCTGGCACTCATGGAGATCTTTTAGAGATCATGAATGTCTGGGTGTTGGATCAGGATTTGAACCCAGGTCACTCCATATCCACAGCCGTGGAGTCATTTTCTCTATCACTGTTTGTACACAGCAGGCGATTATAAATATTGTAAATACTCTGCCGCTGGTCTCCTTCCTCTTCCCCTCCTCCTCTTCCTTCTGCTCAGGGCTCCTTATTCTTCTCCTCCTGCCTTCCTCTCTCCATGTCCTCCTCCTCCTCCTTCCTCCTAGTCATTCTGCGCCCCCACCTCCTCTCTTCCTCTTTCTTCTTCCTCTTTCTCCATCCTTTCCTCCTTCTCCTCCACCGCCTTCTCTCTTATCATCATCATTATAACCACCACATAGGGCATGTCTATTCTGCCCCAGTGTTGTGCCAAGCACTTGACCTGCAATAGCTCATTAAGTCATACAGTCGGTATTATTAATATCATCCCCATTTTACCACGAGGAAATGAACACTTGGAAACACTATGTGGACCACCTAAGTACTCACAGTTAGCAAAGGGCTGACATTTGACCCTAGAGTTTCCCAACTTAAAGCCAGTGCTCTTAACTCCTTGATGTCTACTTATCTGTAAGTGAATCATGCAGAAGAAAGCACATAGTTTTCTCCCTGGGCATAGGTTAGCTGTCCTCAGGCCTTGTGGGTTTTGCAAAATTCCAAGGTCAATATTAAGTGCTCTGGTATCATTTCATATATATGTGGATTGAGTTGGCCTTACTTCTAAAATTACAGGCAATGTTCTGGTTCCCACTCTGAGCTGGTCATCCTTACTGCCAGCATTGTACTCAGCACTGCAGGTGCAGGGGGCCAGGCTCTGCATATTCTTGGAAGCCACTCCTCATGAAGCTGCTTAAGTGATGCCACTAGCCCCCAAGACCTTTGCTTGCCCTGAGGGCCCAAGATGTGCTTCATCTAGAGTAATTCTGATTTCTGGAAAAGAATTGAGACCAGCCTGGGCAAAAGGGTGAAAGTTTGTCTCTACCAAAAAAAAAAAAAAAAAAAAAAAAAAAAAAATATATATATATATATATATATAAAATATATATATATATATAAAATATATATATATATATATTTTATATATATATATATATATAAAAGTTAGCCAGGCATGCTGGCACACACCTGAGGTTTTATGTCCATAAAACATAAATTCTGGCTTTTAATTGGACACTATAATTTTTACCTCATTATATCAGTAAAACCTCCTTGAAAAGGATTTTTCTTTCTTTTTCTTTTTTTTTTTTTTTTGAGACAGAGTCTTGCTCTGTCGCCCAGGCTGGAGTGCAGTGGCGCGATCTTGGCTCACTGCGAGCTCCGCCTCCCGGATTCGCACCATTCTCCTGCCTCAGCCTCCCCAGTAGCTGGGACTACAGGCGCTCGCCACCACGCCCAGCTAATTTTTTTTTTTTTTTGTATTTTTAGTAGAGACGGGGTTTCACCGTGTTAGCCAAGATGGTCTTGATCTCCTGACCTCGTGATCTGACCTCCTCAGCCTCCCAAAGTACTGGGATTACAGGCGTGAGCCACTGCGCCTGGCTTCTTTCTTTTTCTTTTCTTTTTGAGACAGGATCTCACTCTGTTGCCCAGGTTGGAGTACAGTGGTGCAATCACGGCACACTGCAGCCTCGACTTTCTGGGCTCAAGTGATCCTCCCACCCCAGCCTCCTGAGCAGCTGGAACCTCAGGTGTGTGTCCATATGCCTGGATAACTTTTATATATATTTTTTGTAGAGACACAGTTTTACCCTTTTGCCCAGGCTGGTCTCAAACTCCTGAGCTCAAATGATCCTCCGACCTTAGACTCCCAAATTGTTGGGATTACAGGCGTGAGCCACTACACCTGGCCGGATTTTAATTTTTCTTATTGAAGTAACTTGTCATAGAATTTCCTGGTGGGAAGTCCCATCAAGACATGAAATAGACATAATGTAAAGACATTTATTGAAAAGCAAAAATTCCATTTCCCAAAGCCATGCTCTATGCATGATGGTTGGGAGGCTTTTAAATAGTGGGACTGAGATGAATTATTCTCCGATTTCTGACTGTCACAATGGTTTTAATCCAAGAATAAAACCAACACAAACAGCGTGGCTCTAAACCAAGAAACAAGTCCATTTTAAAGCAACATCTGTAAGCTTGGAAAGCACCTGTTTTCTCTGGTGAGCTGTTAAAAATCCAAATAGTTGAGCAATTACAGATGGCTTTCCAAAGACCTGTTTTCCTATTTTTTTCTCTTCCAAAATGATTTTTTAAATATTTAACATTAACAAGTAACAGTATTGGCTCATATATTAGCATGCGGCTCAACTTTAAGTTTTATTTTCTCCCGAAGCTTTTGTGGTGAGGTGAAGAGGCAAACTGTGGAGGGTTAGCCTGGTAACCATGGCAACAGCATTGCCATCCATGAAGTGGCTCTGAGAGCCCAAGGCCCTCAGGCTGGGAGGCTAATTCCTACAACAAAGCCTTTTCTGTGTTCAACTGGGTACAGGAAAGCCGCTGGTTGTGATGGTGGCTATGACAAACCTTCAGCCTGAAGACCCGGGAGGGAAAAATGTGAGTCTTACCCTTCACACATTAATTATTTTATGAATAGATGAATGCAATGTGCTAGCAAACCTGATGAATGTAATTCAGGCCTGCTCTCCTAAACCATACCGTTGCTTCATTCGACATGCTCCTGCAGAAACACATTTAATGCTCGTGTGCAAATCATTTGAACATGGTCTTTAAATATTTCTCATTCTGTGACGGTACCAAAGCTGTCTCGAGCATCTAAAAGGGATTATGAAAGCCATCCTTTCTACAGAGTTTGTTTTAAAATAACCCAACTATTAGAATATTATACTTCCATTAGTTGCTGGCTTAGTAGGATTTCCCACTCAGGAATGAAGCGGGATTTAAAGTGGCTTCTCGTTCATGAGGCATGATTTTTTTTCTTTTTTTTGTTTTATTATACTTTAAGTTTTAGGGTACATGTGCGCAACATGCAGATTTGTTACATGTGTATACATGTGCCATGTTGGTGTGCTGCACCCATTAACTCGTCCTTTACATTAGGTATATCTCCTAATGCTATCCCTCCCCCCTCCCCCCACCCCACAACAGGCCCTGGTATGTGATGTTCCCCTTCCTGTGTCCATGTGTTCTCATTATTCAATTCCCACCTATGAGAGAGAACATGTGGTGTTTGGCTTTTTGTCCTTGCGATAGTTTGCTGAGACTGATGGTTTCCAGCTTCATCCATGTCCCTACAAAGGACATGAACTCATCATTTTTTATGGCGGCATAGTATTCCATGGTGTATATGTGCCACATTTTCTTAATCTAGTCTATCATTGTTGGACATTTGGGTTGGTTCCAAGTCTTTGCTGTTGTGAATAGTGCCGCAATAAACATACGTGTGCATGTGTCTTTATAGCAGCATGATTTATAATCCTTTGGGTATATACCCAGTAATGGGATGGCTGGGTCAAATGGTATTTCTAGTTCTAGATCCCTGAGGAATCGCCACACTGACTTCCACAATGGTTGAACTAGTTTACAGTCCCACCAACAGTGTAAAAGTGTTCCTATTTCTCTACATCCTCTCCAGCACCTGTTGTTTCCTGACTTTTTAATGATCGCCATTCTAACTGGTGTGAGATGGTATCTCATTGTGGTTTTGATTTGCATTTCTCTAATGGCCAGTGATGATGAGCATTTTTTCATGTGTCTTTTGGCTGCATAAATGTCTTCTTTTGAGAAGTGTCTGTTCATATCCTTCACCCACTTGTTGATGGGGTTGTTTGTCTTTCTAAACTTGTTTACTATGGTCACATTAGGAAGGGTATTTATTGCCAACTGAAAAATAACCAGTGTGTTATAAATTCAAGAGAAAATATGTTCCAAATTAACAAAATGGGACTAGAAGTATTGAACCTGAAAAAAGGTATAATTTTGAATTCTAGAAAAAGAGAAGTGTTCGGTTTGGAAATTTTAGTGACAGTAAAAATGTGCCTGAATTCCAGTTCATTTGATTTACAACAACATCTACATTGGATGTGACAGCGGTAGAATCCTAAGCTTTTCAATTAGATCTTGGTTTTCTTATTTTCCAGATATGTAATTGATATGGTTTGGCTCTGTGTCCCCACCCAAATCTCATCTTGAATTGTACTCCCATAAGTCCCACGTGTTGTGGGAGGGACCTGGTGGGAGATAATTGAATCATGGGGGTGGTTTGCCCCATAATGTTCTAGTGGTAGTGAATAAGTCTCACGAGAGCTGATGGTTTTATAAGGAGTTTCCGCTTTCACTTCTCTCTCATTCTCTCTTGCTGCTGCCATGTAAGATGTGCCTTTTGCCTTCCACCATGATTGTGAGCTCTCCCCAGCCACGTGGAACTGTGAGTCCATTAAACCTCTTTCTTTAGTAAATTGCTCAGTCTCGGTATGTCTTTATCAGCAGTGTGAAAACGGACTAATACAGTAATTTTGGGTGAAGGATTCAACCTCTTTTTGGGTGATTCTTCAGTTCTAAAATTGAGATAAAAATAGTACCTTAGAATGTTGTGAGAATTGAATGAGAAAATTTATGCAATGTACTTAGCACTGTGACCAGTCAGGGTTCAACACTGTTGTATATTCCTAGGTCTACCTTTGATGGCTCAACTATGGCTAAGCCAATCAGGCCATGCACGTATTTTTTGGAAAGAATTACTACAGTATAGAATGTGGTGATGGAACTGTACTGTGAGAGTTAGCCTAACTCTTGACTTGTGCTTGAAGTTCCTCAAGATGTTGGTTTCAACTTCTGGACTGTAGCTGAAGCGGCTACGTTGTCTGGGGTACATACCCCGGGGTTCATTGTCGTGTGCCAGGAAAATTTAGGACATGGACATGCACGAGGAGTTTAGGAGCCAAAGTTTAACAGGCAGAAGAGAAGAGAAAGAGAAACAGCTCTCTCCATAGAGAAAGGGGTCTCCAAGCTCAAAGGACCGGCTGTTGGTGAATGCACCAGGTTTTATAGTCCACTTTGAGGAGGTGGTGTCTGATTTATATAAGGCTCACAGATTGGTTCAGTGCAATCAGGTATGATGTTTACATAGCACACAGGGAAGGCTGGTTGCCCCACCCTCATCTTATTATGCAAATGAGCTTTCCAGGTGATGGGCGCCATCTTGTCTGCTCCTTACATTACATGTGGCTGACAAAGACAAGGGAAGATGGAGCCGCCATCTTAAACATGATTGGCACTACTGCAGGTATCTATGTCTGCAGCTCGATTTTACAGGCTGCTCTTGGTTAGAAAGGAAAGTAATTCAGGGCTGCTTTTCATTAAAAAGAAAAGCCTTACCAAGGACTCCCATACCCTTGCTATCTGCTTAAGTGGTTTCTTCTTAACTCCTATTATTGTAATGGTCACTATAGGACTCACTGTGGGTGGGATTGGCCAGCCATCCTGCTTTGTATGGAGCCTCCTACTCTGGGTATGGACAGGTATGCTTTTTCCTACAGCTGAGGATTAGGAATGCATGTGGAGGCGCGGTACCCTGGCCGTCCTTGCTGGAGGTGAGCAGTGTTCCTTAGCAGCTGCATGCCTGGGGGTCTGGATAGGGAAAAGGAAACGGCAAGGAGAATCAGCCACAGGCAAAGAATTTCTTCCCCACCTGGGCCCTGTAGCCTCTGGGATTCTCTGCCAGCAGGGCACCCCGTGGTTCCTCAAGTCAAGACTGAAAACAGTTGAAGGTCTCACTGCATGTTCTAGTGATGGCTTGTCTTTTGTTTCCTAAAGTCACGAGGGTGAGACTGGCCAGGGGCTTGTGTGGTTTTATGCCTCAGGCTCCAGTGCACAGGAGAAAGGGCAGGGTTCACCTCCCAGCTCTTCTGCTTAATGGCTGCATTACCTTGAGCAAGACTTAGTGATATGGTTTGAGTCTGTGGCCCTGCCCAAACCTCATGTCAAATTGTAATCCCCAATGTTGGAGGTGGGGCCTGGTGGGAGGTGATTGGATCGCAGGGGCCTGGTGGGAGGTGATTGGATCGCAGGGGCGGTCACTCATGAAGGGTTTAGCACCATCCCCCTAGCGCTGTTCTTGGGATAGAGTTCTCCTGAGATCTGGTTGTTTTAAAGTGTGTGGCACCTGCCCCCTTGCTCTCTCTTCCTCCTGCTCTGGCCATGTAAGAAGTGCCGGCTTCCCCCTTGCCTTCCACCATGATTGTAAGTTTCCTGAGGCCTCCCTAGAAGCTGAGCAGATGCAGCCATGCTTCCTGTACGCTGCAGAATAGTGAGCCAATAAAACCTCCTTTATTTATCAATTACCTAATCTCAGGTGTTCCTTTATAGCAGTGTGAAAATGGACTAATACAGTTGGTGTCATCAAGAGAGCTGTGGAGAATATTAGTACTGAATCCACAGGGGTGATATGAGGATTCTACAAAGACACACCCGAAGTGCCTCGCACAGCCTATGGTGCCTAGAAAGTCTTCAGTTCATACCGGGCATAAGTGGTTCCTAGTGGGATTTGGGGGCCTCTAATTGCCTTAAGGCAAGTGCTGCCCCTCCATCCCCTACTCCTGCCTGTAGCTCTGAATTACATGAGTTCCCTGTGGGCTGGCAGAGTTAGAGCTGTGAGATTCTAGGCTGTAGACATCATGTCCCCCATCCTAAGGGCCACATCAATTGAAGAATCGCCCTGGGCAACATGCTTGGGGAAAACAACCGGCTGTATTGAGGGTCGTTAGGTTCCTGATGACTTCAGAGGTCCCAGTGATAGGACCATGGCACCTCTACACAGCTGGCTGGGGCTAGAGAGGCATTTGCCAATTCACTCTGTCTCTGTCTCTCTTTTCTTGCTCTTCTCTGTGTCTCTGACTCTCTCTCTCAGTCATGCAGCAACAAAAGCTACAGGGCAGGGGCAAGTCACACCACACTCAGAAAACACCGATTAACCGTAGACATGTGTAATGACAAGCCAAACAAGGTTAGGAGCTTTGTTGAAGGGGTGAAAACCCCAAAGTGTGGGCATGGACTATATTGGGATATCAATCAACAGGGACTTAAGGAGCAAAACCTGCACGTTTGCATCAAATGCCCCCTGACCTACCAGGTAAGGCCTCCCCACCCCAAACCCCTTTAATGTCAGCATCATCTTTTTAAAAAGTTATAAATGTAATACATGTTCACGGTAAAAAAAAAAAAAATCTAAATGGCACAAAAAATAAAAATCTCCTTTCTCCTCTCATTTTTTCCCCAGTCTTTAGAAGTAATCATTTAACACACCATGTGCATTTGCTAGATAATCGCCAGAGTTTTCTTTATCTTGTATTATTCTTTTGGATTGACTGTTTGCTTTAGGTGATAAAGTGTTTCTATGATGGTTCAAATAAGGTTCCTGTCTCCAGGTTGTTTAATCCAACTGTATTAGTTTCCTAGGTGACAAACCACCATAAACTCGGTGACTTAAAACAGCAAAAGTGTATTCTCTCACAATTCTGGAGGGCAGAAATCTGCCATTGAGGTATTGGCAAAGCTGCAACCCCACTGAAGGTTCTAGGGAGGATCCTCCCTGGCCTCTTCCAGCTTCTGGTGACCCCAGTTGCTCCTCAGCTCATGGCAGCCTCACTCCAGCCTGTACCTCATTCCCATACGGCCTTCTCCTCTGGTCTCTGTGTCTCCTAATCTCCTCTTACAAGGACATCAGCGATAGAGTTGGTGTCCACCAGCCCACCCTAAAACTTGGACATCTCATCTCAAGATCTTTAACTTAATTGTATTTGCATTGACCTTGTTTCCCCAATAAGGTCACGTTCTGATTCCAGGTGGACTTGAATTTTGGGGAGACATTATTCAATCACTACAAAGTTCACTCTGTCTCCGGCTCTCTTTTCCTGCCCCTCTTGGCTAAGGCAAATGATCTTAAAACTTTAAGTAGATGTTGACTCATTTTCAATACTCTGACAATTTGGGAGCGGCCAGCAGCCAGCGCAGAGTCCCCATCATTGAGACTGAAATTTGAAATAGTGCTACAAGCTCCTTGAGCCACTTTGAGAGGAAACTTACCACCAACAAAACTTCCCCCAAAATGATGATGCAAAATCAATAAAGATCTCGATCAAAGATTCTTGGTAACTTCCCAAAGATAAGCAGATCCTTAATTGGCTGTGAGATCTTAGCCAAAAGTCTCAAAGTCTTCATCTATAAAATGATGATGGCAACGTCATCTATTATTGGTGTTGTGTGAATTAAATGAGGAAATGCATTTGGAGTGTTTGGTGCAGTACTTGGAATGTAGTGAATGCTTAATCAAGGATGACTTTGAAAATCTTAAGAACTGAGAACAGACTTCAGCACAGCATATATAATGAACATGACTGGGGATATAAGTGGTTCTTTAAAAAGATGGCATGAAATAAGCCTGTATCAGGGCCCAAGAATAGAAGCAGACATAGCTGGATCTTATCATAATGACAGGGCACCAGAATCAGTGTCCCAGCAGGCAGGAAAAGCACACTCAAATTAGGGAAACCCAAGAAAGGCTTAATAAAGGCACCAGGTACAAAGGTGTAGGGAAACCACCAGGGTTGTGTGGTAACAGGGAGAGGGAGAGTGGTGGAACAGCTGTTACCATCCCTAAAACCAAAGGGATGGAAGAGAGGAAGTGAGCAAAGGGACAGGGAAGGAGAGAGTCTCTAGAGAAGGTGCCTCAATGCGGCAGTGACCACAGCCACCCTGCAGGATATGGTCAAGGGAATAAAGCCGAAATTTTACTGTTCTTCCTCCTTCCAATCCCCTGCTGGGGCTCCCCTTTGCTGAGTTAATTTTGAAATCATAGAGCAAGGGAACTTCTGGATCCCTAGGGATATGAGTGTGGTCAACCCAGCCCCCAAGAAAGCAAACTTCCTAGGGCAGAAGAAAAGGTGCAGACGCTGGGAGAATCTTGGGGAGGAACCTGGAAAGATACCGCCTGCGGCTCTTAATCATTTGATTGTCAGATTGTGGAACATTCTCTTCTGTAGGTGGCACTGCTCTTGCAAGACAAGGAACCCGTGGCTCAGCACCACCTGCCATAACTGCACACTGGCACAGCTTCTAGCAATACCCACCAAGCGTCCACTGAGGAACTTACGGTATTTGCCAACTTTGGCAAAGGATAAGATAATGTTGTGGAAAATACCATACTCTGCGGCAGTTTTAGGTATGGCTGCAGACACTGCCACATCCCGAGACAGATCGCCCTGAGCTCTTCTAATAAGAGACAACTGCTGGGCTACTGTCTGGTGAATAATCGAAATTGCCTGTTGCCAGGGCATGTGACCCACTGTGACTCTCCTGGAGAGCAGCAATCAAGACTAAAGTATTAGTTCCTGGAGCTGCAGGAGACATTCAGAGTGGCATCTGTTCTCACTGGTTGGCAGCAGAATTGGTTCATTTCAGCCTGCAATCCTCTTCCAGTAAATCCTCTTCCAGTAAATCCTCTTCTCCACCCCCATTTACCTATAAGACCTCCTCCTCCCTCTCCACTTCCTCCCTCTCCCTCTTTCCCTTCCCCTTTCCCTCCCTCCTTTTTCTCTTCCCTTCTTCTCTCTCTCTCTTTCTCTGCCTCCCTCTCTCCTTCCCTCTCCCACCTTCCTCCTTCCTTCTCTCTCTTTCCTCCCTCTTTCCCCTCTCCCTCCTTCCTCGTTCCCTCCCTCCCTCTCTCCCTTATCCCTCCCTCTCCATCTCTCTCTCTCATTCCTGCTTGGACATCAGGTTCAGAGGGCTGATCTGGTCACACTCCTCGCTTCTTGGCACATTTTCAGTGTGGCTTCTTGCAAGGACTCTCACTTGTTTGGTTCTTTAATTTCCTTTTATAACAGCAACAGCAATTACCCAACCCTTCCAATGTCACTTTCAGACCAGATGCTGTACCAAGGGCTTTATGTACACTCACTGTTTGCTCCCCACTTGCAAGTGTTGAGATGGATTCCACCACGGCCTCCAGCTGGAGGAGCTTGGTAAGTTGCATGTGGTGTCAGGGCTAAGCCCAGGCAGTCTGTTCCTTTGATTTGGGCTCTGCACTGTCCCCCTTCCCCTCCCCTTAGGTTTAATGGATATCATTTTGTTATGTGTTCCTACAAAACGGATATCATTGTTTTGTAGTCATTTAAAAAACAGTCAAGAAATTATTGTTGTAAATGTCTCTGTTTCTTATTTTCTCTAGGCCTTCGCTTCCCTTGGTGGCCAGGTACTTTCTGGTTCCCCCAGAGGAAATCATTTCACCCATCCTTTCTTCCAGTGGTGGACCCAGAGTGCTTCCAGCTCTCTGTCCTACAAATAAAGCTGTGACAAATATTCTCAAATATGTCTCCACAAGGGGCCGTGGGGACATTTCCATGGCCTGGAATCAGAAATGCCAGGCCCTGGGGTGCTGAGGCCTAATTGGTGAGCTAGGCCCGACTGTGCCCAGCCTCCCCTCCCACCAGTGGGCACAGTTCCAGTGTCCTTCCATCCATGCCAGCACTTGGCATCAGCTGCTGAATTTGTGCCAGGCTAATAGGTGTAAAGTGATTTTCCATGGTATTAATTTGCATTTCTCTGACTATTGATGATGGCCAACATTTCCCCCAATGCAGGCGGCCTTTCATCTGGCTGCATTGCAGTAAACTGCTTGTACTCATTTTACTATTAGAGCTGCTGGAATTTTCTTGTTGGTTTGTGGGGTTTTTTGTTCTACATTTCTGTTTTTTTATCTGGTAGATTTTATCTGCTGCAGAATCTTCTCCCTGTCTGTCCTGTATTTATTTTTGTCCCTGGGGTGACCATTTGGAACAAAACTCCTTCATTTTCATATAATCAAATGTATTAATATTTCTGTACATTGGAAGTTTTAAGAAGTCCTACCCTATCTACAAATCATAAAGATATTCTCTTATATGTCTTTCTGTTATCCTCACCCTTTTACCTTCCTCAGGCAGGTATTGCTTTCATCTGGAGCGCATGATGATTTCTGTGTTAGGTAGAGATTCAGTCATATTTCGATTGACTGATACAGTCATGGTCTCTCCAGCACTATGTACTAACCATTGTCCTCTTTTCCTTATTGAGTTTTGTTCCCCTTTACTATATGTTAAATCCTTTTCAGACACAGGTTTCACTCTGTACTCTCTATTCTGTCTCCTTGATATAGTTTCTACTTTGTGCAGCTTGCATGCTGTCTTTTCATTACCTTAACTTTGAGATGTGTTTTAATGCCTAGCAGAACAAGCCTACTTCATTTTGCTTTTTTTTTTTTTCTTTTTCTTTTTGAAACAGGGCCTTGCTCTGTCCCCAAGGCTGGAGTGCAGTGGTGTAATCATGACTCACTGCAGCCTCAATCTCTGGACCTCAAGGGATTTTTCTCAACTCAACCTCCCAAGTAGCTGGGACCACAGGTGTGCACCACCATGCCCGGCTAATTTTTGTATATGTATGTGTGTGTGTGTGTGTGTGTGTGTGTGTGTGTGTGTGTGTGTGTATGTGTGTGTGTATATATATATTTTGGAGATGGGGTTTTGCCATGTTGTCCAGGCTGGTCCTTAACTCCTGGGCTCAAGTCATCCACCAGGCTGGGCCTTCCAAAGTGCTGGGATTACAGGTGTGAGCCACCTGTGCCTGGTCTCACTTGGCTCTTGGCTTTTAAAAAGTTGACATAGCTTTTTTTTTCTTTTTTTTTTTGAGACAGGATCTCGCTCTGTTGCCCAGGCTGGAGTGCAGTGGCACGATCTCGGCTCACTGCAACCTCCACCTCCTGAGTTCAAGTGATTCTCCTGGCTCAGCCTCCTGAGTAGCTGGGATTACAGGCACACGCCACCATATCAGGCTGATTTTTATATTTTTAGTCGAGATGGTGTTTCACCATGTTGGCCAGGCTGGTCTTGAACTCCTGATCTCAGGTGATCTGCCCGCCTTGGCCTCCCAAAGTGCTGGGGTTACAAGCATGAGCCACCACACCGGCCCAACCCAGCTCTTCATAGACCTTTCTTCTTCCATGTTAAAATTAAAATAAGTTTACTGAGTTTCTCAAAACACCTGCCTGTAATTTTATTTCAACTGGATTGCGTTTATATCTTAATGTAGGGAGAATGATGTCTTTATTCTGGTTTTCACCCATCTAAGTGGCATCTTTTGAGGATTCCTGACATTTTCACGTCTATTAACAAGGATGTAGAATGTACCCTGAGTGCTTGAAGTAAAGCGTTCCTATGCCTAGCAGGGAGTGCACCTCTGCTGGTCTCCTACCTTCCACCAAGAAGGATTTCAATGAGGCTCTGGAGAGAGGCATGGTGGCTGGGGGGAAGGCCTCCCTTGGCAGGGGTTTGAGGGAATCCGGATCCCCTCCCGGGCCCCAGCACCCAGTGTCAACACACGCACTGGCCCTGTGTCCACTACGGCTTGCCTCTGCGTGACTCTCACTTACATACATGTCAATCACCACGGATGCCCTGGAATTCTAGGTGGTTCCTCATCGCTTCCTTCCGGATCCCCACAGTGTCTGAGTATCCCCAATATCTGCTGCATTTCTCATTCCTGCCCAAACCCTTGGGCCTTTCCACTGTTCCTTCTAGAAAACACTCTGCTGGACCTGGAGGTGAGGCAGGGGTCCCTCCTGCTTCTTCTTGTCCCTTCTGGACCTCTCTAAATGCCTCAGCTTTGCCTCATCTCATCAGATCGCATCCCCCTCTCCCCCGGCTGCAGCCATCTGCAGACTGCTCACTTCTCAGTGATTGGGGCTTCTGGTTCCCTGTCACTCTCTCCATCACCACTCCAGCCTTAATTCTGCATGATTTCAGTCCATGTGGTTGATTCTTCCAACAAGGAACCTTCCAGTTCCCCGAATCTCTCTCTTAATGATTGTGTCATATACACATCCCCTCCTGCCTGCAACCCAAGTGCCTCACTCTTATGGTTCATTATACCTTAGACCTGTGCTGTCCAATATGGTAGCCACTAACCACTAGTGGCTATATACATTTAAATTAGTTACAATCAAGAATAAGTAAACATTTGATTTCTTAGTTGCATTAGCCACATTTCAAGTGCCTGTGGCTAGCAGCTACCGTGTTGGCTAGTGCAGATATTGGACACTTCCATCATCACAGATAGTTCTATTGGAACTTTCTAGCATTGCCCTGGGCTTTGTCATTACCAGTCAGTATAATGTCTCCATAATCCTAGCTGGACATCTCCACTCCCTGCCCACCACCTCCTGGCCTTGCCGCTCTTCTCCATCTACTGCCTGAACTCTGCCAAACCTTGGACCCTTCAGCAACCTGCACACAACTCATGGACCCCTTTCCACTGTCCTTCCCCTGTGGGCCCTGCAGCCTGTCCTCATTCCTCCTCACTTAGTTAAATGTCCTGGGCACACATGATAGTCACTTGCTGCCATGTTTCCAGTTCCCTGTTGCTGCTCGCTTTATTGCACTTGTTATTTTATTGCTCTTGCTTGCTCAGGCTGTGGTGCGGATGCACTGCAATTTGCCGACTGCAATTTGCTATGTGCTCCTCGTTCATGCCGATTTAACAGAATGGGGCTAGAGAAAAACACAACTGCACCCACCGGTCCCACTTACACGAATGACCGATATCATCAAGTGGGCACCCGCACTCGGCTGCAAGTCTGCAGTGCTGTGTATTGCCGGCGCACTGGCTTTTCCATTCTCCTAGGTGAAGATGCCAAGAGGTTCTCCTCTTCTTGGATTCCCACCATCCTCTCCTTCTTCCTGTCTCAGCTGGTGATCTTGCTTCGTTCTTCACTAAAGACATGAAAGAGAACGTTTCCAAACTCCCACTGCACCTACCCACCCACCTGTGTCTGCATTTATATCCTCCACGTTCCCTTCTGCTGCCATAGAGATGAACTGCCCAAGCTCCTAGAGCGGGGAAGTTCTCCTGCTTGTGCCTAGGACCTGTCCCCTGTTGCCTATTGAAAGGTGTGCTGCGGCGTGAGACTCCCCTCCCTCTCCTACATCATCATTTCTATCTCTTTCCTGGCTCATAAGTGCACAAACATGCTTTCATTTCTTCCACCTTAAAAAAAAATCTTCTGTTGATCCCACTCTCCTCCTCAGCTATTGCCTATTTCTCTGCTCCCTTTTACAGAAAACCTCTGAGAGAATTGTCCATATTTCCGGTTCCTAGTTCCTCTCCTCTTGTTTTATTTTATTAAGGAAAATGTTTGTTTCAGAATGATCTCAGATTTATGGAAATGTTGCAAAGGTGATATTCTCATTTGAAATTACTGTAATCAGGTTTTCTCACGCCTCTCCCCAAACTGCTCTTGTCACTGTCATCGATAAGCTCCCCTTCACCAAGCTGCAGTGAGGAAACCTTAGCCTTCGGCTTCCTGAAGCCATCAGCAGCGCCTGGTGTGGCTCACTCTCCTTCCTCTGCCTGCTTCCTGGCCTTCCGTGGTCTACCACTCCAGGTTTCCCTCCTGCCTCTCCAGCTGCTTTCTGTTTTTTTTTTTTTTTTCTCCTTTGCTCTCCTGCCTGGGTCCCTGTCCTGGGACCTCTTCTCTTCTCTGCCTACACCTGCTCCCTGTCTTCCAAGCTCATGGCTGTGGATACAAATTACACGCACATGACTCACACATTTGCATCTCCACTTCACTTCCCACCTGGACTCCAGACGCCTTGATCCAGCTTGCAGCCCGACCTCTCTGCTGGGATGGCTGCTACACACACAACGCATCCAGGACGGAACCTGTGGTCTCCCTCCCGACCTGCTCTCTCCACTTCAGTGGCAGCTCTACTTCTGTAGCTGCTCAGGCCAAAAACACTGAAAGTCCCCCTGGACGCCTCTCTTTTTCTCACACCTCATAGCGAATTAATCAGGAAATGCCGTTGAGTGGCCCTCCAAAATACTTCCAGAATCTGACTGCCTCTTCCTGTCTTCCCTGCTGCTTCTGTGGGCCAAGCCTCTTTGCTCTTCCTAGATATTTTCAGTACCTTCTCATTGCTTTCCCATCTTCCCTTACACTCTATCTGGAATGATTTTTTTTTTTTTTTTGACATGGAGTATCGCTTTTTTGCCCAGGCTGGAGTGCAATCGTGCAATTTTGGCTCACTGCAACCTCTGCCTCCCCGGTTCAAGCGATTCTTGTGCCTCAGCCTCCCAAGTAGGTGGGATAACAGGCTCGCGCCACTGTGCCTGGCTAATTTTTGTATTTTTAGTAGAGATAGGGGTTCACCATGTTGGCCAGACTGGTCTCAAACTCCTGGCCTCAAGTGATCTGCCCGTCTTGGCCTCCCAAAGTGCTGGGATTATAGGCGTGAGCCACTGTGCCTGTGCTGGAATGAGTTTTAAAAATGTCAATCAGAACGCATCATTCCTTTGTCCAGTGGCTCCTCATTTCTCTACACATCGTCTCCTACAGCTCCTGCTCATTCACCCTGCTCCACCCACGCTGGCCTTGGCTTTGGTCCTTGAATATGCCAGGCACATTTCCACCCCAGACCCCCTGCCCTGGCTACTTCCTCTGCCTAGAACACTCTTCCCTGATGTATCCCCGTGCCTCACTCTGCTTTCTCATTCAAGTCTTTGCTCAATTATCAACCTCTCTACGAGGCCTACTTTGGCAACCCCCTTCAATCTGAGACCCCCTCTCCAGCATCCCTAAACCCGTTCTATTGCACCCATGAAACTTACATTCTTATACTACCCTATAGAATTTATTTCTTATATTGACTTTTTATTTTCTCTCTCCCACTAGCATTTAAACTTCTGCTCATTCTAACAGGGAAGGAAAAAGCAATCAGAGATTTAGGAATTGGGAAGCAAGTGACAAATCTACCATTTTCTGTACCTTCTAAGAAACACAAACAGAATCAAGGGACAAAGCTCTTGAACTAATGAGTGGGTTCAGAAAGAACGAGCTTACCCAGGCTGGACTCAGTGGCTCACATCTGCAATCCAAGCACTTGGGGAGGCCGAGGCAGGAGAATTGCTTGAGCCCAGGGGTTCGAGACCAGCCTGGACAACATGGTGAAACCCTGTATCTACTAAAAATATGAAAAATTAGCTGGGCATCGTGACGTGCATCTGTGGTCCCAGCTATACAGGAGACTGAGGTAGGAGGATCACCTGAGCCTGGGAGGTCCAGGCTGCAATGAGCCATGACCTTATACTACGTTCTTATACTACCTTATAGAATTTATTTCTTATATTTACTTTTTATTTTCTCTCTCCCACTAGCATCTGAACTTCACGGGAGCAGAGATTGGTTTGTTATTTTGCTCTACCTTTTGACTCCAGTACAGTGCATGGCACTGAGCAGGTATGCAACCATTTTTGTTGCATGAGCGAATGTGTCCTGTACAGAGTTTTAATTAATGTTTTTTTTTTTTTTCCACAGACAGCCTGTAAATTCTTGGCTATATTAATATCTTGATACTTAGAGTTTTAGTTCTTTTTTAGTGGCATCTTATTTTTGACAACGTTTTCTAGTTGCAATGTCATTGCATTTTTGCAGGGTAAACTCATTTCTTTTGCTGTTGTTGTTGTTTTTGTTGAGACAGGGTCTCGCTTTGTTGCCCAGGTTGGAGTGCAGTGGCGTGATCATGGCTCACTGCAGCCTCGATCTCCCAGGATCGGGTGATCCTCCTATCTCAGTCTCCTGTGTAGCTGGGGTCATAGATGCACGCCACCATGCCCAGCCAATTTTTTGTATTTTTAGTAGAGACAGGGTTTCATCATGTTGTCCAGGCTGGTCTCGAACCCCTGCGCTCAAGCAATTCTCCTGCCTCGGCCTCCCCAAGTGCTTGGATTGCAGATGTGAGCCACTGAGTCCAGCCTGGGTAAGCTCGTTTCTGGCGCTCTTTCTGAACCCACTCATTAGTTCAAGAGATTTGTCCCCTGATTCTGTTTGTATTTCTTAGAAGGTACAGAAAATGACAGATTTGTTGCTTCCTTCCCAATTCCTATATCTGGGGTTGCTGTTTCCTTCCTTGTTAGAATGAGCAGAAGTGGTATCATGGACATCCTTGTCTTATCCTGATTTTAAAGTGCTTCTAGCATCTCTCCCTTGATGTTTGCTGTAACATTTTGGTATACAAGCTTTATGAAGTTTAAGAAACTGATTTCTATTCCAGAGACCTTTTAAATTATAAAATATACACTGAAACTTGTCAAATACTTTGTCATTCCTGATTGAAATGGTCATGAGATTGTACGTACTTTTAGTCTATGAATGTTGTAAATTACATTGACAGATTTTTCTTTGTTTTCCTAGAATAAACTCTATTTGGTCACATTGTATTTTTCAAAAGTACATAGAGTTAGATTTAGCTAGCTAATATTTTATTTAGAATTTTTGCTAAATAAATGATTTAGTAAAATAAAGAACAAAATGAGTTTGCAAATATAGATGTGTGTGTGTGTGTGTGTGTGTGTGTGTGTGTGTGTGTAATTCGCATTGTTGTTTTCTGGTTTTAGAATTAAGATTACATTATCTCTCTTAAAGTGAGTGTGTCCGATTTATTTTGCTCTTTTAATATTTTGTGAACATCTTAGATTAAGACAAGATAACTTAGGAATTAATGGTTTCTTGAATGTTTGGGAGATCTAACAAGGAAAATTGTCAGAGACTGGAGGTCTTTTGGTAGCAGAGATCTTTGACCACTACATCAGTTTCTCTAACATTTACTCTGTATTTGTCTTTTTTTCCTGGTGCCAGGTTTGGTATTTGTGTATCTTTCTCCCCTGCTGCACCCCAAGTGAACCTTTCCCATCCTGGGCAGGCACAGCTCCCCTGCTGCACCCCAAGTGTCTTCAAAAGCAATTGCAAAAAACTGAAAATAGACAGGTGGGACTTGATTATACTAAGGAGCTTCTGTAAAAGCAAAATAAACTATCAGCAGAGTAAACAGCCAATTTTCCTAGAAATAGATCCTTTCTAACCTAGGTCCCCAGATTTATTAGTATATGGGTGTTCTTACACTATTTCAAATCTCATTTTGCCTGTAGTTATGTCCCCTTTTTATTTTATATTATATTTATTTATATATTTTCTCTCTCATTCTCTTGGTCTTTCTCTTCTTCACTATTTTGATGATTCTTGCCAAAAATATGTCTTCTTAATTTTTGTAGGTCTGGGAATCAGATTCTGAGCCTCTGAGCTTTGCATGCTGGGGACTTATTGAAGAATATTTTCTTTTGAGGGGTGAGAGGAATATGATTGGGTGGAGGGGGAAGGTAAACTGTGATTGAGTTGCCCTTGGTTGAACGCAGGCCATCAGTGGATCCTGCTAGGAGCCCTGGAGCTAGGATGGCCCTTGAGAGCCATCCCACTGAGGCAAGGGGGCTGAGCCTTTGTCCCCACTCCACCCGCTTCATCAGATGCAGGCGGTCCCAGCAAAACCTTAGGAAAGGCAGCTTCCTTTGCCAAGGGCAATTCCTGGACGGCTCAATGCTGAAAAGGGTAGGGTAGGGAACCCAGGAAGTACGCGACAGCATCTACTATCTCACATTCCTGGAGCATCTACTCCAGATCGACTCAGATCTACTCCCTTCACAGAGCAATGTGCTTTCAAAGGTGTGCTGAAACCAGCTTGTAACAGATTGTGACAGCAGATTGTTAGACTTTTCAGGAATTTTGCAGGACAGTTGTTAAGCCATTGGTAGCTTGAAATAGGCTATGGAGGAAATTTTTACACCATGGTAATTGGCAAATGCTCCAAGTTAGTATCTTTTCCCCCTTTTTTCTAACAGATGATGTAGCAGCACATAATCATGCTTAATTAAACAGCTGCACCAGCATTCTGGCTAATCTTTCCTAGGGAAACTCAGGAGAGCCCTATAGTCCTGTAGTCTTTATTGCTAAACTCGTCTCAAAGTCACAGCGCACACTCATCTTCTCCCTCTACCCTTACACGTTCTGTATTCCCCGCCCTTGGCTGAGTAGCACTTCTGGTCTAAGTGGCTGACCTCATGGGGGTGACCTAGACCCTCATCCCTAAGGAGTCTGAACACCTGGCTACCATGTTAACACAGAACTACACTTGGACATTTGTTGTCAAGATTGGGCAGGGGTGTAACAAAAGACACGCAGTGGATCACCTGGGTGCCAATGTAATCTTCCCTACTGCCACTCATGACAGTAGTCTTACCCACCCCAACGAGCAGGGTCAATGGCCCCTGCTGGGAGGGAAATACTTTCCTGTCTGGTTGGTCTCTTGTCACAAGAAGCTTAAAGAGAGTGGGCAAAAACCACAATGGGACTCTTACTGTGTGCCCTGGAAGAAGCATTCCCTCTCTGTCAACTAGGACCTTATACCCACAGCACCTGGAGTGTGTGGGCACGAGAAGTACAAATTTCCCAAGCAGATCGCGGAGAGTAATGGGGAGCAGGGCCACTCTGTCCTCCCCCTTTTGTTCTTGTGACCGCTTATTGGAGACAAACCACCATATGATGGTCCTTCATGAAGGGTTTAGGCTGCCTCCTGGAGGATGGTGGTTCATCTTTGCAGGTTATCACCTCCAAGCTGATGCCTCAGTTGCATCTTCAAACGGTGATTCCAAGCCTTCACTAAATTAGCAGCTTCCATGTGTAGTGTTATATGATAGGACCAAGGGATTGCATGCTCAGGTATACACTGCTACACTTCTTTTATTGTAAAGTGGGTCTCTTGACCCACAATATGCAATGTTATGTAGGCTGTTTAGTTGGTGGATAAAAAAGTGTGTGTGTGTGTGTGTGTGTGTGTGTGTGTGTGTGTGTATAGTTTTATAAATTTTATCAGACTGTGATGCCGGCTAAGCTTTCTAGGCAAGAAAGGCAAAACCATACTCAGAAAATGTGTTGGTTTCCATTAAGATGCATTGCTGCATCAGAAAGGGGTCTGATGTAATTAACTTGCAAAGACGTGTCTTGTTAGTCTTCTCCAGGGATGATTGTATCTTGGAGGCTCAGAGGTAGTCTCTGTTGCTTGCAAATTGGACATTGGGTAGTAGCAGTAGTTAGATCAGCTGGTGAATAGGAGCCCATGCGTTTGGACTCATGCGTAACCTCCACCCTTGCCATTATGACTCCTTTGTTCAGGAGCCTGCTAGTGTGGCTGGTGACAGAGGCTGGCTACAGTAACTGGCCAGGTCATTCTGCCCACTTGGTTGTTTAGTGCCCTTTTCATGGTGAATTCTCTCCCTGGGGCATTGACATGGGATTGAAAGATCTCCCTTATGTCCATTCACTTGCTTCTTCCAAATTCTCTTTTCCAGGCTCCGAATCAAGCAGCTAAGATATGTGGTATTGAGTCTAGGTCTAGGCTTATTTTGGGTCATTCATCTCTGTCATTTGCTTGGAATGTATAGTATTTTCAATTGATCTAAATATTGAAACATTGACCAAAAATCATTTTAAAATTTAAAAAGAGTAAATGAAAATTTCTGCATTTAGTTTTCTTTCCCTGACTGCATGTGCTATGCTTATGAGAAAGAACTGGAGACTTAACTGACAATAAGTTAAAAATGGGACAAAACATAAGGCAACGGAAATGCTCAGGCCACATTGATAGAAAAACTGTGTCACATCGTTTCCTTCGTTGCCTGGGTGGGCCGACAGCACTTAGAGTGTACATCCATTTATGGGGGTGACATATTTTCCAAAGGGATGCCCAGATTAGACCAAGCCCAGGACTGGTTACAGGAATGAGAAACAATTAACTGAGGAGGAGAGAAGTTTGGGGTGAACTTGTTGCCAGAATAAAGTGATGCATTAGTGCTGGCCCATGAATCAACCGCATCCAAATCTGTGGAGGAAATTCTAAAAAATCCCAATTTCTAGGATGAAACCTAAGATCGTGCACAGCTCGAAGAATCTATTATAAGATAAGGGAGTTGTGTTTTTACAGGCTACCATGAAGAATCAGGTACAATCCTGGGGAGCATGTCGTAGTCCATTTGGGCTGCTATAACAAGAACAGAATACCATAACCGGGGTGGCTTATAAACAACAGACATTTATTTCTCACCGTTCTAGAAGTTGAGAAATCCAAGATCAAGGTGCCAGCAGACTTGGTGTCTGGTATAGACCTGCTTCCTGTCCATAAAGGGCACCTTCTCCTCTGTGTCCTCACATTATGGAAGGAGCAAGGCAGCTTTCTGGGACCTCTTTAAAAAGGACACTAATCTCATTCATCAGAGCACCCTCCCCATGACCCTAATGACCTCCCAATGGTCCCACCTCCTAATACCATCGCACTGGCAGTTAGGATTTCAACACATGAACTTTGGGGGAGGGACCTAAACATTCACACCATAGCGGAACATTACCACAGAAGAATAAACTGGGACCCATGTAGAACAGGTGTAGGGGTAGAGTGATTCAAGTAAAAAAACCCAAACCAAGTAAATAACCAGGTGTAGCCATGAGTGGAACAGGCTTCCTCCTGCTGTGGAAAGCTCTGTGTCGTTAGAAGTATTTAGGCAAAGTTTGGGTTGTGGGGATTCTATTAAAAAGAATTCCAGCTTTGGGAGGGAAGTTAATTTGGAAAAGCTCAAAGGTTCTTTCATTTATTCAACATATATTTGCTGAGCACAAACTATATGGCAAAGGTTATAGGGCTGAAGAAGACAAGTCCCTGCCCTCTAGGAGCTCACATTCTGATAGAGTGATTTCAACAAAGTCCAGATTTAAAGAATGTCAAAATAGAAGAAGGAGAATCCTAAGGCATGTATTAGGGAAAAATTCCACTTAGAAATAAATGTATTCCTATGTTCCTAGCAAGGAGTTAACTGGAAAAAAAAGGAAATAGGAAAAATTGATTTTAAGTGTGAATATAGGCATTGGAAAATTGGCAGTATATGAAGTGTTATCAAGTGTTCTGAATACACACACACACACACACACACACACACACATATATATATATTATATAAATTTAGCATTGTTATATTTAATAGAATGAAATCATGGTGCTTAATTAGCCCACAAATGGAAGAGAATAACAGTTTGGCAGTCCTACAAGGGAAACATATGGGCATATTTCCTCTCTTACTCACTGGCCTTGGTAAGGTGTTGGTGCAGGCAGTTAAGCTTTTGAGAAAAGGATGCTGACTCAGGAAAGTTTTTGAGCTTTCCTTGAGCTTCAGTAAGAGGAAATTTAAATTTGAACATTCCCTTGCTTCCATGATTAGCTTAGAAGTCATAATAAGAATAATGTCATTGTATTAAATGTATTCAAATTCTGTGGTTTAAAAAAGTAGCTTAAGTCTCTAAAGAGTTCTTTGGTATTCTTTTTGAATTTAATGTTAAATTTTAAAAACTTAAAAAATACACAGATTAGGACTTCTATTTTTATCAATGATGTAATCCACATACCCCAAAACTGTTATTTTTTTATAGCAAAACAATAGTTTTGCCATAGAAAACAAAACAAAACAAAACAACTAGAAATAATAGATAAAATACAACCAAGTTTCTTCTAAAGGAAAGTTCCACTTGCAAGAAAGTGAGGGACACCTTTAGGCCAAAACAGAGCAGGACCTAAGAAACAGAGCAGTCAGAGAGGAATGATGCTGCTATTGCCTTGGGAGATTTGCTCATCTTCCTAACCAAGGGGTTTAGATTTTAATACCCATGCTGGGAAAGGAGCATCGTGTTGGGACAGCTTATGGTAGAAACCTGGAACTGAAAACATTTATATCAGGTCAGGACCCACAGATTGCTGCATCTTCTATAAAAGGGCAGATTAGAAGAATAATCTGCCCACCAGGGCAAGTGACAAGGAAGCATGTCTGCTGTGGCTCAGGCTTTGGGTGTTCACCTGCCTTCAGGTAGGGGTGGGGCTTGCATTTGCTCTACCTGCAGAGTCTGACAGCCACCAACCCATCCAGCTGAGCAACGAACCGAGGTGGTCTAGGCTGATAATTTCCCTGGGTGTCTAGCAGAAACAAACAGCTTTGTGGGGACACACTCTTAAATGAGACCACACAGCATAATTACAGAGAGAGCTCCACTGAGATGAGCTCACAGTTAGAAATGGCAGAATGAATTCACCATGCAGGAATGTCAGCAGGCACATCAGCACAGGATAGGACTTTCAAGATATTCAGGTGAAAGAATACTTGTTACACACCATGAAATACTTATTTTAAAATCATTAAGGACATTAGAAGGAATGAAAAAAGAAAAAAGACACAAAAAAGGCCAGAAGAATTGCAAAGAAATCAAATAGAACTTCTATAAATGAAGAAAGCTATTGAAATTAAAACCTAAATGGAGCAAAGAGCCAAATAAATGAAATAAAAATTAGATGTGAAGAAATTATCTAGAAGATGAGAGAGAGAATATAAAGGCAAGGTCAATAGAATGGAAGATAGAAAGAGATCCCAACAGTTGTGTAACAGAATTTCCAGAGAGAGATAATAGAAGAAATAGAGGTAATATTCAAAGAAATAATGGCTGAGCATTTCCTAATTTCCGTGAAGGAAATGAAACCTTAGATTCAGGAAGCACAATGAGACCTAAGCAGCATAAATTTAAAAAAACAAATCAACATCTAGACACACAGCAATGAAACCACAAAACACCAAAAACAAAGGTCCTACCTAAAAGTAATGAGGAGCAAAGTCAGGTTAAATGCAAGAGACACAGGACGTTTGGCACCATCAGACTTCCCAACAGAAACATTAAAAGTCAGAAGACAATAAAGTAATAATAAAAATAATAGTCAGCCTTATTTAAGGAATTGTGTTCTAAGTGCTTTACACTTATTATCTCATTTAATTTTTACAGTAACCCTATAAGATGTGAGCTAATATTATTCTTATGTTTCCAATGAGAAAACTGAGGCACAGAGACTTTGAGTCATTTGCTAAGGTCGGATAGCTCCTAATTGGCAAAGTCACGATGGGATCCCAGGGATTCTGAGGATGAAGCCTGTGTTTAATAACTGTTATGCCAAGTGAGCATTTTCAAATATATGAGAGAAATTACTATCAATCTAGAATTCTAGAGCCAGCTAGCGATCATTGAAGAGTGAGTGCAACATGAATGGAAAGTAGTAGACCCTCAATGAAAAAGACCACTAAAAGACAAAAGCACAGACTATATAAAATAAAAATAATGAAGACTAGTTTTGGGCTATAAATGAGGTAAGATGCAATGCAGGACAATAATGCCATGTGACCTGGGGAAGGGTGACCGGAGTCCACATTGTGATGTTTTTGCATTGCTCAGGAGGATGAGAGAGATTGGACTAACTTTGGACTTTGTATATGTCTATAGACATATGCCTAGTCTAATTTTAAAGGATACTAGCAAAAGGATATGTCGGAAACAAGTACTCAGCGTAGCCAAAAGAAACCTGCACTTAGACAGAAAATTTCTCAGCAAGGTACCTTTACTTCTGCAGAAGGGTGCTGCTTGCGCCTGTTACAATCGCAAAAGCACACTGAACAAAGGAGGAAAGGAGTTTTTAATCCTAACGCAGTTCCTGTTTCTGTGTCCTTCTCCTGTTGGCTGGGGTTGGACCACACAATCTAAGCTAATCCTGATTGGCTAAGACTTAAACTTTTTCCAAAAAGGGTAAATGTGCTATTTGCATTTGAAGAAGAAAGGGGGTAGGATTGATTTACAACTTATACAGCTTATGACCAGAAAGTTGAGTCTTTGAAGAGGAACTTCGTTGCCCCAACAGATAGAAAGAGAAAATAATTTCCAAACTAATCTAGGGAAAAATAGGAATAGAGGAAAGTTGATTTATCTGATAATTATTTTGATATAAGTATTCAGAGTTGTATTTATTTTCTTTTCCTAGGTTTTCATTTTTGGGTGTGAATTTACATGTGACCTGCATGTTGAGAGGAAGGATGCTAACTTTCATTGAGCGCCTACTCTGTGCCTGCTGTTTTGCATATGTTATTGGAGTCAATCTTCACAGTAAACCTGTAAGGGAATTAGTATTATTCCCTGTTTACAGATAAAGAAACCAAGGCTCAGAGAGTTACATAACCTGCTCACAATCATAGAGCTTTTGTGAACCAGAAAATAACTTCAAAATCAGTTGTCTGACTCAAAGTCCAGGATATTTCTCCACTTTACTAGAATTTCCAAACCCCTGAGGAGCAGAGAGCTCTGAAAAGGGGCTCTGGAATCCCAGTGTGCCCTCAACCGTGGGAGTATCCTGGATAAAGAATCTCTGTGTTCCATTTTTTGTGTAAATGTGTGGAAAGGCCCTTGTGAAACAGAAAGTGCAAATTCCTTTAAAATCTAGGTGGTCTTTCGTCAGTGTTTGTCTTCTCAGGCAGCAGATGTTATTATGTGAAGGGATCCAGGACCTCTTTTTTTATGTAAAGAAAAAAAAAAAGCAAGCAGTCTTCTTACTAAATACATGGGAATCCCTGAACTTGGCTTTTCACCCAAGACCCATAAAAACCCCAGGGCATTTGCAGTGTAAGGGGTGCTTTCCGCATGGTTCTGACTCCACTGTCAGAAGGGCACGTCTCCACTTCTGCCTCCTTCCTAAGAGATGCCAGATACTCTATCTGATATGGCTTGGATTTGTGTCCCCACCGCAATCTTATGTTCAGTTATAATCCCCAGTGTTGGAGGCGGGTCCTGATGGGAGGTGATTGGATCATGGGGGCGTTTTGAAACCGCCTTTGCGAAATTATAACTGAGGAAATTATGACAGTGAAAGAGATCAGACCTAACCGACTCTACCTTGCTTCTAACTTTTAAGCTGTCCTTGTTCATTCCTGGGTATAGGCTGAACTAACTTTGGGACGGAATTCAGTTCATCGTTTGACTCGAAAACAAAATCGATAACAGCCCTTTCCCTTTTTGCCTGGGAACTAGTCTGCCTTTGCAGGACTAACAAATTAGCTACAAGATTAGAAATTGCAATTTAAGGGTTATGCAGCCTCTGGCTCCAAGAGTTTGAACCTCACCAAATTGCTCCTGGGGATAACATCACTATTGTGAAACCTACGATCAGGGCTTGAGATACTTTGCAGATCCTGCCCTTGGTGGGTCAGCTGACACCACCCAGACCAGTCATCTGGCCCAACCAGTTCTGCCGTCGCACCCAGGAACAGAGGACATTAAGAAAACTCCCTCTGATTCTACCTCCGGCCTGACCAATCAGCACTTCTCACTTCCCAAGCCCCTCTCCGCCAAATTATCTTTAAAAACTCTGATCCCCGAGACGGATTTAAGTAATCATAAAACTCCGGTCTCCCGCACAGCCGGCTCTGAGTGAATTACTCTTTCGCCACTGCCGTTCCCCTGTCTTGATAAATTGGCTCTTGTCTGGGCAGCGGGAAAGGTGAACTCATTGGGTGGTTACAGTTTTCTCATGAATGGTTTAGTGCCATCGCCCTTGGTTGTGACAATGAGCGAGTTATTGTGAGATCTGGTTATTTAAAAGTGTGCGGTAGCTCCCCCTTCTCTCTCTTCTACCTGCTCTGGTCATGTAAAACGTGCACCTGCTTCTTGCTCTCCTTCTGCCATGACTGAAAATTTCCTGAGGTCTCCCCAGAAGCTGTCAAGCTTCCTGTACAGCCTGCTGAGCCATGAGCCAATTAAACCTCTTTTCTTTATAAATTACCCAGTCTCGGTATTTCTTTATAGCAACATGAGAATGGACTAAAACACTGCTCTTTTCGGTTTTAACCCTATATGCCGTGACTGATCTTAAGATTTTAGTTACCAATGAAGGATTCAAATAAATCTCTACCTATGGCTTCACATCTTCCGCTCGGGATTTCAGCCTATCCTGCACTCATTCATTCATCCATCCATCACTTGTTGAAGGCCACTGTGTGCCAGTCCTGTTTCTCAGTGAACCTGCACATGACCCTTTGGTCCAAGGCTGTCGGAGGGGCTTACCTGAGGTTATGAGATTGTAAACAGAAGGGCGTCATCTTTAGATTCATTTTATAGGGCTTCTCCCACTTTACTAGTATTCATTTTTATTATCTCCTCTCTGTCCTTGACAAATCTACATGTTATCTAAATTGATATGGTACAATACTTCCTGCACTTTATCAAGGGAGGGTTGCAGTTTGCTTTTCTGTAACTTTTTTTTTTCCTTGAGGTGTTTGAGCTGTGGTGTGTCTGGCCAAGCACTGCCATGGATTAAATCAGTCCTGGGACCAAGCAGGTGGGATTCCCAGACATTGCCAAAGGGAAGGACAGCTCAGGCTGGTTTCTTGCCCTGGCAGGACCATAGCTGTGGGGACATTGGTGAGGGTGCAGGTTCTGGAACTGACTCTTGGGGGATCTGGAAGGACAGCCAACTCAGCTGAGTGTAGCCTGAAGGCCTGTGTCCTAGGGAAGCCTGTTGGATGAATGGATTTGAGTCAGAACAGGGCCATGTTGTCATCTTTAGACCTGAAGGCTGTCCAGGGAGCGAGCCGATCTGAGCAGAAATGGGCTCTACTTGGCCTAGTTTTGCCAGTGCAGTCCTAGCTGCTGCCTGCTGCCTCTATGTCCTGCCTCACTGAGTGTGCTTTCTTTAACATGGAGTTGATTTTGAAAGACTTAGCAATAAGCTGTTCCTTTTTTTTCTGATGCTTTTTAAATGACAACATAAATGCAAGGTGGGCAAGTGGGCCTAGGGACAGTTACCTAACTCTTGGGAGGAGGTGGCAGAGGTATTTGATGCTACTGCCCCTGCTGGCTACTTAGTGTCCTGGCC